>NC_000008.11:62802265-63427265 GCF_000001405.40 Homo sapiens
GAACGCCACAAAGATACTCCTCGAGAAGAGCAACTCCAAGACACGTAGTTGTCAGATTCACCAAAGTTGAAATGAAGGAAAAAATGTTAAGGGCAGCCAGAGAGAAAGGTTGGGTTACCCACAAAGGGAAGCCCGTCAGACTAACAGTGGATCTCTTGGCAGAAACTCTACAAGCCAGAAGAGAGTGGGGGCCAATATTCAACATTCTTATAGAATTTTCAACCCAGAATTTCATATCCAGCCAAACTAAGCTTCATAAGTGAAGGAGAAATAAAATACTTTACAGACAAGCAAATGTGGAGAGATTTTGTCACCACCAGGCCTGCCCTAAAAGAGCTCCTGAAAGAAGCACTAAACATGGAAAGGAACAACCGGTACCAGCCACTGCAAAATCATGCCAAATTGTAAAGACCATCGAGGCTAGGAAGAAATTGCATCAATTAATGAGCAAAATAACCAGCTAACATCATAATGACAGGATCAAATTCACACATAACAATATTAACTTTAAATGTAAATGGACTTAATGCTCCATTTAAAAGACACACACTGGCAAACTGGATAAAGAGTCAAGACCCATCAGTGTGCTGTATTCAGGAAACCCATCTCACGTGCAGAGACACACATAGGCTCAAAATAAAAGTATGGAGGAAGATCTACCAAGTAAATGGAAAACAAAAAAAGGCAGGGGTTGCAATCCTAGTCTCTGATAAAACAGACTTTAAACCAACAAGATCAAAAGAGACAAAGAAGGCCATTATATAATGGTAAAGGGATCAATTCAACAAGAAGAGCTAACTATCCTAAATATATATGCACCCAATATGAGAGCACCCAGATTCATAAAGCAAGTCCTGAGTGACCTACAAAGAGACTTAGACTCCCACACAATAATAATGGGAGACTTTAACACCCCACTGTCAACATTAGACAGATCAATGAGACAGAAAGTTAGCAAGGATACCCAGGAATTGAACCCAGCTCTGCACCAAGGGGACCTAATAGACATCTACAGAACTCTCCACCCCAAATCAACAGAATATACATTTTTTTCAGCACCACACCACACCTATTCCAAAATTGACCACATAGTTGGAAGTAAAGCTCTCCTCAGCAAATGTAAAAAAACAGATATTATAACAAACTGTCTCTCAGACCACAGTGCAATCAAACTAGAACTCAGGATTCAGAAACTCACTCAAAACCGCTCAACTACATGGAAACTGAAAAACCTGCTCCTGAATGACTACTGGGTACATAAAGAAATGAAGGCAGAAATAAAGATGTTCTTTGAAACCAACGAGAACAAAGACACAACATACCAGAATCTCTGGGACACATTCAAAGCAGTGTGTAGAGGGAAATTTATAGCACTAAATGCCTGCAAGAGAAAGCAGGAAAGATCCAAAATTGACACCCTAACATCAGAATTAAAAGAACTAGAAAAGCAAGAGCAAACACATTCAAAAGCTAGCAGAAGGCAAGAAATAACTAAAATCAGAGCAGAACTGAAGGAAATAGCAACACAAAAACCCTTTAAAAAATTAATGAATCCAGGAGCTGGTTTTTTGAAAGGATCAACAAAATTGATAGACTGCTAGCAAGACTAATAAAGAAGAAAAGAAAGAAGAATCAAATAGACGCAATAAAAAATGATAAAGGGGATATCACCACTGATCCCACAGAAATACAAACTACCATGAGAGAATACTACAAACACCTCTACACAAATAAACTAGAAAATCTAGCAGAAATGGATAAATTCCTTGACACATACACCCTCCCAAGATTAACCAGGAAGAAGTTGAATCTCTGAATAGACCAATAACAGGCTCTGAAATTGTGGCAATAATCAATAGCTTACCAACCAAAAAGAGTCCAGGACCAGATGGATTCACAGCAGAATTCTACCAGAGGTACAAGGAGGAACTGGTACCATTCTGTCTGAAACTATTCCAATCAATAGGAAAAGAGGGAATCCTCCCTAACTCATTTTATGAGGCCAGCATCATCCTGATACCAAAGCCAGGCAGAGACACAACCAAAAAAGAGAATACCAAAGCCTGGCAGAGACACAACCAAAAAAGAGAATTTTAGACCAATATCCTTGATGAACATTGATGCAAAAATCCTCAATAAAATACTGGCAAACCAAATCCAGCAGCACATCAAAAAGTTTATCCACCACGATCAAGTGGACTTCATCCCTAGGATGCAAGGCTGGTTCAATATACGCAAATCAATAAATGTAATCCAGCATATAAACAGAACCAAAGACAAAAACCACACGATTATCTCAATAGATGCAGAAAAGGCCTTTGACAAAATTCAACAATGCTTCATGCTAAAAACTCTCAATAAATTAGGTATTGATGGGATGTACCTCAAAATAATAAGAGCTATCTATGACAAACCCACAGCCAATATCATACTGAATGGGCAAAAACTGGAAGCATTCCCTTTGAAAACTGGCAAAAGACAGGGATGCCCTCTCTCACCACACCTATTCAACATAGTGTTGGAAGTTCTGGCCAGGGCAATTAGGCAGGAGAAGGAAATAAAGGGTATTCAATTAGGAAAAGAGGAAGTCAAATTGTCCCTGTTTGCAGAGGACATGATTGTATATCCAGAAAACCCCATTGTCTCAGCCCAAAATCTCCTTAAACTGATAAGCAGCTTCAGCAAAGTCTCAGGATACAAAATAAATGTACAAAAATCACAATCATTCTTATACACCAATAACAGACAAACATAGAGCCAAATCATGAGTGAACTCCCATTCACAATTGCTTCAAAGAGAATAAAATACCTAGGAATCCAACCTACAAGGGACGTGAAGGACCTCTTCAAGGAGAACTACAAACCACTGCTCAATGAAATAAAAGAGGATACAAACAAATGGAAGAACATTCCATGCTCATGGGTAGGAAGAATCAATATCGTGAAAATGGCCATACTGCCCAAGGTAATTTAGAGATTCAATGCCATCCCCATCAAGCTACCAATGCCTTTCTTCACAGAATTGGAAAAAACTACTTTAAAGTTCATATGGAACCAAAAAAGAGCCCGCATTGCCAAGTCAATCCTAAGCCAAAAGAACAAAGCTGGAGGCATCACACTACCTGACTTCAAACTATACTACAAGGCTACAGTAACCAAAACAGCATGGTACTGGTACCAAAACAGAGATATAGATCAATGGAACAGAATAGAGCCCTTGGAAATAATGCCACATATCTACAACTATCTGATCTTTGACAAACCTGAGAAAAACAAGAAATGGGGAAAGGATTCCCTATTTAATAAATGGTGCTGGGAAAACTGGCTAGCCATATGTAGAAAGCTGAAACTGGATCCCTTCCTTACACCTTATACAAAAATTAATTCACGATGGATTAAAGACTTACATGTTAGACCTAAAACCATAAAATCCCTAGAAGAAAACCTAGGCATTACCATTCAGGACATAGGCCTGGGCAAGGACTTCATGTCTAAAACACCAAAAGCAATGGCAACAAAAGCCAAAATGGACAAATGGGATCTAATTAAACTAAAGAGCTTCTGCACAGCAAAAGAAACTACCATCAGAGTATACAGGCAACCTACAAAATGGGAGAAAATTTTTGCAACCTACTCATCTGACAAAGGGCTAATATCCAGAATCTACAATGAACTCAAACAAATTTACAAGGAAAAAACAAACAACCCCATCGAAAAGTGGGTGAAGGACATGAACAGACACTTCTAAAAAGAAGTCGTTTATGCAGCCAAAAAAACACATGAAAAAATGCTCACCATCACTGGCCATCAGAGAAATGCAAATCAAAACCACAATGAGATATCATCTCACACCAGTTAGAATGGCAATCATTAAAAAGTTAGGAAACAACAGGTGCTGGAGAAGATGTGGAGAAATAGGAACACTTTTACACTGTTGGTGGGACTGTAAACTAGTTCAACCATTGTGGAAGTCAGTGTGGCGATTCCTCAGGGATCTAGAACTAGAAATACCATTTGACCCAGCCATCCCATTACTGGGTATATACCGAAAGGACTATAATCCATGCTGCTATAAAGACACATGCATACGTATGTTTATTGTGGCACTATTCACAATAGCAAGGACTTTGAACCAACCCAAATGTGCAACAATCATAGACTGGATTAAGAAAATGTGGCACATATACACCATGGAATACTATGTAGCCATAAAAAATGATGAGTTCATGTCCTTTGTAGGGACATGGATGAAATTGGATATCATCATTCTCAGTAAACTATCAGAAGGACAAAAAACCAAACACCGCATGTTCTCACTCATAGGTGGGAATTGAACAATGAGAACACATGGACACTGGAATGAGAACATCACACTCTGGGTACTGTTGTGGGGTCGCGGGAGTGGGGAGGGATAGCATTAGGAGATATACCTAATGCTAAATGATGAGTTAATGGGTGCAGCACACCAGCATGGCACATGTATACATATGTAACTAACCTTCACTTTGTGCACATGTACCCTAAAAGTTAAAGTATAATAATAATAAAAAATAAAATAATATAAAAAAATAAAATAAAATAAAAACAATATCACCAGAGAGATGTCTTGTTTATTTCCACTTGTCTACATGAGACCAAGCAGGGGACTAATTCCTGTCCTCTGCAGGGCACAGAGGATAGTGCGTGATGAAACGTAGTGATGAACAACATGGTCCACTGATGACCCTGCCCAAAATCATAACTAGAATATTTCCTAAAACATATATTATTCTTTCACTACTTTGTACATCACGTATTTAGTTTGTTAAATCTTTTACTTCAAAGGATAGATTTTCTTTTTGTTAATTTGTGCACATATGCATTTGTGAAGATTTAGAATTTATGGATATTTGTTATAATGTATTTCAAGCGAATAGAAAATACAACATATACCCTTGTATCCAAATTGAATAAATGTTAACATTTGCCATTTTTGTTTCAGGTATGTTTTAATAAACTTGACTGATACCATTAAAGCAGCCTTGCATCTTGTTTTCTCCATTACCCCTCAAGTTGGGGTGTGTCCTTCTCCTCATGTGCTTATCTTATTAATGTATATGGAATTACATGTAGATTACAGATTTTTTAAATTTTTGTGTGTCTATTTACTATATTTTTCACTCATTATCAGTTTTCTTGTTTCCTACTTTTTGTGGGACTGATCAACTTTCTTCTCTACTGTCTTCATATTCTTTCTGCTAGTTAAAGATTATATATCTATTTCTCATCTTTCAATAGTTATTCTTTTCTGGTTTTTTTTTTTTTTTGAGACAATGTCTCACTCTGTCACCAGGCTGGAGTGCAGTGGCTCGATCTCGGCTCACTGCAACCTCCACTTCCCGGGTTCAAGCAATTCTCCTGCCTCAGCCTCCCAAGTAGCTGGGACTACAGGTGCATGCCACCACACTCAGCTAATTTTTGTATTTTTGGTAGTGATGGGGTTTCACCATGGTGGCCAGGAAGATATATATATATAAAATACATACATATATATATATATATTTGAAAACTCATGCTCTATATGATAAATACATACAATTTTATCAATTTTATAAAAATGATTTATTGTTTAAGGTATAAAAATGAGATTGTGATTATGTTAAAAATAGGCTATATGTTTTAGAATGAATACTGGAATAGTTATTAATAAAAAAAGAAAATTATTTTCAAATTTTAAAAAAGACATATACTTGATTTTAAAAAGTTAAACTAATTTAAAATTTTATCTTCTTTTTGAACACAATAAAGTCTTTATAGCAATCATCCCTCACCAATTTTTCATGTTAATTTTGTCTAGTTTTTAGGTCTCCCTTATTTATTAGGGGCACAACTTAAAAAATATTTTTATAGCAGCTGATTACTTTGATGTGTCCACGTGCTTGTCAATGTCTTTGGTCACTATTCTAACATACTACTTTGGGTTCTATTTTCCTATTCCTGAAGAACATGCTTTAGTAGTTGTTTCACCAAAAACTTGTGAACTCTTTAGTAGCTTTTTGTTACTCCGAATGTCTTTATTTCAGTCTCATTTTATAATAGTAGTTCAACTCAATAGTTATTCTAGTGTAACACTATTTTCTTCAGTGCATCATCATCTGGTGTCTATTGTTGCTGTCTGATGTTATCAATTGCATTAGGTTGGTAAGCATTCCCTATCAGGGGAAACCAGCCCCTGATATTTCAACGTAGGTTCTTTTCTATTTTCCCTAAGTGTCGACCGGTCTGAGAAATAAGGGGAAAGAGTACCAAAGAGAGAAATTTTAAAGCTGAGTGTCTGGGGGAGACATCACATGTCAGCAGGTTCCATGATGCCCCCCAAGCCACAAAACCAGCAAGTTTTTATTAGTGATTTTCAAAGGGGAGGGAGTGTATGAATAGAGTGTGGGTCACAGAGATCACATGCTTCACAAGGCAATAAAAAATATCACAAGGCAAATGGGGGCAGACCGAGATCACAAGACCAGGGTGAAATTAAAATTGCTAATGAAGTTTCATGTCCCACTGGGCATGCATTGTCATTGATAACATCTTATCAGGAGACACGGTTTGAGAGCAGACAACTGGTCTGACTAAAATTTACTAGGCAGGAATTTCCTCATCCTAATAGGCCTGGGAGCGCTACGGGAGACCAGGGCTTATTTCATCCCTTATCTGCAACTGTATAAGACGGACAGTCCCAGAGTGGCCATTTTAGAGACCTACCCCTGGGAATGCATTCTCTTTCTCAGGGCTGTTCCTTGGTGAGAAAAAGAATTCAGTGATATTTCTCCTATTCGCTTTTGTAAGAAGAGACATATGGCTCCGTTCCGCCCAGCTCTCAGGTAGTCAGACCTAATGGTTATCTCCCTTGTTCCCTGAACATCGCTGTTATCCTGTTCCTTTTTCAAGGTGCCCAGATTTCATATTGTTTAAACACACATGCTTTACAAACAATTTGTGCAGTTAAGCAATCATCACAGGGTCCTGAGGCCACATACATCCTCAGCTTATGAAGATGACAGGATTAAGAGATTAAAGTAAAGACAGGCATAGGAAATCACAAGAGTATTGATTGGGGAAGTGATAATCTTCACAATTTATGTTTAGAGATTGTAGTAAAGACAGGCATAAGAAATTATAAAAGTACTAATTTGGGGAACTAATAAATGTCCATGAAATCTTCACAATTTATGTTCCTCTGCCATGGCTTCAGCCAGTCCCTCTTTTTGGGGTCCCTGACTTCCCTCAACAATTCCCAAAAGCATGTGTGTATGAAGAAAATACTTGACTCACAGTTTCATAGGAAAACAATTGTATAGGTTCTTAAGTGGTTACACTACTACTGCATTTATCTTATCAAAATAATTCAAATTCCATTAAAATGTACATATATTGAATGCATATTGAAAGCCAGGGATTTTCATAAATTTATCCCATTTATTCTCACAATCTTAGGAAACTGTTTTAATATCTCTACACTTTACAGATGAGGAAACTGAAGCCCGTGGTGGTCAAGTAATTTACTTTTGATCACACAGCTGAGAAACGGCATTTGCCTGAGGTAACCTAGGTCTTCTAATTCTGAATCCAGTAGAGTTGCCTCTAGAGTCAATATTATGTATTTTAATCCCCTCACTTATTTTTATGACAGTGAAAGGAGATAGAATAATTGTAATTAAGATCAGAGGCACTGGTCACTCTCATTTAAGAATCGCATGGTTTATGAGGAAATCTTCCTCACAGGGTCCAAGGTGGAAGTCAGACCTTGAAGCCCCAACATGCCCCTGAGGACTGAGCAAGCCGCTCTTCTTCAAAGCCTGAGAGACAGGAACTCAGCTGCTTGCTTGCATAATCATATTCATGAGTTTTAGATTCTGGGTAGTTTCCTTAGCTGCACGTTGAGAAATTGAAAAATGGCAAAATTAAAAATAAATGACTTTTGTAATACAGAAAAGCCTTTACTCTGGAGAAAAATGTAATTCAGTTTTCAGGCACATTCCACTTCTTTTATGATTTGAGGATATCACAAAGCATGCCAGCAAGTCTAAGGGGATGTATTTGGAGGAGTAGGTCATTTCTCAGGTAAAAAAGTGTTTTATTTATGGTGTGCAAGCATGGGAATGAGAAGGTCTGGGTTTCAGCCTGGACCCTTGATCTGATTCGCTTTAAGGACAACCACAAGTCACTTAGACTCCATGGGCTTCAGTTTTTTCATTTGTAAAATGTAAAAGTCAAACTAGATATCTCTTTTAATAGGTGAGCTGAATATGTTTCCATTTATTGGAGAAACCTCAATCTTTTTATGTTTTATTTACCATATTATGTATGCATGATTGTAAGTATGTAGGTAGAAAGTTTTTTTTTTTTTTTTTGCTTTCTTTTTTCCCTTTTCCTGACTTCTGTTAAACTGATATTGATTTAAATCTTCCTGGTCTTAATGTTTGTATGCCTGCATGTAGGTATGTATTTGCCACTCACTTGAAAAATGTACCTATATTTTCTTCTATTAAAGATTACTTTTAATTTCTTCCTAATCTTTAAATTAAACTTTAAAAATATAATTGGATTCATGTACAGCTGTAGGAAATTATAAAGGAAGAGCTTGTGTACTTTTACCTTGTTTTCCCCAGTAATAACTATATCTTGCCGAACTATAGTACAATATTACAACCAGGATATTGACGTTATTGCAGCTAACATACTGAACAATTTCATCAGCACAGGGATTCCTTCTGTTGCTCTTTTATAACTATATCCCCTTCCTCCTTTCCTTCCCAACCCCACCCTTGATCTCTGACAATCCCTACTCTGTTCTCTGTTGTTATATGTTGTCATCTCAAGAATTTTTTACAAATGGACTCATACAGTATGTAAACATTTATGATTGGCTTTTGTCTTGCAGCATATATCAATCATTCATTTTTATTACTGTACTGGTAGTATTCCTTGATATGGGTGTACCATAGCTTATTTAAACAATTGCCTGTGAAAGGACATCTATGTTGTTTACAGTTTTGGGCCATTACAAATAAAGCTGTTATGAACATTTATGTAAAGGTTTTTATGTGAAAAAAAGTTTTCATTTCTCTGTGATAAATGCTTAAAAGTGTAATTTCTGGATACTATGGTATTTGCATATTTAGTTTTAAAATAACTTGCTAGACTGTTTTCCAGAGTAGTTGCACCATTGTACATTCCCACCAGCAATATATGGGTGATCTAGTTTCTCTGCATCTTTGCCAGCATTTTTCATTATTGTCATTATTTCTTTATTTTAACCATTCTCATAAGTACATAGTAATATATCATTGTGGTTTTAATTTGCATTTTCTGATGGCTAACAATGGAGAATATGTTTTTTGTGCTTATCTGCCATCGGTGTATCCTCTTTGGTAAAATGTCTATTTGTGTCTTTTGCCAATTTTATATTTAGATTTTTTTGCTTTTCTTACTGTTGAATTTTGACAGTTCTTTATATTTTCTAGATACAACTTATTTGCTGAATATGTGGTTTGTAAATATTTTCTCAAAGTCTGTTGCTTCTCTCTTCATCCTCTTAATAGGGTCTTTCCCAAAGCATTTTTCCTTCCATGGATCATGCATTGCATGTCAAGTCTAAGAAGTCTTTGCCTAGCTATAGACACCAAATACTTTCTCCTGTGTTTTTTTTTCCCTAAAGCTTTTATAGTTTTACATTTTACATTTAAGTCCATGATTCATGTCGAGCAAATTTTTGAATAAGAAAATTTAGGTCAAGCTTTATTTTTGCCCATGGATATCTAATAGTTCCCACACAATTTGTGAAAGAACTATTTTTCTACATTGAATTGCTTGTGCACCTTTGTCAATAATCAATTGGGTATAGTTGTGTGAATCTATTTCTGGATTCCCCTTTTTGTTCCACTCTTCTAAGTATCAATCTCTTCATCAGTACCACACTCTCATAACTACAACTATACAGTAAATCTTAATATTGGGTTGAATAATTCTTTCCACTTTATTTTTTTGGAATTGTTTTACATATTTTAGGGGCTGTGCATTTTCATATATATTTTAGAAGAAGCTTATTTATGTCAACAAAATCCCTGATGGGATCTTGTTAAAAATTGCATCAAATCTACAGATCAGTTTGGGGGAAAATGATATCTTTACTTTCTTGAGTCTTCCAATGGCATGTATGTATGAACATGATGTCTCTTTACTAATTTAGAACTTTTCTTTCTTTCATTGACATTTTATAATTTACAGCATAAAGATTCTGTATATGATTCTGTGCATATTATTCTGTAACCTTGCTTCACTCACTTATTAGTTCTAGGAGAGTTTTTTTTTAATTCTTAGAATTTTTTCATATAGACAATTATGTCATCTGCAAATAGAAATGATTTTATTTCTTCCTTTCCAATTGGTATGCTTTTTACTACACTCAATTTTTAGATTTCTAGAGAAATATACATTTCTTAATGAAGACTAAATTTATTCAATGCTATTTTCCTCCCTGAATGATAAGATGATGTCACACTTTAACTGCCTCATGTTATTGTTTCTTAGAGTTTTTGTTCTACCTGCTTTAAACACACACACTAATTTTGGTTAATCTTTTTAATAAAATCAATAGTTCATTAAAATTATTGACACATCTTATCAGTTTCTGTGTTTGTTATCTTTTCTTGTAACAGGTACTTTCCTCTAGGTTCATTTTTCTTGTTGCTGAAGTAGTACCTTTACTAAGTGTTTTGTTTATTAATTGAAGGCCTAAGGCCTCATTCTTCTCCACAGTGATATCCAATTTTCCTGGCACCATTTATTAAAAAGGGTGTGTCCTTTCCCATTAAATGTTCTTGGCTCCTTTTTTGAAAATCAGTTGGATGTAAATACAAGGATTTATTTATTTCTGGGTTCCCTATTCCTTTCTATTGGTCTATGTGTTTTTATACCAGTATCATGTGACTTTGGTTATTATAGCTTTGTAGTATATTTTGAACTCTGTTAATATAACGCCTGCAACATTGTCCTGGCACTCAGGATTGTTTTAGCTGTTCAGAATCTTTTGTTATTCCATACAAATTTTAGGATTTTTTTTTATCTCTGTGAAAAAGTCATTGGTATTTTGGTGATGCTATTACATTGTATCTGTAGACTGCTTTCACTTTACGTCTGTGTGTTTCTTCATTGGTCAGTGAGCTTCTTGTAGGCAGCATACAGTTGAGTCTTCCTTTTTTTTTTTTTTATTAATCCATTTGGCCAGTCTGTATATTTTCATTGGGGAATTTAATCCATTTACATCCACAGTTGTTTTTAATAGATGAGGACTTCCTTCTATTACTTTGTTGGTAGTTTTTTGGTTGTTTTATATACTCTTTGTTCCTTTCTTCCACTCTTGTTTGTGTTTGTGATTTGGTGCTTTTCATAGTGATAACATTTTATTCCTTTTTCTTACCTCATGTATTTTCTCTACCAGTAAACTTCATAACTGGGCACGTTTTCATGAGAGTAGACAATGTATTTTTGCTTCCTGATGTAGGACTCCCTTAAGCATTTATTGCAGGGCCAGTCTAGTGGTGATGAGTTCCCTCAGTCTTTACTTGTCTGAAAAAGGCTTTATTTCTTAAAAATAGCCTTGCTGTATATAATATTCTTGACTGACAGGTTTTTCTTTTAGTGCTATGAATATATCATCTCATTCTGTCCAGGTCTGTAAGGTTTCTGCTGAGAAATCTGTTGTTAGTCTAATAAGGATTCCCTTACATGTGACTTGATGTTTTTCTCTTGCTGTTTTCAGATTTTTTCTCTGTCTTTGACTTTTGATAGTTTGACTATATTGTGATTCTGAGAGAACTTCTTTGGATTGAATTTACGTAAGAATCTTTTAGCTTCCTATATCTGGATCTTCATACCTCTCCCAAGACTTGGGGAGTTTTCTGCTATTATCTTGCTATATGGGTTTTTAATGCCTTTCCCCACCTTCTTCTTCTGGAATTTTCATAAGGCAAACATTCTTTCACTTAATTATGTTCTGTATGTCTCATAGGCTTTTTTTTTCATTCTTTTAATGTTCTATTTCTTTTTAAACATTAACAATTTGGTTATTTCAGACCTAATAGATATCTACAGAACTCTCCACCCCAAATCAACAGAATATACATTTTTTTCAGCACCATGCCACACCTATTCCAAAATCGACCACATAGTTGGAAGTAAAGCTCTCCTCAGCAAATGTAAAAGAACAGAAATGATAACAAACTGTCTCTCAGACCACAGTGCAATCAAACTAGAACTCAGGATTAAGAAACTCACTCAAAACCACTCAAATACATGGAAACTGAACAACCTGCTCCTGAATGACTACTGGGTACATAAAGAAATGAAGGCAGAAATAAAGACGTTCTTTGAAACCAACGAGAACAAAGACACAACATACCAGAATCTCTGGGACACATTCAAAGCAGTGTGTAGAGGGAAATTTATAGCACTAAATGCCCACAAGAGAAAGCGGGAAAGATCCAAAATTGACACCCTAACATCACAATTAAAAGAACTAGAAAAGCAAGAGCAAACACATTCAAAAGCTCGCAGAAGACAAGAAATAACTAAAATCAGAGCAGAACAGAAGGAAATAGAGACACAAAAACCCTTCAAAAAATTAATGAATCCAGGAGCTGGTTTTTTGAAAGGATCAACAAAATTGATAGACTGCTAGCAAGACTAATAGAGAAGAATCAAATAGATGCAATAAAAAATGATAAAGGGGATATCACCACCGATCCCACAGAAATACAAACTACCCATCAGAGAATACTATAAATACCTCTACACAAATAAACTAGAAAATCTAGAAGAAATGGATAAATTCCTTGACACATACACCCTCCCAAGACTAAACCAGGAAGAAGTTGAATCTCTGAATAGACCAATAACAGGCTCTGAAATTTAGGCAATAATCAATAGCTTACCAACCAAAAAGAGTCCAGGACCAGATGGATTCACAGCCGAATTCTACCAGAGGTACAAGGAGGAACTGGTACCATTCCTTCTGAAACTATTCCAATCAATAGGAAAAGAGGGAATCCTCCCTAACTCATTTTATGAGGCCAGCATCATCCTGACACCAAAGCCTGGCAGAGACACAACCAAAAAAGAGAATTTTAGACCAATATCCTTGATGAACATTGATGCAAAAATCCTCAATAAAATACTGGCAAACTGAATCCAGCAGCACATTAAAAAGCTTATCCACCATGATCAAGTGGGCTTCATCCCTGGGATGCAAGTCTGGTTCAATATACACAAATCAATAAATGTAATCCAGCATATAAACAGAACCAAAGACAAAAACCACATGATTATCTCAATAGATGCAGAAAAGGCCTTTGACAACATTCAAAAACCTTCATGCTAAAAACTCTCAATAAATTAGGTATTGATGGGACCTATCTCAAAATAATAAGAGCTATCTATGACAAACCCACAGCCAATATCATACTGAATGGATAAATTCATAAATTCTTTATCCTGCTTGATCTAGTCTATTGTGGAAGTTTTCAATTGCATTCTTATTCCACTCATTGAATCTGCTGTTCCAATATTTCAATATTTCTGTTTGATTCTGTTTTATATCTATCTCTTTGTTGAATTTTTCATTGAGATCATAGTTTTCAAGATTTTGTTGAATTATCTATCTGTACTCCCTTGTTTCTCACTGAATGTCCTTAAGATTGTCATTTTGAATTCCTTTTCAGGAATTTCATAGATTTCCTTTTCTATTACTGAAGAGTTATTGTGTTCCTTTGAGAGTGTCATGTTTCCTTGCTTTTTAATATTTCCTATGTCCCTACATTGACGTTTGTGCATCTGGTGGAACAGTCACTTCTTCCAACTTTATGGAGTAACTTTCTCAGGAAATACTTTTTCCTGTAGATGTGTCCTATGGAGTTGATTGGGTATGGTGCTTTGGCATTGGTTCTGGGTAGGTGCAGTAGTGTAGTCTTTGTATGATTTGTTCAGCTGTAATAAATGTCAGTGGTGTATACAATTGTCTCCATGGCCTAGGCTGTGATTGTTTGTGAAGGCTGTGGTATGGCTTTGCTAAGTTGTGCTGGTTCTTGGGTTCTTGGGGAGTGCATAAGCATGCAGCAACTCTGCCTTGGGAGAAGGTAGGCTCACTGTGGCAACAGTTGTCCCCAGGAGGGTTGGTTCTCAGGCTACTGGGAGGTATATACATTGGCAGTTCTACCTCTGGAGGCAGTTTGGCCATGGCAGCTCTTGGTTCTGGGGAGTACATACATTAGCTCCTTCTGCTCTGGGGGAAGCCTCCCCACTATGCTGGATCACTTGTGCGATCAGGGTGTAGAGTGCTATGTGGGCTTGGTGCTGGGGTCAGCGCTGTACAATTGAGTTCAGCTGGTATCAAGACACTTCAGCCCTCAGAGTGGATATGGGGGAGTGTCAGCAGGACTTCAATTATGTGGAGATGCAGGGACTAATGAGCCCCACGGCAGGATGCATTCTGGTGGTGGCTCCACTCTCAAAATGGCACCATGCTGTAGCAACTGTGTCAGAAATCCCACAGAATTTTCTCCCTGGAAAGATGTAGACACATGGATTCCAGGCAGCTCCCTAGTCTGGGCTCAGGACCTGCAAGAGTTGTGGGGCTTTTCTGTAGGTAGGGTTGCAGGCATCCATGGTAGGAATATAGACTTCTGGGGATCTCCTGATTACCTTCTCCTCACAATGGGGAGCCTCTTTTGGCTCCAAGCCATTCTCCCAGCCAGGTGCTTTGCTTCCCTCTCTGTGCTGAGTTTCTGTGCCTCAGAGGGTCTTTGTCACTTATTTGCTGAATTCCAGTGTTCTCCCTTAGACATACTATTTGATGTGTGGTTATCTATTTGTTGTTTTGATCTTTTTTTGTGGAGGAGGTGAGTGCTGCATGCCTCTAGTCAGCCATCTTGATGACCAATTAAATGTGCACAGTTTAAAGTTCTTGTCACAACCATCATTTTTTAAAACTTGAAATAAATGTGTGTTCCAGTTGTTGATTTTGTTGACTTTCTTACTAAGAGAGCTTCATATTGTGAACTTTCCATATATTTTCAAATTTTAGCTGTTAAATTTGTTTCGAGTGGGAAGTTTTAGTTTTTCCCTCTTTTTCCTCCCAGATTCACCTTCTTCTGGTCTGGCATTCTTGGCAGCTTCCAGTATCCACCCACCTTCACTGACTCTAGGCTTTCAGTTGAGAACCAGGTCTTACAGTGATTTTTCAGAGCTCTCTGCCTCTGATATTGTGGCTATCACAAACCAATCACCGAGCCAACAGGCATCTTGGTTCAGTTCTATGGGGATGAATGCTTGTTCTATCCCCCCAGAACCTCTGAGAGCATCTTGTGAAGTCACAATTTCAGGAAGCAAAAACAGAGCCATTCTCCCCTTTTCCACATAAGAAAAGTGCCTCTACCTCAGTTCCAGGCTTCATTGAGCCTGTCCTTAGTATTTTTTGTGAAAGCACTATCCACATTTCTCTCTAAAGATTAAAACTTTCACAGCCACTGCTGGCTCACAGACCAGGGTCCAGCAGGTCTGAGGCTTCATTTTCATTTATCGTTTTTGTGTTTCTTTCCTGTTTTTGATTGCATATATAACTCATCTTTTAAACCCATCAGTGCCTTTCTGCATGGCCTCTTTTAATATTTTATTGCTGTATATTTGAAGTAAAAGAAGTATATTAGAATGTGAACGGTACTGCTTGAAACAAAACCTGAACTAGCACTAATATCATTTTATCTGTGTGACTTTATGATAGAGCTTTATCAAATTGCCTGGATATACATACACACACAAACACAATTAGTTAATGTAAAAGCTGGAGAAAACTGCATGTGCTCCATAATAATTAATAGTATTGTACCAATATCAATTCCTTGTTTGATATTTACAACAGTTATATATGATGTTGCAGAGGGGAAAGCCAAATGAAGTGTTCCCAGGATTCAATGTACTATGTTTGCAACTTTCTGTGAGATCGTAATTATTTCAAAAGAAAAAGTTTCAAAACTAAGGTTATATAGTTATACAAATATCAAATTGCTTTTATCATTTTTCATTCAAGAACTAGGCAGTTCTGAGGAAAAACAAATGATATGCCATATAAAGTCATTTGGCCCTGTACATGATGCATGGAAAGCATTAATTAAATTTTATTTTATCTCCTTTCCTAGTAATCATATTTCTATGCCAACTTTTTTTTCCCAGTGTGATCTACCTTGTGTCTTGTTTGTTCATTTATTTGTTCACATAGCAAATTCTTTTGAAGCACCAATTATGTGTCAAGCACTACATTAAGCCCTGGAATATCAAAGATTAATAAGATAGAATTTCTTTATCCAAGGTTCTTCTAATCTATTGGAAAGGAAAAAACATGTAAGCAGCTACAAAATAATCTGATAATTATATGAAGTAAGTGCTGCCAGAACACAGAAGAGGGAACATTTGTCTTTGTGACTCAGTTACAGCATCCCAGAGTATATACAGGCTAGATCCTAAAGGGTAAGGAGGGATTTTTCAGAATGTGAGGAATTTTATGGGATAACTGGCCTGATTTCTTACAAATGAATGATATGAATAAAAAGCATGCTGGGAAGATTGCTACAGATTAAAAGATACTTAAGAAGGAAATCAACCAAATGATAGTCATCATTTGAATAAAACAACTGCAAAAAGACATTCATGGTATAATCAAAGAAATTTGAAAACAAATTGGATGGATAGTAAGAAATTATTGTTAATACTGAGTAATAGTAATGGCATGCCCAAAGATATAATATTGTTAATAATACTGGGAGTTACAGAATTATCGTTATATATATATATATATACATATATATATATATAATTGTTATTTTTGTTAGGCACAATAACAGTATTGTTATTTAACTTATATCCTTTATGTCAGAGTTACAAACTGAAGTATTCACAAATAAAATGATATGATGACTGGGACTTGCCATAAAATGCTCTAGAAAACAACATTGTGGAAGATAGATGACATATGATGAATAAAAAGTGACTAAATCTTGAACTTGGTGTATGGGTGAATGGAAATTCATTAACACTGTTCTCCCTGTGCTAATTCTATGTTTGGAAATTCCCATAATAAAAAGTAAAATTTATTCCACAATCATCAACATTTTACGTAGCAGATTCAGATTATTTAGCGCCTAATCTTCATTTTAATTTATTCTGAGTCATAGATAGCATTGATTAATTGTCTCAGTCATGGTAGTAATATTTTCTTCTCAGTCATAGTCTCTTGTATTTCAGTTAGGTACCAGCCATGTCATCAGGAATTAAAAAAATTTTAGTGAAGTTATTTGTGTTTCCTCTGTGCATTGGATGAAGATGACATTTTTTTCAGAGAAATTACTGGGAAAAAAAAATCACTCTGCCTTCTTTAACATTCCATGTGTGAGTGATTTTATCGGCTCTGAAATTGTAAACCCACACTTTTGACTCTGGGAATAAGCTGATAAGATTTTAAAACCTTCTACCCAAAAGACTGCACAATAATTTTTTTAAAAACTTCAAGTAGTCTCAATAAATACATTTTGCTTTTTAAAAATAAGCAAAATATAAAATGTTTGGAGCTAAGGATGCTGGATGAAGGAAGAAAAGAAAAATCACTCCAGGCAGGGAAAGCAGCAAATTTTTTAACAAAAAGCTTATGTTAGGAAAATGTTGAAATATTGACTGGAAAACTGGGAACCAAGGTGGGGACAGTGAGGATATGAAGCTGAAAGATAGTTAGGAACCACATGACTAATAGTATTTCCAAACTAACAAGTTCTTCCCCACAAAGAATTTTACTGTTTAATCCCTATAGGCAAGAGATAACCAATGCAGATTTGCAACGAAGGAATAACAGAGCTGTGTTTGTTTTGTATGTATCTCAGGTAGTGATATGGAGTATGGAATAAAGGAAGAATGAGCTGGCATCAGGGGAATCAATGAGGAACCTTTTTTAATAGTATAAACAATAGACAATGAGGGCTAAACTACATCATGGCATTGAGAATGGAAGTAAATGCTTTGTCTGCAACTAATTCAGTTAAGACTTCGAGGCTCACTGTAAGAGGTGGGAAGAAGAGGAACATATTACTTGATGGTAACATCATTAACCAAGTGTGAGAATATGGAACTTAGAGTAGGCTTGGGGAGGGAGGACGTAATGAGCACAGTATTAGACATGTTAATCATGAAGCTCTATAGGACAACCAGGCAGAGCTCATGGCTGGAGGCTAGCTGTCCTTTGCTGAAGCAAAATATATTGTCTATTGTAGAATGAGAAGACCGAAGGCAAAACTCTGGTGAACCGACAAACTAATATGTGAAAGAACTTGTAGGCTGAAAGAGTAATGGGCAGAGACGAGGAGAACCATAGTAAAATATTGTCTAGGGTAATTTCAGAAAAACTTCTTGGAGTAAGTGAGATGAAGCTTGATTATGTTAGAATACCATATTAGGGAGCTGTAAGAATCCATGAAGAAGAAACTCTAAGTAAACAAACATAAACATGAATGTGCATATTTAGCTAAGTAATTTGAAGCAATCTGAGTCTACAAAGCCTTTATTTTTGTTTAATTATCTTTGTGCTATTTGCTTCCTGGTAGTTTATATTCTCCCAAACTTATCATGGGCATAATTAAAAGCAGGAGAATTTTAATTAATGCTGATTGCATTTTATTGTGAGACAGTTGCAAAATTCAAAGCCTTTGCATCTTATAACAATGAGCTGCAGGGTTTTAGCTCTTGGTTTTTATAAAATGACAGTTGAGGTAAGAATGATACCAATAATTCCCTGGTATCATGTCTTTCCCTTCTTTATTGATAGTAAATGTTTCCTTTTATTTTGTATCTACAAAGTCAATTCTCAGATATCTCCCTGCCAAACGTGAGAATCTGTGGCAAAATTTTACATTATTAAAATAGAAACACAATGGTGGGTTTTATTTTATCCTTTGCTTATTTGTCTGTTTCCTCTTTCACTATATCAAGACAGAGGTCTTGTCTCCATACCAAAGTTCAGTTTTTATACTCAAACACTTAAATATCTTTTCTATTCTTAACAAAAGTTTCTGGGAAATTTTTCTTTTAAGGTTATGATGTTTCTTTTCAGAAGAAGGAGAAAGAGCAGTTGAATACTGGCTGGTGCTTTCCATTAGTGTTACAGGTAATTTCATGTGTAATGAGGGGAACTCTTTGGGCAAGAAACAGAATTTGGAAGACAATTCTGCTTCCCTTTTTGAATTGTGTCATTATTTTAAAAGTGTTCATCAATTTCTAAATCATATACTGAAAGTAGAAGACACATACCTATGTGTCCTGATCTACATCTTTAACAAAGAAACGTAAGCATTAGTTGAGATGATAAAATATGACATATAAGCTTGCTAAAATGACCTTTTTCAGCTCCTGTACCCTTCTCTTTTGGAGGACACGACAGGTGGGTGTTCCCTGAGAAGGTATTCACAAGCCCATGAGTGTGAGTTTTACTAAATGACATTAAATTATTGAAAATGTAAAATTGGGAAAATAATGAATTTTTATTTGCCAAATAAAAATTCGGCGAATTTTTATTTGCCAACAGAGACCCCCCAGAAGCTGTACTTTTCGATGCAATGTTCCTATAGCCTTGCTACGGAAAAGCCTTTATAGAGGGTGATGGGCAAAGCCACAGATTAGGGCTGGAAAAAAATCCCTCCAGGATACAAATTTGAAGATTCATTTTTCTCATTACTGGTTTACAACCCAGTGTGAAGCTTAAATTGGATTGATCAAGGTGGAAAAATCTTTCTGTTATCAAAATGGAGCATATTGCCAAAAGGAAAAGGCACCAACTGACCTATAGTGATTGTTCTATTGCTGATTTTATCTTCTTCATGCTAGGGCATAATTTATTTCCTCTCACTGGAATGGAAGAGAATCTTTGAAGGAGTCTGAGTAAAAGGCAGCAAAAGGAAAATTCTATTGATAAAAATACAAAAATTGAAAGCAGTTGAAATCTTTAATATAAGAAGTGTTTCAAGAACATTAATATGAGGTAAATTATGTACTAATCAATTTTAAAGCATTTTACCTTAACAGTCTGACCCGCATGTACATAACATACATGCTGATTTTGCATGGCTTCTTAAGTATTAGAATGAAAGTATCCCAAAATACCTAAATACCTAAATTAACTAATCTAGGAGGATCTAAGTAAGGACAATACAAGGAACACTTATGTTTGAACCCAGTTTGGAACATAATTTTCAACTCTTTCTCATTTTCTGCACTGATGTGGGAGGTCACTGATGTTATATTATACTTGTCATTCTTGGGCTAAATATTCAACCTGCACTGTTATGTGTACCTTGAGGAGTCCTAGGAGCAGTCCTTAGGGGACTTCCTTTTGCCGAAGGTGTTTGCTAGTGAATAAATGCAGTCGTGCATCACTTAATGACAAGGAAACATCCTGAGAAGTGCATTCTTAGGCAATTTTGTCTCTGTGTGAACATCACAGAATGTACCTCCACACATCTAGATGGCATAGCCTTCTACACACTTAGGTTATATGGCATAGCCTATTGTTCCTAGGCTACAAACCTGTACAGCATGTTATTGTAGGCAATTGTAACACAATAGTAATTATGTAGATATCTAAACATAGAACAGGTACAGTAAAAATGTAGGTGGTATAAAAGATTTAAAATGGTACATCTGTACAGAGCACTTAGCATGAGTGGAGCATGCAGGACTGGAAGTTGCTCTGGGTGAGTCAGTGGGTGAGTGGTGAGTGAATGTGAAGGCCTGGGCGATTACTATATACTACTGAAGACTTTATAAACACTGTACACTTAGGCTACACAACTATGTTAAAACAATAAGTAATTATACTATGATGTTATGACAGCTGCAATGTCACTAGGCGACAGGATTTTTTCAGCTCCATTATAATCTTATGGTACCATTTTTATATATTCAGTCCACTATTGACCAATATGTCATATGCAGCAGATGACTATATACAAAAGCAAGGGAAACCACAGTTTTTTCTTCCTTGATATCATAATGTTTAATACAGATAAATTACCTGTAACACTGAACAGAAAATCTCACAGGATATAGTTCAATAATGTTATGGAGCTGAAGACTGATAGCAAAGTCAAATACAGTATTTATAAAATGAATTTTTTGTGTAATTAGTTTTAAAACCTAGCATCATACTAAGGCCCTCAGATTTCAACAAAAAGAAGAATGTTGCTTTGAGACGATTAAAACAGACTGATTAAGAAAGCCCTTCGTAACCTGGCACAAATCTACCTTTCCACTTCAAGACAGCCACTTTCTGTTATGCAGCTCAAGTGTAGGAGTACCTTCCACCTTTATAATCGCTGGAGATTTGTATATTTAGGGCAATAATTTTCTGACAGATGACTAAGGGCAAGGCTTTCTAGTTCTCAGAAAAGTGTCATTTGGGCTCAAGGTAGTGTCATTCAGGCTCAAGGTAGTGTCATTCCAACCTTATTCGCTATAGTATCTAAAATCAAACTCTCACACCAGTTGTCTTACATTGGATTCCATGAGAAACAAGCTCGCTGGTGGAAAGTTTCATACAAGAAATTTAATGGCATATGTGCTTGCATGAATGAACACCTGGAGGAAGTACAGGAAGTAGGATTAAGCAGAGGGGAGAACTGAACTGCTATGCAATCTTAACAAAGACATCAGGCAATTCCATGGGAACACTTGAGCTGTGATATCCCTTCAAAATTGTTCACTTTGAGGGAAGGAGATTGAGATTTTATACCCCTGCATTGACCAGCCATTGGATATGGACTCTTACAGGATAGAGGACATGACATTGGGTCAGACATTTTTCTTCAGCTGAGAGTAATTCCGTGAAAGTATCTGAGCAGTAAACTATCAACCACCAATATTCTCAATAGCTGAGAGAATGAGTACTTGGTCCCGTATGGGGAATTTGAGTGGCATGCCACTACACCTACTACACTAGCCCTACCTTTGCAGTATTCTCATTGTTTCTCCTATCCATTAATGTAACAGATATTTATTAGGTACCCAACCTACTGGATGCCAGACATCTGCTGGGTCTTGGCAACATAAATTTGAATATAAAGTGATTCTGCAGTCTAAGCGGAAAAAATACCACCTCTTCAACACACACACACACACACACACACACACACACACACACACAAATAGTGGTGAGTGCTCTAAAAATGATAGACACAACATGCTTTGGAAATGCAAAGGAGAAAATGTTTGACTTCCTGGGGAAATTTAGTCAGTCTTCATGGGAGAAACATGAGCCTAACATATGTATATTGCAATTTCCATGCTTTCTACTTGCCCTGATTGTCCTCTCCACTATATTTCACCTATTTAGAGCCTCTTCTATATGGCTCTGACCAGTTCTAACTCTACCACAAGCTTTATATCTACCACTATTTAACCCACTTTATGATCTGAGCAACCTCTGTTGTGAACTGCACTAGAATTAGCCCCTGATGCCACATGCCATTTACCTTCTCCTGGAGGTGTCATGTCACTCTATCTAAATGGCAAAACCAGCAGGACAGGGTCAACACAATACTTAAGTGAAGATTGTCATATCACAGAATGTAGAACCCAAAAAGTATTTAGAGATGATCTTGACCAAGCATGTCAAATGCAGGGGAGTGGGGCAGGCAAGAAAGGAAATTGTGATTTTCTTGAGGTATTTCAGCAAAGAAAGCAAAGATTTAAGCTTAGGACCAAGTCCATGGACCCCACCCATTGCCTTACACTATCTCTGCCAATGAATGAAACCATTCACAGGTTTAGTCTTAAAAAAAGTTTAAGGAAACTTTGAAGTATGTGTTAGAAAGTAGACTTTTTTCACCAAAGTAATAGACAAACTTTATCAAGCTGAGTGATCTTATTTATAACTCCCATGGACTATTCTGTTTTACTAGACACATTTAGGGGAAGATCAAAAGTATCTTTTATTGGAGATTCAACAAATGGTTGGGGCAAATCCATAATAAATTGTGTATGTCCAATTGAGCTACTATGGAGAAACTGAAAATATTGAAAATGTTTTTGTTCTCTCTAATCTTTATAGTCTGTTTCCAAAAATGTCCAGGTGATATAATGAGACAAAATTCACTAGTTTAGATAAACTACTGGCTTGAATGGCTTTGACAATTTGTGTATCTGCATGTGTGTGTGTTTGTCGTCTTTATGCATAGCTATATTTAAACCAGCCAAACCTACTGAGCGAAACAATGGTCCCTAAACCTGACTGACAATCAGAATTACCCAGAGGTATTTTCAAATATTCCTGAGTCCCAGTCTCTGGAGATGTGCACTGACCATGTATGATATGTGGTCTAAACAGCTACCTATGAGAGGCTCCCCAGATAATCTTCAGTGCAGCCAGGCTTAGAAATTGTATTATAAAGTATGGGGTGACAGAGCTTGGCTGCTCTGTGGTGCTGCTACAGAGGGCAGAGTGGTCCTGCCCTCTGGCTTATGGCCCCTGACTGCTGGTCAGCTTCAGGCAGCCCCACTAGTCACAGAGAGGTCTGGAGTGAGGGAAGGAAGGGCACCGCAGCAGCCATGCCGTGAAAACTGACAAACATATTTTACATGCCATGTCAATAGCATCCCTGAAGGTGAGTTCTAACAAGTGCCTCACTCTAATATAATACTTGCTCCTGGCTCAGGCCTCCTCCTCCCCTAATCATCGAGTCACGTACTCTACACCCTTCTCTGCTCATCTCTGATAATCATGTTGGAAATTGCCTAAAGAGATACTGCACTTTAATAACCTATGTTATCTTAGCCTCATTTCCTAACTTAAAAGAACAATAGATCGTTGGAAATACCATGAAGGCAATTTGAGCCATAAAGGCATAAACAAAAATAGGTATTACCATAAGAGTAACAAGTGGTGTGTGTGAGTGTTTGTGTGTGTGTGTATTCTTAAAAATCTAGTCCAAGAAAATGAACTTTATTTATTTAAATTTGCTTGAGTAAGGCCTTATGCATTTATTATGATGGCAGATCAAACCCTGCTCAAAAATGTGATCATCATCTCTACTGACTTCTATATTCTCTTTAATTCAGAATTATTAAGTTCTCTTAGGCAGTACATATTAAAATTTCCTTGGAGCAAGAGTCTCTTTTCTCTAACTGTGTTAAATAAGATTTCCCACGTAAAATATTTCTATCCATTCCATAGTAACAAGGCTGATTTTAAATGGATGAACGTAGAGAAATTGAGTTCCATTCCCTAAACACTCCATAATTACCAAATAACAGGCACTGATTGCTCCAAGACAAAAACCTGATCTCATTAGTACCTGCTGTTTGGGTAGGGAGAAGACAATTACATGTGAAGGGTACTAAGCTTTTGGAAATGCTAATTAATTATACATTATTTATTGGAAATACAATGCTCTCCTTGTACTGTAGCTAGGAAAACAGAGGAAGTGTAAGAACTTAAACAGCTGAGACATGCTGAATTGTAATGAACTATAGTCATTGTTTCAAATCTGGGATCCTTTACTGGTTTAAATACAATACCTACTCTCAAAGTCTTTTTCTTTTATCAGAACGGGCTATCAAGGTCTAAGAGTGTGGAAAGGAAATTACTCAGTTATTTGGCAGGCTTTAGCCAAACTAAGCTGGTATAGGTGGTTTAATTTTCATTTTACAAAGGTAAATAATAGATAAATAAGTAACAGTAAATAGTAAATAAACAATTTCCCAGCCCAAACCAAAAGGCTGGTATCAATAAAGAGATAGGAGCTTGGCATGTGATGGTTTCTGACAAAGTAAATTGCTTTGCATCATTGTTGTAGAATTGTACCCATGCTATAAAGTCTTTATACAGTGCTTTCCTGTTAGCTGGCATTAGTAACAAAAGACTAAGAGAGCATGGGATCTCTTTACACACGAGGCAAAGAACTGGAAGTAAGGACTTCCATTTCTCACAAGCCTAGCAATTTGCCTTCTCTGCAGTTTATATGTCAAGTGTGCCAGGGAAAAAAATAGCCTTACAGGTTAAACCGAGCAGTGTTACCTTGATTTGCTCTCATAATGTGATTTTTAATAATTATCCATCAATTCTTCCAAATATGTGGAGAGCAAATGCTAGAATGTGAAGAATACATATAGTTAACTTGAAATTTTTATGTAATTTATTATTTCACCTAAATCATCTGGCTGGCAGCATGACACATGGGCAAGAGGCAGATGACCTGTGTGTCTCTCTGACACCTGCTCCCAAGTCCATTATTATCCTCAATTCTCTATCACATGAATATGGTAGACCAGATAGAAGTCTACAAACTTAAAAATATATATATTGTGTAAATTTTAAAACAAATAAGAGTAGACAATACAGTATAATGAAGCTCTATGTATCCACCATTCAGCTTCAACCATTGGCAATACAATTTCTAATAATTAACATTAAGAAACATTAAGTTAATAAGTACTCACACATGGCTTATATGTAAATTATAAACAGTTATGTTTACATTTATGAGCTACACCAAGGTATTATGCACATTTTAGAACACAGATCATAAGTATAAAATTTTAAAACATGGAATAAAATATAATGAAGTTCTGCACATGAAAGTTCATAGCAGATTTATATGTGACAGCTGGGAGCTAGAAACCATCTAGATGTCCTTCATCAGGTGAAGAGAAAAGCCAACAGGTATATTCACACAATGCAATACTACTCAGTAGTAAAAAAAAAAAATTTAAAAAAACTATTGCTATCTATTGATATATGCAATAACATTGTAAGCAGCCAGTCTGAAAAGACAACATATTTTGTTGTTCCACTTTTTTTCACATTCTAGAAAAGATAAAACTATTGTTACATAAAATTAATCAGTGTTTGCCAGAGGTTATAGGTGGGGTAAGAATATAATTATAAAAGATTATCTGAGACAGTTCTTTGAGGTGATAAAACTGTCTTGAGCCTAGTTGTAATATGGCTATACAAATCTACACACATATTAAAATTCATAGAACTGCAAAATACATGCCAAAAAAGTCCATTTTATTGTATGATAATATACAAAAAAAGAATTAAAAAATAATCGAATTTAAATGCTTTCTCTTTACAATCACATGGTTCATTACTCACATTAATTTAAGAACCAGTAGACTAGACTACCTCTAAGTTCTCTGTTAGTGATGATCATAATCTGAAATAATGAGGTTAATATAATAAACTAGCTAAAAAAATTTTGACGCTTCTCCCATTGAGACAGGAGGAGTCAACACCCACTCTTTGAATCTGTTAGAGCTCTGTGATTGCTTTGACAAATGGAACACAGAGGAAATGTTACTATGTCTATTTGGGGAGCCAGATCTTAAGATACTAGAAGCTTCTACCTTGACATGGAACACTTACTCTTGGAACTCAGCCACCATGCTGTGAGAAAGGCCAAGCAAGCAGCTCCGTAGATAATCTCATGAAGAAAGAAACTAAGACTCCTGGCTGAGCTCCCAGCCAGCAGCTAGGACCAACTTGCCAGACATGTGAGTGAGTGAGGCTGTTGGAAGTAACTATCTAGCTCCAGTCAAACCACCCCTGCTGACGCTGCAAGGATGGAGATGAGACATCCCACCAAGCACTTTCTAAATTTCAGAATCATGATCAAAATAAATCACTGGGGTTGTTTCAAGCTGCTAAGTTTGGGGAGGTTTATTATATAGTAATAGTCAATTTGTTTGATAGATAATATAATAATAGATATGTTTGTTATATAGTAATAGATAATACAGAACTTAAACCATTCTTCAAGAAAAAGTAGGCTTCAGAGTCATGAGTTATTGCCTTAATGCAGAGGTTTTTTAGTGTGTCAACCTCAGCAACCTGAATAAGAATGATCTGAAGTGTTGTGAAAAATGCCAAACCTAATGCATCAGAATCTCTTGAATTGGGGATCCAGAAACTCAGTTTTAACAAGCTTCCCACATGGTTCTTCTGCATCCTAATGTTTGACGCCCAGCATTTCAGTCACACTGAAAAGATTAATTGAAAGTAACTGGACCCCAGGATGATGTCACACGTCACTACCACAAAAGGTAAAGAAACTTAGTGAAGAAAAAAATACCGTAAGCAAACCAGGTAGAGAGGTCCCTGAAGTGGGCTTGTTCTACAAGACAAAATAGAGCCCAGCAAAGGATAAATTCTAAATGGGCATGAAAAGTAAGAGATAATAAGATCAGGTATATTGCCGAAAATAGATATGACATAAACAGACATATCATATTAATAGGATATTTAAGTCCTGTGATTTTATGATTTTTGACAAATTAAATAAGAATGATAACATGAAGGCAAGATTAACAAGGCTAAATTTATTTTGTTGTTTGTTAACTAGATAGATAGATGATAGATAGATAGATAGATAGATAGATCTATTTAAAAGGAAAGCCATTTAAAAGCTATAACCACCTTTCTTTCTTTATGTAAATACAAACTTTTAAATTCATTAGCAATATTAATGGCTAAACTAGACTCCCATAAGGTATTCTTTTCACTTTCATCCCAAAATGAAAGAGAGAAAGAGAGAAAAGGAAAAAAAATAATTGCTACATCTGCTTCAAATTAACTTTGAAATAAAGTGGGAAATGAACAAATTGAAGACATAAACATTGTGTTCTAGTTACTAAAAAAGCAAAAGCATGCATCAAAGGAGAAGCCAGAATCCTATTGTAGATATACATATTTCAAACTCAAGAAGCTCAAAGTAGTCTCTGAAAGGTAGAAATGAAAGGGATCTAAGAGTCATGATAGAACATAGAAAATTTCTAGGTACATTTTCAGAAACCTATATTTTCTGGTTTTGTTTTCATTTTTTACCAGGGCTAAAAGTCACCTGGCTCAACATTTTCTATAGACTTTTTGTAGCCACTTATACAGTATCTATGATTCATATTTAATTATTACTGTTTTCTCCCACTAAGAAACAAAAATCCAGACTTTTCCCTTTATACTCAATATGCAGAAGTGTACTAGGATTAAACCTGGGTTGTAGTAGTAAACTCAAGAGTTGATATAAATGGTAAATAGCATTAACCAAGGGACTGAATAATAAGATAATACATGTAAACATACTTAATATAGACTCCTGCACATTATAAGGGCCCAATTAACATAATTTGCCTTAAATTTTTCTAAAGCTAAATTAATTCCTTTTGCTTTATGTTATCTCTATAAAAGTAGTTATATTTCTGAAAACCTGTCAGAAATTAAGCATAAAACTTCCACTGAGCAGCAGGGCCCTCTCCACTCCAAGCCCAGGCACTTGGACAGCTCAATCAGCAGCCTGAGCTGCCCAACCCTTCCTGTGCAGAGACTGTGGTGCAACAGGGTCCTCTATGCTCCACACCCAGGATTAGGAGTTTACCTCCCCACCACCCATGCAGAGAACTTCCAGCAGAAGAGAATTCTCACCTCCATGCCTAGACACACGTCTCAGTGCTTAGTGCCTTCTCACTGGACATCCCTTCAGCACTGATGCTTGTGCCTGCCATTGGTGGACCTGCAAGCAGGCCTGCCTGTTTCAGTCCCACCCATCTTGGACCCTCCCCACAGGGATGAGCAAGAAGCTCAGACTGCCCTATATACTCCACGTATCAGCCCATTGCTTGAGGCAGCAGAGAGAGTTTCTCTCAATAAATAATAATCAACTATCAGACCCACCTGCAGTTAACTCTTACCCATATGCGCCATCAGTTGGCCTGTAGTTTGAGTTACACAGCCCAATATAAGACCTGCTGACAGAATTGCGTAGAAGAAAAGCCAAAGACCCTACCCCAGCATTCTCTACAGTCACACCTCCTAGGAAAGTAGGGAAAGGAAAATGAAAAAATAAATAAATACAAGGGAAAAATGAAAAAAATTACAAAATTTAAAAGTGCCAGCATCCCCAGATGAGACGGAACCAGCACAAGAATTATGGCTCCATGAAAAACCTGAATGTGGTGACACCAAAGAATCACACTAGCTCTCCAGAAATCCTCCCTAAACAAAATGGAATTTCAGAAATGACATGAATAATTCAAAGCATGGATTGTAAGGATGCTCAAATGAGATCCAAGACAAGTTTGAAATCAAAACAAAGAAACTTCTAAAGCAATCCAGAAAATAAGGAACAGATACATAGCTTTAAAATAATCAATCAGAGCTTTTGGAATTGACAAACTTACTTAAGAAATTTCAAAATACAAATGAAAGTTTTATCAATAGACTAGACCAAGCAGAAGAAAGAATTTCAGAGCTTGAAGACTAGTCTTTCAAACTAACCCAGTTAGCTAAAAATAAAGAAAAAAAAATTTTAATGAGCAAGACCTTCAAGAAATATGGGATTATGTAAAGTGACCAAATCTATGAATTATTAGAATTCCTGAGAGAGGAGAATAACTTGGAAAACATATTTGAGACAATAATTCAATAAAATTTCCTTAACTCTGCTAGATGGTCAGACATCCAGATATAAGAAATCCAGAGAACATCTGTGAGATGTTATACAAAGCAAGTATTGTCAAGGCATATAGTCACCAGACTGTCCAAGGCCAACGATAAAGAACAATCTTAAAGGCAGCTTAAAAAAAGAAATATCAGACCATGTACAAAGAGAAGCCCATCAGGCTAAAAGCAGACATCTCAGTAAAAAATATACAAACCAGAAGAGATAAGAGGCCTATTTTCAGCATTCTTAGAGAAATTCCAACCAAGAATTTTATATCTCACCAAATTAAGCTTCATAAGTGAGAGAGAAATAAAATCTTTTCCATAAAAGCCATCACTAAGGAAATTCATTATCACTTTACCAGCATTATAGGAAATCCCTAAGGAAGTTCTAAACAGAAACAAAAGAACAATACCTGGTATGACCAAACAGACACACACACACACACACACACACACACACACACACACACACACACTCTTAAGTACATATCCCACAGACTCTATAAAGTTACTAATATATAGAAACTACAAACAGTGAACAACTTCACAATAGGATCAAAACCTCACATATCAATATTAACCCTGAATGTAAACTGCCTAACACCCCACTTAAAAGGCACAGAGTGGCCAGGTGGATAAAAAGCGAAAACCCATCTGTCTGCTATATTCAAGAGACCCAACTCACATGTAACAACACTCATAGGCTCAAAGTAAAAGGTTGGAGTAAACATTATCATTATAATGATATTTTATCATTATGTAATAAAACATTATTACATAATGATAAAGAATCCAATTCAACAAGATGACTTAACTATCCTAAATATATATGCACCCAATATTGGAGCACCCAGATACATAAAACAAGTACTTCTAGAGCTATGAAAAGACTTAGGCAGCCAAACAATCATAGTGAGGGACTTCAACACCTCACCATCAGCTTTAGACAGATCACTAAGGCAGATAACTGGCAAAGATATTCTGGACTTAAACTCGACACTTGGCCAATTGGACTTAAGAGAGATCTACAGAATATTTCACCCATCAACCACAGAATATACATTCTTCTCATCTACACACAAAACATACTCCATAATAGACCACATGCTCAGCCATAAAGCAAGTCTCAATAAATTCAACAAAACTTAACATACGAACCATTGTTTTGGACCAAAGTAAAATAAAAATAGCAATCAATACCAAGAAAATCTCTCAAAACTACACAATTACATGGAAATTAAACAACTTGCTCCCGAATAACTTCTGGGTAAATAATAAAATTAAGGCAGAAATGAAAAAATTCTTTGAAATAAATGAAAACAGAGACACAGCATACCAAAATCTTTGGGATGCAGCAAAAGCAGTGTTAAGAGGAAAGTTTATAGTGCAAAAAACCTACATCAAGAAGTTAGAAAGATCTCAAATTAATGATCTAACATCACACAAATACAAGAACAAAATAACCCCAAAGCTAGCAGAAGAAAATGAATAACCAAAATCAGAGCAGAACTGAACAAAATTAAGATGTACAAATCCATACAACCGATCAACAAAACCAAAAATTGGCTCTTTCAAACAATAAACAAGATTGACCACTAGCTAGATTAACAAAGAAAAAAAGAAAGAAGGTCCTAACAGGCAAAATCAGAAATGACAAAGTTGACATTACAACCAATCCCACAGAAATATACAAAAGATCATCAAAGACTATTATGAACACCTTTATGCACACAAACTAGAAAATCCAGAGGAAATGGATCAACTCCTGGAAACAAAACAACCTCCCAAGATTGTATCAGGAAGAAATTGTAATGCTGAACAGACCAATATCCAATTCCAAAATTGAATCAGTAGTAGAAAACCTACCAACAAAAAAAAAAGCCCCACATGGATTCACAGCCAAGTCCTGCAAGATGTACAAAGAAGAGCTGATACTAGTTTTAATGAAACTATTCAAAAAAATTGAGGGGGAGGGACTCCTCCCTAACTCATTTTATAAAGCCAGCATTACCCTGATACCAAAATATGGCAAAGACACCACGAAAAAAGAAAACTACAGGTCAATATTACTGAAGAACATAGACAGAAAAATACTCAACAAAATGCTAGCAAACTGAAGCTAGAAATCACATCAAAAAGTTAATTCACCATGACCAAGTGGGCTTTATTTCTGGGATGCAAGGTTGGTTCAACATATGCAAGTCAGTAAATGTGATTTACCACATAACAGAATGAAAAACAAAAATCAAATGATGATCTCAATAGATGTAGAACAGGCTTTTGGTAAAATCCAAAATGGCTTTATGATAAAAACACTCAACGAATTAGGCTTAGAAAGAACATACCTCAAAATAGTAAGAACGGTCTAAGAGAAACCCACAGCCAACATCATACTGAATGGGCAGAAGTTGGAAGCATGCCCCTTAAGAACAGGAAGAAAACAAAAATGCCCACTCTCACTACTATTATTCTACCTGGCACTGGAAGTGCTAGCCAGAGCAATCAGTCAAGAGAAATAAATAAAATGTATCCAAATAGGAAAAGAAGAATTCAAACTACTTCTCTTTGCTGACAATATGATTCTATACCTAGAAAACTTTAAAGACTCTACCCAAAGATGCCTAGAACTGACAAATGAGTTCAGTAAAGTTTTAGGATACAAAATCAATGTATGAAAACCAGTAGCACTTCTATACACCAATAACATTCAAACTGAGAGCCAAAACAAAAATGCAATTCCATTTATAATAACTACACACACACACACCACAAATACCTAGGAATACATCTAACCAAGGAAGTGAAAAGATCTCTACAAAGAGAACTATAAAACACTGTTGAAAGAAAACATAAGTGACACAAACAAATGGAAAAACATTCCATGCTCATGGATTGGAAGAATCAACATAAATAAAAAGACCATACTGCCCAAAGCAATCAATAGATTCAATGTTATTCCTATCAAATTACCAATGTCATTTTTCACAGAACCAGAAAAAACTACTCTAAAATAGTTTTTAGAGTAGTTGGCTTTAATAGCCAAGGCAATCGTAAGCAAAAAGAACAAAGCCTGAAGCATCACATTACCTGACTTTAAAATATACAATAAGGCAGCAGTAATCAAAACAGCATGGTACTGGTACAAAAACAGACAGACCAATGGAACTGAATAGAGAACCCAAAACTAAAGCCACACAAGTGCAACCATCTGACTTTGACAAAGCTTACAAAAATAAGCAATGGGAAAAGGACTCCCCTATTCAATAAATGCTGCTGGAATCACTGGCTAGCCACATTCAGAAGAATAAATTTGAATACCTACCTTTCACATATACAATACTGAAAATGGATTAAATATCTTATATGTAAGACCTTAACCTATAAAAATCTTAGAAGAAAACCTAGGAAATACCATTCTGGACATTGGCTTTAGCAAATAATTTATGACTAAGTCCTCGAAAGCAATTGCAACAAAAACAAAACTTGACAAATGGGACCTAATTAAACTAAAGAGCTTCCGCACAACAAAAGATACTATTGACGGAGTAAACAGACAACCTACAGAGCGGGAGAAAATATTAGCAAACTATGCATTCAACAAAGATCTAATATCCAGAATCTATAGGGAACTTCTTCAATTCAACAAGCAAAAAGCAATTCAACAAGCAAAAAACCAGTAATCCCATTAAAAAGTGGGCAAAGGATTTGAACAGACACTTTTTGAAAGAAGACTTAAAAGCGGCCAACAAACATATGAAAAATTGCTCAATATCATTATTCATCAGAGAAATGCAAACCAAAACCACAATGAGATACATCCTACCCTAGTCGCAATGGCTATTATTAGGAAGTCAAAAAACAACAGATGCTGGTGAGGCTGTGAAGAAAAAGAAACACTTACACCCTGCTGGTGGGAATATAAATTAGATTACCTTCCATAGAAAGTGGCTTGGAAATTTCTCACAGAACTTAGAACTACCATTTGACCCAGCAATCCCATTACTGGGTATATACCCAAAGGAAAATAAATCATTCTACCAAAAAAACACATGCACTGGTATGTTCATTGCAGTGCTATTCACAATGGCAAAGACATGGAGTCAACCTAGGCACCCATCAGTGGTGGATTGGATAAAGACAATGTGGTACATATACACCATGAAATACTATGCAGGCATTAAAAAAAAGCACAATCATGATCTTTGGAGCAACACAGATGCAGCTGGAGGCCATTATCCTAAGCGAATTAAGACTGGAATAGAAAACCAAATATTGCATGTTCTCACAAGTGGAAGCTAAACATTGGGTACACATGGACATAAATATGGAAACAGTAAACACTAACGGAATACCAGAGAGGTGATCAAGAGCTGAAAATCTACCTATTTATTGCTCTCCTCACTACCTGGGTTATGAGATCATTCATACCCCAAACCTCAGCATCATGAAATATACTCATTCAACAAACCTGCACATATACCGCCTCAATCTTAATAAAAGTTGAAATTATTTTTAAAAAAATTTCCACTCAAACCCCACATCTAACCTAAATGTTTTAGTATAACATACTAAAACATACCCTTTTATTTTAGATTTTGTATGGTGTCCTGTGACAATAAAATGTATAGGGAAGATTTCATAAATGTACTAAATATAATAGTACATTTCATCTGCAAATTTCAGAACTTTTAAAATTTCATAATGTCAGTCTGACCTTTTCTGGTTGTCTTCAAGATTCCCATTTAACAAAACCAGAAGACAAAGCAGTAGCTCCTCTTGTCAAGTAGGTAGAATTACATGGTTTTTCTGATAGCAATGACAGTAGATAACAAAGTTGCCAGCATGAGTCAGCCTGGCTGGAGCTGAGTGGAGGGCTTCTCACTGCATCATCCTGTTATGCTTTGGCTCCAATGCTCTCAATATCTTCTTGAAGTCCATGCTGGAGATGACTTTGGCAAGAACAAGTGTCCAGAGATGATTAAGAAACAGGACTTACAAGAACTTAAGCAGCATTAGGCCTAGTAAAGAGTTAAAGATGCAAATATCTGTATGAAGAGTTGAGCAGAGTAAAACCTAAACCTTTTATTAAACAAAAAAAATGAGTTTTCCTGGAAAGTTGAAGTGTGATAGGTCCATTTATTATTAAAGGGAGTAAATGCAGTTTCTGCCAAGTTCACTCACAGAGGAGACTAGACTCAGTGTCCTGCCTCTGTTTGACATTCTCACAAGATTCCACTATTTGTTTTCTAAGAAAACATTACCTAGTAGTAGTCAGCTTTTCCAGTGTTAGAACCTTGTAAATGACATTGTGTATAACGCACTGGCATTTATTTTTAATGAATGTTTTCTTCTTTCTGTCTTCTCAAACTTGCAATTTATTTAAGATGTTTGAAGTTGATTGATTCTATGTATCTTCATAGATAGGGAAGGTAACACTCTCTCCATTTCAGTTAAAGCATTCCTTCATGATTCTTTTAAATCAGTGATGAATGATTTAATAATGATCACAACTGCTGAACCATAGTTTGGAAATTCAGTAACATAGAGGCGGAGGAAACGCCCTTATAGTTGGTATCGGGAAACACAAAGAATTATTTTCCTACATCTGAAAATTCCAGTAAGGTTTTAGAGTTATCTTAAAGTAATTTTTAATTGTTCTGTGAAAACTTTTTATTCTTCACATGAAAACAATGTGTAAGGCATTGTATTAGAGTGCCCACACATCGTGCCAGTTCTGATGACCACAGCATGGTATTTCTATTTCAACTCTGTAGCTGAATATTTCCCATTTCCCATCTGTCTGCTGATTTGTAACAGAATAATTATTTTATAGCTAGTAGATTTGACAAAATGAGATGCAATGTCAAATAATTTTCACACTTTTTTCTAAATGCAATATGCTTTGGGGTTACTGAGGAACAAAAGATTCTGAATTAATTCACTTTGTCGCTGATGACAAAAACAACTAGAATTTGCAAAGGTGATTTATCTTAATTAAACATGAGTTAACATATCTCCCCACCAAAACAAATCCTATCATAGGAAGCTGCAATATGCTTGGGGGCTTGATATCCAGAGAGACTTCAAATTTACTTGAAATTGCATTAGTTGTATAGTCTGGGTTTATTATGTGCAAGGTACGTCCTAATGCTGATAAGAATGATAAAAGTAAGGATAAACTCTTTTAATGCGTAAAAACTTAGGAAAACAAAATGTATAGAGAGGAAGTACTTAAGTCCTAGGACGTAGAAGTGTGCAAAGGTGTGTGTGTGTGTGTATCTCACTCTGAACAATACCGCTCTGTGTGTGTGTGTGTGTGTGTGTATATAAAATGAGCATATCATGAAATATACTCAAGCATATTGCAGCTTCCTATGATAGGATTCCTTTTGGTGGGGAGATATATTAACTCATGTTTAATTAAGAGAAATCATGTTTGCAAATTCTAATTATTTTCATCATCAGAGGCAAAGTGAATTTTATATATATACATATATATATACACACACACATATATACACACATACACACATATATATTGTTCAAAGTGCTTCACTGAACACCAGAGGAGTTAGGTGGGACATTTAGAAGAGAGATTTGTACATTTGGTGAAACTTTAATTAAAAATGGAAGATGCAAACAAGTAAAATTGTGTAGCTAGAATAACTCTCAAATTATCTTATAATTGTCTTAATTGATGTGTAAATGTTATTCTGCTCCCATGTATGTCTACATAAGTTTCTGCCAGAGAAAATTCATCTTGCAGATCAAGCAGATAGGGATATTGGTTGATGAGGGACTTATTGACTCCATATACGGAAGCCTTTTGTATTTGTGAGACACAATTATTAGGCATCAGCACTAAAAACACCATTTGCATATGTATCTTAACTTCCACAAAATAATCGAAAATTATATCCAAAAGAATAAACTCCTTAGCATTTCAGAAGCTGATTTCCAATTATCCCAGTAAAATGTAAATGTGCCAGACAATATTTTTGTTTCTGGGGGATCACCAGAAAAACTTGGACTCTTCTAATGGAAAATAAAAGAGTGATTTTTTATTAACTTTTAGCTTTGGATAACTCGGGTAGAAATTGTAATACACACCAGCGTCATCTCCCATCTTGCTCCTGAGTACAAGGATTGTAGGCATTTAACTCCATTCCACAGCTCTCCAGGGTGTAGACATTTCAGACATAATTTTACCTCCCTTCGTACACACACCCAATCCTATCTCACACAGCTATCTCTCTAATAGGCAGAAATCAGACAGTGATGCAGTTTCTCTGTTATGTTGTTTTTGACTCTACTACTTTCCTCCTTCTAAAGACATAACAACAAGAATTCCTTGTCTATTATCAACTTTTTCTTCTTTATTTACGCACGCTTAATTTTCTTTTTTCAACCAACTTAAAATCTGCTAAGCCTGACAGACTATTCTATTTAAAGATTTTAGAGGATTTGCCTACATTAAAAAAAAAAAAACAAAAACGACTTTCACACCAAGACAGAATAAAATAGAAATCACCTTTGTCTCTATCAAACAAATTTGGATTTCCTAAAAAGTCTCTTAAAAATTGGTAGAAAAAAAACAAAACATACCCGTATTTGAAGCGGCATTATTTTAGCTTTTTGAAATGCTTAGTAAAAGGAAGTAAATCTGTTGTAGAGACCTCATGATTTGGTATGTATCAAATAAATGAAATCAGAAGTTGGTTTCAAACTAGAAGATCAAATAACTTTTTTTCTTTTAATTTATTTGTTTATTTTTAGAAATGGTCTCCCTCTGTCACCCAGGCTGGAGTGCAGTAGTGTGATCACAGTTCACTGTAACTGTGGGCTCCTGGGCTCAATAATCCTCCTGGAGCCCAACTCCTGGGCTCAAGCAATCCTCCTGCCTCAGCCTCCTGAGTAGCTGGTACTACAGGTGTGTGCCACCATTCCTGGAAAATTTTTTACAAAAATTTTGTTAGGGTCTCACTATGTTGCCCTGGCTGGTCTCGAACTCAGGCCTCAAGCAATATTCCCTCCTTGGCCTCCCAAAGTGCTGAAATTGCAGGCATGAACCACCACACCCAGCCTGCCTAAGACATTTATAAAATGCCTTCCCCACATTCAAGAATCATACATTAGTTCTAGAATTTTCTCTCTAGATTGTAAACAAGATTGAGGATAGAAGTAAATTTTCTTTTCATGCTTATGTATTCATATCCACATACATCCCCTCCAAAGCACTGCTCTTAGTAGGCATTCAATAAATATTTTTGAATGAATAAATGGCTTTTGTAAATACGAGCTCAGCCTTACTGTTATCACTAGGAGAAACAAATATATTTCTGGCATACATCTTCCTTAACCTACATTATCCTCCTACTGCTAATTCCACATGAAAAATAGACATCTCAAAAGGATATTGACTTATTTAGTGACCTGGTCATGTACTTAGTGTTTACAATGCATATACCATTGTTCAACATAGTCTGCTCAGTTCCACTATAGACATATCCATCAAGCTTTCTAAAAAAAAAAAAATTAACAGTAAAACATATTACCTTTCCTTTTGAGCTTGATTTATTTAAACCTGGAGGGTCACAAAAAAAAAAAAAACAATCAGAGAGAAATTGAGTTTCCCTTTCTTCTTGTTCCTGTCCTTTTACACTGCTCTCTACATTTTTGTGCTAAAACTTCTTTTTATGAAGAGACTTCCAGAAGTCCAGATTGCTTGAGAGGCTCAGATTGATAATATCTATGCTGTATTAATGCTGATTGACCTTCCGGGATAAAAGGGACTTCACAAATAAATATTATAATTGCAAGCAAAGCAAATATTACCAGATTGATTTCTCCAACCATTTTAATAGTATTACATACCTCTTCAGTTCCCAGTTTCTATATTTAAATGTTGGCAACTCAGCCCACATAAAGGAAAAATATAACTATGGCAAAGGAAGGGGAAAATGTCTCTATTGAATATATGGCCTACTGAGAACATCTGAGAAAGAGTCATCAAACCATGCCTCTGTTGTTCATGCACAGGTATGAACAGCAGTGCATCATCATGGCACCTCTGGAACAGCTAGGAGTATGCTTGCTTTTTGCACACTTTTGCATTTTCCCCAGGGACTTTCAAATTGAAGAACTCAGCTAGAGGGTTCACACATCTACTGCAGCCAGGTCTTTGTGGTAGGTAGCATAATGGACCTCCAAAGATGGGCTTGTCCTAATCCCCAGACCTGTTAATATGTTATCTTACATAGAACAAGGTACTTTGCAGCTGTGATTATAATTAAGGACCCTAGAATGCGGAAATTTTCCTAGATTATTCCCAGGAGTTCAATATAATATTTTTAAATTGATAAATTATAATAATCATAATTGTATTACATTTATGGAGTACAATGTGATGTTTTCATATATGTATATAATACGGAGTTATTAAATCAAATTAATTAACATATATATCCCTTCCCTTGCTTGACATTTTTTGTGATGACATCTTTGAAATTTACTCTCTTATTTTGAAATACACAGTACATTATTATTGGCTATGGTCACCCTGCTGTGCAACAGATCTCTAAACCTCCTGTCTAGCTAAAACTGTGTATCCTTTAAACAGTAACTCCACATTCTCTCACTCCTCCCCACCCAAGCCCCCCATCCCTGGCTCTGGTAACCACCATTCCATTCTCCACTTACATGGATGAATCTTTTTTAGATTTCACATATAAATGAGATCAAGTAGTATTTATCTTTCTGTGCATGGCTTATTTCACTTAGCATAACATCTGCTAGATTCATCCATCTTGTCCCAAATGACAGAATTTCATCTTTTTAAAGAATAAGTAATATTTCATTTTGTTTACTCTATTTTCTTTATCCAACTGTTGATGGACAAGTTGATTCCATATCTTGACTACTGCGGATAATGCTGCAATGAACCTGGGAGTGCAGATATCTCTTTGGCATACTTAATAATTTCCCTTGTAATACCCAGTAGTGGGATTGCTAGATCATATGGGAGTTCTATTTTTAGTTTTTGGAGGAAATTCCATACTGGTTTCCATAATGGCTGAACCATTTACATTACCACCAATAGTGTACAAGCATTCCCTTTTCTCTACATCCTCTCCAGTGGTTGTTATCTTTCATCTTTTTGGTAAAAGCCATTCTATTGGGTATAAATAGATATCTTGTTGTGGTTTTTAAATTGTGTTTTCCTAATGATTAGTTCATTTGTTAATGAACCTTTTGGCCGTTTGGATGAGTTCTTTTGAGAAGTGTTTGTTCAGGTCCTTTGCCCACTTTTAAATCGGTTTATTTGTTTGCTTACTATTGAGTTATTTCAGTTCCTTGTATATTTTGTACATTAAACCCTTACTAGATATATGAGCTATCTGAAAAGAAAGTTAAGAAAATAATCCCATTTACAATAGCAACAGAAAAAAATTTAAAACTTAGATGTAAATTTAAATCAGAAGGTAAAAGACTTATATACTGAAGACTATAAAACACTGATGAATGAAATTGAAGAAAACACAAATAAATTGAAAAATATCCCATCTCTATGGACTGAAATAATTAATATTATTAAAATTCCCATACTACAAAAAATAATCTACAGATTCAATGCAATCCCTATAAAAATTTCAAGGTCATTTTTCAAAAATGGAAAAATCAATCCTAAAATTCTGTGGAACCACAATACACCCCAGATAACCAAAGTAATCTTGAGCAAAAAGAACAAAGCTACAGGCATCATACTACCTGATTTCAAAATGTTTTATAAAAGTGATTATAATTAAAACAGCATAATACTGGCATAAAAACAGACACATCGACCTATGGAACAGGACAGAAAGCTCAGTAATAAACTCATGCCTTCATGGTCAATTGATTTTTTACAAAACTGCCAAGAACCCATAATGGAGGAAAAACATTCTATTCAATAAATTGTTCAAGGAAAACCAGTTATCCACATTCAGAAAAAAATGAAATTAGACCCTTACCTTACACTATGCTCCAAAATAAACTCAAAATGATTAAAGACTTAAAGCTGTAAAACTACTAGAAGAAAACATAGGAAAAGCTCCATGACATTGGTTTGGACAAGGATTTTTTTAGATGTAACCCCAAAATCTCAAGTAACAAAAGCACAAATAGACAAATGGGATTGCATCAAATTAAGAAGCTTCTGCACAGCAAAAGAAACGATGAACAAAGTGAAGAGACAACCCATGCAATGAGAAAAATATTTGCAAACCATGGGTCTTTACAAGTGGAAGAGAGAGGCAGTAGAATGAGTGGGTCATACAGAGGAGATAGAATTCAGCCAGTTGTTGGTTGTTGCTGGCTTTGTAGTTTAAAGGGGACCCAGATGCAAGGAACACAGATTAAGCTGGAAAAGGCAAGGAAATGGATTGTCCCCTAGAGACTCCAGAAAAACAGTTCCCTGCTAACGTCTTTTTTCTTTTTTTAATTAATTAATTAATTAATTAATTAATTTTTTATTTATTTATTTTTTTTGAGACAGAGTCTCATTCGGTCACCTAGGCTAGAATGCTGTGGTGCTATGTCAACTCACTGCAACCTCCACCTCACTCATTCAAGTGATTCTCCTGCCTCAGCTTCCCAAGTAGCTGGGACTACAGGCACATGCCACCACACCTAGCTGATTTTTATATTTTTAGTAAAGACGGTTTCACCATGTTGGCCAGGCTGGTCTCAAACCCCTGACCTCAAGTGATCAGCCCACCTCGGCCTCCCAAAGTGCTAGAATTACAGGCATTAGTCACCATGGCCGGCCCCTGCTGACATCTTGATTTTAGCCCAGGGAGATTCATGTTAGACTTTTGACTTCTAGAAATGTAAGGTAATAAATTTGTGCTTTTTAAATGACTAAGTTTGTGATGATTTGCCACAGCAACAATAGGGAACTAATAGAGTGCTTTTTCACGCATTTTTTTCTCATCTATGATAAGAGAGCTTTCTGTGTCTCCTTCTGAAAGGAAAGTCTGCTGTAAGAGGGAGTGCTGTTCACTGCAACCTCACTCCTCTCCTTTGCTGGTGTATGTACCAATGTATAACCTTTCTGCACAAATGAAATGCCATGCAAGAAGTAAAAAGTTTGAGAACTAGCCCATTTGTCAGTAGGAGTCCAAAACTTTATACTAAGAATCCTAAATCCGATAACTAAGAAGTGACTTGAGGCACTCGCAACTTCATTATTAAAGGTTATTTGCATGACAAATTAATACTGTAGTAACAGTAGTTGCCAATGCAAAAGCTAAACCAAGAACTTAAATGCCACAAACATGCAGATTATTGGCCCGGTTGATGGAACAGGGCAACTTTGGCCTTAAATATTTTTTGGCAACTTAACATATTTGCATTTTTGCCTCAAGCTATTTAAATATTTTAGGATTCCATTATTTACAGAGAGCATAATGGGGGAACTCTCCAGAGTTACTGAAGGTTAAACCGGATAAAAAGTGAAAGTATCCACAGAATAAAATAACTCCCTAGATATCTTGTGTACACATGTCCAACCAAAAAGGACAATTTATTTCCACATATGGTAGGGATTTCAGATTCCTTCAGAAAATTTCAGATTAACTCCTTATATTTAGGAGTCTTAATTAAGCTGTAGGTTATCACTTACAACAAAATGTGAAGTCAGAGTAAATGAAAAATGTTACTTTTTACCCAAGAATAGAGTGGGTCCTCACTCCATTGCTTCACAAGATAAAATTGTAATTGTCTTTTACTTCAACGTTAACAGATATTGATAGTTGAGCCTTAATGGGAACACTTTGTTTTGTTGTTCTATATTAGTTGCTTTGATACAAAATGCTGTACATTAGAATTTAATGTGATCTGCCTGAAGTCCAGATGAAAAAAGATTAAGGCAAAAGACAAGAATGAGAAAGAATTCCTGGTCAAAGGAGATTGTTTCATTTTGGTGGCTGTCCCCATTTGGGCTCCCATAAATGCACTGCCAGGACTATCGGGGGCAGAAATATTGAGCCTGGGCAGTCGACTAACCACAGCATCACCAACACGAATCATACTCCCATTACCCAACAAGGAAATACTGTCTACGAAGGGGCCCCTAGTGCTCTGCACCCTCCCGTTCACTTACCTTCCTGCTTCACATTTGAAAGGCAGTTTAGATGAAATAATGCCCGTTTTTCCTACCAAGTATATTGTATGCAACCGTAAATCATCAAAGAACCACTGCCCCGACCTAGAACATATTTGGACATCACTAGAAATAAAAAAAAGGAATATTAGATCATGTGTTGGATTTTTTTAGGGTTAATATAAAGGCAGATGTCCAAAGTTAGGGATGCTTTCAATGCTTTCCTATTTCCAGTTCTCTTGCTCCTACGTTGGCTCTGTGTTTTATAAATCTTCTTTTTCATAATGTAGATTCATTGACCTGCTGGATAGTAGATTATATATATATATATATATATATATATAGTACCTAATAGAGTTGGCTCCTTGCCTTGTATTTATCAAAGATTCTTCCCCCAACTCTCATCAGTCCTTCCCCAAACAAGAAGTTTAACAAAAGAGACTAGGGACTTCTTTAGCTCACTTGTCGCCACCATCCCACAGGACCTGAATATGAGTCCTGTCCAGGAGCAGTGGTGAACTGGAACAGAGCAAATATAGTACCCACAGTGAATGACGAAAGAGGATTGGATCAGGATTGAAAACTCTAAATAACTGATGTAGCTTACACATTTATTACTTTGGCTTATCACAGTTATCCCAGAAGATGTGAAATAAAATCAGAGAAAAGAGAATTTTAAACAGACATTCACATAATAGGCCATACAGACATGCAGACTGCTGACCAGGCACAAAATTCTGGCAGGCAGGACTGGGAGCTAGAGGAAACTGGCATTACTTAAGCAAGGACTGAACAGTGTATTCGGAAAAGAAAAAAATGAGTGGCCTAGGGAAAAGACAGGCTTTGTTCTGACCAATCCTTTTTGTTCACCACACACCCAAACTGCTAGCAGATTCAAAGTAATTTTACTAAATACAACATTCACCCTGCTTTCTGTATTCTATTGATTTACTTAATAAAAACAAACCTGCTTTGTGATTCTAGCTACACAGAACTAACCAGAGACCCCAGTCTTTTTAGAAGATATAGAGTGAATTCAGAATGTCAAGTTTCTAAAACTTAATTGCTATCCATAAGATAGAAAAATCTCAATTAGAACTTGAATTCTTAAAAATTCATCTATGATCACACAGCTATCAGAGAGGAATAAAGATAAAAAAAACACTAACATAACATGTAGAGGGCAGGAAAGAAAGCCCATGTGTTTTCAGTCCAGTAAATGATGAATGTGCAAGAAAGAGGCATGAACTAAAAGAGCTTTGACAGAAGAATTTTCTTTTTTCAAAGTTAAAAGAAAGTTTAGTTCCCTTTTAAATAACAGAATCTTCTTTTTCCAGTTGATTTTTTTTATTTCCAACTTTTATTTTAAGTTCAGGGGTACATGTGCAGGATGTGCAGGTTTGTTACATAGGTAAACATGTGCCATGATGGTTTACTGTACAGATTATTCCATCACCTAGGTATTAGGCACAGCATCTATTAGCTATTCTTCCTGATGTTCTCCTTCCTCTCATCCCCCACCCTCCAACAGGTCCCATGTATGTTATTCTGCCCCTCGTGACCATGTGTTCTCATCATTCAGCTCCCACTTATAAGTCAGAACATGTGGTATTTGGTTTTCAGTTCCTGCATTAGTTTGCTAAGGATAATGACCTCCAGCTCCATCCATGTTCATGCAAAGAACATGATCTCATTCCTTTTTAAGGCTGCATATTATTCTGTGGTATACATTTACCACATCTTCCTTATTTAGTCTATCCTTGGTAGGCATTGTATTAATCTGTTCTCATGCTGCGAATAAAGACCCAAGGCTGGGTAATTGATAAAGGAAAGAGGTTTAATTGACTCACAGTTCCACATGGCTGGGGAGGCCTCACAATCATGGTCGAAGGTGAATGAGGAGCAAAGTCATGTCTTACACGGTGGCAGGCAAGAGAGCTTGTGCAGGGTAACTCCCATATATAAAACCATAAAATCTTGTGAGACTTATTCACTACCATGAAAACAGTATGGCAGAAACTGCCCCCGTGATTCAATTATCTCCATCTGTCCCTGCCCTTGACATGTGGGGATTATTACAATTCAAGGTGAGATTTGGGTGGCAACACAACCAAACCATCTCAGGCATTTAGGTTGATTCCATGTCTTTGCCGTTGTGAATGGTGCTGCAATGAACACACACACGCATGTATCTTTATAACAGAATAATTTATATTCCTTTAGGTATATATCCAGTAATGGGATTGCTGGGCCAAATGGTATTTCTGCTGCTAGGTCTTTGTAAAATCACCACACTGTCTTCCACAATGGTTGAACTAATTTACACTCCCACTAACCGTGTAAAAGTGTTCCTTTTTCTTCACAACCTCACCAGCATTTGTTTTTTGACTTTTTAGTAATAGCCTTTATGACTGACATTAGATGGTATTTCATTGCGGTTTTGATTTGCATTTCTCTAATCATCAGTGATAGTGAGCTCTTTTTCATATGATTGTTGGCCACATGTATGTCTTCCTTTGAGAAGTCTCTGTTCATGTTCTTTGCCCACTTTTTAATGGAGTTGTTTGGTTTTCTCTTGTAAATTTAAGTTCTTTATAGATGCTGGATATCAGCCCTTTGTCAGATGGTTAGAGTGCAAAAAACTGTCTCCCACTCTGTAGGTTGTATTTGCTCTGTTGATAGTATGTTTTGCTGTGCAGAAGCTGTTTAGTTTAATTAGACCCCATCGGTCAATTTTTGCTTTTTTTGCAATTGCTTCTAGCATCTTGGTCATGAAACTTTGCCCGTGCTTATGTCCTGAATGGCATTGCTTAGGTTTTCTTCTAGGTTTTTATAGTTTTGGGGATTACATTTAAGTCTTTAATGCATCTTGAGTTGACTTTTGTATACAATGTAAGGAAAGGATCCAGTTTTAATTTTCTGCATATGGCTAACCAGTTCTCCCAGCATCATTTATCATATAGGGAATCTTTTCCCCATTGCTTGTTTTTGTCAGGTTTGTCAAAGATCAGATAGTTGTAGGTGTGTGGCCTTATTTCTGGGTTCTCTATTGTATTCCATTGGTCTATGTGTCTGCTCTTGTACTAGTACAATGCCATTTTGGTTACTGTAGCCTTTAGTATAGTTTGAAGTTGGGTAACATTATGCCTCCAGCTTTGTTCTTTCTGCTTAGGATTGCCTTGGTTATTTTGGCTCTTTTCTGGTTTTATGAATTTTAAAATAGTTTTTCTGATTCTGTGAAGTATGTCAATGGTAGTTTAATGGGAGTAGCACTGAATCTATAAATTGCTTTGGGCAGTATGGCCGTTTTCACGATATTGATTCTATCCACGAGCATGGAATGTTTTTCCATTTATTTGTGTCATCTCTGATTTCTTTTCAATGGTTTGTAGTTCTTCTTAAAAATATCCTTCATTTCTCTTGTTAGCTGTTTTCCTAGGTATTTTATCCTTTTTGTGGCAATTGTGAATGGGAGTTCATTTGTGATTTGGCTCTCAGCTTGACTGTTGTTGGTGTATAGGAATGCTAGCAATTTTTGCTCATTGATTTTGTATCCTATGACTTTGCTGAAGTTGCTTATCAGCTTAAGAAGCTTCTTGGCCGAGACGATGGGATATTCTAGACATAGGATCATGTCATCTGCAAACAGATAGTTTGACTTCCTCTCTTCCTATTTGAATCCTCTTTATTTCTTTCTCTTGCCTGATTGCCTGGGCCAGAACTTCCAATACTATGTTGAATAGTAGTGGTGAGAGAGGGCAAACTTGACTTGAGCCAGTTTTCAAGGGGAATGCTTCCAGGTTTTGCCCATTCACTATGGACTGTGGGTTTGTCATGTGTGGCTCTTATTATTTTGAGGTATGTACCTTCAATATCTAGTTTATTGAGAGTTTTCAATATGAAGGGATGTTAAATTTTATCAAAGGCCTTTTCTGCATCTATTGAGATAATCATGTGGTTTTTGTCCTTAGATCTGTTTATGTGATGAATTACATTTATTGTTTTGTGTATGTTGAACCAGCTTGCATCTCAGAGATGAAGCCAACTTGATTGTGGTGGATAAGCTTTTTGATGTGCTACTGGATTCAGTTTGCCAGTGTTTTGTTGAGGATTTTTGCATCGATGTTCATCCAGGATATGGCCTAAAGTTTTCCTTTTTTGTCATATCTCTGCCAGGTTTTGGTATCAGGATAATGGTGGCCTCATAGAATAAGTTAGGGAGGAGTCCCTCCTTTTCAATTTTTTGGAATAGTTTCAGTCGGAGTGGTACCAGCTATTTTCTGTACCTCTGCTAGAATTCAGATGTGAATTCATCTGGTCCTGGGCTTTTTTTTTTTTTTTTTTTGGTTGGTAGGTTATTTATTACTGTCTCAATTTCAGAACTCTCTATTGGTCTATTCAGGGATTCAATTTCTTCCTGATTCAGTCTTGGGAGGGCATATGTGCCAGGAATGTATCCATTTCCTCTTTTTTTATGGAAATTTTTTTTATTATTATACTTCAAGTTTTAGGGTACATGTGCACAATGTGCAAGTTTGTTACATATGTATACATGTGCCATGTTGGTGTGCTGCACCCATTAACTCATCATTTAACATTAGGTATATCTCCTAATGCTATCCCTCTCCCCTCCCCCCCACCCACCCCACAACAGGTCCAAGTGTGTGATATTCCCCTTCCTGTGTCCATGTGTTCTCATTGTTCACTTCCCACCTATGAGTGAGAACATGCGGTGTTTGGTTTTTTGTCCTTCCGATAGTTTGCTGAGAGTGATGGTTTCCAGCTTCATGCATGTCCCTACAAAGAACATGAACTCGTCATTTTTTATGGCTGCATAGTATTCCATGGTGTATATGTGCCACATTTTCTTAATCCAGTCTATCATTGGTGGACATTTGGCTTGGTTCCAAGTCTTTGCTATTGTGAATAGTGCTGCAGTAAACATATGTGTGCATGTGTCTTTATAGCAGCATGATTTATAATCCTTTGGGTATATACCCAGTAATGCGATAGCTGGGTGAAATGGTTTTTCTAGTTCTAGATCCCTGAGGAATCACCACACTGACTTCCAAAATGGTTGAACTAGTTTACAGTCTCACCAACAGAGTAAAAGTGATCCTATTTCTCCAGATCCTCTCCAGCACCTGTTGTTTCCTGACTTTTTAATGATCGCCATTCTAACTGGTGTGAGATGCTATCTCATTGTGGTTTTGATTTGCATTTCTCTGATGGCCAGTGATGATGAGCATTTTTTCATGTGTCTTTTGGCTGCATAAATGTCTTATTTTGAGAAGTGTCTGTTCAGGTCCTTCACCCACTTTTTGATGGGGTTGTTTGTTTTTTTCTTGTAAATTTGTTGGAGTTCATTGTAGATTCTGCATATTAGCCCTTTGTCAGATGAGTAGATTGCAAAAATTTTCTCCCATTCTGTAGGCTGCCTGTTCACTCTGATGGTAGTTTCTTTTGCTGTGCAGAAGCTCTTTAGTTTAATTAGATCCCATTTGTCAATTTTGGCTTTTGTTGCCATTGCTTTTGGTGTTTTAGACATGAAGTCCTTGCCCATGCCTATGTCCTGAATGGTATTGACTAGGTTTTCTTCTAGGGTTTTTATGGTTTTAGGTCTAACATTTAAGTCTATAATCCATCTTGAATTAATTTTTGTATAAGGTGTAAGGAAGGGATCCAGTTTCAGCTTTCCACATATGGCTAGCCAGTTTTCCCAGCACCATTTATTAAATAGGGAATCCTTTCCCCATTGCTTGTTTTTCTCAGGTTTGTCAAAGATCAAATGGTTGTAGATATGCAGCGTTATTTCTGAGGTGTCTGTTCTGTTCCATTGGTCTATATCTCTGTTTTGGTACCAGTATCATGCTGTTTTGGTTACTGTAGCCTTGTAGTATAGTTTGAAGTCAGGTAGCGTGATGCCTCCAGCTTTGTTCTTTTGGCTTAGCATTGTCTTGGCTATGTGGGGTCTTTTTTGGTTCCATATGAACTTTAAAGTAGTTTTTTCCAATTCTGTGAAGAAAGTCATTGGTAGCTTGATGGGGATGGCATTGAATCTCTAAATTACCTTGGGCAGTATGGCCATTTTCACAATATTGATTCTTCCTACCCATGAGCATGGAATGTTCTTCCATTTGCTTGTATCCTCTTTTATTTCCTTGAGCAGTGGTTTGTAGTTCTCCTTGAAGAGGTCCTTCACATCCCTTGTAAGTTGGATTGCTAGGTATTTTATTCTCTTTGAAGCAATTGTGAATGGGAGTTCCCTCATGATTTGGCTCTCTGTTTGTCTGTTATTGGTGTATAAGAATGCTTCTGATTTTTGCACATTGATTTTGTATCCTGAGACTTTGCTGAAGTTGCCTATCAGCTTAAGGAGATTTTGGGCTGAGGCGATGGGGTTTTCTAGATATACAATCATGTCCTCTGCAAACAGGGACAATTTGACTTCCTCTTTTCCTAATTGAATACCCTTTATTTCCTTCTCCTGCCTGATTGCCCTGGCCAGAACTTCCAACACTATTTTTAATAGGAGTGGTGAGAGAGGACATCCCCGTCTTGTGCCGGTTTTCAAAGGGAATGCTTCCAGGTTTTGCCCATTCAATATGATATTGGCTGTGGGTTTGTCATAGATAGCTCTTATTATTTTGAGGTACATCCCATCAATACCTAATTTATTGAGAGTTTTTAGCATGAAGCATTGTTGAATTTTGTCAAAGGCCTTTTCTGCATCTATTGAGATAATTATATGGTTTTTTCATTGGTTCTGTTTATATGCTGGATTACATTTATTGTTTTGCATATGTTGAACCAGCCTTGCATCCCAAGGATGAAGCCCACTTGATCATGGTGGATAAGCTTTTTGATGTGCTGCTGGATTCGGTTTGCCAGTATTTTATTGAGGATTTTTGCAGCAATGTTCATCAGGGATATTGGTCTAAAATTCTCTTTTTTTGTTGTGTTTCTGCCAGGCTTTGGTATCAGGATGATGCTGGCCTCATAAAATGAGTTAGGGAGGATTCCCTCTTTTTCTATTGATAGGAATAGTTTAGAAGGAAAGGTACCAGCTCCTCCTTCTACCTCTGGTAGAATTCAGCTGTGAATCCATCTGGTCCTGGACTTTTTTTGGTTGGTAAGCTATTAATTGTTGCCTCAATTTCAGAGCCTGTTATTGGTCTATTCGGAGATTCATCTTTTTCCTGATTTAGTCTTGGGAGGGTGTATGTGTTGAGGAATTTATCCATTTCTTCTAGATTTTCTAGTTTATTTGTGTAGAGGTGTTTATAGTATCTCTGATGGTAGTTTATATTTCTGTGGGATCGGTGGTGATATCCCCTTTATCGTTTTTTATTGCATCTATTTGATTCTTCTCTCTTTTCTTCTTTATTAGTCTTGCTAGCGGGCTATCAATTTTGTTGATCTTTTCAAAAACCAGCTCCTGGATTCATTGATTTTTTGAAGGGTTTTTTCTGTCTCTATTTCCTTCAGTTCTGCTCTGATCTTAGTTATTTCTTGTCTTCTGCTAGCTTTTGAATGTGTTTGCTCTTGCTTCTCTAGTTCTTTTAATTGTGATATTAGGGTATCAATTTTAGATCTTTCCTGCTTTCTCTTGTGGGCATTCAGTGCTATAAATTTCCCTCTACACACTGCTTTGAATGTGTCCCAAAGATTCTGGTATGTTGTGTCTTTGTTCTCGTTGGTTTCAAAGAACATCTTTATTTCTGCCTTCATTTCGTTATGTACCCAGTAGTCATTCAGGAGCAGGTTGTTCTGTTTCCATGTAGTTGAGCAGTTCTGAGTGAGTTTCTTAATCCTGAGTTCTAGTTTGATTGCTCTGTGGTCTGAGAGACAGTTTGTTATCATTTCTGTTCTTTTACATTTGCTGACGAGTGCTTAACTTCCAAGTATGTGGTCAGTTTTGGAATAAGTGTGGTGTGGTGCTGAGAAGAATGTATATTCTGTTGATTTGAGGTGGAGAGTTCTGTAGATGCCTATTAGGTCCACTTGGTGCAGAGCTGAGTTCAATTCCTGAATATCCTTGTTAACATTCTGTCTTGTTGACCTGTCTAATGTTGACAGTGGGGTAACAAAGTCTCCCATTATTATTGTATGGGAGTTTAAGTCTCTTTCTAGGTCTCTAAGGACTTGCTTTATGAATCTGGGTGCTCCTGTATTTGGTGCATATATATGTAGAATAGTTAGCTCTGCTTGTTGAATTGATCCCTTTAGCATTATGTAATGGCCTTCTTTGTCTCTTTTGATCTTTGTTGGTTTAAAGTCTGTTTTATCAGAGAGTAAGATTGCAACCCCTGCCTTCTTTTGTTTTCCATTTGCTTGGTAGATCTTCCTCCATCCCTTTATTTTGAGCCTATGTGTGTCTCTGCACGTGAGATGGGTTTCTTGAATACAGCACACTGATGGATCTTGACTCTTTATCCAATTTGCCAGTCTGTGTCTTTTAATTGGAGCACTTAGCCCATTTAGAATGTATCCATTTCTTCTAGATTTTCTAACTTATGTGTACAAAGGTGTTTACAGTATTCTCTGATGGTTGTTTGTATGTCTGTGGGGTCAGTGGTAATGTTCCCCTTATCATTTCTAATTGTGTTTATTTGAATCTTCTCTATGTTTAGTTTATTAGTCTAGCTATCAGTCTATCTATTTTATTAATTTTCTCCAGGAAAAGCAGCTCCTGGATTTGTTGATTTTTGAAGGGTTTTTCATGTCTCTGTCTCCTTCAATTCAGCTCTGATGTTGGTTATTTTTGCTAGCTTTCAGGTTTGTGTGCTCTTGGTTCTCTGGTTCTTTTAACTGTGATGTTAAGTTGTTAACTCGAGATCTTTCTAGCTTTTTGATGTGGGTATTTAGTGCTGTAGATTTCTCTCTTGACACTGCTTTATCTACATCCCACACATGCTGGTACATTGTATCTTTGCTCTCATTAGTTTCAAAGAACTTCTTGATTTCTGCAATGATTTCATTATTTACCCAAAAGTCATCCAGAAGCAGGTTGTTCAGTTTCAGTGTAGTCATATGGTTTTCTGTGAATTTCTTAATTTTGAGTTCTAATTTGATTGTGCTGTGGTCCAAGAGATGATTTGTTAGGATTTCAGCTCTTTTGCATTTGCTGAGGAGTGTTTTACTTCTGATTATGTGATCAATTTTAGAGTAAGTTCCATGTGGTAATGAGAAGAATATGTATTCTGTTGTTTTGGGGTGGAGAGTTCTGTAGTTATCTATCAGGTCAACTTGATCCAGAGCTGAGTTCAGGCCCTGAATATCTTTGTTAATGTTCTGCCTCAATGATCTGCCTAATATTGTCAGTGAGGTGTTAAAATCTCTCACTATTATTGTGTGGGAGTCTAAGTCTCTGTTAAAGTCTGTAAGAACTTGCTTTATGCATCTGGGTGCCCCTGTATTGGGTGCATATATATTTAAGATAGTTGGCACTTATTGAATTGAAACCTTTGCCATTATGTAATGCCCTTTTCTGTCCTTTTGATCTTTGTTAGTTTAAACTCTATCTTATCAGAAACTTGGATTGCAACTCCTGCTTTCTTCTGTTCTCCATTTGCTCAGTAAATTTTCCTCTATCCCTTCATTTTGAGCCTCTGTGTGTCTTTGCATGTTAGATAGCTCTCTTGAAGACAGCGTACAGATGGATCTTGATTCTTTATCTGGTTTGCCATTCTGTGTCTTTTAATTGGGGCATGTAGCTCATTTACATTTAAGGTTAGTATTGTTAGGTGTGGATTTGATCCTGTCATCATGATGCTAGCTGATTATTTTTGCAGACTAGTTTATGTGGTTACTTCATAGTGTCACTAGTCTGTGCACTTCCATATGTTTTTGTAATGGCTGGTAACGATTTTTCCTTTCCATATTTAGTGCTTCCTTCATACGCTCCTGTAAGGCAGAGGTTTAACATCCCACTGACATTATTAGGCAGTTCATTGAGACAGCATTTGCCTGCCTAAGCATTTGCCTGTCTGAAAAGGATCTTATTTCTCCTTCACTTATAATGCTTAGTTTGTCTGGATATGAAATTCTGGGCTGGAAATTCTTTTCTTTTTTTTATTTTTATTTTTTGTTTTTTTGTTTGTTTGTTTGTGTTCAGTACAAACTTAGGGCTCTTTAGGCAATAAAGTAAGGAACAGCAAAGTGGGAGGACTACACCTTCACCGTGGCAACAGAAAGCCTCAAAAATGTAAAGTCCCTCAACTTCTATTGGGCAGACTCTTCCTAGCTCAGAAGAAACACATTTTAACTGGCTGGGAACAAGGCCTGCCAGCCTGGCCACAGTGTGGAAGGGCAGCTGGTCACACAGCCTCTGGTCAGGCCTGGAAGTGCTCAGAGAGAACTTCCAGCAGCTCCTGCTTCTTCAGCCCATATGCCTCTTTCAGCATGGGCACAGTGAAATTGCCCAGCATGCCCTTGCTGATATTGGCCTTCAGCTCCTCTTCTGAATACTTCATCTTGGGTCTTTTGCTTCCAAAATCTTCATTATTTTGTTTTCTCTTGGTAAATTTCCCTTCAGGATTGTAATCTGGTGGGTAAACAAGCTCCTTAAACTCAACCACCAGGGAGTCCAATCTTTTATTCATTGCTTCAACCTTGGGCAATGTCAGGTCCACTGCTTGTTCAGTCTCCATCAAATCCAAGGCCAAGGCCTCCAGGTTCCTGAAGTGCTGCTGCAGCCCAGGGTTCTCAAAGCTGTCACTTCTGCATGTGAAGCGGAGCTTCTGAACGATAGCCTTCATCTTGTCCACCTGCTCTGGAGTTGCCATGACTTTCAGTAAAGGGCATCTTCCTTTTATCATCAGCAAAGAGTAAAAAGACAAGCTGGAATCCTGGAGGAGTCACCAGAAATTTCTGGTCATCCAACTCCTCTTCCTGTGGCACCAAAGCCACAAAATAAAGAGAGATGTTCCTGCGGGGTGTGTATCTGCGTGATGCTACAACCTCCTTGTCCAGACACTTTATGTGCAGAGCACTAAACAGGGTTGAGCTCCCAATCACCAGCAACTCCTCAGGGCACATGAACAGGGAGGGCCTCAGATGATGGTGCTTCTTCAGCATTACCAAGGGCTTACACCCCATGAGCATCAAACCTGGATCATCAAACTGTTTTAACTCTTCTGTTTCCCCTTTCTCCATTATAATCTGAGACTCCCATAGATCTCAGACCTCTTGGTATCACTAGGCAGAAGCAAACTTCCTGTATTTGTATTAAATGTCTGGGTCTTGGTTTTCACTGGTTCATTTGTTTCCCAATAGAGCTTTATTGGAGAAGGCTTGAGAGCCCTCTGGACCAGATTATAAATGCCCAGAGATCACTATATCTTTGATGAGCTTCAGCTTTAACCTGCTTAGTGCTTGCTTCCTGGTCTCCTTGGAGTGAACCTTCTAGTTTGCTGGATTCCTCAAAGTGAACCCTGAGGTCCTCATCCTCTGCTATGCTGGTGATATCTCTATAGAATAAGGATATGTCAAAGCCCCCAGGTTTCTTCAGGTGCTTCAAGTCAAGGAAGATACCTGTATCTCAGAGATCACCAGCTTTGGTCCTGGCTCAGCTGGCTTAGGCACTGTCATTGCCATGGGGTTGTCTTCATTGGTGAACAGCATGATCTTGTTATGACTCATCATGAACTGGACATCACTAAAGAGGTTGGCACAGATACACAGCACTTCACTGAGTGAGTCATCAGATCTGTGGCCCATCAGGTCTTGGAAACGTTTTTGTTCCTGCTGCCCCTTAAACTGGTCAAGCTCTAGAATTTATTTTGCACCTGGCTTATCCAACTCCTGTAAGATGTAAATATTTCACTGAATCTTTGTCTTTCTCTGCACTATAGAGCATCACTGCCAAGAGATCTCAAACACTGTTTATGATCTTACTGATGTACACACTTTGGATACACTGGATGCTCATGTCAAAGGGAGTCAACTCATCTTTACTCTGAGATTCAAACATAGCCCTGGAGGCATCAACAAAAAAAAAACAAACTATCTCTTCCTGAATACTTATAGTCTCCACTTGCTTCAAGGTTCTCTTCTTGTTCTTCTTTGCTTCTTCATCGGCCTCAGTTTTGTAATACGACTCCCACCTTTACATGTTGGCTACTTCTCACTTTGGTGTAGGGAAGTGACCAACTTGGACCAGAAATTCTTTCCTTTAAGAATGTTGAATATAGGGCCCCAATCTCTTCTGGCTGTAGAGTTTCTTCTGAGAGGATCACTGTTATTCTCATGGGCTTCCCTTTGTAGGTGACCTTGCCTTTCTCTTAACATTATTTGCTGCCCTTAACATTATTTGTTTCATTTCGACCTTAGAGATCTGATGATTATGTATCTTGGGGATAATCTTTTCATGGAGTATCTTACTGGAGTTCTCTGCATTTCCTGAATTTGAATGTTGGCCTGTGTTGCCAGGTTGAGGAAGTTCTCCTGGATGATATCCTGAAGTATGTTTTCCAAATTGGTTCCATTCTCCCTGTCTCTTTCACGTACCCCAATCAGTCATAGATTTGATCTCTTTACATAATCACATAGTTCTTGGAGGTTTTGTTCATTCCTTTACATTCTTTTTTATCTATTCTTTTCTGCCAGTCTTATTTCAGAAAAACAGTCTTCAAGCTCTGAAATTCTTTCTTCCACTTGATCTATTCTGCTATTAATACTTGTGATTGCATTGTGAAGTTCTTATACTGTGTTTTTCAGTTCTATCATGTTCCTCTCTAAACTTGCTATTTTGGCTGTCAGCTTCTGCATTGTTTTATTATGATTTTTAGATTCTTTGTGTTGGGTTAAAACATATTCCTTTAGCTCAGCGAAGTTCATTTTTATCCACATTCTGAAGCCTACTTCTGTCATTTCAGCATCTCAGCCTTAGCCCTGTTTTAAGCCCTTGCTGCAGAAGCACTGTAGTCATTTAGAAGAAAGGGGGCACTCTGGTTTTTTGAGTTTTTGACATTTTTGAGTTGATTCTTTCTCATCTTTGTGGGCTTATCTACCTTTGATCTTTGAGGTTGCCAACCTTTGGATGGGGTTCTCACAGGGATTTTTTCTTGTTGTTGTTGTTTTCTGTGTTTTTTTTGTTGTTGTTGTTTTTCTTTGAACAGTCTGATGGCTGTTGCATAGGGCTGCTGTGGTTTGCTGGGAGTCTGCTCCAGACCCTAGTTACCTCCGTTTTTCCTGTACCTGGAGGTATCACCACCGAAGTCTGCGAAATAGCAAAGATGGCAGCCTGCCCCTTCCTCTGGAAGCTCCATCCCGGGGGGTACGGACCTGTTGCCAGGCCAAATGCAGTTGTAAGAGGTACCTGAAGACTTTGTTTGGGAGGTCTCACCCAGTCAGAAGAAAAGTGATCTAGTACCTGCTTAAAGAAGCAGTCTGGCTGCTTTTTGATAGAGCAGCATGCGTGTTGGGGATCTCTTCAGCCTCTGATCAGATTGAGCACCCCAAAGCCCACAAGCTGGACTGGCTAAGATGCTTGAACAGCCAAGGTAGTGACATGCCCCACCCCCAGGGCACTTCATCCCAGGGAAAGATCAGAACTGTTCATACCGTATGTGCAGGTTGAGGTAGCTGGAGGCCCAGCTGGGAGGTCTCACCCAATGAGGGGGAATGGTTTGAGGTCCAGCTTACAGAAGCAATCTGGCCACATTCTGGCAAAGCAGCTATGCTGCACTGGGGAAACTCTTCCTCATCCAGACCATTTGGACTCTTCAAAGTCCACAGGCTGGAACAGCTGAGTCAACCAAACAGCAGAGATGGCAGCCTGCCCCTCCCCTCAGGGCCCCATTTCTTCTCAGGCAGGCACCCTTTTACTGCAGGCTGGCTGGAATTCCAAGCCAGTGGGTCTTGTCTTGTGAGGTGCCATGGAAGTGGGACCCACAGGCCAATGCTGCTTGGCTCCTTGGGTTCAGCCCCCTTCCTAGGGGTATGTACAGACACCGTGCATTGCCTGGGCTGCAGACACCTTTGTTGGGGATCCCAGGACTGGAGTATGTAAAGCTCCTGGGTCTCAGTGCATGCCTGAGCAGCTTCTCTGCCAAGACTCCACATAGCTCTGTGTGTCGGACCCAAGGCCCTGGTGGTGTGGGCTCATAAGGGGATCTCCTGATCCGCAGGTTGCAAAGATCTGTGGGAGAAGCGTGGTTTCCCAGGGTCGCACAATCACTCACTGCTTCCTTTAACTGGATATGGGGGTTCCCTTGGCCCTGTGTCACACCCAGGTGGGCCATCGCCCTACCCTGCTTTTCTTTCTTCTCCATGAGTTGGGTTATTTCCCTGACCAATCCCACTGTGGATAGCTGGATAATTCAGTTGAAGTTGCTGTATCCACTCACCCCAGTTCATAACCAAGCCTTATCACTTGTTAATCTCCTGAGTAACACAGAGGTATCTACTTTATTCTACTTTGACCACCACAACCTTAGGCCAAGCTTGTCTGGCTCATCTTGTCTGGGCTCCTGCACCAGCCATCCTATCTATTCTTAGTAACCCAGATAACTTTTTCTATACTCTTACTTCAACTAAAAAAAAAAAAACTTCATGGAAGTAGCCTAGTTACATTTAACCAAATTAAATAAATAACATTTTAACCAAAACCACATAAATATATACATATATGCGTGTGTGTGTGTGCATGCGTGTGTGTGTGCTTACATTGCTTCAAAGATAATGAGCTCTTATGTTGCTATATTTCCCTATATTCTTTATAGTAAATCCTACAAGATTTACTTACTTTTTGCTACCAACCCCCAGTACTAAATAAGCTATTCGTGGGTCTCACTCTGCTAGATTCTCATGTACAGGAGAGTGTCTGTGTCCTAGGTAGTGGTCATAGATATTGCTTCCAATGTTGCTGATTTCAGTACCATAAAGAAGATATAGCCCAGTAAATGGAAGAGCAAAGTAGAATGAAATTTTTAATAGCTTTGCTCTCTTAGTGCTTTGTCTGTAAGAATCACTGTTGCACTTGACATTTGTTGCCATTTTGCTTTTTCATTTTGAATTGTGGAGCCAGACTGTGTCTCTATGTTGAGGGGAGGAGAAGGAATGACCTCAGAAATGTCAGAATTATTACTAATGGCAGCCTTTAAGCTTGGATAGGTGGGTAATAGTGCTTGACCAATCTGCTTAAATGCTGACTGTAGAGTAGCGACCTGAAACAATAGTGGGAAGCTATTTAAAATTTGGAAGAGGCAAAATATGTGATAGGAAAGATGTGGCTTATTTTCAAGTACAGGCCACATGGTATGGTAGCAGCAGATGCCGTAAGGAATAAGGGCAGCATCTGAGCAGACCTAAATGTAATCTCACCTCTGTCATTTTCCTACTTGTGACACTGGGCAGGGTCCACAATCCCTCTGAGCCATCACCTTTCTTGCATGTAAAATGAAATCATACCACTCACTCAAGGGGCTGTTGAAAAGATTAATGACATTGTGTATACAAAATTCCAGCCACCATAGATGCCAGTTTGCTTTTTTCTCCCTCGCTTCTGTTTTAACATTGCAGATAATTTACACTAACAGGTGATCAAGGACTAGGCCTAAGCCTTCTTCTAAGAGACTAGCCCAGCTCACAGACCTTGAAGAGACAGTGTAATTCACTGCAGAGGGCTTTCTCCCACTTCTTCCTGCTAAACAAGTTCCTGGAGAGGTTTGAACAGGCATTAGAGATAGTCGGTGGTACTTGTCCATATGCAATGCTGTCAGATGAATTTTTCTATCTGATGCAGATTGGTCCGAGGCCAGCTTCTTGACCTTAGGTTGCAAGTGGTGACTAGGAGCAGTTGTTCCTGACAACTTGTGTTCTTGCACATGGCTCATAACCAAGGATAAGACAGCCTCCAGACCATATATCCTAGAAATAAATCTAGATATTTCTACTCAGACTAATTTTTCTCTAAGGGGACAGTGAAGCTCTTCTGGGACTGATCCACCTATCTGGCCTCATTCCAGGACAGGCAGAAGGCCTTATGCTGAATGCTTACTCAAGGCCTAAGACAGCCAAGACAAATAGACTTAACATGCTTGACAACTAATCTACTGGTAGTGGCTGCCTAGCTAGATATTTGTAGAATTCCCAGTCCTCTTCTGGGCTTAGCATAAATTGTGTGCCTCGATCAGTGATGATGTCTCCCATAGTTACTGCGGAGGGTTCTCAAGGCACACATGACAGAATTGGAAACCTCATTATCTGGGGATCCTCAAAGTTCCACTTTAGTTCAATAAGGATACTGGCCATTATTCAAGAACTGGTCTTAGTCACACACACAAACCATAGTGTCATGACTGAGTAACTCCTCGAGCTGGGTGAAAACACCATGAACACAATAAACAAAGACAATCTCAATTTTTTATCAATGCCTCAAAAGCTTCCAGACCCACAAATAATTTCAAATGTCACCAGGGATATATGTTCTGCATACTACCTAGTCCCTCACAACCTTGTGATTCTGGGAACTCAGGGACTTTCCTGGCGTCACTTGAAATCACTGAAAGCCAAGGCTAGCCCTGGTGCTTTTATCATCACTTCCAGCAGCCTCCCTTAGGTAGGAAAACACTGGAGTACAAAAGAAAACAAAATATACTGTTCCTAACACAGAAATCCCAGGACTTTGAAATATTTAGACTTTTTCAGCCCAAAGCCCACCTGTCTTCTAGCCTGCTGCCTGAGCTATTGATCTTCTGCCAGGTACATGTATTCATGATCAGTCAAAGATGTCATCCCATGGAGAATTTAATGAAAGAAATCTACGGAAGGGCTCCATCTACCCATCTCTACCCATCTATTGTCTTTCCTCCTTGTCAAGAGGAGAAGCAAGGATGCACATCTGTGCAAAGAGCACCAGGTGTTAAATAAAATCATTACCTAAAACCAATACCTTCCCATGGACTCCAGGATTTCAGTATTAGCACAGGTGAACTATAGTTTACACCAAACGAGGATTCCTGAAAACACATAACTAGCCAGAATCATGAAAAGTTATAAAATATCTTTTTATTATGACCACATTGAGTACATATTAGAGCTGCTCAGACTTTTCCATTTGGCTATTACATAATCTGAATGTTGGGTGATATTTTTATTCTTGCTCTCCTCACTCATTAAAAACTATGCAGTGCCATTATAAAAACAATATTAATAAAACTAGACAGCTTCCCCTCTGTATTTTAAAGCAGTAAAAACATTATTTGGCTTCTCATTTACATGGCAGATCCGATTCATCATGTTGACATAGTTAAACAGAAGAAGAAATATTTCACATAGATAGCAGTGTCAAAGCAGTCAGTTCTAGAAAGAAAGTAGTAATTTAAAAAAAAAAGAAAATATGGAATCAATGAATGGAATCATAACAAAGACATTTTCAATATCACATAGAAAATCATGATTATTTGTAGGTAAAACAAAGTGAAAACTAAAGTGCACTTATATTTAAAATTAAAAAGATTAAAGAAACTGGTTTCTTGAAAAGAGCATCATATATTTAAAAACTAAAATAAAGAGTGCAATTAAAAATAATTCAAAACATTTTCAGGGACAAAAAAAGGAAATATTTAACATTTATTATAATACCTGAGTTTTCCTTCCTTCATGAAAAGAGTACTGAAAATCATTTTAAAAAAATTTAGTTCTAAATAAAATAGATTCAATAGTTTTTAAAGATCACTGAAAATTGCTTTGGAATTGAAGAAAATAACATTGAATGATTTATAGCTTTTAGGAGAGATGGGATACAAGTCAATGACCTGAAGAAATGGAAAGAATGAAGACTCAGGAAATAAAACAGAATGAAAAAGATAAGAATATTCCACAGAGAAGTTAGATAATATAAGTGTAGCTTTGGGGGCTCAGATTAGGAAAAACGGCATTAGCTTTTGTTTTTTGCAAAAACTCTAAAAGGAGCTTAAAAATGGTTTATTTTTCCACAGTGCAGGAGTGATAAGACACAGTTTTCAGTGTTTTAAGTGTCTGTGTGTATGCATATATGTGTGTGCATGTGTATGCATACATATGTTGGTATGTAACCACACGTGTACATGCAAGGATGTGACTATGGAGACTCTAGGTGCTTTGATCCTCTGTATCATATATCTCTCAAGTTAAGAAAAGGGTATTCCCCATCCTGCTCATTGGAAGGTGCAGCTGAGGTGATGTTTTCTTCTATTATTTTCCTTTCGGCTTCTTGCTCCAATTCTTCTATCTCCTGCAGGCGTTTTTCCAATAACTCAGCCTGCCTCTTCTGTTTATTTTTCAGTTTTTTCTTTTTGTTTTTAGATATTTTTCCTATAGGTTTCTGCTGTGGAGCCGTACTCACTGCAGACCCTGAAGGAGGAGGAATACCTGCTTTCTGCCCCTCAGTGGTCTCAGCTGCCGTTCTTCTCACATATGCATCATCCATACACATCAAGATGTTTTGCGGCTTTATGTCAGTATGAGTAATCTTGGTCTTACTGTGTAGATATTCTAACCCTTGAAGGAAATGTCAAATGATACTCTTCAGACAACGTACTGGGTGGGAGGCCTTGATAGTTGAACTTGATGATCCAGTTGAGGAGATGGTGGCCAAGTACTCCCAAGACCATGCAGACATGTATCCCATTCATGCCTGAAATCTTGAAGTCAACGAGCTGGATCACCATGTCTTTGTTTGGGTCACTGGGATAACTTTCTCGAACACATTTGAGCAATTTTATTTCATCCAAGGCTGTGTCTGTATCACGCTGAGCACTTTTTACAACTTTCATTGCAACAAATCTTTTCCCCTACATATCCCAGCACAGCCAGACAGTAGAGAAGTGCCCCCATCCAAGCTTTCTAATAACATGATACCGGCCATTGAAGAGGTCTGCAATTTTCACTGGATGATAGCCACCTTTGCAGTAGTCCGCAGGGTCCTCTTGCTCATCATCTGATCCAGGATCTCCTCCTTTGGCTCTGGTGGTGTGGGGTCTGCCAAAGGTGGCGGTGGTGGTGGTGGAGGTGGAGGAGAAAGAACTAAAGGAGCTTTCTGTTGAGGCTCCAGCTTTGTAGGGTGTTTCTCTCTTTTCGGCCTCCGCTTTTGGGCCTGAATGGGCAACACTTTCCTGGAGCTCATTCCGACGCGGCGCAAGCGGGGCTACAGGGGCTTCGCGGAGGTGATGGCGACGCGAGCGCGGAAACCAGCCGGGCTGCGGCTTTCACTTGCTCAACCGACCGGGAGGAGGCTCTGGCGGATGGCGAATACTGCGCAGAAGTGAAACTAAAAACAGCAGGATTAGAGGAGGCGGCCGAGGCAGACGGCAAAGGACAATGCTGAAGCTGAGGACCAGGAAGAGAAAGAAGACCCTGAGAAAGAAAACATTGAGAAAGAAGATGATGTAGATCAGGAACTTGCGAACATAGACCCTACGTGGATAGAATCACCTAAAACCAATGGCCATCTTGAAAATGGCCCATTCTTACTGGAGCAGCAACTGGACGATGAAGAGGATAATGAAGAAGACCGCCCAAATACTGAGGAATATAATCTTGATGAGCCAAATGCAGAAAGTGATTACACATATAACAGCTCCTATGAACAATTCAATAGTGAATTGCCAAATGTATGGCATAAAATTCCCGAGTCACAGTTTCCAGAGTTTTCCACCTCGTTGTTTTCTGGATCCTTAGAACCTGTGGCCTGCAGCTCTGTGCTTTCTGAGGGATCACCACTTACTGACAGAAGCAGGACGGTTTCAGCCTCCAGTACTGGGGATTTGCCAAAAGCAAAAACCCGGGAGGCTGACTTGTTGATGAATCCCCTGGATACACGGAATGCAGATAAAATTAGAGTAGAAATTGCTGACCTGGGAAATGCTTGTTGGGCGCATAAACACTTCACGGAAGACATCCAGATGAGTCAATACCGTTCCATAGAGGTTTTAATAGGAGAGGGATACAGCACCCCTGCGGACATCTGGAGCGCGGCGTGTATGGCATTTGAGCTGGCAATGGGCGATTATTTGTTTGAACCACATTCTGGGGAAGACTATTCCAGAGACGAAGATCACATAGCATTGATCATTGAACTGCTGGGGAGAGTCCGGTTTACTGACCGTTTTCTTCTGGAAAAAAATACGCTATGTTGGGGAAATATTTCGAGGAGTTTTTCACCAGAAAAGGAGAACTGCGACATCACCAAGCTGAAACCCTGGTGCCCTTTTGATGTACTTGTGGAGAAGTATGGCTGGCCCCATGAAGATGCTGCATAGTTTACAGATTTCCTGATCCCGATGTTAGAAATGGTTCCAGAAAAAACGATCCTCAGCTGGCGAATGCCTTCAGCATCCTTGGTTGAATTCTTACCAAATTCTACCAATACTGCATTCTGAGCTAGCAAGTGTTCCCAGAGCGTTGGACATAAACGGTGACTCTCATTCTTTAACAGGATTACAAGTGAGCTGGCTTCATCCTCAGACATTTATTTTGCTTTGAAGTACTGTTGTTTGACATTTTGCTTTTTGTGCACTCTGATCCTGGGGAAGAGCAGTCTTTTGACTTCCCTTAGTGGTTTACTGACCGTTTTCTTCTGGAAACAATAACGTGTCTCTAAGCATTGTTTCTTGTGTTGTGTGACATGCAAATGTCATTTTTTTAATGAGAAATACTTTCCCCTTTGTGTTTTGGCAGGGTTTGTGACTATCTATTTATGAAAAATAAATTTTAGCTGAGTACTATATTATTGATAACCTTAAGAAATTATCAAGTTGGAACCAAGAAATAGCAAGGAAATATGCAATGTTATCTTCTGGCAAAGGGACATCATTCCTGTATTATAGTGTATGTAAACACACACTGTAAATGTTACTTTCCATTAAACATGGGAGGGGGGCTCAAATTTCAGAAAAGCTACCAAGTCTTGAGTTCTATGTAGCATATGTTGCATGTAGCCGACTTTAACTGCTTCTAGGAGTTGTGCAAGCTTTTCATTCCATAACAGTCCTTTCACATTGGATTTTTAAAAAAGTGGCTCCGGGTTGTAAGATATCATTCTCTATGTGGCACTTTAAAGGAAGAAAAAATAGGCTTCTCATTCTAAAATATGCATAATAATTTAGCAGTCCCATTTGTATTTTTGCATATTTTTAAAAGTATTTTTAAAGAAAAAGAGGGATTTCACTTTAAAAATGTAAAGGCTTAGTACCATGTCATAATGCCTCCTCTGGGCACTGTAACTTAAGCTCCACATAGATTAAATTGGAAAAGAGAAATGTGTTCATTGTGTCGAATGAAAAAATACATATATTTTCGAAAAAGCATGATCATGCTTGTCTAGAACACAAGGTATGGTATATACAATTTGCAGTGCAGTGGGCAGAATTCTCCTCACAGCTCAAAGGTAACAGTGATCATATTCATTCCGTAGGTAGCTTTATGTGTGGCTACAACAAATTTTAGCAGCTTTTTTATTGTCTTTCCATGAAATGAAGTTGAGAAAATGATTTTCCCTTTGCAAGTTGCACACAGTTTTGTTTATGCATTTCCTTAAAATTAATTGTAGAATCCAAGACACAAACCACAGGTGGCAATACAATTTTAGAATGTAACATATAGAGGTATATTTAGCCTGTTTTAGAAGTCAGTGGATTCAATGTCTTTTTACTTTAAATTTTACATTAATTAAGGTGCCTCATTTTTTACTTTGTCCATTAACATTTATCCATATGCCTTTGCAATAACTAGATTGTGAAAAGCTAACAAGTGTTGTAACAATAATCCATTGTTTGAGGTGTTTGCGGTTGTCTTAAAAATTAAAGTATTGGCCAGGCGCAGTGGCTCACGCCTCTAATCCCAGCACTTTGGGAGGCCGAGGCGGGTGGATCACGAGGTCAGGAGATCGAGACCATCCTGACTAACACAGTGAAACCCCGTCTCTACTAAAAATACAAAAAAAAAAAAAAATTGGCCGGGCTTGGTGGCGGGTGCCTGTAGACCCAGCTACTCTGGAGGCTGAGGCAGGAGAATGGCGTGAACGCTGGAGGCAGAGCTTGCAGTGAGCCGAGATTGCGCCACTGCACTCCAGACTGGGCGACAGAGCGAGACTCCGTCTTAAAAAAAAAAAAAAATTAAACTGTTTTGTTTTGCTTTGTTTCCAGAAAAAAAAAAAAAAAAGAAAAGGGTAAAGAGAGTAACCATAGGGTCTCTATTTTTCGTATTCAAGAAGCAGTCAGAACACCCGAATGATTAAAAACATGATCTTTAGAGTCATACGCATCTGGGTTAGAATTCTGACATTTCACTGCTACATCATGTCATATCAGGCAATTTCATTAGTCTTCTCATGTCTCAATTTCTTCTTTACGAATTGAAAAATGGTAGCAACTTCTTCATAAGACTGTTTTAAGGATTGAATGAGATCATGTATAAAGCCCTCAACATAGTGCCTAGCACAGTGTATAATCAGTACATGATATTCACTGTAATTATTATTTTTACTGATAAATGTACCAAGAATGAAACTAAAAAAAGACACACCAGAAAGTCCAGCAAAAGAAAATAGGAGATAGGAGGAGAGAACTGAGAATTGATTGACCAATGTCTGTCATAGCTCAAAAGACTTATGCAAGAGGAACCAAAAGCCTCCACTCATCCATGACTGCTCTCTTCTCAGCAAGGCTGTGACCACACAGTCAACTCAGAGGATGGGAATAGTGAGGTTCCACAATAAATTTCATACTAAAACGCACTGCCCAGTAGCAGAAACATTAGCTGATAATGATGAATCCAATAGCCTAGCGTTTAACCGATACATTTAAAGCAGCATATGACATATTTTTCATAACTACCCTTCACTGGCAGTCTAAAAACAAAGAATAAAAAGCTTCTCTTTGATCAAACCATGTTCCAAAATGAAATAGATCCCTTTGTTTTATGTGTATGAGTATATTTACACTGAAAATATATACATATATTCACAAATACACGCACAGAGCAATGTAGTACATGCAGCTGTGTAAGAATAAATGGCTTTAAAACATATCAGCAAATCAACAACTGAATCATTAAACTGACAGGAAACCTTGTTCAAGATTCCCATGTCATTTTGCAAAGAGTGTACTGGATCTGACTAGAATGCATTAAGAGACCAGGGTGTTTGGAGTTTGAAAAACATCTTTAAAGGAAAAGAAAGAGAAGTATGACTGTTAGAAAAGGAAGCAGATATTCTCACCAGAATAAGAAGTCAAATTATGAACACTTGAGCTTTACAACTGCTTTAAATAACCCTCTATGGTGAGGCATAAGAACTTTAATGAAAGCAAAAATCATTTCATCATACTGATGGTATAGAGTATTTCTTTTTCTTTTCATGGTTTCTTCTTTATTCTTAGTTCATTTCCTTTTTTTTTTTTCCTTGTGACCTGGTATTTGCTTCTATTATAAACTAAGACTATGCTAGCAAAAGAAAATGGACCAAGGAGGCATTTATCTGAATAATTCAGGCAGAAACAATTTATACTTGAAGTAGCAAGAAGTTTTAGACAAAGGAGAATTTTTGCTTGGATTAACCCTCGACCTGGTTCAGCTTCAGACTAAAATAATGATGATACCCGTGGTGCTGTAACTTTGATTCAGCCAGTGTACTGAATAGTCGGCCCTGTGCTTTGGGACCCTGTTGTGATAATGCCAGCATTTTCATGCATGTGAATGCTTACTTTTGAACACCGTTACTCAGTTCTTATATCCTGAAAAACTTAGTGAGGGAAAATTGCATGCATTCAACGTTTATAAACCCTGATAAGCTCAGTTTCTAAACACTGGCATGAGTGTTGACTGGAAGGGCTGTCATCGGAGGCCCTGCCTTATGAGAACATCATGCCTAGTATTTCCATAATCTGCCGATAGACTGCAAGTGATGGATCTACAGCAGGATGAAGACTTCTGAATTAGCATTCAGGCCTTTCTCACTGTTGCTCACAGCAGAGACAGGAGAGAAGGGGAAAAAAAAAAGGATTAGATCTTTTCTCCTTGCCCCTGTAGTTTTCTTCTGGCAGTAGACTCTGTTGATGGGAATGGGCCTGATAATCGCAACTACGCAGAATAGGAGAGTGGGGTATGCCTTTGTTGGCATGTCCTCTGAAATGACCTCGGCAAAGAATGCTGTGGAAAAGAAATGGTGATTCTAAAGAAAAGGCATTTGTAACTTTTTTTAATAAATTTTCCTTTAAGTTTTGGAATACATGTGCTCAACGTGCAGGTTTGTTATATAGGTATGCATGTGCCATGGTGGTTTGCTGCACCTATCAACCCGTCATCTAGGCTTTAAGCCCAGCATGCATTAGATATTTGTCCTAATGCTCTCCCTCCCCTTGCCGCCACCCGGCGCCCCCCGCCCCCTGACATGCGCAGGTGTGTGATGTTCCCCTCCCGGGGTCCATGTGTTCTCATTGTTCAACTCTCACTTATGAGTGAGAACATGCGGTGTTTGGTTTTCTGTTCCTGTGTTAGTTTGCTTTTAAAATATTTGAAAGATGAAATATTAGAAGAAAAGAAAATTGTTTTATGGAAATGTTTCTCCAATAGGCAAATTAGGTTAGAATGAAGATTAATGATATCTAACCAGAGAAATCAACTCAGTGGACTCCACCAAATCGGCTCTCAGTGCGGCTAAAACAAAGCAGGCAGAAAAAGGCAGAGAAGCAGCTTGCTGGGTCTACTTGCACCAGCAACCCCTTGCGGGGGGTAGGTGGGGCTCCCAGGCCTTTGGCCTCAGACTGAGGGCGGCACTGTCAGCCCCGTTTTTTTTCCTTTGTTTGTTTCTGTTTTTGTTTTTGTTTTTGTTTTGAGACAGAGTCTAGCTCTGTTGCCCAGGCTGGAGTGCAGTGGCGCGATCTCGGCTCACTGCAAGCTCCGCCTCCCGAGTTCACGCCATTCTCCTGCCTCAGCCCCCCCGAAGTGGCTGGGACTACAGGCACTCGCCACCACGCCCAGCTAATTTTTTTGTATTTTTAGTAGAGACGGGGTTTCGCCGTGTTAGCCAAGATGGTCTCGATCTCCTGACCTCGTGATCCACCCGCGTCGGCCTCCCAAAGTGCTTGGATTACAGGTGTGAGCCACCGCGCCCAGCCCCAGCCCCCTTTCTTTGAGGCTTTTGGATGTGGACTGAGCCACTCCAGGCTTCTCTTCTTCACCAGCTTGCAGACGACCTATTGTGTGACTTTGCCTTATAATCCTGTGAGCCAAGTCTCCCTAATAAACTCTATTTTGTATATATATATCTATATCTATATATAGATATCTATAGATATCTATATATATATCTATATATAGATATATATAAATATCTATAGATATATATACATCTATATATAGAGAGATATATAAACTCTATTTTGTATGTATATACACAAAATATATGCATATACTAAATATATACACTATATATGTACAATATACATTGTACATATATACAATATATGTACATATATACAATATATACATATTATATTGTATATTGTATATACATATATATTGTATATAATGTACAATAAGTACAATATATACAATATGTACGTATATATGTATATATGTACAATATGTACATATATATACTATATATACTATATATACACCATATATAGTACATATATATACAACATATACATATACAATATATATACAAAATAAACTCTATTTTATATATATATCTATATCTAGATATATATAGATATCTATATATCTATATCTCTCTATCTATATATCTATATATCTATATCTCTATATCTATATATCTATATATATCTAGATATCTAGATATATAGATATATATAGAGAGATATATATTGTATTGGGTCTGTCCCTCTGGAATGCCCTGGTTAATATAAGGACTTTTAAAGAAATAGATGTGCATTAGAGATGAGAAAGAATGGAAATCACTAAATGAAGCCGTCTTACTGTTTAGCTTTGGAAAAGTAGTTCGAGGGAAAAGTTTTAGATTTCTCTTCTTTAGCACAACAAAGATCATACTGGGAAAACCAGACTCAAAGACTGACTGTTTCAGTCTTATTGAGGTAACATTGACAAACAAAAATTGTATATATTCAAGGTTATAATGTGATGTTTTGATATATGTACACATTATGAAATGACTGACACACTCAAGCTATTAACACATCCAGGCTGGGTGCAGTGGCTCCGAACTGTAATCCCAGCACTTTGGGAGGCCAAAGTGGGTGGATCACCTGAGGTCAAGAGTTTGAGACCAGCCTGGCCAACATGGTGAAACCCCATCTCTACTAAAAATATAAAAAAATTAGCCAGACCTGGTGGTGTGCACCTGTAATCCCAGCTACTCAGGAGGCTGAGGCAGGAGAATTGCTCGAACTCAGAAGGCAGAGGTTGCAGTTGGCCGAGATCTTGCCACTGCACTCCAACCTGGGTGACAGAGCGAGACTCTGTCTCAAAAAAAAAAAAAAAACAAAAACAAACAAACAAACAATAAAAGCCATTCCCTCACATAGTTACCATTAGTGTGTGTGTGTGATGAGAACACTTAGTATCTACTTTCTTAGCAAATTTCAAATGAACAATATTATTAACTGTAGTTACCATGCTATACATTAGGTCTCCAGAACTTATTCATTTTATAACTGCAGAGGGGCTGCAAACAGCTGAAGTCAGGGCATGGGATGCCCTTCTGGGGGCCAAGCCCAAGGAAGAATGTGGCAGAAGAGGAATTCGGGCTTTGGGAAGGGAGCAGGGCATGGAACAGTTGAAGGTAGCAGAAGATGCCTATGGAATCCCTCCTTTAACTTTTCATATCTCCAGTAAAATTGCCATTTTCACCACTTGTGGAAAATGATGAGGAATCAGTGATCTGACCAATCTAGAATATCTCAGCTATGCTTTATTCAGGAGGCAAATTAATTTAGAAAGGAAATTAATAATACTTAACTTTCCAAAAAATATAAATGGAATCCACATAGGAATTTGAAACATAGTCATGCATTGCATAAGGACATTTTGGTTAATGACAAACCACATATACAATGGTGGTTCCATGATATTATACTGCTATATTTTACTTTTCTATGTTTAGATAAGTTTTGATACACAAATACTTACCATTGTGTTCCATCTGCCCACAGTATTCAGTACAGTAACTTGCTGCACATGCTTGTAGCCTAGAAGGAATAGCTTATACCATATAGCCTAGATGTATAGTTGGCAACACCATCTAGTTTTGTGTAAGTACACTTCATGTTGCCTACACAGCGAAAAGCACCTGATGATGCCATTGTCAGAAGGTATCCCTGTTGTTAAGCAATGCATGACTAGAGCATATTTGTATCTGCAAACTCAGGACAGAGAACTCTGTGGTGACATGTAGTGCAAGGAATTTGCTGAAGTCTTGGGGAGTACTTAGGACTAATATTCATTTTGAGCCAAGTATTCTAAACCTCTGAGAGATAAGGAGATCCCAGTAACATCTAGGGTATGTAAAGCTCATGCACAACAGCTGAGATCTCCTCACAGCAGCACAGCTGAAAGTGCAAATGCAGGAGCATCCAACTGGACTCTCACTGTTCATGTCCCCTCCTGCCCAAGCATTAGAATCTAGAACTCACTTCAGTTTTTGAGCATTGTGTTACCATTGTGTGATTTTGTTTTTTTAAATGAATAAGAAAGACACAACTCTGCCAAATGGCATTGTGAACAGAAGGGTTATTTCTCAGAGGGTAAGGAGTGAGTAAGTCCACATATGCCCTCAGTCAAGAGAGAGTGAAAAGAATTTTCAACTCAGAATTTCATATCCAGCCAAATTAAGCTTCATAAGCAAAGGAGAAATAAAATCCTTTACAGACAAGCAAATGCTGAGGGATTTCATTACCACCAGGCCTGCTCTTCAAGAGCTCCTGAAAGCACTAAATACGGAAAGGAAAAACTGGTACCAGCCACTGCAAAAACACACCAAAATATGAAGATCAATGACACTATGAAGAAAGTGCATCAACTCATGTACAAAATAACTAAATAGCATCATAATGACAGGATCAAATTCACACATAACAATACTAACCTTAAATGTAAAAGACACAGACTGGCAAATTGGATAAGGAGTTAAGACAAATCAGTGTATTGTATTCAAGAGACCCATCCTGTGTGCAGACACACATAGGCTCAAAATAAAGAGATGGAGGAAAATTTGCCAAGCAGATGGAAAGCAAAAAAGTGGCAGTTGCAATTGTAGTCTCTGACAAAACAGACTTTAAATCAACAAAGAACAAAAAAGACAAGGAAGGGCATTACATAATGGTAAAGGGAATAATTCAACAAGAAGAGCTAACTATTCTAAATATACATGCACCCAATAAAGAAGCATCCAGATTCACAAAACAAGTTCTTAGGGACCTACAAAGAGACTTAGACTCCCACACTATAATACTGGGAGATTTTAACACCCCACTGTCAGTATCAGACAGATCAAAGAGACAGAAAATTAACAAAGACATTCAGGACTTGAACTCAACTCTGGATCAAATGGATCTAGTAGACGTCTGCAGAATTCTCTACCCCAAAACAACAGAATATACATTCCTCTCAGTACCACATGGCACTTATTCTAAAATTGACCATATAATTGGAAGTAAAACATTCCTAAGCAAATGTAAAGAAACTGAAATCATAACAGTATCTCAGACCACAGTATAATCAAATTAGAACTCAGGAATAAGAAACTCACTCAAAACCACACAATTACATGGAAACTGAACAACCTGCTCCTGAATGACTCCTGTGTAAATAATGAAATTAAGGCAGAAATCAAGAAGTTCTTTGAAATGAACGAGAACAAAGAGGCAATATACCAGAATCTCTGGGTTATGGCTAAAGCAGTGTTAACAGGGAAATTTATAGCACTAAATGCCCACATCAGAAAGCTAGAAAAATCTCAAATTGACACCTAGACGTCACAATTAAAAGAGCTAGCAAGGCAAGAACAAACAAAACCAAAAGCTAGCAGACAACAATCAATAACTAAGATCAGAGAAGAATTGAAGGAGATAGAGACATGAAAAACCCTCCAAAAAATCAACGAATTCAGGAGCTGGTTTTTTGAAAAAAACTAACAAAATAGATAAACCACTAGCTAGACTAATAAAGAAGAGAGAGAAGAATCAAATAGACACAATAAAAAATGATAAAGAGATTTCACCACTGACCCCAAAGAAATAAAAACTACCATCAGATAATATTATAAACACCTCTACGCAAATAAACTAGACAATCTAGAAGAAATGATAAATTCCTGGATGCATACACACTACCAAGACTAAACCAAGAGGAAGTTGAATCCCTGAGTAGACCAATAACAAGCCCTGAAATTGAAGCAGTAATTAATAGCCTACCAACCAAAAAAACCCCAGGACCAGATGGATTCATAGCTGAATTCTACCAGAAATATAAAAAGGAGCTGAAACTACTCCAAACAATTGAAAAGGAGGGACTCCTCCCTAAATCATTTTATGAAGCCAGTATCATGCTGATACCAAAACAGGGAAGAGACGCAACAAAAAAAGAAAACTTCAGGCAAATATCCCTGATGAACATCAATGCAAAAATCCTCAATGAAATACTGGCAAACTGAATCCAGCAGCACATCAAAAAACTTATCCACCACCATCAAGTTGGCTTCATCCCTGGGATGCAAGGCTGGTTCAACATATGCAAATCAATAAATATAATCCATCACATAAACAGAACCAAAGACAAAAACCACATGATTATCTCAATAGATGCAGAAAAGGCCTTTGATAAAATTCAACATCACTTCATGGTAAAAACTCTCAATAAACTAGGTATTGATGGAATATATCTCAAAATAATAGGAGCTATTTATGACAGACCTACAGCCAATATCCTATTGAATGGGCAAAAGCTGGAAGCATTCCCTTTGAAAACCAGCACAACACAAGGATGCCCTCTCTCACCACTCCTATTCAACATAGTATTGGAAGTTCTGGCCAGGGCAATCAGGCAAGAGAAAGAAATAAAGCATATTCAAATAGGAAGGGAGGAAGTCAGGTTGTCTCTGTTTGCAGACAACATGATTTTATATTTAGAAAACCCCATCGTCGCAGCCCAAAAACTCAAACACTCCTTGAACTGATAAGCAACTTCAACAAAGTCTCAGGATACAAAACTAATGTGCAAAAATCACAACCATTCCTATACACCAACAATAGGCAAGCAGAGAGCCAAATCATGAGTGAACTCCCATTCACAATGGCTACAAAGAGAATAAAATACCTAGGAATACAGCTAACAAGGGAGGTGAAGGACCTCTTCAAGGAGAACTACAAACCACTGCTCAAGGAAATAAGAGAGGACACAAACAAATGAAAAAACATTCCATCCTTATGGATAGGAGGAATCAATATCGTGAAAATGGCCATACTACCAAAAGTAATCTATAGATTCAATGCCATTCCCATCAAACCACAATTGACATTCTTCACAGAATTAGAAAAAAAACTATTTTAAATTTCATATGGAATCAAACACCTCGTATAGTCAAGACAATCTTCAGCAAAAAGAACAAAGCTTGAGGCATCACGCTACCTGACTTCAAACTATACTACAAGGCTACAGAAACCAAAGCATCATAGTCCTGGTACCAAAACAGACATATAGGCCAACGGAGCAGAACAGAGACCTCAGAAATAACAACACAAATCTACAACCATCTGATCTTCGACAAACTTGACAAAAACAAGCAATGGGGAAAGGATCTCCTCCTATTCAGGAAATGGTGCTTGGAAAACAGGCTAGCCATATGTAGAAAACTGAATCTGGACCCATCCCTTACATCTTATACAAAAATTAACTCAAGATGGTCTAAAGACTTAGATGTAAAATTCAAAACCATAAAAACCCTAGAAGAAAGCCTAGGCAATACCATTCAGGACATAGGAATGGGAAAAGACTTCATGAAAAAACAGCAAAAGCAATTGCAACAAAAGCCAAAATTGACAAATGAGATCTAATTAAACTAAAGAGCTAATGTACAGCAAAAGAAACTAGCATTAGAGTGAACAGGCAACCTACAGATTGGGAGAAAATTTTTGCAATCTACCCATCTGACAAGGGTGTAATATCCAGAATTTACAAGGAATTTAAACATATTTACAAGAAACAAACAACCCCATCAAAAAGCGGGCAAAGGATATGAACAGACACTTCTCAAAAGAAGACATTTATGCAGCCAACAAACACATAAAAAAAGTTCAACATCACCGATCAGCAAATCAAAACCACAGTGAGTCACCATCTCACACCAGTCAGAATGGTGATTATCAAAAAGTCAGGAAACAATAGATACTGGTGAGGGTGTGGAGGAATAGGAATGCTTTTACCCTCTTGGTGTGAATGTAAATTAGTTCAACCATTGTAGAAGACAGTGTGGTGATTCCTCAATGATCTAGAATCAGAAATACCATTTGACCCAGCAATCCCATTACTGGGTATATACCCAAAGTAATATAAGTCATTCTACTATAAAGACACATGCACACATATGTTTATTGCAGCACTATTTACAATAGCAAAGACATGGAAACAAACAAAATGCCCATCGATGATAGACTGGATAAAGAAAATGTGGTAAATATACACCATAGAATGCTATGCAGCCATAAAAAGGAATGAGATCATGTCCTTTGCAGGGACATAGATGAAGCTGGAACCCATCAGCCTCAGCAAACTAACTCAGGAACAGAAAACCAAACACCCCATGTTCTCACTCATAAATGTGAGTTGAACATTGAGAACTCATGGACACAGAGAGGGTAACAATACACCAGGGCCTATTGAGGGGTGGGGGTGAGGCAAGGAACTTAGAGGATGGGTCAATAGGTGCAGCAAACCATCATGGCACACGTATACCTATGTAACAAAACTGCACGTTCTGCACATGTATCCCGTGTTTGTTTGTTTGGAAGAAATAAAGAAAAAATTTTCAATAAAAGTTTGGGGTTTTTAACTCTCAAAAAAAAAAAAGAAAAGGAGAGAGAGAGAGTGAAAGCCAAGCTACCCTGCCTTGAAGGGGTCAATTAGGAAGAACCAAACTGAAAGTAACCAGCAATCCTTTATTCATTGTTGTAGTGCAGGCCAGGATGAAGGTGCCAGCTCCCACAGTGTTGCACATGGCCAGGGTGGTCTCACGGCCAAAGGAGCTCTGAACCAAAGGCTCCTCCTATCTTATGGACCCAGAGAGGAAGAGGAAAGGACTAGTAGTGAAAAAAATACAAAATACCCATTCAAAGTTAAGAAAATTTTCTTCAAGTCTCCCCCAATAAGGTGTTCTCAGCAGATGCACCCAAAGCTAGGGGCAGCCCAATTAGGCGGCCTCGGAATGGAGGCACTTAAGGTAGAAATGCAAATACACGAGACAGGGTCAGCTGTAGAGTTGAGGGGAGTGGGGGTCAGGATCTGAGTCCTTGACTGCACTTCCCTTCAGGGATGGCAGAGCACTAGCTGATGTGGGGAGGGCAGCTTCCCCCATGAGCCTGCCAGATAATGACTTGGAAACCTCCTATGGTTTGACATGAAAGGTCACACATAGGATCTTGGCCTGGAGCCAGACACCTCATTTCCTGGTTGAAATTTGTAATGCTAAAATTTTAAGTTACGCAGTCCTACCCAAATCTGATATTTTTATTTTCACAACACAGTTTCCTTCATTTTCCTAATGGATAAATGGACGGCTTATTTTCATATGAATTGATAGTATCAACAAAGAGAAAGAAACAAAGAGATCAGGCCAGGCGCAGTGGCTCACACCTGTAATCCCAGCACTTTGGGAGGCTGAGGCGGGCAGATCACCTGAGGTTCGGAGTTCAAGACCAGCCTGACCAACATGAAGAAACCCTGTCTCTACTAAAAATGCAAAATTAGCCGGGCATGGTGGCACATGCCTGTAATCTCAGCTACTCAGGAGACTGATGCAGGAGAATCACTTGAACCCGAGAGGCAGAGGTTGTGGTGAGTGGAGATTATGCCATTGCACTCCAGCCTGGGCAACAAGAATGAAACTCCATCTCAAAAAAAAAAAAAAAAAGACACAAAGAGATCAAATACGGGACTTTGCATTTCAGCCAATAATAAAATATGTGCAATAATTTGCTTTGTTTCAATCTTCTCATTTTCTTCAGGTGTTTTAGAATACTAAGAGGAATTTTTAGTAAGGAAATATGTAGATTAGATGTTTGAAGAGAATATATTGATTTGACAATTCTAAATTTTTTTTCTGAAGAATCTGACCTTTTACAAAATCCCAATGAAGACCATACTCCACTGAATCAAATAATCCTTTTCTTATCAATTACTATGTCCCCTCAGAGAAGGCAAAACATAAGTATGTAATTTTGCTGCTATGACAGACAGAAGAGTCTTGCTGGAGGCCACTGGCAAACACATTAATCACTGAAGCACCTCAACTCCTCGGACCCTCAATAAATACCTCTACCCCCTAAGAGAGATTTACTGTTGTTGTGTTCTGTTGTTGTGTTTTTATTATTATTATTATTATTATACTTTAAGTTTTAGGGTACATGTGCAACGTGCAGGTTTGTTACATGTGTATACATGTGCCATGTTGGTGTGCTGCTCCCATTAACTCTTCATTTAACATTAGGTATATCTCCTAATGCTATCATTTTCCCCTCCCCCCACCCCACAACAGGCCCCAGTGTGTGATGTTCCCCTTCCTGTGTCCTGTGTTCTCATTGTTCAATTCCCACCTATGAGTGAGAACATGCGGTGTTTGGTTTTTTGTCCTTGTGATAGTTTGCTGAGAATGATGGTTTCCAGCTTCATCCATGTCCCTACAAAGAACATGAACTCATCATTTTTTATGGCTGCATAGTATTCCATGGTGTATATGTGCTACATTTTCTTAATCCAGTCTATCATTGGTGGACATTTGGCTTGGTTCCAAATCTTTGCTATTGTGAATAGTGCTGCAATAAACATACGTGTGCATGTGTCTTTATAGCAGCATGTTTTATAATCCTTTGGGTATATACCCAGTAATGGGATGGCTGAGTCAAATGGTATTTCTAGTTCTAGATCCCTGAGGAATCGCCACACTGACTTCCACAACGGTTGAACTAGTTTACAGTCCCACCAACAGTGTAAAAGTGTTCCTATTTCTCCACATCCTCTCCAGCATCTGTTGTTTCCTGACTTTTTAATGATCGCCATTCTAACTGGTGTGAGATGGTATCTCATTGTGGTTTTGATTTGCATTTCTTTGATGGCCAGTGATGATGAGCATTTTTTCATGTGTATTTTAGCTGCATAAATGTCTTCTTTTGAGAAGTGTCTGTTCATATCCTTTGCCCAGTTTTTGATGGGGCTGTTTGTTTTTTTCTTATAAATTTGTTTGAGGTCATTGTAGATTCTGGATATTAGCCCTTTTCCAGATGAGTAGATTGCAAAAATTTTCTCCCATTCTGTAGGTTGCCTGTTCACTCTGATGGTGGTTTCTTTTGCTGTGCAGAAGCTCTTTAGCTGTTGTGTTTTTGTTGCTGCTGTGTTATACTGTTGTGTTTTTGTTGTTGCATTATGCTGTTGTATTTTTGTTGAACAGGAGGCATGCATGAGCACAGCTGTCTATGGGTGGGTCCAAATGTGGGAGCTTGGTGTTTGGCTTGCCCCTGTGAATAGCCCCATCCTGTCTGCTTAGGCCAATGCTCCCACCTAACAGAGGGACTGTTCCCCAGGAAGGTCAGCAGCCTTTCATGGGAGTACATGTTGGTTTCAGGTCAAATCCATCCCCCAGAGAATTGCAATATCATACACAGAGAATGTATTGCAGTGTCTGAAGAGAGTTGCACCAAGGACTCAGAATCTGACTCCCACCCCGTCAACTGGCCATAGTCTTGTGCATGTCTTCATTCATACCTTACATGCCTCCATTCCAAGTCCTCCATATTAGGCTGCCCTTAGCCTTGGGTCCATCTTCTGAGATCACCTTATTAGGAAGCAATGAAGAGGTGGCAGAAGCTGCTTAAACTTTACAGCCTCCTCCGAGTAAGAGATCGCCAGTCCCTACATTAAGATGAGCATGTAATACCACATGCCAGACATTAACCAATTTATTTATAATTCATTTAAACATAAATTTTGTGCATGAGCTAGGTGTTATTATTATTATTTATCTTACTTTTAGATGTGGAAACAAAGAGGCAGAGAGAGGGAAAAACTTGGCCAAGGAAACACATGTAATAAGTGGTAACACTGGGATATGGCTCCAAGCTGTCTGGACGTTTTACCACCATGCCAAACCCATCTCTCAGTGAAGCCAGGGGACTGAATTCACACAGGTGTTTGATATCATCCAATGCCTCCAATCAGATGACTTAACAGAAGACAGATCCTTTCTCAAAAGCACCACAGTTACCTACACAACAAAAAGATTTCATTTAAAACCTAGCATCCCATCCTCCTGCCAAGTCTGGGCCCAAAACTTAGCATGAAGTGAAGGGGCTTACATCTTTTTACAACAAAGTGTGGGATGAGAAGAGATAGAGGACCACAGTTAAATTGAGAAGATTTCTTCAAAATTGCACACTTTAAGTAGATTGATCTTTTTCCCTTAAAAAAATGGAATTTTAAAAGATTTACTTACAGCTTTGTGCACACTTACATCCTCCTCCAGATTCCTCTGTTTTATGACAAAGACAACACAGGACATAGATGGTTTAGGCATCTTCCCTATGGGGACTCCAGATAGAAGATTCCTATTCCACATAACTTTATCCTACTTGTCAACTATCAGAGTCCAAAATCTACTAAATACTGTAGGAGGGTGGGCATGGCCAAGCATACACGTGCTGAAACTACATGGTTAATTTTAAATTTGATTAAAGAGCACATAGAAAATCATTTCTGTATATTTAATTTACATGCCATATACCCACTCCCCACATATGCACAGCTTTCCCCACCATCAGTATCCCATACCAAGGGGTTTATGGAAACTCTCTGTACTTTCTGCTCAATTTTGCTATGACCGTAAAACTGTTCTAAAAAAATAAAATGTTTAATTAATAAAAATTCTGCATCAGAGTGTTACATTTATTACAAGTGTAATATATTGAACATCATCATTACCAAAAGCCCATCATTTTACATTAGGGTTCACTCTGGCATTTACATTAGGGTTCACTCTTGACACTGTACATTCTATGGATTTGGACTAATGTATAATGACCTCCATCCATCATTATAGTATCATACAGAATAGTTTCATTGCCCTAAAAAATCCCCTGTCTTCCACCTATTCATCTGTTCCTCCCTATAGTCCCTGACAATCACTGATTCTTTTACTATACTCATATTTTTGCCTTTTCCAGAATGTTATGTAGCTGAAATCAGTAAGTAGCCTTTTTAGACTAGCTCCTTTCACTTAGTAATGTGCACTTAAGTTTCCTCCATGTCTTTTTACTACTCAACTCCAAGATTTGGCATAAAACTACAGTGATAAAAGGTGTGTGGTACTAGCAAAAGAATAGACAAATAGCACATCGCTCAATAGGATAGAATAGAGAACCCAGCAATAGTCTTCGTAGCTAGTTTCTTTTTAGACCGCATATTTCATTGTCTAGATATACCACAGTTTATCCATTCACCTGATGAAGGACATCTTGGTTGCTTCCAAATTTTGGCAATTATAGATAAAGCTGCTATAAACAGCCATGTTCAGATTTTTGTGCAAACATGTTTTAAACTGTTTTGCATGAATACCAAAAGGCGTGATTGCTGGATCATATGGTAAGAATATGTTTAGTTTTCTAAGAAACTGCCAAACTGTCTTCCAAAGCATCTGGACCATTTTGTATTCCCACCAGGAATAAATTAAAGTTTCTGTTGAACTCAGAATCCTCAACACATCCTCACCAGAATTTGGCGTTGTCAGCGTTTTTGGAATTTGGCCATTCTAATAGGTGTGTAATGGTATCCCATCGTTGTTTTAATTTGCAATACCTTAGTGACATATGATGTTGAACATCTTGTATTTGCCTACTTACCTCTGTATATCTTGTTTGGTGAGCTGTGTATTCAGATCTTTGGGCCATTTTTTAATAGAGTTATTCATTTTCTTATAGCTGAGTTTTAAGAGTTATTTGTATATTTAGGATAACAGTCCTTTATCAGATGCCTCTTTTGCATATGTTTTTTCCCAGAATGTGACTTATCTTCTCCTTCTCTTGAAACTGTCTCAGAGCAGAACTTTTTAATTTTAATTAAGTTCAGCTTATAAATTATTTCTTTCAAGGAACATGTTTTTGGTGTTGTATTTATTTATTTATTATTTAATTTTTTAGTTTTTTGAGACGGAAGCTCGCTCTGTCGCCCAGGCTGGAGTACAATGACGCGATCTCTGCTCAATGCAACCTCCGCCTCCCAGGCTCAGTGATTCTCCTGCCTCAATCCCCCTAGTAGCTAGCATTATAGGCATCCATCACCCTGTCTGGCTAATTTTTGTATTTTTAGTAGAGACAGGGTTTCACCATATTGGCCAGGCTGGTCTCGAACTCTTTGCCTTAAGTGATCTGCCCACCTCGGTCTCCCAGAGTGCTGAGAATACAGGTGTGAGCCACTATGCCCTGCCTGGTGTTGTATTTAAAAAGATATTGCCATACCCAAGATCACCTAGATTTTTTTTTTACATATTCAAGGAATTTTATAGTTTTGTGTTTTACATTTAAGTCTATAATGCATTTTGAATTAATTTTTAAGGAGTGTATTCATATTTTTGCATATGGATGTCCTATTTTTCCAGGATCATTTGTTGAAGACTATCTTTGCTCCATTATGCTACCTTTGCTCCTTTATCAAAGATCAGTTGACTATACTTATGTGGGGCTGTTTCTGGGCTCTCTATTCTGTTCCATTGAGCTATTTGTCTATTTCTGTGCCAATACCACTCTCTCTATTACTGTATTACTTTATTACTAAAGCTTTATACTAAGTCTTGAAGTTTGGTAGTAACAGTCTGCCAACTTTTTTCTTCTTTACATAGTGTTGGCTATTCTAGGACGTATTGCTCTCCATATAAACTGTAGATTTGGTTGTTTGGCATCCACAAGATAACTTTCTGGGATTTTGATTGGAATTTTGTTGAATCTATAGATTAAGTTGGGAAAGACTGACATGGTGATGATATTGAGTCTCCCTATCCACAAACATGAGGTGTGTCTTCTATTATTTAGTCTTTTGATTTCTTTAGTCAGAGCTTTGTAATTTTCCTCATAAATATCTTGTGCATATTTTGTTAGATTTATACCTAAGTATTTCATTTTATGGGGTTCTAATGTAAATGGTATTGTGTTTTTAATTGCAAATGCCACTTATTCATTGCTAGTATATAGGAAAGTGATTGACTTTTGTATGTTAACTGCTTATCTGCAACCTTGGAATAATTGTTTATTATTTCCAGGAGTTTTATGGGTTTTTTTTTTTTTTTTCAGATTTTCTACATAGAAGATCATGTCATCTGTGAAAAAAGACAGTTTCAGTTCTCTGTTCCTAATACCTCTTATTTATTTTTGTTGTCATATTACATTAGCTAAGAATTTAAGTACAATGTTGAATAGAAGTGGTAAGAGGAATATCCTTGCCTTGTTCTTGATCTTAGCAGAAAAACTTATAGGCTGTCATCAAATATGATGTTAGCTGTAGGTTTTTTGTAGATGTTTTTTGCCAAGTTGATTTTGTTTCCAAGTTAATTGATTTTTGCTCTAATTTTTATTATTTCTTTTCTTCTACTTACTTTGGATTTAAATTGCTCTTCTTTTTCTAGTTTCCTAAAGTTGAAACTTAGATTATTAATTTTAGATCTTTCTTTTTTCTAATACTTGTATTCAATTCCTAGTTTCTTCTCACTTCTAGTTTGCTGAAAGTTTGTAATTATAAATGGGTATTGGATTTTGTCAAATGCTTTCTGTGTGCCTATGATCCTGTGATTTTTCTTCTTTAGCATGCTGATGTGATGAATTACATTAGTTGATATTAGAAAAGTAAATTAGCCTTCTATAACTGGGATAAATCTCACTTAGTCATGATGCAGAACTCTTTTTATACATTGTTGAATTCAAGTTACTAATATTTTGTTGAAGTTTTTGTGTCTATGGCCTGCAGTTTTCTTCTCTTGTAATGTCTTTGTCTGGCTTTTGTATTAGGATAATGCTGGCCTCCTAAAACGAGTTAGATCACATACCCTCTGCCTCTATTTTCTGGAACAGATTTTAGAGAATTTTTTTTTTTTTTGAGATGGAGTTTTGCTCTTGTTGTCCAGGATGGAGTGCAATGGCGCAATCTCGGCTCACCACAACCTCTGTCTCCCGGGTTCAAGATATTCTCCTGCCTTAGCATCCTGAGTAGCTGAGATTACAGGCATGCGCCACCACACCTAGCTAATTTTCTATTTTTAGTAGAGATGGGTTTCTCCATGTTGGTCAGGCTGGTCTCGAACCCCCGACCTCAAGTGATCTGCCCACCTCGGCCTCCCAAAGTGCTGGGATTACAGGCGTGAGCCCCTGCGTCAGCACTAAAGAATTTATATCATTTCTTCCTTAAATGTTTGGTAGGATTCACCAGTGAACCCATTTGAGCTTGGTGCTTTTTGTTTGGGAAGATTAATTATAGATTCCGTTTCTTTAATAGATATAGCCCTGTTTAAATTATCTATTTCTTCTTGTGTGAATTTTGGCAGACATGTCTTTCAAGGAATTGATCTGGTTTATCTAGGTGGTCCAATTTGTTTACAATATTATTCTATTGTCTTTTTGATGCCTATGGATGTGTAGTGATGTCCCCTCTTTCAGTTTTGATGTTAGTAATTTGTGTCTTCTCCCTTTTTTTCTTAGCCTGGCTACAGGTGTATCAATGTTATTGATTTTTTTTATTTCTATTCAATAGCTTCCTATTAAACTTATGGTTTGTTGATTTTCTCTACTGATTTTTTCCAATTTCATTGATTTTTGCTCTAATTTTTATTGTTTCTTTTCTTCTACTTACTTTGGATTTAAATTGCTCTTCTTTTTCTAGTTTCCTAAAGTAGGAGCTTAGATTATTTATTTTATATGTTGCTTTTATCTAATGTTTGTATTCAATGCTATACAGTTCTCTTTAAGCAGTGCTTTCTCTGCATATCACAAATTTTGTTGTTTTATTTTTATTTTCATTTAGTTTGAAATATTTTTAAAACTTCCTTTGAGGCTTCTTCTTTGACTCATGTTATTTCGAAGGATGTTGCTTAATCTGTAAGTATTTGGAGATTTTCCAGCTATCTTTCCATGATTTATTTCTAGTTTAATCCCACTGTGGTCTGAGAGCAGACATTGTATGATTTGTATGCTTTAAATTGTGTTAAGTTGTGTTTTATGGCCCAGAATTTGTTCTTTCCTGCTGAATGTTCCATGTGAGCTTGAGAAGAATGTATATTCTACTGTTGCTGGATGAAATAGTCAATAGATGTCAATTATATCCATCTGTTGATGGTTGTGTTGAGTTCAACTACGTTCTTACTGATTTTCTGCCTGCTGGATCTGTCCATTTCTGAACAGGGACATTGAAGTCTCCAAGTACAATAGTGGATTTTTCTATTTCTCTTTGCTCTTCTATCAGTTTTTGCCTCACATATGTTGATGCTCTTTCCTTAGGCCCATACACATTAAGGATTATTATGTTTTCCTGGGGAAGTGATCCCTTTGTGATTATGTAATGTCGAACTTTATCCCTGATAATTTTCCTTCTTCTGAAGTTGGCTCTGTCAATAATTATTATAGCTATTTCCTATTTCTTTTGATTAATGTTAACATGGAATATTTTTTTCCACCCCATTACTTTTTATCTGTATGTGTTTTTACATTTAAAGAGGGTTTCTTATAGACAACATGTAGTTGGGTCTTGTTTTCAGATCCACTCTGACAACCTCTGTCTTTTAATTGGTATACTTAGATCATTGGCATTTAAAGTAATTACTGATATAGTTGGATTAATGTCTACCATATTCATTGCTGTTTTCTATTTGTTACCTTTGTTCTTTGTTTCTATTTTTGTCTTCCACCCTTTTCTTCCTTTTGTGGTTTTAATTGAGCATTTTATATAAGTTTATTCTCCTTTCTTATCAGATCAATTATACTTTCTTTAACTTTTTTTTTTAGTGATTGCCCTAGACTTTGTAATATACATTCACAACAATTTCATGTCCACTTTCAAATAACACTATACCAGTTCCCAGGTAGAGTGAGTGCCTCATAATAGTAAAATAGTCCTAGTTTATCTTCCCATGCCTTGTATCACTACTTATTTATTTTACTCATACAGAAGCATATGTAAACATATATAATCAAATATATTATTATTATGAATAAGCTATTGTCTATTAGATCAGTTAAGAATAAGCAAAACTAAAATGTTTATTTTATCTTCACTTACTCCTTCTCTGATGCTCTTTCTTTCTTTATGTGGATACAAGTTTCTCTAACCTATATTACTTTACAGCTCTCTAAAGAATTTCTTGTCAACAAATTATCTCAATTTTTTATTTTATAATAAAATCTTTATTTCTTCTTCAGTTTAAAGGGATAATTTCACAGGGTGCAGAATTTTAGGTTGGTGAAGGTCTTTTCTTAACAGTAAATACTTCTCTCTTTTTAATTTTACTTTAAGTTCTGGGATACATGTGCAGAACTTGCAAGTTTGTTACACAGGTATACCATAGTGGTTTGCTGTACCCATCAACCTATCATCTAGGTTTTAAGCCCTGCATGCATTAAGTATTTGTCCTAATGCTCTCTCCCTCCTTGGCCTCCACCCCCGACAGACCCCAGTGTGTGATGTTCTCCTCCCTGGGTCCCTGTGTTCTCATTGTTCAACTCCCACTTAGGAGTGAGAACATGCAGTGTTTGGTTTTCTGTTCTGTGTTAGTTTGCTGAGGATGATGGCCTCCAGCTTCATCCACATCTCTACAAAGGACATGAACTCACTCTTTTTTATGGCTGCATAGTATTCCATGGTGTCTATGTGTCACATTTTCTTTATCCTGTCTATTATTGATGGACATTTGGGTTGGTTCCAAGTCTTTGCTATTGTAAATAGTGCTGCAATAAACATATGTGTGTACTGAACACTAAATATTTCACTTCTCTCTCTTCTTGCTTTCATGGTTTCCAAGGATAAGTCAGTTGTAATTCTTTTCTCCTCTGTAAGTAAAGTGTTGTGTTTTTTTTCTGCCTCTGGTTTTTTTCAGAACTTTTTTCCTTATCTTTGATTTTCTGATTTTAAGTTATGAATCTCTGTATCTACCTGCTTCTCTTCTATGATAGGCCTGTATGTAGTTTTTTTGGCATTTATCCTGTTCTTGGAGCTTCTTGGATCTGTGGGTTGATATCTGATATTAATTTAAGAAACTCTTCAGTCATTGTTACTGCAAGTATTACTTCTGCTCCTTTCTCTCTTTTTTCTCCTTCTGCTCTTCTTATTACACATATTTTATACCTTTTGTAGTTGTCCCACTGTTTTTAAATAACCTGTTCTTGTTTTTTAAATAACTGTTATTGTTTCTTAGTTTTTTTATTTGCTTTTTCATTTTGAAGGTTTCTGTTGATATATGCGCAAGCTCAGAGATTTTCCTCAGCTGTGTCTAGTCTAGTAATGAGCCCAACAAAAGCATCCTTTATTTCTTATACAATGTTTTTTATCTCTAGCATTTCCTTTTACTTTTTTCTTAGAATTCCATTTCTCTGCTTACATTGTCCTTGTGTTTTGCATGCTGACCAATTTTTTCATTAAACCCCTTAGCATATTAATAATAGTTGTTTCAAATTTTTATTCCAGTAATTCCAACATTCATGCCATTTCTGAGTCTGGCTCTGATACTTCCTTTGTCTCTTCAAACTAAGAAGTTTGAAGTTCTCTTTTAGTATGCCTTGTAATTGTTTTCTGATAGCTGGACGTAAGTGCAGAGCAGAAGGAAACATGATAAATGTGCCTTTAACGATGTGGTGGTAAGGTGTAGGGGGAAGTGATGCATTTTACAGCCTTGCGATTAAGTCTCAGTTTTTGAGCCTCTGAATTGTGACCTTCACAAATAAGTCTTAGTTTTTTGCTCTCCCACTTAGATGAGAAAGGATTAGTAAAGCAGGCTAGAGTTGGGTATTTCTCTTTCCCCAGGTCATTAGGTTCTGATAAAATCCTAATAGTTTAGGTCATGTTTAAAATAAAAGTTTCTCTTGAGAGCAGGGCTTGTTAAGAACAGAATGCTCTGACATATTTCAAAACGGTTTCTTTTCCCCTAGCCCTGCTGAGGGCACAAGGGGATTTTTCTCTAATACTCACTGTGAGAACTTGGTGGAGCTCCTGTAAATAAAACTTACAAAAATGTGTGGGGTCCTCATTTTTTAACTTTCAAATGGTCCACTGTAAGCCTCCAACAATTCATCAATTACGGTCCAAAGTTTTCTACCCGGTTTAGGTTTCTGTTCCATTAAGTTGTGATTCTCTGTACCTACGTGCATATCTCCAATTTTGGGAGCAGTGGTTTGCCCTGCAACCTTACTTCTCTGAGTATCTAAGAAGAGTTGTTGATTTTTCAGTTTTTCTAGCTTTTATTGTTGGAGCATGGACTGACGACTTCTAAGCTTTTTCCCTTCCAGACCAGAAATGTAACCTTTAAAAACAAAATTGCTAACTTTAGGCATCTTTAAAAGTGAATATGTTTTGTGATTTAGCTTTTTGCCATCTATTTCAACCCTTCCTATCTGAAGTTTTGTATTAGTCCACTAGAACAATTTTTAGTTGTCTTGCTTCTTAGCTTATATCAGTCTTTCTTACTTTTAGAGCAATGAGTTATGTATTTATGTGTTATTCTGTGTTGTTTATTCAACAAACAGGTTTTTAATGAGACCTTCTTACCTTTTGTTGAACTGATTTGAGAGGTTCCAAAGAATTATTTTCAATTTTTAGCAAAAGTTTCTTAGACAAATGCTGTGTGTCAGCAATGGACTAGATGCAAAGTTACAAAGAAAAATAAAATAAAGTAACAGTACAATAAAAATTCAAAATTTTATTGAACAGTCCAGGCACGGTGACTCACGCCTGTAAACCCAGCACTTTGGGAGTCTGAGGCGGGTGGATTACCTGAGATCAGGAGTTCGAGACCGCCCTGGCCAACATGGTGAAACCCTGTCTCTACTAAAAATGCAAAAAATTAGCTGGGCATGGTGGCAGGTGCCTGTAATCCCAGCTACTCAGGAGGCTGAGGCAGGAGAATTGCTTGAACCTGGGAGGCGGAGGTTACAGTGAGCCGAGATCATGCCATTGCACTCCAGCCTGGGCAACAAGAGTGAAACTCCATCTCGAAAAAAATAATAATAATAATAAAATAAAATAAAACAAAACTTGTTGAACATCATAAGAGGTCCCTCAGAAGACCACCAAAATAATGTAATATAGTATTGCTGATAAGCTCAGGATGAGAGATAGTAAATAGTAGATTCTCCCAAGGAGGGAGCCATCACTTCTCACTGATAAAATCTAACCATTATTGAACAACTGATATGCCACTTTTGGATAAGTATGTTTTTAGTGATTAAAAAGTACCTAAGGAAGTGAAGAAATATTTTTTCTGGTTCTTGTAAGTTGAGAAAAACTAGTTAGGTAATGTTTCATTTAGAAATGCAGAATAGACACAACATAGAATTCCAGAGAAGATCGAGGTGATCTCAGGAAGCCTTCATGACAGAGCACCTAGGATAGACCTTGAGCAACGGCCAGGATTCGGAGAGGAGAATTTGGTGAGCAAAGGTCTGACATTGGGATGAGCGTGGCATAACTTTTAATTAGGTTTGGGTTTGAAAAGAAAGAAAATATATCTTATTAATATTTCTGGTTCCATGTTGAGAGGCCACAGTGGAATGGTATAAAAAAAAACAAAGTTTCTCAATATGATTTTGGTTGGTTTCAAGACAGAGAAAATATATATTAATACAAGCTCTATATTCACCTTCCCAATTAGAGTGTGGTGTGTAGAAAAGGCTGTAAAAATAATTTATCTTGAACATGTTCTTTAGTTGAATAGGTGATAGTTTCAGCTGTTGGAATCCACAACTACCCTTCTTCAATCAGTTGATCTGAAGCAGCATTAAAATGTTCTGATAAGCTCCCTTGGAAGGATAGTAAGCCAACATTTACTAAACATTTAAAAACACTGCCCTTCCAAGGGGATTATGGAAGCATTTTTATGCTCTCTGATAGCAAATAAGTATACTCAATACCAAATAGATGTTTAGCAAATAAGCATTGATAGCTCTGTCTTTGTTTGTAATTGTCCTTTTGTTAGCTAATTTGAGCAACAATGAAAGGATATGTCATACAGGTACTTTCCTCATTCAAGCCCACTGCCTACATGCAGGATGCAGGTCACAATTCTCTGTTCAGGCCAGTTCTTCCTTTCAACTAACTTATGTTTCATGAAGTTATTTTCTAATTTATTGAAAAGTAGTTTCTCTGCCCACAATGAAAGTACTTTATTTTCCTCTGTGCTCCTTATACAATAGTGTAGAAAGAGCATCCAGGTATGAAATGTATATAAACAAAGAATTAGCATTCCATACTTGAGTTTTCATCTCTTCCACCTGGAGCACCATTAGATGTTGATGCTCTTGGAATGAACCTGCTTGCACACTCACCAGCAGCCTCTCATCAATAGGAGAGGGACAGGATTGAGGTACCCTCTCTGCAGGCTTGCCTGTCTACCCAAAAGGGAAGTGGTAACCAAAAAGAAAGGGTGTGGCATTTGTTTTTCATTCCACCCTCTCATCACCAAAGTCCTTCCGCACCATTTGCTAATGTGGTATTTCCAAAATTTTATCCCTTTATGATTGTTAAATGGCTTTGTCCCTTTAATTTTCTATCCTTTGAAGACTACCAGATGTCTGTAGTTTGCTGCATCTGAGAATATCTGAAAGAGAGCAAGGTGGGAGGGTACCATGATGCTGGACCCTTCTGAAGGCCAATGGGCAGAGGCAAGTATGATAGTTAATATTGTCAACTTGATTGGATTGAAGGATGCAAAGTATTGTTCCTGGGTATGTCTGTGAGGGTGTTGCCAAGGGACATTAACATTTGAGTCAGTGAACTGGGAGAGGCAGACCCACCGTCAATGTGGGTGGGCACCATCCAATCAACTGCTAGCACGGCTGCAATAAAGCAGACAGAAAAAGGTGGGAGAAACTTACTTGCTGAGTCTTCTGGCCTTCATCTTTCTCCTGTGCTGGATGTTTCCTGCCTTTGAACATCAGACTCCAAGTTCTTCAGCTTTTGGACTCTTGGACTTACAAGAGTGATTTGCCAGGGACACTCTGGCCTTTGGCCACAGACTAAAGGCTGCACTATCAGCTTCTCTACTTTTGAGGTTTTGGGACTCAGACTGGCTTCCTTGCTCCTCAGCTTGCAGACAGCCTATTGTGGGACTTCACATTGTGATCATGTGAGTCAATTCTCGTAATAAACTCCCCTTCATATATACACCTATCCTATTAGTTGTGTCCCTCTAGAGAACCCTGACTAATACAGCAAGTGTCGCTGCGTGGTGGAAAAATCGAGCCAGCTTGACTTCACTATTAACTATTAAAATGCTACATCTAGTTAGCCTTTTGAACAGAGACAAAATTCCTTCCATATTTACCAATTCACATGGTAATTTTACTATTTCTAAGATGTAGATAAAAATCCTTCAAAAGCCACAAGATATAGTTTCAGCCTTAAGAATGTGGCTTCTTCCCTCTTTCTCCTTCTTTTCTCTTCATCACACTCTTCATCCTCTTTCTCTTCTTCCTTGCCTTCCCCCCGCTTTCTCTTTTTCATCTTCACACAATAAATACTAGCTGAATGATGAGACTAAAGTAGGGATGTCAGGAAAGACCCTGCTGAAAACTATTTGAGAATCCATGACCAGTGGAATAAGGCTTAAACTCCTGCTATTTGTAGGATTAGAATTGGTAGCAATGGCACAAACAACAAAACTAGGGCTGATGAAGATGGGTGACATAGGAGATACAATAGATTCCTAAGGCTGCCTTAATTCATTTTAGCAAGGATTAGATATACTTAATAGTTCCTTTTTATACAACCATTTAATTACTTTCCTGAGTAGAGGTATCTGTATGTATTATATAATGTAAAATCTTTCCAAATTAGAAAAAAATAATAAACAGAAATAAAAAGGAAAGGAAGGAGCATTGTCCTTTAGACAATATTATTTCATAGTCAGATCCTAACATAGGTTAACATTTCAAATGACATCTGCAAAATCTCTTTCTAAATCTGCTTCCATCATAGTGTTAAATACTTCACATTAGCACCATGTGGAGAAAAAGGCAGACATTTTTAAAATTGTCGTCTTATTAACTGATGTGAGAAAATGTTTCTGAATCTAATGAAGTATGAATTAGTTATATCCTTATATTTTCCAGGCTGTGATTATTAGTACCCTAGTGAAATGCTGAAATCACATGTTTGAAAATACAGATACAAACATATTTCTGAAGAAAATAAATAAACCAAATCAGGCTTGTTACTCTGGTTCAATAATAAATTCAAATATGAAGAACAGGAACTCTTAAATATAAAGATTAGAAAGAAAGGTACTCTCATGTCAAAATCTCAGTTGTTTTATTTGGTAAAAAAAAAATAGTTGTTTAATTTGGTAACAAATTATTTAGGTCATTGTTTATTCACACAGTCTTCTATTAGCTTCTCACAAACAAATAGAAGAAGGTGATACTCCTTCCTCTGAGAATCTGTCATTAATTTGGAAAGGTCAGACACACCAGCATAAAAGAGTTAAAAAATGGCAATGAGATTTGTTGGTGGTGATAACTAGTTCTGTGGGTCAATTTCATGACCTAAAAAATAAAGGGATGGGGAGGGATCCTTTAACTCAATAGGCTTTATTCCATCTCAAAAGTGTATATCAGTATAAAAAGGTGGTTTAATAAGAGGAAAATAAATTGTATAATTTTTTCACATAGCTATCGAGAGTGGACAGCTCTGTACCAAGAAGTGCAGCATGGTTCTAAATGTCACTGAATCAACTTCTCCAGATAAATGCAGAGACCTACAAATTTGTGCATAAAAGGTTGAGCTCAGGGCAACTTGCTCACCTCACCTCCCATCCATGCTTTTCCCTCTGGGTCAAGGCTCCTCCATGTCCGTACGTTAAGGAGAAACACTCAAATGGCTCAGTGGCCTGCAAATAGGGTGTGAGGACTCCAAAAAATGTGATTGCACTGTTTCAAGGAGTAGCAGCCACTCAGTTTGAGTGGACTGCTGATATACAGAATTTAGGTCCAATTTTTCCTCTAATTTTTTAAGAGAAATGAAAAACTTGAATTTTTATGTGAAATCTTCCAAAATGACCTTCTAAAATAATATTTCCCTTTTGACAACCATCATAACATTTTAAGGAAACAACATATGAACCAAATGAAATATATCTATAAGCTATGGGCTATGGGCTGGACATAGACTAAGGACACCAGTGTGTTATATTTGTTCCAGTGATTCAGTGTGAACTGGAGAAGTGAGGGGAAGCCGGTGATGTTTACTGCAGGGTTTGAGCTACTCCTTGAATGTGTGTGTGTGTGTGTGCGTGCACACATATGCACATATGCACATAACTAACTGTGTACACACAAGGATATATATAACTGGGAAGGTAAAAATGGAGGCCAATATCCAGACCCTGGAAATATCCATGATCAAATGGCTGGAATGATAGGAAAGTATGGAAAGTTTGGTCATCACAGTAGAATGTTTTCCTGGCTAGAGGAGACAGAAGATTGAGTTTGTTGTAAAACAGAGCCTTGAAAGGCAGATGAAGATGTTTGTGCTAGCAGAAAATTCTTAAACAATCTTAATTAATTACATGTTGATCATATATAAAGATGTGTGTCTCCCAGGATACCGGACATAAAATAATACTACCAATGAAAACCCAGGACTCCATATAATAGATTAAATGAATTGTATCAAGACCCAACAAACAATGACACTTTCAAAAATATTTCTTCCTCCTCACTTATTATCAATCATAAATATGAATTTCAAATCTTAGTTGATTTCAGTGGCAAAAATGCTGGAGTTTTGATTATTTGTATAGTGATCCTGATGTAAATTTCTCCAGTAGGCAAGACAGAAAATTAGGGTTGAGCTGAATGTCAATTATTCATGCTAATTTCCATTCATGTACAAATATCTGATGAAACTCATATAATGAAGCTGGGTCCATTTTCACCTTTAGTGAAAAGAAAATATCACTGAAAGGATTTGAAACTAGGAACTGAAAATTCAAAATTATCTTTTTCTTGAACACTCGAGGAACTCAAGATTTTCACATTACTTTTGTTTTGGTTTCACTTGTTCGGTCTTTTGTTTGTGTTTTGTTGTTATTGTTTATTTATTATTATTTGTGTTTGTTTGTTGATATTATCTTCTTGGAATGAAAATTCCAAACTAGAGAGAAGGGAATGCTACAAAATTTAAATTTTCCTCCCAGCCTTTAAACCAGGGCATAGTTCACCTCTCCAGAGGCAGCAGCTGCTATCAGTTCTTTGGATAAACTTCCAGAAATATTACATACATATAAGTATCACTTAGACACTGAATTAAGCACATAAAAGAGCCCAAATAGAAGTCACTTAGAAGGTATAGATTTGTTTTTCTCTCATGTCGAAGAGGTCTGGAGGCAGGCACACCAAGCTAGTAAATATCAGAGACTCAGGCACTTTTAATCTTTCTTTGTCATTATTCTCAGGATGTAGTTTTTATCCTTAAAGTCACCTCATGAGCACAACATAATTGCTAGAGTGAAATCTATCACATCAATATTCCAGGCAAGAAGAAGGAAGAACAAAAGGATATCACTCCCAGCAGTCAGCTCCCTTTAAAGAGCTTTCTTGAAAATCCCACATCACATCTAATTGTTTAGCCTTTTAGGCTTAAGCCTAAAGTAGGTTTTAAGGTTTTAAGTAGGTTTTAAGCTGGATACTTTGCAAGTCCCAAATACAGGGGTTCTGTTGGTAAAGAATAAAGGAAGAAGGGATATTGAATAGGCAACTAGCAACCCACAATATAGAAGCCTACACGTATATGTATTCTCTTCCTTCACATTTTTTAAACAAATGGTAGCTTACTAACACAGTCACATTGCTTTTAACTCTATCCTCCACATTCATTAGATTTCAGTGGTACCAAAACCAAAGGCCAAAGGCCAGGGCTGATTCCTCTAAAAGATAGGCTCTGCCCTCCTTCAGCTGCTCATAATAACAATTGCTTCCTGCACTCCTTGCTATGCAAAGAGGAGCAGTCACAAACCAGCAACATCACTGTTACCTAAAAGCTTCCAGAGTCTACTAGAAATGCAGAATCTCAGCTCTTCTCCAAGTCTACTGAATCAGAATTTGTAGTTTAACAAGATCTCAGGTAGTGTGGATGAGGATTTCAGTTTGAGAAGCAGTATGCACATTTAGCCCTTCTAAGGTTCCAGATTAGTGACAGCAAAGCTTGAGAGTCTGTTAGGAGCCTTCTCCCAACTAGCTTTTGGGGTCTGGAAGTAATTCCATATCCTAGGCGGGGTATCTGTGAGAACCCTAGAGTAAACCAGCACCAGTTTGAGCATCAAGCTGTAAACTTACTAATCTATTTCTGATTGTGCCAGTAGTCAGAAGTTCTGGTCCTTCTTCCCTAATGTCGTGGGCTGGGTCCTTCCTCCTATCCCCACTCCCTCTCTGCAAAACTTGAAGGAAAGTAGCATTCAACTCCAGCTAACTCCCTGGTTTTATCTTCCCTTTTCTTACGGAGCTGTCCTTGCTTCCAGTTTCCTTGACTCTTCTCAAATGAGCCTCACTTGTTTCTAATCATTAAAACCAAAAACTCTGAGAATTTATCACCATCCTGAAGCCTAGATCCTGGCTTTTTTTTTCTTTTTTTGCTTCATTGAGTCAGGACAACGTTGATGTCTCAGTCAATTTGAGCTGCTACAACACAGCACCATAGACTGAGTGGCTTAAACAACAGAAATGTATTTGTCGCAGTTCTGGAGGACAGGAAGTCCAAGATCAGGGTGCCAGCATAGTCAGGCTCGGGTGAGGGCCCCCCTCTTGATTCACAGATGGATGCCTTCTGTCTGTAACCTCACATGGTAGGGAAGAGAGACAAAAGGAGACCAGGCTCTCTCCTGTCTCTTCTTATTGGGGCACTAGTCTCATCATGGGGGCTCCACCCTCATGACCTAATTACCTTCCAAAAGCATCACCTCCTAATACCAGCATGTTAAGGATTAGAGTTTGAACATGTACATTCTGAGGGGACACAAGCATTCAGTTCATAACACTTGGCTATTTACAGTAGCTAGGCTAAGGGCTGAGTTTGACACCCTCTCAAAGTCTCTTTTAGAGTCAGTCCTGCCTCCCAGATCTCAGGCAGATTTTTTCCACCGTAAGTTTATACCAAGCCTTGAGCGTCCCTGATGGTTCTCTTTTACCCAAGGGTAAAATCAGCCTAATGCCCAAAAGACCATGCTGCTAATGTCAAGGTGTAACTTGTTGCTTTGTCCCACCATTTTTTAAGTCCACTGTTAGCACAGCAAGAACTGCTTCTAGGTGCTGGGGCCAGGCTGAAATGCAGAGGTTGGTTAAGTGGCTCTAGCTGGGATGGAGATAGGCAAGCTTAGCAGAACCTAATAATTGCAGTCTAGTTGGGTCCTAATGTCAACACTATGTGAATTTGGATGGATAAAAAGGCCATTAGATTTGACAAAATGTAGGCTATTTACCTTTAAGAGAGCAATCTCAGCAGAAAAGTAGGGCCAGAAGGCAGATTGCAATGAATTAAGCAAGGAATGAAAAACAGAGGAGAAGAGGCAGCTGATAACATTCATTTCTGACATCTGTGGGTAGAAGGAAGAAGCTATAAGATGTAACAGAATCAAATTATATTTTTGTAAGATAAGGGAGAACTACACATTTTTGAAGCAGAAGGGAAAGAGTCTGTGCAAAGGACATACTGGAGACAAACTCAATAGAGCAACAGAAAAATCTTTGAGAGTAAAGATAATGAAGGAACACTGCAGAGGGGTTGTCTAAAGAGGAGGAACTTCTCATATATAGTAAGAAAGAATGAAGGAATAAATGTAGACACAAAATACAATCAGGTGTGTCTGCACATTGGTTCACCTAAATAGTCTTACACTCAACAAAGTAATAGAACAGGCAATGTTTTTTATTACATTGAGGACTTTCATAGAATCAAAGATTTGTATTGTAAGAAAAGCTTATGGAAACAAATCTGTTGGTGTAATTTTTTTTTTTCATTTAAAGAGATGGGAAACCATGAATGAAAAAAATAAACTGATTTGCCAAGACTGGTTTAAAGTAATCTAGTGGCCTTCAGGACTTGACACTATCTAAAGAGTCCCAATGGGGACATAGACACTCTAAGAGTAAGCCCTAATGAGTTAACCTCACTTCACTTTTGGACATAGTTACTAGGCTATGCTGGGATTCAAGTGTGCTATGATCCAAGGTGCTATGGTTTGTTTTGTCCCTGCCAAAACTCATGTTGAAATTTGTTCCTCAATATGGCAATACTGGGAGGTGACTCCCAGTGGAAGGTGTTTGAGTCAGTGGGGCAGATCCCTCATGAATAGACTAATGCTCTCCTTTGGGAGTAAGTGACTTCTCACTCTCATGGTAATGGATTAGTTTCTGAGAGAACAGGTTGTTAGAGTCTGGTTTCCTTGGTTTCATTCTCCCTCCATGCGATCGATTTGCACATGCCAGCTTCCCTCTGCTTTCTGACACAAGTTGACGCAGCCTAAGACCCCCACCAGATGCAGATGCCCAACTCTGAACATTCCAGCCATCAGAATTGTAAGCCAAATTAATATATTTTCTTTATAAACTACCTAGTCTCAGGTATTCTGTTATAGCAACACAAAACAAGCCAAGACACATGCACCTCAAGGTGCAAATTCAAGTGCACCTGAATTTCATCAAAGCATTTAGCAATCAATTACACTCCAAAAATAATGAATCTCCTGGACCAAAACCAGATGCAAGCAACTGAAGGGAAATATCATGTTAATATAGTTCTGGGGCTTTTCCAAAGACATCTCAGAACTCTTAGTTTGGGCAATAAGAAAATGGGAATCAAAGGAAAAAAATCATTATATCAAAAAGACACAAGCATGCATATTTTTATCACAGCATAATTCACAATTGCAAAGATATGAAACCAACCTAAGTGTCCATCAACTGAAGAGTGGATAAAGAAAATTAGGTATATTCGCACCAGGGAATACTACCCAGCCACAAAAAAGAATGAAATAATGTCTTCTGCAGCAACTTGGATGGAACTTGAGACCATTATTCAAAGTAATTCAGGAGTGAAAAACCAAATATCATGTGTTCTCACTTATAAGTGGGAGCTAAGCTATGGGTACACGAAGGGATACAGAGTGGTATAGTGGATATTGGAGACTCAGAAGGGAGGAGGGTGGAAAGAGGATAAGGTGATTTTTAAAAAACTACATATTGTCTCAAACTATGAAACTACTACAAGAAAACATTAGGAAAACTCCCCAGGACATCAGTCTGGGCAAAAATTTCTTGAACAATACCCCGCAAGCACAGGCAAACAAAGCAAAAATGGACAAATGGGATCACATAAAGTTAAAAACCTTCTCCATAGCAAATGAAACAATCAACAAGGTGAAGAGATGATGTACAGAATGGGAGAAAACATTTGCAAATTACCCCTCTGTCAAGGGGTACTAACTAGAATATATAAGGAGCTCAAGCAACTCTATAGGAAAAACTCCAATTATCCAGTTAGAAAATGGGCAAAAGATCTGAATAGATATTTCTTAAAAGAAAACATACAAACGGGAAATAGACATATGAAAAAGTGTTCAACATCATTGATCATCAGAGAAATGCAAATCAAAACTACAGTGGAATATCATCTCAATCCAGTTAAAATGGCTTATATCCAAAAGAATAGTAATAACAAATGCTGGCAAGTATTTGGAGAAAAGGGAACCCTTGTATACTGTTGATGGGAATGTAAATTAGTACAGCAACTATGGAGAACAGTTTGGAGGTTTCTCAAAAAACTGAAAAGAGAGCTTCCATACAATCCAGCAATCGCACTGCTGGGTAAATATTCAAAAGAAAGGAAATTGGTATATCATAGAGATATCTGCACTGCCATGTTTGTTTCAGCACTGTTTACAATAGGCAAAATTTGGAAGCAACATAAATGTCCATCAACAAATGAATGGATAAAGAAAATGTGGTACATATACACAATGGAGTACTGTTCAGCCATAAAAAAAGAATGAGATCCTGAGATCTTGTCATTTGCAACAACATGGATGGAACTGGAGGACATTATTCTAAGTGAAATAAGCCAGGCACAGAAAGACAAACATCATATGTTCTCACCTATATGTGGGATCTAAAAATCAAACTCATGGAGATAGACAGTAGAAGGATGGTTACCAGAGGCTGGGAAGGGTAGCGGGAGGGGTTAGAGGAGCTGGGGATGGTTAATAGGTATAAAAAAAGAAGTTACAAAGAATGAATAAGACCTAGTATTTGATAGCATAACAGGGTGACTATAGTCTATAATAACTTAATTGTACATTTTAAATAACTAAAACAGTATAATTTGGATTGTTTGTAACACAAAGGATAAAATGCTTGAAGGGATGGATACCCCATTTTACATGATGGGATTATTATGCATTCCATGCCTGTATCAAAACATCTCATGTACCCCACAAATACATACACCTTCAATATACCCACAAAGAGATATAAAATAATTTTTAAAATTACATATTGGGTACAATGTACACTACTCAGGTGACAGGTACACTAAAATTTCAGACTTCACTATTATGCGATTCATCCATGTAACCAAAACCACTTATACCCCTAAAGCTACTGAAATTAAAAAAAAAAGAAATAAAGAAAATGGGTACCATTCATGAAAAAAAGTTCTGATTTCTATTGATTTGAACATATTATTATGAAAAATTGATGGTTGTTGCTCACTGAATTGAAAAAGTTACAATAAGGCCAAACGTAAAGTCTAAGAACTCTAGATTATTAGACACAAGCATCCTGGAGCTATGTTGTTCTTTTGACTCATATCTTGTATTCTTGTGCTGCAGAAAAATGCTTTTAAAAGCTTAAGCCACCATTTAAAAAGTACATAGCATATAGTGAGCAACGTGTGGAGGTGGATAGCACTTAATTCTAAGAAAGGATTACTCTGAAGAATTACACCATCATCCTGGGGATTACAGTATAAAAGACCTTGCCACTACTTTGCTAAGTAAATGCAGCTTTGGATTGTGAAAGGAGAACTGCATATTGATCAGCAGTAAGCAGAGAGGTTAACATCATGGGCTCCAAAGCCAGAGTGTCCCTACCTAAGTGGTTTGGGGACATGTTAATTAAACTCTGTGCCTCAATTTTCTCATACATAGAATAAAATCAACAATACAACTTAGCACTTGGAGATAGAAGGACTTAGTGAATTAATGAACATACAGTGTTCAAAATAGTATCCAACTAAACCCTGTGCTAAGCACTAGATATCCATTATCTTGATAATCTTCACAATAATTGGTGAAGTAGTATGATTATATCTATTTGACAGATTACAAACTGAGGCTCAGTGAGGTTAAATACCTTACCCAAGGCTCACTCTAATAGTAGTGGCAAAGGTAAAAGTTAAACTGAGATCTCTCTGACCACAAAGATGGACTCTTGACCACCATAACCATCAACTGTGAGGTGAGTGTTGGAACCCAGGAACAAGGCTGAAACCCATCCTGAGACCTGGGTATATCAGAGCAACGCTGTTGGCAAGAGTGGCCTCATGTTGATCCCCCAACTGTCAGATGGAACCCCTTGAATCCCTGCCACCCAAGAACAGTAATGGTCCTGAGAATAGAGGTGAATTATTTCCAGCGGTCAGGAGAGAAAAGACACAAAATCTCAGATCCAAGGAGGATGTAGGAGCACAATACAGGAAAAGTGGTGATACTCAGTGTCCATTTTGCCAAGACCATAGGGGAGGCCCAGTAGTCAATGACATGAGATCCTCTCCCACCCTTGATCATGGAGTGGATGGTCTGTGATCTGTTGCAGCAATGACGGAGGATGAGCAGATCCTTGGTTACACAATGGGCTTCACTCAAAGGTCTATCAGTAACAAAAGATGGTACTGAACTGGGAGCAGTGGTGTGGGCCTCCAATATGAGCTACTTCCCACATGGGAAGCTGAGGCAGGAGGGTCACTTGAGTCCAGGAGTTCAAGGTTAGCCTGGAAAACACAGCAAAACACTCTATCTTAAGAAAAAAGAAGAGAGAGAGAGTGAGAAAGCTGATACTGTGGCCAGTTTCTCACACATAACACCCTGGGGCCTTCTCAGAGCTGGGCCTACAGCATCATCAGCCTAATTTTGACTCTTGTGCAAGGCAGTGGAATTAGGTGTCATGCACTCCATCTGCTGATTCAGCCATACATATCACAGCATCTGCCACATTTCACTAGGTAGGACTTTTACGTACGTCCCGCAAGTTAGGAAGGCCATGAAACACCATTCAATTACAGAAAAGCAGGATTCCCTACTACGAAACATCCCCTCTCAACTTCCACAGACACATATGGATAGAGGAATGCCTGTCTTTCTCTTACATTCTCCTGAGAACTATAAACTCCATATTTCTACATGTGGCTTTATCTGCATCGAGGGGCTGAACAGTCTACTGAGTTTACCATGACTCACTGGATGGCAGGAGCAGCACCTGCAACAGAAAGAGCTCCAGACATTGCCATTTGTAAAAACATACCCTCAATGGCTCCTTATTGGCTAAGTCAGCTGCTCAGTGAGAAGCAGACAGGCAGGGGGTGGACATGTCAGTCTGTATGCCCAGAGGGTGGTGCCTGACTGCCTAAGCATGGGGATCAGAGCACAGCTGCTCTGCCATCCACTGCCTCCCAGTGGCTGCTCTGGGGACCTCAGCTCTCAATGCATACAACCTGGAGATGAACACCTACTGCTGGGTTATGTGGTTCTGTGGAAATCTGTATTTGAGGATCCATTGGCACAAATATGCTTCCTGAAATACTGAGGGTGCCCCAAAATGAAAGGGGCACAAAAAGAGTCCAAATGCTCTAGTAAGCCAGAAACCAGATTCAAAATGAGTGGTAAGAACAAGGGTTTTAAGTAGCTAGAGGTTGAAGTCAATAGCTCAAGATGGGAATGTGGGACAGAGGTTGAATAAGCAAGTCTGAGGTCAGCCTGAATAGATACAGGCCAAGAGCTCCTGCCCAAGCCCAACTTTTACTCCAGTTTCTTGGGTCTGACTGCATTTAAATGATCAGGCATGGAGGAGGCAGAGCTCAGTGTAACCTAGATAATTTATAAGTCCCCATAGCCACAAAGACATGTATACTCAACCCAACCCAAGACCTTGCCTGTCACATTCTGACAAGACAAAAACCACTCTCTATCCTCAAAATATACTCGTAGTCATGTGACACATTTATGAATTCTCTTTTAGTTTACATTTTGGATTGTAAACGGGTAAATATTAGATGGAACTTTTCCTTGATAGAAGTATTTTTCTTCAAATGACCTCATAACACTCAGATATAATGATCCTATCAAACTAGCCACATAATACCATTGAAGAATTATTGAATTTGGCAATGTACACTTAGAAAAGTCCTACATGAAATGATCTACTTAAATAGGCCCCTTTACAAAAAAATCTTAGGCAATGTTCTTATTCCTTAATGACTTGCTACCAGAAATGCATTATCTTAGAACAAGGTTCTTTGTGAGTCAGGGTAACATCGATGTCCTCCATGATATTGCTGAGCTGGTGTGTGCAGAGTGTCTGCATCACAGAAGTATGTCACTGAAAGTCTTATCTTTCTTGGTAGAGGCCAGCGAATCATTTGTTTTTCATTTTGAAACTGTCTCCACAAGTGCTTCCCATACACATAAGGGCAGTAAATCCCCAGAGCTTGAATAAATGTGATGCTGTTTCTGTTGTGCATTTTTATGGTCATCGTGGAGAAAACAACTTATTTCCATATTCATTGATTCATTTGGAGTCCAGGGTGCCAGTGGGACTCTTAGAAGAGTGAACCAAATTTCTTCACATAATTTCAGGCTTCACTTGGCATAAGACACTTCCATAGAAGATGCAGCTCTAATTCTGGATTCCTGAAGGAACAGTAGGAGCAGCTTGATTAAAAACAAACAGATTAGGTATTACTGGGAGTCACACTCTCCCCAGAGTGATCCAAATAAATAAGAGGACCGTCTCTCCTAAGACTTCTTCCCCTGAGGATCCTAAGAGCCTAGACTTCTGTTCTGCTGGGCGCACAAGATAGCACAGATAGGCCTGGGTGACAGTTGCACTAAAAGGCCCTCTCGGGAGCCATAGAAAAAGAAATGTGGCCACAAAGCATGGGGAGATGAAACTGTCCACCTGCTGCCTCTTCTTCAGTCTCAGAGTTTCTTGATAAGCCCTCTAGAATAAGGAAGGATAAATATGCTGCCTGTATTAATCTGTTCTCACGCTGCTATGAAGAAATACCCAAGACTGGGTAATTTATAAAGGAAAGTGGTTTAATTGACTCACAGTTCATCATGGTTGGGGCAGACTCAGGAAACTTACAATCATGGCAGAAGGCACCTTTTCACAGGGTGGCGGGAGAGAGAATGAGTGCCAAGAGAAGGGGGAAGTCCCTGATAAAACCACAAGATCTCACGGGAACTCACTCACTATCATGAGAATGGCATGGGGGAAACCACCCCCATGATTCAATTATCTCTACCTGGTCCCACCTTTGACACATGGGGATTATTACAATTCAAGGTGAGATTTGGGTGGGGAAACAGAGCCAAACCATATTGCTGTCCAATCCACTGAGGGTGAACCCTTGGACAAAGCTGAGCCCTCAACCCCTTAGAAGATGGACTTGAAAGTTTCCCAAATTAGTAGCCACATGTTATGTATCTGGACATTCCGTTGTTTATCATCCTGACTTAGGACAAGAGGGTATGCTGAATTCAGGCTTGCTATGAGGGTTGGAACACTGCCTGCCTGATGAAAACTGCTGTATCAGTTCAACAGGGTGACTGGAAAAGTCTTATCCTATCATATTATTTCTCTCTCCCCAGTGAAGGAAGCAGTATGCATTCTGAAATATCCATAGCATTTTTGATATCTTTCAAGTGTTTGGTTTCATGTAAAATCAACCAAAGTTAACCCATAAATGAAAAGACTCTACTATCCTTTTTCTTTCCACATGTTTATACTTCATCCATCTGTTGAAGATGGTATTATATAATCATTGGCTTGTTCTCATCTTTAGTGCATGATCCACACAATATCAAAGCAAGGCAGCAAAAATCTGGAGAACTTATTGAATCATGGCAATAACTCTGATGCACACAAGCAGAGCTGGAGTTTACAGTGGCTGAGCAACATGGTGACCCACAAGGGAACTTCAGAATTGCTACCATGCTGGAGTTCTGAAATTCATCCACTGTATTTCAGACACCCTGGTTTTCCTCCCTTACCTCACTTTGCAATGCAATTCTTCTCATTTATTCATTCAGAAGCATTTGATGAAACATTCTTCTTAGCAGGCAGTGCTAAGTGTTAGAAATGCAAAGTTGAATTGAGAAAAAGCTCTCATCCTGAAAGAGCTTCATAGTAGAGACAAACATGTAAATAAGTATAATCACCATGCGAAATGTGCCTTATTCAAGGAGTATGATGATGTGTCAAAGTAGAGGAAGAAGCAGATTCTCTCCCTGATGGAGCTGGGGCAGGACTCTCAGAGGACACGATCTTTGCATCAGGTCTCTCGGAGGGTAGTTCCTGCCTTCCAGGACCTACTTAGAAGATAACGAATGGACACAATGCTGTGATACAAAGCAGTACCTTGAAGCTGCCATTACAGATATAAGAACAAAGTGCAGAGACTGTTCAGACTAGAGATGGATCAACTAAAAAAATCAAAGAAAGTGACATTTACAACTGGGCTTAAAGAATGAGAGGGTTTGTGCATGCAGAGATGTGAGAACAGGGTGAGGGGGTCATGGGAAAGCAAAGAATGGGGTGTACTCAGGGAGTTGGAGTACAGATGCATGGCAGAGGAGAGTGGAAGATAAGCCTTGGAGCCAGGCTGAAGCAGGATCATAAAGGGACTGGAAGTGGATAGCAAGTGCATATGCATTTGCACCAGTGAAACAATCTTTGTTACTGAGTACCTACCTCAAATTGTGAATAAAGATTTAAGAAGATGTGTATTGCCATCAAAATTCAAACATGCTATAATTGCTATAAAACTCACCTTTAAGAAAATAAAGAAACCTCACTGATTTCATATTTTTCTCCAGCGACTATCCTTTTTCTCCTCCTCTTTCAGTAAAACTCCTTGAAAGAACTGTTAATATTCTATTTTCTCTTGAACCTGCTCTGATCGGATTTTTGCCCTTCTCTCCACCAAAATGACCATAATTAAGACCACTGATGTCTTCCACTGGTCCAGTCCAGTGTTCAACGCTCACTCATTGTTCTTAACCAATCAGAGACCTTTAACACAGCCAATAGCCTCAATTTCTGTACCCCTCATACTTCTCTGGTCAGTCCTTTTTGGTCTCTTTTGCTGGTTTCTAGTCTTCTCTCCAATTGCTGAATGTTGTGATGCTCCAGAACTTCATCCATGGACCCCTTCTCTGACTTCACTCACTTCCTTAGTCACATGGCTTTAAATACCATCTACAGATATTCTATTAACCTCTACATGTGTCATTGCTCTTTACCTGAGAATTTCTCAGCGTTGTGCTTTCATCAAGCAACCTTCGTGCATGAGGTAACTTCTTCCCCATCTCACCCCCACAGAAAGTAGGCTGGCTTCACCTTACTGTGAAAACAGCACAGAATTTCCTTCCAGTAACACAACCCACAAGTGTGCGAGCATCCATCAAGGCCCAAGAGGCATGATAAATGGAGAAAAGAGATATGAAACTTGTGTTGCCCTCTGCACTGTGAATAAAAGTCCTCTGTTTCTGACCCAGCACCCATGGAACAGTAATAGACTAATTTGTTAATTTATAAGTAGGGTAAAATCCCTGCAAAGTTTCTGACATTAAGTAGCTATGCTTTCTCTTAGAAGTTACTTAATACCTTAACTGAAATACGTTACATATAGAAGCTTTCTATTCACAAATGTTCAACTTAATGACTTTCATTAGAATAAAGCTCTGCACAGAGCAGTGTGTCAGTCTCTGTCTGCCTCCCATAGGCAGACTTGGTGAAGGATTTCAGAGAGTCATTTTGAACTTGAGGATAAAATAACTAACAAGCAGTATTGTAGAACCTGTGTGATATGGTTTGGCTGTGTCCCCACCCAAATCTCATCTTGAATTGTAGCTCCAATAATTCTCACATGTCATGGGAGGGACCTGATGGGAGACAACTGAATCATGGGAGTGGGACTTTTCCATGCTGTTCTTGTGATAGTGAATAAGTCTCATGAGATCTGCTGGTTTTATAAAGGGGAGTTTCCCTGCACATGATTTCTTGCATGCCACCATGTAAGACATGATTTTACTCATCATTTGCCTTCTGCCATTATTGTGAGGCCTCCCCAGCCATGTGCAACTGTGAGTCAATTAAACCTCTTTCCTTTATAAATTGCCCAGTATTGGGTTGTATGTCTTTATTAGCAGTGTGAGAACAGACTAATACAGTAAATTGGTGCCAGGAGTGGAGTATTGCTGTAAAGATACCCAAAGATGTATAATCAACTTTGAAACTAGGTAACAGGCAGAGAGTGGAACAGTTCGAAGGGCTCAGAAGACAGGAAGGTGTGAAAAAGTTTGGAACTCCCTAGAGACTTATTGAATAACTTTGTTCAAAATGCTGATAGTGATATGGACAATGAAGTCCTGGTTGAGTAGTCTCAGATAGAGATGAGGAACTTGTTGGAAAGTAAAATAAAGGTGACTCTTGCTATGTTTAGCAGGTGGCATTTTGCCCCTGCCCTAGAGATCTGTAGATCTTTGAACTTGAGAGAGATAATTTAGGGTATCAGACGGAAGAAATTTCTAAGCAACAAAGCATTTAAGAGGTGATTTGGTGCTGCTAAGTATTAATATATTAATGTATTTATGTATTAATAAAGATATGGTTTGGAATTGGAACTTATGTTTAAAAGGGAAGCAGAGCATTAAAGTTCAGAAAATGTGCAGGCTGATGATGCAATTCAAAAGCAAAACCCATTTTCTGAGGAGAAATTCAAGCTGGCTGCAGAAATTTGTATAGAAGCCAAATGTTAATTGCTGGAACAATGGGGAAAATATCTCCAGGGCATTTCAGAGGTCTTCATGGCAGCGCCCCCCATAACAAGCTGGTAGGCCTAGGAGGAAAAAATGGTTTCATGGGCTGGGCCCAGGACCTTGCTGCTTTGTACAGTCCGGAGACTTGGTGCCCTGCATCCCAGTTGTGGCTAAAAGGGGCCAATGTACAGCTCAGGCTGTTGTTTCAGAGGGTGCAAGCCCCTAGCCTTGGCAGCATACACGTGGTATTGGGCTTGCAGAGGCACAGAAATTAAGAACTGAGGTTTGAGAACCTCCACCTAGATTTCAGAGGATGTATGGAAATACCTGGATGTCCAGGCAGAGGTGTGCTGCAGGAGCACAGCCCTCAAGGAGAATCTCTGCTAGTGCAGTGCACAAGGGAAATGTGCAGTGGGAATCCCCACACAGAGTCACCACTGGGGCAATGCCTAGTGGAGCTGTGAGATGAGGGCCACTGTCCTTCAGACCCCAGAATGGTAGATCCACTGACAGCTTGTACCATGGACCTGGAAAAGCCACAGACACTCATTGCCAGTCTATGAAAGCAGCCAGGATGGGGGTGATACCCTGCAAAGCCACAGCTGTGTAGCTGCTCAAGACCATGGGAACCCCCTCCCTTGCATCAGTGTGACCCGGATGTGAGACATGGAGTCAAAGGAGATCATTTTGGCGCTTACTGCCCTGCTGGATTTTGGACTTCCAAGGGGCCTGTAGCTCCTTTGTTTGGCCAGTTTCTCCCATTTGCAATAGGTGTATTTACCCAATGCCTGTACCCCCATTGTATCTTGGAAGTAATTAACATGCTTTTGATTTTACAGGCTCATAGGTGGAAGGGACTTGCTTTATCTCAGATGAGACTTTGGACTCTGGATTTTTGAGTTAATGCTGAAATGTGTTAAGACTTTGGGGGACAGTTGGGAAGGCATGATTCATTTTGAAATGTGAGGACATGAGATTTGGTAGGGGCCAGGAGTGGAATGTTATGGTTTGGCTGTGTCCCCACCCAAATCTCATCTTGAATTATAGCTCCTATAATTCCCACGTCATGGGAGGGACCCAGTGGGAGGTAGTTGAATCTTGGCTGTGGGTTTTTCCCATGCTGTTCTCATGATAGTGAATAAGTCTCACAATATCTGATGGTTTTATAAAGGGGAGTTCCCCTGCACACACTCTCTTGCCTCCCACCATGTAAGACATGACTTTTCCCCACCTTTGCCTTCTGCCATGATTGTGAGGCCTCCTCAGCCATGGAGCTGTGAGTCCATTAAACCTCTTTCCTTTATAAATTACCCAGTCTTAGGTATGTCTTTATTAGAAGCATGAGAACAGACTAATATACCATATATAAAATAGAGAAACATCTATCATTCCTTAAGGATTCTTTTAAGCTTTAAGGCTTCAATGTTGGTGTGAATGTGGGGAAACTTAGGAGAGTGACTGGGGAGTTATGTTGTTCAAGGATTCTTCTGCCTTTCTTCAAGCCCAGCAATCCTCTCATTGAATGCCTCTCTTCTCTGAGTTCCCTGGAGGACCTTTTTTAATCCCTCTATTTCACATAACAGTGGTCACTAAAGACACATGATTTCAGGGATGACTCAATTTTTTAATTCATTCTTAATAAGATTCACAACTAGCAGGACACACAGCAAATGGTTATCCTCCTAGTACCTACAGGTGTGAAACCTAATCTAGTCAATTCTTATACAAGGCCTGCAGGTCAAAACAAACCAATCCCACATACAAATCCTATTTGCAAAAACTAATCAATCTCTTAACAAAAAGTGGAGTTAGAATGTAGCTTTATGTCATTTGCATTAATTAAATATATCAAAGAAGATGGAATGTATGCTATCAGAATTTACAATATAGAGAAGAAAGTCATTTTAAATTATATAACTACAGAAATGGATACCTTTAGTGAAAGACAAAAGTTGTCTTTAAAATGAATGACTCTTTCCAAATTTTATTAAAAGCAGAGATAATCAAGACTGTTGTGCTGATGTTATTTACTTTGCCTGTGTTTGTTATTGGCAAGAATGCATTTTCCATTTCTTGTAGACAAGCAGAAAGCCACAGAGACTATTTAAATTCAAATTCTGGGAAATCAAGAACTACACAACAGTCAGCCATCTACAAATTGATGATCAACATGATGTCTAGACAGTTTCTCATGAGGGCAACATTATTAATTAAGCAGCAGTTTGGTTAATCACAATAGCAAAAGTAATTTTTGGAGTAAATATTTCATGAGTATGCCCATCAATAAGGCAAAAGTAAAAGGAAATGTTTTAATTAATTCATTTATAATAATATAGAGATTATGGTTGGCAAATTCTGTTTGAGGACTTGAAGAATGATTTAATATTTCTAGTATGGCATGTCATTGTCTTATTGTTTTCAGCTAATGGTACTGTCTATCTCCATTGCCTGGCCAAAAATTCTTTCATGTCATCTATCAAGACAATATTAAGGTCCATTAGTGAATAGTTAGATCTGACAAATTTTTTCTTGCTATACATTGTTCTGTTCTTTTAAAACTGTGCATTCCTACATTTATCAGTAAGAAAATATTCACTGGATAGGGAGACATAACATGCTTCCATGTTAAGAAACTAACCTTACTTTCTGTCCATCAAAAGACTTGTTATTTGGAAAAGGAAAAATAAATAAATTGACCAGTTCTCTTTAGCACATAGACAATGAATCTTTTCAGAAAATGCAGTTAAACCAATATTTTTATAATAATCCATGGTCTTAAAATTATAAGAAAGAAATATAAGTTACATAGAACTTAAGTAAACACATATTTCTGAAAAAATTATCCAAAGAGCTTACTCTCTTTTGCCTTCATAAAAGTTCATCTATAACCATCTTCACATACATAGCTTGCTTCATGTCTCATCCTACTCCCAAACCTCTCTTTGAATTTCAACTGTATTTACTTGAAGGATAAAATGAAGACTAAAAAGCTTGCATTTATTTTTCAATGTTAGTCATCTGGTCAACATCTTCATTTTTAGCCTAGAAGAAAGTGTGCATTAAAATCACATAAAAATTTCCTGCAACAAGTACAATTTTATTTTATATTATACAGATTTCTTAGAGGGTATTTAGATTTTTATCCTTAAATATATGAATATGTATAACAAAATAATATATGGTTCAACTACTAACAGTTAATACTTTCCAGTCCTCTTACAACAGTGGAAAGATAATTTAGTAGAGGGTGGTATACACTTAGTTTCAGGTCAAGATTCTTCCATCGGGACAGGATTTTTTTTTTTTTCAAGGGAAATTGGTCTCCTGTTGGATTTCCAGGCTCAACTCCATCAAATTAACTCTACATATTGATATGTGAAAACAATGTATCAGCATGACTGAGTTTGTTCTCAAGAGACGTTCTCATCAATCCTCAGGCCTTTCTTCCAGTAAATGCCAATGGATGAACCAGTAAATGCTGATGGACCAACCAATAAATGCTGATGGACTCCAGCATGACAAATTGAATGAGCCAATATTAGAAAACACCAAAATACGTATTTCCTGTCAAAGAGGCTAACAATATGTTAACGTATACTTTAGGCATCATTCTCATATTGAAAAACATCAAAAAAGACAAAATAATAATTCGCTTTAAGTCAATATAAAGGTGTGGGTAGAAGTATTATATTTTTTCCAAAAAAGAGGGAGGCAATGTATTAGAACATTAGAAAATAATATTCGTTGTGGCATTAAGCTATCATGAAGACTTTAGCTTTACACTGGAAAAGTCCCATAGTACTCAATCAAAACATTTTGATATATCTTTGCTTACCTCTCACCTATATGCATGAAAAAATAATGATTTGTGGGATTTAACTTACCTGAGTTTGTTGTGGAGGAATAATCATTGGAATACAAAAACTATCAAGCAACTATGGGCTTACGATCCAATAAGCAACTTCCAAGATAGAATTCGCAATGCATCATCTAAATTTCTGTCTATAGGCAAAACAACAGAACTCCTCGTTCGGAAATTTTCCATTGCAGCCTGATTCCTCCATTCTGTTACTATCCTTCTCCTTCCTTGCAGTGACACTGAAAGAAAATCCAGAGTGTCAGTCATTTTAGTCACAGTTTATAGGAAGAGACTCTTGATCTGCCTGGCTGCTGCTTGGTCTAGCTCTTTAGGTTTCAAAAGAAATCTGGTTTATCCATGTTTATGACACTAGAACTCATGTTGCCCAAACTTACTGAACTATTTTTCAAGCTAAAGGATCATCTTTGAAGTAAGTTCTCCAAAGTAATGAATTCAAAGAGGTATACAAAGTAACAACAGAAAATGCATGTATCAAAAGGTGTACACAGGATAATCCGTGGAAGCATGGGAAGTTGCAGCTTCTTTTTCTATTTATTTTTTATCTAAAAACCTAAGGAACATTAGCTTGTAACAATATCTGACTTATAGTTTAACACTGGTAGCCTCACTAGGCCCACATGCCAGAAGGTCATATGTCACTTAACTACAGGGATACATTCTGAGAAATGCGGCCTTAGGCGATTTCATCATTGTGTGAACATCATAGAGTTTACTTACACAGAACTAGGTGGTGTAGCTGACTACACACCTAGGCTACAAACCTCTATAGCACTGTTACTGTACTGAATACTATAGGCAATTGTAACACAATGGTAAGTATTTATGTATCTAAATATATCTAAATATAGAAGAAGTACAGTAAAAATATGGTATAACACATAAAAGTTAATAAGCCTGTATATTGATAAGCACTTACCATAAATGGAGCTTGCAGGACTGGAAGTTGCTCTCGGTAAGTTGGTGAGGGAGCGATGGGTGAATGTGAAGGCCTAGGATGTTACTCCACACTGCTGTAGACTATAAACACTGTACACTTAGGCTATACTACATTTAATTTTTAAATTTACTTTCTTCAATAATAAATTCATTTTAGCTTACTGTAACATTTTTACTTTATAAACCTTTTAAAGAACCTTTTGACTCTTAAAATATCACTTAGCTTGTAACACAAACACATCGACCTTCTGCAGCTGTACAAAAATATTTTTTCTTTACATCCTTATTTATAAGCCCTTTTCTATTAATTTTTTTTAACTTTTTAAACTTCTTTGTTAAAAACTAAGATCCAGCTGGGTGCAGTGGCTCACGCCTCTAATCCCAACACTTTGGGAGGCTGAGGAGGACGGATCACCTGAGGTCGGGAGTTCAAGATCAGCCTGACCAACATAGAGAAACCCCATCTCTACTAAAAATACACAATTCGCCAGGCATGGTGGTGCATGCCTGTAATCCCAGCGACTCGGGAGGCTGAGGCAGGAGAATCCCCTGAACCCAGGAGGCAGAGGTTTTGGTGAGCTGAGATTGCACTATTGCACTCCAGCCTGGGCAACAAGAGCAAAACTCTGTCTCAAAAAAAAAAGGAAAGAAAAAACTGAGATCCAAACACACACATTAGCCTCAGCCTAATCATCAGTGTCACTGGGATCAGTATCATCAATATCACTGTCTTCTCCATCCACATCCTCTTTCACGGGAAGGTGTTTCAGGGGCAATAACAGGCATGGAGCTGTCATCTCCTATGATCTCCTATGATAACAATGCCTTCTGAAACACCTTCTGAAGGAACTGCCTGAGGCTGTTTTGCATTGAACATTTTTTTTTTTTAGATAGAAGGACTACACTCTACAGTAAGAAGTATAGTATAAATACATAAACCAGTAGCATCATTGTTTACTATCAATATCAAGTATTATATACTATATGTATTTGTGTTTGCTATACTTTTATATGATTGGCAGCACAGTAGGTTTGTTTACAACAGCATTAGCACAAATATGTGAGTGTTGCATGTGCTCTGATGTCACAACAGCTACAATGTCAATAGGAATTTTCAGCCCCATTATAATTTCATAAGACCACCATTATTTATGTGGTTCATCACTGACGGAAATGCTGTTATGCGATGCGTGACTATGCTAGCAGCAACCTGTGTGGAGCAAAACTCCATACTATAATGCAGTTAGCAGTGACGATCGTGTTGGGTGTATTGAGATGAATTACAATCTCTGTGCAGGATTTAGTAGATTTACAGATTATATTATCTGTTTTTAAGAAAACTAATGTTCACAAAATTTCAAGTGGCAAAGACGTTATCTTGGAAGAATCCATGCATTAAAGATAAAACTAATTATGGACACAAATGAATTATTTTAATAGCAGAGTTGACAGGTGTCCTCCTCTTAGTACAAGCTCCCTGTCAAGTACAATGCAAAATAAAAACAACAATGATCTAATCAAAGTGAAAAGACAATACCCCCAGAATTTGAAATTGTCAAGAAAACTGTTTGAAATGTGCTATTTAAAATAATTACGATCTGTTTATACACTTTTGGTGGGAGAGTAAATTAGGTCAACCGTCGTGAAAATCGGCGTGGCAATTCCTCAAAGAGCAAAAAGCAGAACTACCATGAAACCCAGCAATCCTGTTACTGGGTATATACCCAAAGGAATATAAATCACTCTATTATAAAGAGACATGCACGCCTATGTTTATTGCTGCACTATTCTCAATAGTAAAAACACGGAATCAACCCAAATACCCATCAATGATAGACTGGATAAAGAAATTGTGGTACATATACTCCATGGAATACTATGCAACCATAAAAAATAACGAAATCGTATCTTTTGTGGGAAAATGGATGGAGCTGGAGGCTATTTTCCTTAGCAAACTAATGCAGGAACAGGAAACCAAATATCACATGTTCTCACTTATAAATGAGAGCTAAATGATAAGAACTTATGAACACAAAGAAAGAAACAATAGACACTGGGGCCTACTTGAGGGTAGAGGATGGGAGGAAGAAGAGGAGCAGAAAAGATAACTATTGGGTACTGGACTTAATACCTGCGTGATGAAATAATCTGTACAACAAACCCCTGGCACATGTTTGCCTATGTAACAAGCCTTCACATGTACCCCCAAACCTAAAATAAAAGTTAAATAAATAAATAAAATAATTATGTTCTGCTTTTAGGATATATATTTGTAGGTAGGATAAAACATGGACTAGATGTACAAACACCAGATTGATGATCGTAGTTTTCTCCCCAATATCAAAAGATGGCATTTGCTGACAAGAATGGATTGCTATGAACTGTGACTTGTCAAATATTCCTCTCATCATTTTTTAAAATTAGGATGTCATAATCATACTTCATACATTAAAACTTAAGTAATTTTCTTTTTTTAAGTTTTTTGAGCAGTTACTGTAATCTTTTTTTTTTTTTTTTTTTGCTATTATACTTTAAGTACTGGGATACATGTGCAGAACATGCAGGTTTCTTACATAGGTATGCATGTGCCATGGTGGCTTGCTGCACCCATCAACCTGTCATTTAGGTTTTAAGCCCCACATGCATTAGGTATTTGTCCTAATGCTCTCCCTCTCCTTGCCCCCCCACAGGCCCTGGTGTGTGATGTTGCCCTCCCTGTCTCCATGTGTTCCCATTGTTCAACTCCCACTTATGAGTGAGAACATGAGATGTTTGGTTTTCTGTTCCTGTGTAAGACTTAAGCAATTTTCTCAGTGTCATTTCTCCATCTCCACTGTGGCCTAAATTGTGCAGAACCTGCTGCGAGTCTAAATATGAGTTCACAGATGTGATAGGCAGAATAACAGTTCCCTAAAGATTTCCACGTCCTCATCTCTGGAACCTGTGAATAAATCATTGCACATGGCAAACGAGAATGAATAAAGGTTGCAGATAAAATTGATTGATAATCATGTGACCTTAACATGGAGGAATTGTCCTAAGTTGTCCAGGTGTGTCCAGCATCCTTAACAGTAGGACAGGAAGGCAGGGGAGGAAGGACCAGGGAGATGGCAGCCTGAGACAGAATCAGTAGCTAAGGAACACAGGCATCCTCTAGTAGCTGAAAAAGGCAAGGAAACAGAGTTTGCCAGATCTTCCAGGAGTACAGCCCTGCTGACACCTTGATTTTAGCCTCGTAAGGCCCATTTCAGACACCTGGCCTTCAGAACTGTAAGATTTGTGTTGTTTTAAGTCACTAAGTTTGCAGCAATCTCTTACAGCAGCAACCGAAAACTAATGCAAGAGAGTTCTTGATTTACATGTATGCATGCTTGCAGGTATACACATATACACACACACCCCTAAGGGAGAACCCACCAAGAACTAGAAAGTTGTTTGCTGGCAAAAGCCTTCTAACATATGGTTTAGTAAGAAAATGTCCCGACGTTATGAAACCATCACTATCACAGGCCAACATAAAGAAACAAAAATTTGCAACAAATACAGCAAAGGCTTTTTCCCCCATAAGACCTCATATAAATTAATGAAAGCAAGATCAAGTTAATAAATGAGCAAAAAACCTCTGAGGTAATTCACAAAATAAAAAACATAAATGGCTAATAAAATATGAAAATACATCAGATGAAAAAGAACTATTGCAAAAATAAATAAATGAAGAGATGCCATTTTGTTTATTTTCTTGGCATGTATCTTTAAGTGGAACTCTCCTATGGTATGGAAAAGCAGGCATTGTCAGTCACTGCTGTGATAGGATAGATGATACAAACTTTCCAAAAACCAATAATGTGTAAAAAATAGTCATAAAAATATTCAATGGCACTTCTGAAATAATAATTTTACCTCTGGGAATCAGATCATCAAAAATTCAGGAAAAGCATTAATATTTTTCACAATATTATTTATAACTTGAAAACAACTTTCAATAATAGAACATTAATACATAGCAGTATATTTAAATAATACAAATTTATGTAGTCATTAATAATTAAGCTTATGAAGAGTATTAACTTGGGTCATAAGAGTATAAGTGATATATAGCAACTGCAAGAGAGAAAGATTGGAGAGAAATCTATTGTAAAGTTATTAGTGATGGGATTAGGGACCATTTCTTTCTTGTGTATGTAACTGGTTTACTGAATGGGTTGGTAGAATACAGTTGAAAGGCAATTTTGTTTGTTCTCTCACTGTCCCTTCAAGTACACATTACGGCTTTGTTCAGTCTCACCCTTTGGATCATATTTCAAGCAGAATTTATAGCTCTTTTAGCTCCTCAGAGATATTAAATATCTAGTCCAGGTTACTGCAAATTCTCATCCACTTAAAAACTCTCCCGCTCAGCTTGGGCCTGATTTCAACTTGCAGATTTGCAGAGAGGAAGGAACACAACACTGCTTCCTCCTCTTCTCACCCCACTTCTCTCACTGTTCCTCTGCGTTATCGTGGGGATGAAGTAGAAGGAGAAATGATGGGAGAAAAGGAGGAAACAAGGTGTTAGCATGACGGGTTCCATTGTAATCTGGCAGGGATACTCTCTGAGTGTGACAGCTCCCACACGCTCATGCTTCTTCTTGTGGGGTGCTTTTAGGGGTTCTTCAGAATCCCACCCCACCCCCCTTTAGGATCCCTACCTGTTTCTCGGATGATCAGCCTCCCTGGTTTGCCACTTTGCACCCCTACTTGGCTTCTATAGCCAAAGTACCACCATCCTTCTTCTGAGGTCACCTGCCCTACCAGGAAGTCCTCTGGGATGGCTCCAACTCCAGAACAGCACAGGAAGATCTCTCCAGAGGCCTTACCCCCAGGCTAAGGGCACACACACACATCCTGCCCTGCCAATTCCACCCAGTCCTGTCTCCACACACTGTAACCAAAAGCCCCTCTAGACACAGCCTCTTGCCTTCTGACTCTTCCAAGTGTGAGTTGGGTGCCAAGCCCCATGCTTCCCAAAATGTAAGAAATGTTAAGCTCCCCAAGTGCTTTCGCAGCACCCCCTCACCTGGCTTGAGGTGAGAGGAGGTGCCCGCTGGGTGGGAGGAACCATCAGCACCCTGGCAGATTTCTCTGTAAGTCCTTCTCCTAAGACCTCACCCTAAACTTTTCCCTAACCTCTCACCCTCTCAGGGCTTCTTGGCCTTTGTCCAGACAGTCCAGAGATGGATGACAAGCTCAGGGTCCTAATTCACATGGGCAGTCAAAAGCCCCAGATATCTTGTTCTCTGCATTGGAAACTTTAGCCTTTGACACCAGGACTATCAGAAAAAGTTTCTTTTCCCGGTATTATTTTATAATGGGGTTAAAGGGTAGAAACAAACGTTAACAAAGACAAGAAGATAAACTATAGCAGCTATCAAGTATCTATTTTTCATACCTATTGAAGTGCTTATAGTAAGTATTTTTAGACTGGACTAGATTCATAGACAATTTTGTCCTCTAGGAACTGCAGTGTCTTTGGCTCCATGGAATAAAAATCGTCCTCTTAGCATCATAAATGCAGAGGTTAAATTCTACTCCTGCATTTATTCTCTGAATTACTAGTATCCAAAGTACAAATCATCTCTTCTGTTTTATTTTATCACTACTGAATCACCAGCAAGTTAACGTGTTTTCTTGTGGTTTGATTAACAAAGCAATTTAGTATCCAAATATGATTTACATTCCCAGAGCATTTTAAATAATTAAGTAGATGATTGGTATTTAATTTATAAGCAACATGTTTTGATTCCTTCTGTAGCTTTTAAACTTTAAAATAGTTATAGTTAATTAGTGCTAGTACAAAATGCTCAATCATCAGAAAAAAATCAAAACTTTAAAATGGATTTCTTAATAATCTTTGCTGATTATAAAATACAGGAACTGTAAGTCCCAAATCAAAATCTAAGTGAAATATCTAGAAACTGGTTTCTTCCCCCATTTCTGTGTACTTTTTAGAAAGCTATTAAGGCTGCATAGAAATGAAAAGGCTCTTTTAAAATCACAGCTATCATTTTAAAAGAGTTTTTCCACTGCAAACTCTTAAAAGTTGCTCATAAATATTTATCTTTATTAGATTATATTGGCTCTTTAAGTATGGAAACTTGGCATAGATTCTTAAGGTACACATTTTTTCCCTTTTGCAGTTGGTGGGTTTTGTGTATGCCTGTTATGTGATCAGTATTTCCATGGAAGAAGAAGACACATGTAAGTACTGTTTTCTCTCTCCCTGTGGGTTCCTTTTGAATGAGATACAGCTTCCAAAACTAATCATTACAGGGCTATGAAATGAAATCTTTTATATTTGGAGTCTAAAATGATTGAACTCAGCACACTAAAGTTACAGTCAAAAGTTGACAGACTGAATTGCACACAAATAAGGTGACACTACATATAGAAACACTCAATTTGTGAGAGCACGTGCAGAGACTTAGAAGGACAAGGACTGCTGTCATATCATATATTAGCAACTTTTCATCAGACACCTAACCATTATGCCGAGTAGACAGTCAGCGGTTGTTTTACCTATTACCAATTTTAGGCATGTTGGTGGCAGAATTTTGAAGTCTGAGTAACAGTAATGATATCAATACAATAATACATTACAGAAAGATCTATATGTATATAAACCATATAAAATGCAATGAAAAAAACTAAAATTTACAACCTTCCAGATGAGATGCAAAAAAAAAAAAATTTACGAGGTGCTAAAAAAAAGTTAATGGGATGCTTAAAAGCTAAATCATGTTTTAACAGAACACCCAAAGGAAAAACATTTATTAATATTATGACCTGAAGTTATATGATAGAGCTTTAGCACCATAGGTCAACAAATGACTTTCATTGAGTACCTGCTGATGTATAAGACACTTCTTGGCACAACTCTGTTAGGGACTCACTTTTTTTTATTTACTTTCAAAATTTTTTTTTTTTTTTTTTTTTTTTTTTTTTTTTTTGAGACGGAGTCTCCCTCTGTCGCCCAGGCTGGAGTGCAGTGGCGTGATCTCAGCTCACTGCAAGCTCCGCCTCCCAGGTTCACACCATTCTCCTGCCTCAGCCTCCTGAGTGGCTGGAACTACAGGCACCCGCCACCATGTCCGGCTAATTTTTTTGTATTTTTAGTAGAGAAGGGGTTTCACCGTGTTAGCCAGGATGGTCTCGATCTCCTGACCTCGTGATCCACCCGCCTCGGCCTCCCAAAGTGCTGGGATTACAGGCGTCAGCCACCATGCCCAGCCTACTTTCAAAATTTTAATTTACTTTCAAAATTTTAATTTACTTTCAAAAAATAAATTATTTTAGATAAAGAAATCACACCTAACCAAACCAGAGATTGCATTGCAGTCATTGTTTGAATTTGTAACAAAATGAAGCAAAGTAGCTAGCCATTGTAACTTCCTTCCAGAACACAACCTCAAAGGGGTCTGATGAACGCTTCCCATCAAACAGATGAGTGGTGCATGATATATGAGTTGGAATCCAGAATCTGATGGGGTCTTGTCTCAATTTATTTGACCAAACCTCAGACCCTGAGATTAAAAGTATCAGGCAGTGAAAGCATGCAGACAAATTGCATCATGTATTTAATGCTTACACAGAGTTTTTTTTTTTTTTTAATGCTAGATAAGTCAAAAAATTTCTGTCACTTGACAAGTGCAGTTCTAATGACAACACTTTTCATTTTGAGGTTAACTTCAAATCTCTATTTTTAGGAGTTTTATTAGTAGTTCTACAACCTGATGGAGTTAATATACAGAAGGTTAGCAGCATGCTTCCAACCCAGAGCTAAGACAGGCTGCACAGCCAAAAAACAGTTGGTTGAGCATGAACAATATTAACTGGAATTTCAACCTGAAAGTTATTGGAATTTGAGCTGAATAAGTCAAAAAATTAATAAATTGATAAGTCCTAGCTGAATCTCTTACAAAGTAGATACCTACTTTTGAGTAGTTATCAAACAACAACAACATCCAAAACAAACAGTCCTCTTTCTTTTCCTCCTCACTAAACTGGTCAAAGACTCTCAAAAGACACCAGTGCTCAGTTGTACCTAACAGTGGGAGAAAAGGCAGATTAATCAATAGTCTTATTATGTAGTGCAATAAATATACAACAGTCTTTTCCTTGAGACTTGTGGTTTAAGCAAAGCTGGGAAATGCAAAATGGCATGTAAAATAAAAGACTCATCTAAATGGATACTTCTGTTAACTTTCTATTAGCCTTCTTTTCAGTGTATATAAATTGTATTGTTCACTGCCAGATATCGTCGTTCCATTGACTTTGATGTCTTTAATTAACTTAAGTTTCTCTATAGAAATCTCTGAATCAGCTATTTCAGTGCCCTTCAAACTGGGATTGAAGCAGCTGCTAGGAGACTATTCTATTAGTGGTTTAATTCTAGCATTTGTTATTAGGGCCATACATTACATTACCAAGAGACATCTGGATATAGTACTTGTATTGTCATCAATTCAAATTGACTCAGAGTCAAAACGAAACTTGGGTGCTCAAAGCAAAGTATATATGCCAAAGACTAACTTAACATGATAATCTGCTGGAAGAGAGATGATAATGGAAAGCAGTCACAAATATTTGATAGTTCTCAAATGAGGGTAATTTTATATTTTTTATTGAATGAGGTAGGAAACAAAAGTGCAGATGTAATTAAGTTGTCCCAGGGTCTTCAGAAGGCAGATGTGAGCAAAAAGTAATGTCTGAAGCCAATTGCAATGATCTCATACACTAGTACTATTTGTGCCAACACTTAGCTTTTAGGTGCAAAAATGAACTGCCCCTTGGATATGACATTACCAACCCTCAGTGAGGAAGACATGTCCTTTGAATTATTTTTCCAAAACTTACACATAAAATAAGTAAACAATACTGGTATCTTTCCAATTTGTCTAAGTACACTTCTGGAAATCTTATTCTAAAAGAGATCTGCAAATATAATATAATGTCAGTTTTTTGGCAGGCAATACATCATTCATAACTTTGATTCTATTCTAACTAATGAAAATTTCTGCATTATTCAAAATGCAAAGTTAAGCCTTGTTCTTGGGCTGAAAACTGCCAGCCAGCCTTAAAAATTAATAACAGCTACCACTTCTCTCCTCTGCACTGTTAAAGTGGATATATGGGACTAACATTTCAGACAGATATTTCCGAAGGGTAATAAATACTTGAGGAAACACTTATTTCTAGCCACCCGTCTTCTTAGTTACCTCTCAGCCTCTTTTATTAACTATTTCTTATAAAGATTATGATTGCAGGTCAAAGACAATGAAATAAAAAGCTCACAAAAGGCAGAGTGCTAGGTGGGGTCAGAGCTTCTCGTCATTCATTCTAATGAAAAAGCTTAGTTATATCTCTTCCTTCCATTTTTCATTGCTTTTAAATATATATACATAAATATATATCAATCTCCATGAACACTTTCATGAGACTAGAATCTCTGGAATCATAATGATAGAAATCTGTCAACACCTTGTTTGGGAATCATTTGCTGAAAATGAACTTGAGGATTTGTTACTACTTGTTAGACTTTCCAGAAATAATGTTTTTAATTCAGAGAAGTGTGGAGATAAGGTGAAAAATAGCATTTTACTTGTATCAATACTGCCAGGCTTTTTCAGAGGGTCTGTTGCTAGCACTACTTCTTCTGATATTAGGCTGCAAATTGCAACTGGCACATTTATTTGGGCTCACAAAGGCTAGTCTGGGTTGTATATGTTGAATGATGAGAGACAAAAGTATATTGAAAACCCTAACAGTTTTTGAAAGGAAATGAATCCCTCAGATGTGGGTTCAATATTTTACATTAAAAAGCTCTAAATAGTTCTTTATATAAACATTTGACCCTTGCTATTATACTTTTGAGGAACTTTTTATTGGAAGGAAGCGTAACTATCGGAAAAACATTTCATCGCTCTACTGTCCTGAAGCTTCCTGCTGGCTAATGTTCATGTATTTACCTGTCTGCCCATGAACTCCTTCTAAGAAAATGAGGTGATATTTCCATAGCATTGGTGTGAGCTGAAAACTTTTTAAAATCCTATCTCCACCTAAGAATTTATGAAAGAAGCGAATGTGGTAGGAAAAAAAAAGACTAGTTTGAATGTTAATTTATGAATTTCCTTTTCCAACTTATAATGTATGGAAGCCTCAGAGAAGTAAGGTGACCACAAGGCCAGACACCAGGGGAGGGAATAAGCAGAGGCCTGGAAGATCTTCAGAGTAGAAAACCAGTCCATTGTTTTGCACCCCTAGCAATGTATGAACATTTGAAGGTGAGAGCAGAGGACAGTGCTGTGAGTCAAACATGGAAAAATGTGCAAAATTGGTAAGGGTGATCCTGAAGTCACAGTGAACATTTCAAAGGAGCCACCACATTTGCCTAATAAGCCATTAAGAATCTACTGATTCTCACAGTGCATATATTTTTTTTTTTTTGGTAACTATCTAGTTGGTTGCATGTAACTGTCCTAAAGGCTGATTCTCTCTCCTTCAGTCTCACTAGAGCTCAGATTTAGATCCTGAAACATTTTCCTAATTTGCTGAGATGGCTCTGCCAAATAGCTACACAATGACTAGCTAATCCTCCCACTAGCAAGATCTATGAAGGTAGAATCTTTGTTTTGCTCCCCACTGTAACCCTATAGTTCAGAAAAATGCCTTGTATGTAGAATTCAATAAAGAAATATTTGTTGGCTGGGTGTGGTGGCTCAACCCTATAATCTCAGCACTTTGCAAGGCTGAAGCAGGCAAATCACTTGAGCTCAGCAATTCAAGGGCAGCCTGGGCAACACGGTGAGACCTCATCTCTACCAAAAATACAAAAACATAGCCGGGTGTGGTGGTGTGTGCCTGTGGTCCCAGCTACTCGGGAGGCTCAGGTGGGAGTATCACTTGAGCTTGGGATCGGAAGTGGGAGTTGGTGGGATGGAGGTTCCAGGTTTCAGTGAGCTGAGATCCTGCCACTGCACTCCAGCCTGGCTGACAGAGGGAGACGCTGTCTCAAAAAAAAAATAAGAAAAAGAAATATTTGTTGAGTTTATAGTGTTAAATAAATTTTCTGGGCCCAACAACTCAGTTTTACAAAGTCATTTTTAAAACTCCAAGGTTCTCAAGTTTGATACTGCTTTATATTTAGAATTTAGTGAGATGTCCGATGCACTTGCAAATGTTTATGTGAGGCAAGTGGAGGTCCTACATTTTTAATGCAATTAGATATATTTTTAGTAATTTTGAAAATCAAGGTATAGGGAGATAAAGTAAACATCCACTGTACCACGTCAGAACAAGAGCTTAATTTTGTAAACTCCTGGACAAGACACTGCTGAGAAAACAGGGACTTACTTGAAAGGGATGCACTCACAGAGTAAGGCAGGCATTTAGGAGTCGACTCATCTGCAACATGTGGTGAAGGGGACAGAGTTACTGTCAAAGAGTGGGGACCAGCAGGGTTGTAACCTCGGCCACCCCACACAGAGGAAGTTCAGGCAGCACAGAACAGGATCCCAGCTACAGTGCTCTGGTTGAGTGACAAGATTCCATCCCTTAAATAGGTTACTGAGACAGACTCTCTCTCAAGAATATCATAAGCATTCAAATGCCCAAACCAGCAAACCAACTGGAGATTCCCTACAGGGGAAAGATAGAGAAGCCCCTTTACCAGAACCAGATCCAAGGTTACCACTAAACTCACAGTGAAGTAGAGCCTAAAAGATTGCCTATCTCCTTAAGCCAGGATTCCTGATTATAATTCAGCCTGACTAAGAATCATCTACAGCGATATATCCTACTCTCCTCCCTCCCCAACCTCCAGCCACATCTGTTTTCCTGAATCCACCAAGAGCTTTCATACCCAGGCCTTTGAGAGAGGCCTCCTCCCTCTGTTGACCCACTAACTTATATACACCCTTCAGATTTCAGCTTAGCTGTCTCTTCTGAAATTTAACCATTTTTCTCCCACCCTTTCCGGGTTAGTTGAAGATACGGATGATATATTGTGAGATGCTTTCACTGCACACTGTGCTTTTTCCTTGGCAACATTTAACACAACTGTAATTTTTTAAAGTCATATTATTCACCAAGGCTGACCCCATTTCCTAACATAAAGGGAACCCTACACTATTTTCAATGAATAAATATTAAATGAATGAGTCAATGTATGAACAAATGGACTCAGTAAGATGATTAGGGTTTCCAATGGCAGAGATCGGGGAGAAGGTTCTTCCTTTTCTCCTCTCTATCTCCATTTATATAAATGACAGCTCTTCACATCAGCTGAAAAGCTTGGGCATATTCCTTGTATTCCCTGACTCTTCCCTGATTGTCCACACCCAGTTAATCATCAAATGAAACATCTTCACCTCCTGTCTTAGTTCTTCTGGGCTGCTATATCAGAATACCATAGACTGGGTAGCTTATAATAACAGGAAGTTATTTCACAGAGTTCTGTTGTGAAAAGTTTAAGATCAAGGTACCAGCAGACTTGGTGTCTGGTGAGGGCCCACTTCTCTCTTCATAAATGACTGTCTTCTTCCTGTGTTCCCACATGGGCAAGCAAGCAAGGCAGCTCTCTGAGGTCTCTTTTATAAGGGCACTAACCCATCCATGAGTGACCTAATCACTTCCCAAAGACTTCACCTACTAACACCATCACGCTGGGGATTAGGTTTCAACATATGAATTGGTGGGGGTGGGAGGGTAATAAACATTCAGACCATAGCATCTCCTTTCAAATAACTAAAAACTCCTACATGTTCTTTAACATTCTTCTCACAAACACCCTCTTCTCCATGCCGCAGTAGACCCTGAGTGTGTCTCTGAATCTGCACTCAACTTACTTTTTAATTAATTGCATCCCCCACTCATAAAAGGTGGAGATCATATCTTACCTACCGTAGAATCTCAGAACCTGCTTCAGTGTATGGAACATCATAGGAAATCAGTGCATATTTGTTATACAAAATACATAGTGGAGAAAATGCTTGTCTTTACGTTATCTCTCATATCTCTTTCCTCACTCCCTAAGAAAATTTAAACTTCCCATTCCCTGTACCACAGGAAAAAAAATGATTAATTCATAATAAGGTATTTGTGCACTTATATCTTTTATCAATTTTCCAGAGCAAAAGCATGGCCCTATATTATGCACTTACATTATCTGGAAATTTTCTGGAGAGAAGGTGTAGCTTGTTTTGCCAAAAACTTGAGACCAGCAAGCAGACAACTCCTGCACCCCAGAGGGGGTTCTAATTTTCTGTGTTTCTACTTGAAACCAGATGTTAGAAATGATTTCAGTGATGGTGGTCCTAACTGCCAATATCTAGCTCTGTGACCATTGCTGAATCACATCACCTCTTTGGGGATCCGCAAGTCACTGACAGCTCTGACACTGCAGTTCTATAGATGATGCTTTTGGGTGGGGGTGATTTCAACGTGTGATCAGGCACGTCACATTTCCTTCTTCACTGATTTACAAATGGTCAACATCAGGAGTGGTTTCAAAACACCCTGACCTCTATGCTCCAGAGTTACAGTAACAAAGTCTGATGTATCAGCCTCAGCACTAAAACAGGCCCTCTACACGAATGCCTGCCCGCTCAGAAGGAGGAATCACATCTCCCTACTCCCTGCTTTAGACAGGTCAGAGCTCTCCAGTTCTCACCATTACCAACAGTGCCAGGCTGTGCAGCACTTCTCAAGCACTTTACTTGAGAAGGAAGAATGAAGAATCTGCCATTCAGGTGGTGCCGAGTGGAAAATGTGGGATTTGGGATGCAGATGTGATAATGAGGGAGCAGAGTACCAAATTTAAAAATCACACCCTCGTGACACCCTGGATGCACAGCAAAGAAAAAAATGGACTGTAAGGATTTCATGAGGATCTTGTGCAATAGTTTTATCCTGGTTATTAGTGGTAAAATTTAAGAGCCCAGCAGAAGAGCAGTTGACAGCATCTTGCCAGGGCCTCTGTGTTTCCATTTTAAATCTAAATTCAGTATTCTAATCCCAACAACCCCCCTTCTCAACGGTCTCACAAAGCTGGCTCTGCCAGCCCCCCTGTGGGTTTACTGAACCTCCACTTCTGCACGTCTGTCCCTAAGCTGCTTAGTGGTGCAGAGAGGAGCACATAGCCTGATGCAACCTCACAACGTCACATGTGAGCCGCCCAACCCGCTCCAGGGGCCTCCCACTCATTCTTCATCACTGCTTTCTCCAAGGCCCCTAAAAGTGAATTATTTGAGCTGTCAGTGCCGCAGATCACCCTAGCCTCATTTTAGAGAACTTAGAGTTTCTATCCTCATTTTGGGGATGAATAATTGAGGCCCAAAGAGGCAATGTGACCGCCGGCGGCTTTTTCCTCCTCTGCCCTGCACCCTTAGCATTAAGACTCCATCACTGAGACTCTGTCACACAAAAAAATAAAAGCAGTGGGAATGATTTCCTCAAGTTCCCAGGCTCTCTATCTGTCAGATCTGTCTGTATCCATCTGTGATCATCATCTTCCTGACAGAAAAAGCAGACTTCATTTTGTCCCGTGGCTTTTGTGGCTGCTATGTCCATCCCACCCACCTATTTAAGCACCTTGCTCTCTTAATTATTTTTTCTCTCTGTCCCCTCCCCCAACTTTACTCCCTCTGCCCAGCTTCTTCCTCCACTAGGTCTTTTCCCTTCAGCTTATAAACAAAGTCACATCAACCAGAAAAAGAAAATAGAAATCACCCTTGACTCCAACTGGCATGAATTTAACTTTCCTGTCTGTCATACTCCTTTCCTCCACATCCCAACTTCTCTCATACTCCTTCCCTCCACATCCCAGCTTCTCTGCAAAGTGGCCGAGACTGACAGCACTCCCTTCCTCACCCCCCTCCCACTCACTCTCATGCCTCCTGAGTTATCACTGAAGATGCTGTCTCAGAGGCCAGCAGGGACTTCCTAATTGTCAAGTTCTCTTGGATCTTATCAAGATTGATTGACAGCTTTGGCTGCTGTTGACTTCTCCTTCCTTGAACACTTTCTCCCCTGGATTTCCAGAAAATCGCATCTCTTGAACAGCACATATTTTGCCAATTAAAAATTATTTTTAATATCTAGTGTTCAATAGTAGAGTGACTATAATTTACAGTATCTATTGCACTTTGGGAAATAGCTAGATGAGAATATTTTGAATGTTTCTACCGTAAAGAAAAGACAAATATTTAAGTGATGTATATCCCAAGTACACTGATTTGATCTTTGCAAATTATAGGCATGTATTAAATTATCACATGTGCCCCCAAAACTATGTACATCTATTATGCCTCAATTTTTAAAGGTACTTTAAATATTCTTACGCAGATTAAGCAGATTTCTGATGCAGACACAGGTAACCAATTTTGAACAACTTGTTCAAGCTGCTTTTGGAGTGATGAGCTGTCATTATGTCCTTAAAATATTAACTAATCATTCCTACTATAGAGTTTATATTAACATTCACACTGTTATACTAAAGCATTTTCAGTAAGGTCAGCCAATAAAACAGAAATGTTTTTAAAGTAAGACCAGACAATAAAAGAGATGTTTATCCTTTTAAATAACAAAATGGCATATAATATTTTTAAGAGCTATAGTCTTGGACCAATTATTTAAGATTTAATGGAGATCTGATTTTACACTACCTTAAAAAGAAGTATCATACAAGTAACCAGCAATAAAGGGCATATATGGAACACTCATCTTCATGTTCTCTAGACTATGTACTTTACTAAGAAAAAAATAATAATTTAGTGTTCTTTCTGGGAACAATATTTGAAACTGCCACCTAAATGAGATATTAGGGAGTATTCATATGACTTGAATGCAAGTGTGAAAAAAAATAGGGAACATTTGGTAAAAGCATTTATCTCTCCTTCTAAATTGTATAAGACACAAAGTAAGTTAATTATAAATTATTTCTAAGTTATAACAAACTAGTGTTTCCATTTTATCCACATTTTTCCTCATAGAAGGAAACAGATCTTTCTCTTTCTCTCTCTCTCCCTCTCTCTCTTTCTCGCTGATTTTAAGTACAGAAAATCTATATTAAAGTTAGTGGTATTTTCTGAAGACATCTTTCTTTGTCACAGTTCAATCAACTACAAAACTCCTACTGTTTCCCAACCCTTATTCATTTAATACCACCTTCAGCGATATCATGACAGCTATGTACAAGCTTGTGTCAGAGACTGGCTGGCTCTTCACTAAGCCCGTTTGTTTGTTCTCCTCCCAAGCACACAATTGTACCATCTATCCCAGCCTCCAGGCAGTTAGATGCCCCATGAGATTGTATTCTAGACGAGGGTTCCAGTCCTGGCCCCCAAATTACTTCCACGTGTGATTCTTCATGTTCTTATCCTTTCTTCCTGCTGGACATAGACCAGCACTGAAGCTTTGGAAGCCGCACGTTTCAAATGCTGGAGCCACAGTATCAAACGGGCCTGGGTCATTGAGTGTTGCTCAGAGAAAGGTTGACCATATAATTTGAGAAGCAGGTGATAAGTGCCTTTGAGGCATAAGGCACTGAGGAGCACCTGAGAGAGTCTGTCAGAGAAAGGTTCCCTCGCAGACAGGGAGACCCCGAGTAGAAACAGGCAGGAGTTCTCCTGTCATTCAAGGGAGAGTTAGGAGTCCAGCGTATCAAGCATTCAGCAAACAGAAGTGCCTCCAGCATGCCTGGGAAGCTCTCTCTGAGAAGAGGACATGTAGGCTAACACCTGAGGATGAAAAGGAGCTAAGAGGCAAAGGCCAGGAGACCATTCCTGGCAGAAGGAGCAGTAAGCATGCAGGGAATCACTTACTGGAAAGCCTTCCAGCCAAAACAAAGGGCTTGACTTCAGAAGCAGCTTCATACCAAATGGTCGAAGAGATGATCTGGGCTTCCCTGACCTGCTGACTCTCAAAAAAGTAGTGAATTAAAGGGCAGATTGTCCCAGAGACTGCATTGTAAATCCCGTATTGAGCAGGAGGGCTCTGTGAAAAGGATAAAAAGTATACTGTGTTTTCGTATGCTGTGAGAAAAAAATCACAGGTTGGGCTTAAGTTTTATTTTCTTTTCCTTTGCTCTATATTTGCCTCCTTTTCTATTTACTCACCCACGTGTTTATTTGGAAAAGTAAATTAAATCTGTTTCTTTTTTACTTAAGGAAAACAAACACTTAGTTACTAGTCCTAAAGTCAAAGCCAAGGTGTCATACTGACTGTGTTTTCCTCCTAACTGAGACAAGAAAGTTTCAGGGAAACAGGTGAAGACCAAAGTTTCTCTATGACTTTGTACATTTTCATGAGGGAGGCTTTTCTGCCCAGAAAATTCTATTAATATCTACTCAGGGTTTTAAACCATTATGCAATTTTTTAAAGTAACAAATTTTTTAAAAACTGTGGTTTTTTGTTTTTTTAAGCTCTAAATCAAGCTTGTCCAACCCGCAGCCCATGGGCCACATGCAGCCCAGGGTGACTTTAAATGTGGCCCAACACAAATTTGTAAACTTTCTTAAAACTTTATGAGATTGTTTTGAGATTTTTCTTTTAGCTCATCAACTATCATTAGTGTTAGCTTATTTTATGTGCGGCCCAAGACAATTCTTCCAATGTGTCCCAGGGAAGCCAAAAAATTAGACACCACTGCTCTAGATGCTACATAGAACTTTAAGTATTCTGCTTATAAATCTAGCAAGTGTTAAGAGTCACTTTAGGGGAGAGCTTCTTTTCATTGTGCTAAAATACGTGACATAATATTAACCATTTTAATATTTTTAAGTGTACAACTCAGTGGCATTAGGTACATTCAGAGTGTTGTGCGACCATCACTACTATCATTTCCAGAACTTTTTCATCATCCTAAACAGTATCTCTGTACCCATTCAACAACAACTTTTCAACTTTTCATCCTCCCCTCCCTCCAGCCTCTAGTAACCTCCATTCTACCTTTTTTTTTTGGAGACAAAGTCTCATTCTTGTCCCCCAGGCTGGAGTGTGATGGTGCGATCTTAGCTCACTGCAACCTCCGCCTCTCCGGTTCAAACAATTCTCCTGCCTCAGCCTCCTGAGTAGCTGGGATTACAGGCGCCTGACACCATGCCCGGCTAATTTTTGTATTTTTAGTAGAGATGGGGTTTCACCATGTTGGCCAGGCTGGTCTCGAACTCCTGACCACAGGTGATCCACCCGCCTCGGCCTCCCAAAGTGCTGGGATTACAGGCGTGAGTCACAGCGACCTGCCCTCTATTCTACTTTTTATCTCTGTGCATTTGTCTATTCTAATTACCTCATGCAAATAGAATTACACAATATTTGTTCTTTTGTGTATGGTTTATTTAATGTCCCATAAGGTTTTCAAGTTTCATCCATATTGTAGCATGTATCAGAATTTCATCCTTTTTTTTTTTTTGAGACGGAGTCTCACTCTGTCACCCAGGCTAGAGTGCAGTGGCGCGATCTCGGCTCACTGCATGCTCTGCCTCCCGGGTTCATGCCATTCTCCTGCCTCAGCCTCCCGAGTAGCTGGGACTGCAGGTGCCCGCCACCATGCCTGGCTAATTTTGTTTTTGTATTTTTAGTAGAGATGGGGTTTCACCATGTTAGCCAGGATGATCTCAATCTCCTTACCTCATGATCCTCCCACCTTGGCCTCCCAAAGTGCTGGGATTACAGGCGTAAGCCACCACACTGAAACTTCAGTTACTATTCAATCTGTTTAAATTCAATAGTCTACATTCCTTTAAATAATCTGTTCCATTTGTAACTTAAATTCCCTTAAACATTTAACATGAATTCATTGTAATTATCATTTTTGGAAGTCCTTCATATATTTGTCCCAATAAACAAAACATTCGCTGGTTTTTAAGCTAATCCAGCAAATCTAATAAATCTAATAAAATAAGCTCATTCATAAATTAAATCTCAAGTTTTTATAACATTACACAAATTTAATAAAATATTGTCATGTCTTTCAACCTAAAATCACAAGTATAAAATCAATCACTCAATTAAAATTTTGAATTGGTTTCAGTGGGTTAATCTAACAAATCTAATATAATCCATCTGATTATTTTAAGAACTAAAAAGATTTTATATACCAAGCAGACACAGATTATCCCAATGATTATAAAATTCTAACCTGTACTTTCTGAAATAGTATTAACACTATATGGGATTAGCTTACTTTGTTTTCTCTATAGTTAATTTCATGTGTTAGAAATACACTTCTCCAATAAATAAGCATCTCAGACAACTTAAGATTTCTATATGTTCAGGAATTTTCGGCAGGGAAGCGGTACCCAAATTCTAAGAAGATTCTATAGCTTACCACTAATGAATTTAAAGAGCTTTTCTTTAATAGTTGTTGGAACAAAAGAAAATCTCATTCCATAAAATAATCTAGCAGGCCACAGCTACGGGACTCAAAGGACATTAGATTTGAATACAGAAGACTTTACTCCTACTAAGAGTCTCATTTTGGTTGGTTTAATAATTGTTAGCCCTTTAAAACATTTTAACATCTTTTCATATGGCTTGACAGACACTTTGTTGATATTCCATTTGCTTCTTTTAATCATATTACCTGATGGAATCCTGTATTCTTTCCATATTTTAAGTAGGCTGCTAACTCCTGTACGCATTGAAATGTTTGATTGGCTGTATTTCTCTCATATCTTTTCTTGTTCTGAGGTCACTAAACTGTTCATATTCAAAAGCATTTATAGTCCAGAGGCAAAATATTATTGTTTAATTTTAGACTTTTAAGTCCCTTAAATACTTAAACTGCAAACATGAATTCACTGTAATGATTAATATCATTTTTTAGTCCTTAAAATATTGTCCTAATAAACAAAACAAGCATAAATAAACAAACTTAAATAGCTAATTTTTCACTTATTAATTGATTCACTCATTCAAGAAGCAATTATTGGGAGACTTCTGTGAGTTAGGCCATGCCACAAGGATACAGAGATTAATAAAACTCGATCTGCCAGAAGATCTTACATTCTAATAAGGAAGTGAGGTAGGCAAATAATTACAGAAGAGTGAAATGCAGATACTGGTTTGTGTAAAGTGAGTCAGATGTGCAGAAAACGTAAGCAGAGGCTAACTGTGTCTCAAGGCATCAAATGTGGCTGCTCAGAACATATAGTATGGTCTCATGTGCAAAATACACATCATCAGGAAGAGAACAAAGGAAAGACATTTTAGATACCAGGGAAAATAAGCTATAATAGCACAGAAACACCATAAAATATTTAGGAATGTTTGTGGAAAATCTGGATCAATCAGGAAGTCATAAGTTACTGGGTACATTCAGTTCACGAAATGAATGGTGAATCAGTCCTTGAGGGACCTTGGATTCCATTTTACACTAGTGATTTTCAACCTATTTCATACTTGGCACTCATGGAGAATGCCTCTTTTTTAAATTTGTTTTTTTAGAGACAGGGTCTCTCTCTGTCACCAATGCTGGAGTGCTGTGGCACAATCATAGCTCATGCAGCCTCGAACTCCTGAGCTCAAGTGATTCTCCCACCTCAGCTTCCCAAAGCACTGGGATTACAAGCACCCGGCTGGAGAATTCCAACATTTATAGGCATCCAGTGGTAGATAAACTAGCCATCTCCGAGGAAGAAATGTCTGCCCTAGAAGGCTAACTACCCCAAGCCTCACTCAATGAACACACACACACACACACACACACACACACACACCAGGGAATGAGAGAATTGATACCTTGTCACATCTGTACCCACTCAGGTCACACCACTTCAGATGCTCTGCTGGATGATGTGGAGCAGTGAATGGATTTAATCTTGGGAATATGATCAAATTCAGTTTTCTTTGAACAGCAATTCATAGAAAGGGAAAAGGATTTATAAAAGAGATCTCAGTGAGCAAATGGCATTTTCATGGAGATTGTCCTAGGAAAGAGAGAAACAAAAGTAATAATAGGAGCTATAAAAAAAGAAAGTATTTCAAAACGGAAATGTCCAAAATTGTGAAAGCGGACAGTAAAAAGGAATTATGAAGAGACTTCAATGCCAGCAAGCATTTGTTACTTGATTTAAAGAGCAAAGTAAAACATTGGCTACACTTAAATAAGAATGATTAAAAAATATATTGCGGGAAAAAACTGGATAACTAAGAAAAAATGTATTACATAGGAAAAGAATTTGTCTAAAACTATTTAGGCAAACTCTCAGGATTGTTTTAAGCCTCTTACCTTTTGGACCATGATTTTTTCTCTCAGCCATTCTATTCTGCTTCATTGACTCCAAAGAGTTTAGAAATTCATTATCCTATTATTTAAATATCATACACTATTAGAAAATTTTAAAATGGGAAAAAATTGTCAGCACTGAGTATGAGAAACATCTAATTCCAAAGATCTGGACTCACAGTGGGAGCAAAAGCCAGAAGTACAGTCAAATAAAAATGTTGAATAGCTCCAAAAATAGAAAAGGTAGGTGTTTTCAAGAATTTTTTCCAATCTTATTTTCTCCTGAATAAAAGGTTCCTCCAAATGAGCCCAACAATACTGACACAAAGGCCTCAGCCACCAGTGAAACTGAACAGACAGTAATTGAAAAATTACAAAAACTTTGAGAGGGACTTCAGTAAGGCCAAGGCAGTCACTCCATCTAATTACTGAGCTCTTGACAAAGATTAAGGAATGATTGAGGGCATATCTACTATAGAGAAAGAGAGCACAATTTGTGTGTCTTTAAAAAGAACTGAGTGACTCTTAAAATAAGAGAAAATGTACTATTAAAGATACTGATAAAGTCTTGTGTGGTGACACGCACCTGTAATCCCAGCAGTTTGGGAAGCCAAGGTGGAAAGATCTCTTGAGGCCAGAAGCTTGAGACCAGTCTGGGCGACATGGTGAGACCTTCTCTCTAAAAAAAAGGAAAGAAAGAAAAGTAGCAGGGTGTGCTGGTGCTTGCTGCTTGGAAGGCTGAGGTGGGAGGATCTCTTGGGCCTAGGAGATTAAGGCTGCAGTGAGCTGTGATGATGCCACTGCAGTCCAGCCTGGACAACAAAGCAGGACCCTGTCTCTTAAAAAAAAAAAATGCAGACTAAAGTAAGAAAAATAACTTATTTTTTCCAAATGTGAGAAAATCAACACAAAAAAGTTTTTATCTGTTAGGGGAGGGCTGGAATGGTGAGAGCTGGTGTGTTACAGACATCTTTATTAAGACAGTACAACTCTTGCAACAAAAAGCAATGACAGAAGCTGCAGCAGTAGTAAATGCACCCCTGTAAGGACTCTACAGCCTGGTTCCCTGACTCAAGAATCAAAAACTAAATACTAAAGCAAGCACAGTCCAGGAGATCCTCACAGAATAACCAGAATAAGCGTATCAGTGAATCTAAAGGAATAACACTGAAAACAATTGGAAAAAGCCACTTTGAGCACCTTACTCAAAGGAGATATTATTTTCAAAGACTCTCTGGAGTGACTTGAAATGACACGACAGGAGAGAGATCTTATCTCATGGTTTGTGCTACTGGGGAAAAAACGGGGTAGAAAATGAAAGCAATGCCAGTCAAAAGCTAAAGGAAAGGTGAGCAGGATTGTCCTGAGCACCAGGCATTGACCTGCCCATGGACTATTCAGCAGCCCTGGAGAGGGGGAAGGAGAGCACTTCCACATGACACTCAAATTCACAAATTCTGCCTCCACGGAGTTTTCTTTTCTTTCCTAAGAGACCTTTATGCAGACAAGCTTCCTTTCCAGAATAAAAACAAGTCATAGAAGATAAAACCATTATTCCTCAAAATGTGGCACACTAATGAATTTTCCCTTCCAAACTAGCTGTTCATTTTAAATATGAAGAAATCCAACCAAACACAAGTACAAGTTCGTGAAAGTTCCACAGGGACACAACACTGTTCGGGGGACAGCAAGGACAGAATGTTGGAATTCTTACAGATCATTATGTAATCCTACATTAGACAGAGCCTTTGAAATTTTGGAAATAACAGTTAATGAGAGTGTATCCTCAAAATAAGATAAATGTTTAAATAAGTCAGCAACAGCTTGTTGTTTACTGCATGCTTTCTGTGTGCTGGCACTCCATCGCCATTACCTTGTATAAGGTAATGACACCCTGTGAGGCAGCCATTGTCCTCATTTTACAGATGAGTAAACTACAATTTTTTTTTCCCAACTCACATAGCGTGTAAGAACTGCAATTAATATTTAATCCAGATATTTTGGGTGCCAAAATCCAAATGCATTCCAAAATGCAGTAGTACCTTTCTTTCCAGAATTTTGTTAACAATAAAGTTCTTAATAAATAGGCTAAAAAAGATCGATATACATAGAGAGAAAGAGAGACGTTAGTCACTCACTAGATTAAAACTAGAATATTCATATTTAAATATTGAGTGATAATACAAAGTACTGGCACAATGTAGGGAAAATAATGGATTAGCCCACTAAAATTTAAGTGGATATGAGGAGGCACATGTAAAAGAACACACTCAATAATCTTCTCTCAAATCAACTGTCTCAGCACAGACTATTTAATATGTGAAGCTTATCATTAGAAAAACAGAATTTCAGAATCCAGTTCAAATACTGAAAAAATCTAAAAACAAAAAAATTTAAAAACAAAAACTGTGTTTCATTTTAATAGCTGCAAAATTCTATATGGCTATCCAGTGAAATTATGAAATAGAAGAATACACCATTGTTAAAGTCTGACTTGATACAATGTAAGAGAATATGACATGACAGATGTTGTGGGTATGATTTTAAAAAGCAAAAATGTAACCACCGCTATTTCCCAAAGACCGGACTTAATGCTTCTTCCTCATGGTAGTGGCTTGCAGAAGAACTTGGCCATCTTCGTGATTTCGCAGCTACATCAAGTGCAAGCACAGGGACTGATTCTGAAGTCAGGGTTGATGTGGTGGTGTGGGCTGTGAGGAGTGGGAGTAGACATCCGCTTCCTTTCCCATCTTTCCTGTTGGCATCCACTGAGCTGTGTAAGTGACCCACTCCCACTGTGGTCTCAGTTGTCAAGCATGTCCTGCTCTTAGCTGTCAGCACTCCGCATGTGAATTACAGTGGAGCCTGGGACTCCATACCAACTTCCTGAGCATCAGAACTGCTGTTTCACTTGTCTTCCATAATCTCACAAATGTCTATATAACCAACCCTAACTCAGAACCATATACAGAAGGAAATTCCAGGACACATAACTCCAGCTTAGATAAATTAACACCATACAAAATCACTACAATTTTTAATAATAAAAATGAAAGCATTACTGTTCTGAAATTATCCCATGGAATCTAAATGCTATAGTGATTTAATATTCATCATTATCCATCTTTAATGTCCCTAAACAAACTTTAGTAGTTACAATTTTAAACCATTCCATCTTATTTTTGGACATTTTCTACATTCCACTTCCCCCATAAAATTCTGTCCTAATGTCATATGTTTATTCTGCTAAAAATGTTTTCTTAACTCGTTATATATTTCTGCAGTAAAAAATCTTGCAGATTGTAATTCCATTCTCAATGTTATCTTTTCATGAACAAAAGTTTTTAATTTGTATAGTTCAGTTATTAAGCTTAAAGTAAGAAATTCTGTGGTTAGTACTTTTTCATACTTTTTAGGACTTTGCCTAAACTATGTCCCATGAAGATATTCTTCTATATTATATCATATTATATTATATATTAAGCATCTTACATTGTGATCTATTGATTTTTACATATCATGTGAGGTAGAAATCAACATTCTTTATTTCCTCCATATGTGTATTCAGTTGACCAAAAACCCTTCACATAAAAAACTATTCTTGACCACATTGCAAAGAAAATGGCAGACAGGAGACAGAACTAACTTGCGGCTCCCACTCAGATAGACAGAACAGCATGTGGAGACTCACATCATGAACTTTTGTTCCAAGAACTACTGCAGGAACATATCAGGAAAACTGAAAGAATTCGTAGAGCCTTTGAAAGAAGTGGCTTGCCACTGCGTACTCCGTGAAACAGCCGAAAACTGTGAGTGCCCAAAGTGTGAGAGGGGGAATGTCTGTTTCCAACCACACATCCTCACTGGGAAACTTGAAAATTCACATCACGGGAGAAGAATTTAACCTTACCTAGAGCTGAAATGAATTTAGAGAGCTGAGTGAAATATAAAAGTAGAAGCAGCAGCTGGAAGAGCCCTGTAAGGACTCCTCGCCCCCAAGGAAGACCAGGGAAGCTATTTATTACTTTATTTCACAGGGGACCTTGGGGAGGGCTGCCAGCGGAATTGGGGAAAAACTACGAGGAGAAAGAAACTCCCTACTAAACTTTGTAATAATTTAAACATAATGTGAATTTTCCTGGACAGAATCTGTAGTGGGGGGGCAAAAGGGAAGTACAGATACAACCACAGAAGCCTCAGCAGGCAGGGAGGGGTGAAGTCTGAAAGCCATGCTTGCTTTCTCAGCAGGGAGGTTTGTAGCCTGGGGCAAGTTCTCAGCCTTGCTTACTGGTTGCGTGGAAATAAATTTGGTGCTATTGGGGGTGACATAGTGAGAGTGAGACTGGCCTTTCTGGCTGCATGAGAACTGACTGAAGCCTATCATTGCCGGCTTTCTCCCACTACCCTGGCAACCTGTATGACACAGCAGAGGCAGCCATAATTCCCCTGGGAACATAACTCCCTTGGCCTGAGAACCACAACTCCATACCCCACAGCAGCCATGGAAAGGCCTGTCCAAAGAGAGGCTGAGCTCAGACACGCCTAACCCTGCCACCACCTAATGGTCTTTCTCTACCCACCCTGGTAGCCAAAGACAAAAGACATAATATCTTGGGAGCTCTAACGGCCCTGCCCTCAACCTGAGAAAGCTGAGTGCTCCTCCAGGTGACCGTAGGGGAAGTTTGTATCCTCCCTATACTACTACAGCTGATGCCGTCTTGAAAGCATCACCTCCTGGCTGGAGGCTAACCAACTCAAACCATAAAAGAACAACTCATAAAAGAACATCACTGCCCCAAGAAAGGAGAAAACAACAGCTAATTTCACCACCTGTAACATCCTGGCTAACCAGAGGTCCTGAGTCTTTCCATGTGACAACTTTACTGCCAGCACAACCAGCATTCAAGAAAAGCAGTGCACTAAACAAAACCATAACCAAAGTCTCACACAGAGTCCACTTCACTCCCCTGCTACCTTCACTGGAGCAGTTGCTAGTAACCATGGCTAAGTGACCTGAAGACAGTTCACACCATAGGACTCTTTGCAGACACACCCCAGTACCAGCCCAGAGCCCGGTAGCTCTGCTGGATGGCTAGACCCAAAGAGAAATAACAATCACTGTAGTCAGGCTCTTAGGAAGCCCCACCCCTACGGGAAGAGGGGAGAGCACCACATCAAGGCAGCACCCCATGAAACAAAAGAATCTGAACAGCAGACCTTGAGCCCCAGATCTTCCCTCTGACATAGTCTACCCAAATGAGAAGGAACCAGAAGAATAATTCTGGTAATATGACAAAACAAGGTTCTTTAACACCACCAAAAGATCACACTAGCTCACCAGCAATGGACCGAAACCAACAAGAAATATCTGTATGCCAGAAAAATAATTCAGAAGGTCGATTATTAGGCTGTTCAAAGAGGCATCAGAGAGAGGTGAAGTCCAACTTAAAGAAATTTTTTCAATGTTACTGGATATGGATGGAAAAATCTCCAGAGAAATAGAAAGCACAAATTTTAAAACAATCACAATTTCTGGAAATGAAGGACACACTTAGAGAAATGCAAAATACACTGGGAAATCTCAGCAATAAAATCAAACAAGTAGAAGAAAGAACTTCAGAGCTCAAAAACAAGGCTTTTGCATTAATCCAATCTAACAAAAACAAAGAAAAAAATCAGAAAAAAATGAGTAAAGCCTCTACGAAGTTTGGGATTATGTTAAACAGCCAAACGTAAGAATAATTGGTGTTCCTGGGGAAGAGGAGAATTCTAAAAGTTTGGAAAACACATTTGAGGGAATAAGTGAGGAAAACTTTTCTGGCCTTACTACAGATCTAGACATCCAAATACAAAAAACTCAAAGAATGCCCAGGAAATTCACTGCAGAAAGATAATTGCCTAGGCACATAGTCATCACGTTATCTAAAGTCAACACAAAGGAAAGAATCTTAAGAGCTGTGAGGCAAAAGCATCAGGTAACCTATAAAGGAAAACCTATCAGATTAAGAGCAGATTTCTCAGCAGAAACCCTACAAGCTAGAAGGAAGTGGGGTCCTATCTTTAGCCTCCTTAAACAAAACGATTATCAGCCAAGAATTTTGTATCCAACAAAACCAAGCTTCATAAATGAAAAAAAAGATATAGTCTTTTCAGACAAAAAAATGCTGAGAGAATTTGCCACTACCCAGCCAGCACTACAAGAACTGTTCAAAGGAGCTCTACATCTTGAAACAAAACCTCAAAATACATCAAAATAGAAACTTCTGAACACATAAATCTAACAGGACCTATAAAACAATAATACAATGAAAAAAAAAGCAAGGTATTCAGGCAACAACTAGCATGATGAATAGAATAGTACCTTACATCTCAATATTAATGTTGAATGTAAATGGCTTGAATGCTCCACTTAAAAGATACAGAATGGCAGAATGGATAAGAATTCACCAACCAAGTCTCTTCTGTCTTCAAGAAATTCGCCTAACACATAAGGACTCACATAAACTTAAGGTAAAGAGGTGGGAAAAGATATTCCATGTAAATGGACACCAAAAGAGAGCTGGAGTAGCTATTTTTATATCAGACAAAACAAACTTCAAAGCAACAACAGTTAAAAAAAAAAAAGACAAAAAGGGACATTATATTATGATAAAAGGACTAGTCCAACAGGAAAATATTACAATCCTAAATATATATGCATCTAACACTTGAGCTCCCAAATTTGTAAAATAATAACTACTAGACCTAAGAAATTAGATAGGCAGCAACACAATAATGGCAGGGGACTTCAATACTCCATGGACAGCACTAGGCAGGTGATATAGACAGAAAGTCAACAAAGAAACAATGAACTTAAACTATACCCTGGGAACAAATGAACTTAACAGATATTTACTAAACATTCTAAGTAACAACTGCAGAATAGACATTCTATTCATAAGCACATGGAACATTCTCCAAGGTGGACCATAAGATAGCCCACAAAACCAGTCTCAACAAATTTATGAAAATTGAAATTATATCAAGTACTCTCTCAGACCACAGAGGAATAAAACTGGATATCAATTGCAAAAGGAAACCTCAAAACCCTGCAAATATATAGAAATTAAATAATCTGCTCCTGAATAATTGCTGGGTCAACAATGAAATCAAGATGGAAACTTAAAAATTGTTTGAACTGAACAATAATAGTAACACAACCTATCAAAGCCTCTGAGATACAGCAAAAGCAATTCTAAAGGAAAAGTTAAAGCATTAAATGCCTACATCAAAAAGTCTCAAAGAGCACAAATAGACAATCTCAGGTCACACCTGAAGGAGCTAGAGAAAGAAGAACAAACCGAATCCAAACCCTGCAGAAGAAATAACAATGATCAGAGCAGAACCAAATATATTGAAAAAAAAAAATACAAAAGATAAGTGAAACAAAAAGCTGGTTCTTTGAAAGATAAATAAGATTGATGGACCATTTGCAATATTAACCAAGAAAAGAGAGAGAATCCAAATAAGCTCAATTAGAAACAAAATGAGAGATATTACAAAGAATAACACAGACAAAGATTATTCAAGGTTACTATGAACACATTTATGTGTACAAACTAGAAAACCTAGAGAAGACGGATAAATTCCTGGAAATATGCAACCCTCCTAGATTAAACCAGGAAGAAATAGAAACCCTGAGCAGACCAATAACAAGCAGCAAGATTGAAATGGTAATTTTTTTAAAAAATTACCAATAGAAAAGTCCAGGACCAGATGGATTCATAGCTGAATTCTATCAGACATTCAAAGAATTGGTACCAATACTATTGACACTATTCCACAAGACAGAGAAAGAAGAAATTCTTCCTCAATCATTCTATGAAGCCACTATCACCCTAAGACCAAAACCAGGAAAGGATACAACAACAATAACAACAACAAAAACTACAGACCAATACCCCTGATGAACATAGATGCAAAAATCCTCAATAAAATAGTAGCTAACCAAATCCAATAGCATATTAAAAAGATAATCCACCATAATCAAGTGGGTTTCATACCAGGGACACAGGGATGGTTTAACATATGCAAGTCAATAAATGTGATACACCACATAAACAGAGTTAATTAAAAACACAAATCACATGATCGTATCGACAGATGCAGAAAAAGCATTTGGCAAAATCCAGCATCCTTTTATGATTAAAACTCTCAGCGAAATTGGCATAGAAGAGACATACCTTAAGGTCATAAAAGCCATCTATGACAAACCCACAGCCAACACTATACTTACTGGGGAAATGTTGAAAGCATTCCCCATGAGAACTGGAACAAGACAAGGATGCCCACTTTCACCACTTCTATTCAACACAGTACTGGAAGTCTTAGCCAGAGCAATCAGACAAGAGAAAGAAATAGAGGGCATCCAAATTAGTAAAGAGAAAGTCAAACTGTCACTGTTTACCATTGATATGATCATATACCTAGAAAAGCCTACAGACTAATCCAAAAAGAACCTAGAACTGATAAATAAATTCAGTAAAGTTTCAGGATACAAAATTAATATACACAAATCAGTAGCAGTGCTGTACACCAACAGCAACAAAGCTGTGAATCAAATAAGAACTCAATCCTTTTACAATAGCTGCAATATATATATATATATACACATATATATACACACATATATATACACATATATATACATATATATACACATATATATACATATATATATACACATATATATACATATATATATACACATATATATATACACACAATACTTGACAATATACCTAACCAAGGAGGTGAAAGACCTCTACAAGGAAAACTGCAAAACATTGCTGAAAGAAATTATAGATGGCACAGATGGAAACACCCCATGCTCATGGATGCATAGAATCAATATTGTGAAATGACCATACTTCCAAAAGCAATCTACAAATTCAATGCAATTCCCATCACAATACCATCATCATTCTTCACAGAACTAAAAAAAAAAAAAAAATCCTAAAATTCATGTGGAACCAAAAAAGAGCCCACATAGCCAAGTCAGACTAAGCAAAAAGAACAAATCTGGAGGCATCACATTACCTGACTTCAAACTATGCTACAAGGCTATAGTCACTGAAGCAGCATGGTACTGATATAAAAATAGGCACATAGACCAATGGAACAAAATAGAGAACACAGAAACAAAGCCAAATACTTACAGCCAACTGATCTTCGACAAAGCAAACAAAAACATTAAGTGGAGAAAAGACACCCTATTCGACAAATGGTGCTGGGATAATCGGCAACTCACATGTAGAAGAATGAAACTGGATCCTCATCTTTCGCCTTATATGTATAAAAAGAAACTCAAGATGAATCAAAGAATTAAATCCAAGACCTGAAACCATAGAAATTCTAGAGGATAATATTGGAAAAACCCTTCTAGACATTGGCTTAGGCAAAGACTTCATTACCAAGAACCTAAAAGCAAGTGCAACAAAAACTATGATAAATAGATAGGACTTAATTAAACTAAAAAGTTTCTTCACAGCAAAAGAAATAATTAGCAGAGTAAGCAGACAACCCACAGAGTTGGAGAAAATCTTTGCGAATTATGCATCTGACAAACGACTAATATCCAATATCTACAAGAAACTCAAACTAATCCGCAGGAAAAAAACAAACAAACAATCCCATCAGAAAGTGACCTAAGACATGAATAGGCAATTCTAAAAAGAAGATACGCAAATTGTGAACAAACATATGAAAAAATGCTCAACCTCACTGATTATCAGGGAAATGCAAATCAAAACTACAATGTGATACCACCTTACTCTTGCAAGAATGGTCATAATTTAAAAATCAAAAAAGAATAGATGTTGGCATGGATGTGGTGAAAAGGGAACACTTTTATACTGCTGGTGGAAATGTAAACTAGTACAACCACTACGGAAAAAAATGTGAAGATTCCTTAAAGAAGCAAAAATAGATCTGCCATTTGATCCAGCAATCCCACTACTGGGTATCTACCCAGAGGAAAAGTCATTATACGAAAAAGACACTTGCACGTGCATGTTTATAGCAGCACAACTCACAATTGCAAAAATATGGAGCCAGCCCAAATGCCCATCAGTCAACAAGTGCATAAAGAAAATGTGGCATATATTTATATGTGTGTGTGTGTATATATATAAAGAAAATTTTTTAAAATGTATATATTTATATATTTATATTTATATGATATATTATATTATATATGGTATAATATATTTTTATTTTTATATGGTATATAAATATATATATATACACCATGGACTATTACTCAGCCATTAGAGGGAACAAAATAACTGGATAAAATTGGAGATTATTATTCTAAGTGAAGTAACTCAGGAATGGAAAACCAAACATTGTATGTTTTCACTTATAAATGGGAGCTAAGCTATGAGGACTCAAAGGCATAAGAATGACATAATGGACTTTGGGGAATAGGGGGAAGGGTGGGAGTGGGTGAGGGATAAACGACTACACATTGGGCACAGTGTATACTGCTTGGGTGATGGGTGCACCAAAATCTCAGAAATCATCACTAAAGAACTTACCCATGTAACCAAACGCCACCTGTTCTCCAAAAACCCATTGAAACATATATATATAACTATTATTTCCCTGTTGTCCTATGATGGCACCTTTTTCATAAATCAAGTAGATCTATTTTCTAACTCTATTATGTTTCATTTATCTATTGTCCTTTCTTATGTAATGGCATACTCTGTTAATTACTGTAATTTACTTGAAAAAAAGTCTTGATATCTGGTAGTATAAGTTCTTCAACTTGGTTCTTCTTCAAGATTGTCTTAACTAATCTTGAGTCTTTGCCTTTTCACATACATTTTAGAAATCAGCATTTTTATTAAACTGCTGAAATTTTTATTGGGCTTTCTTTGAATTCATAGATTAATTGCTCCACAGATCAATTGGTAGTTTATAATATTGAGTTTCACAATCCATTAATGCTTTATATTCTTCCATTCATTTAGACATATTTAATTTCTCTCAATTACATTTTACTGAATTCAGTGTAGTGGCTTGCAAATCTTTTCAGATTTATTCTCCCCAAAAAATGAATTTTCCCTGTAAACTGGAAATTTTTAAGTGTTTAATTTCTGCTTTGGATGGGAATATAATTTCAATTATTGGCCATCAACATGATTGAGTAAACATAAATTCAATATAAATCTTGATGAGTAAGTCCTAATCATAAAATGAAATATTTGTTGGAAAAGCACCTCTTAATGAAATGAATGCAGCAGTTTTGTTTCAATCAGTTCATGTCTTCATGGATGAATATTAGTTATTGCTAGAATGATAGGCTACCTCAAATACTTCCAATATTTGGTGCTAGTATTTATTTATAGAAACCTTGTTCACAGAAAAAATACAAGAATGGGAAGAAATTTGCTATAACAATGTCACTCAATTTTTTAAAATTCCTTCCTTCCCCAAGTATTTTTTAAGACCTGCTTTGTACTAGACACTGTTCCAGGTTTGGGGGCTATAGCAGGGAGCAAAACATATAAGAGCAGACAAAAATTTTTCCCTTATAAAGTTTAACTTGTAATGAGGGAGTCTGATAACAAATGAATTTTTTAAGTAAAATATACAATATAGCATAGTAAATAGTGATAAGTATAAAAGAGAAAAAAGTAAAGCAGGGAAGGAGATAGAACATGTGCAGAAGGTTGATCTGTAGATAAAGAGGCTGAGATATGTGCCCAAAAATACATAATGACCTATCATCTAAAGTTATTTTTAAACTACTACTACTAGCTGATGAGGTTCTTCTTCAATTGTTTTGGAAGCAAAAGATTGAAAGCCAGCTACCTTTTTATTAGTAGCTATTACTTTATTAACATCAGCATACAAAATTAAAACTATCACTTTGTTTGGTGACCCGCAGGCTTGTTCTGCCAGGATGATGCACCAAGTTAAGGTTCCAGATGGCTGAGATAAATGCCTGTCCTTGCAAACTGGAAAGAAGATGATTATAGAAGGGAATGAGAGAAGCAAGGTCCAGAATGGCCATACTTTTTCAAAGGCACATAAATTTTGGAATTGAGTCTCTTGAAATTGAACACTCTACATGCCTACACACCATTTAGGAGGTCTTACATTCACTTGGGGCACACCTTCTCCAGTTTGAAGACCACTGGTCTCTTATTGCCGCCCTTCTCACTCCCCACAATGAGGAAGAATGAGGATCCGAGACAGAGTTGGGGAGACTTCCAGACCCTCCAGACTCTTGGGGATTGCCCTCAGTGTTTGTCAAAACAAGTTGCCCTCAAGGACAATTGAACTATATCAGTTCTTCACATAAGTACCTGAGACTGAGGGGGACAGGACAGAGTGGGAAGCATCCATTTTGCATAGTATTGCTGAGCAGAAAGAAGTAAAAAATGTTGGTAAACTCTGATATGGACAATGCAGGCTCTTGGACTGCATACTCTATTCTTCCAGTTGGAACTGGCTTAACATTGAGCATTTCATTGGTCCCATGTGCTTCTCTTCAATTTCACATGCCTTCTGAAAGGTGGAGGAGATTTTAAACTTCCTGAAGCATAAAGAAAACAACCATAAATAGTGATAAAGCTGGCACTTGGGCATCATCTCCCTGCTTGGACATCTCTTCGGGATCACAAAGTTATTTCAGGAAGGGGGTAGCACAGCCCCAACCACCCCCGGGACATAAGCAACGGTTTAAGGCACTGTCAAGTCCACTGTGCCCAGCAGACCCATCATGGTGCCTTGGTGGCCACTAGGTATGCCATAAGCAGCCCCAACTGTGGCCTGTGTTTTGGCACAGCAGGCCGTGCCTACTGAATGCTCAGATTCTTCAGACAGGAGACAGCAACAGATCAGTGACACTGCAGAGTAGCTCATTCTCTCGTAACAGCAGCAGGGTTTAGTTGCCAGCTACCTCTGAAATAACTAGTCTCTCCTAAAAGCCTTCATTATGGTGGGGTGCTGCGAACTCCTCTCTGCAGTCTTTGAAGGGCCTCTCTGTGTGAACTAAGTTGATGTCAAGCCTCTTCCCCAGCTTTATCCTTATGAATTTATATCACGGAACAAGAAAATCACAGTGTAATAGCCCCCATATTTGAGTTCTTCAAATGTTTCTTTAAGATGTTATTGCTGGACTTGGCAACTTGTAAAATAAATGCTGATTAGAAAAGCCTAATACCTACATAGCAGGAACAATGATGGAACAGAAAGCAAGCTCAGAATAAATGTGTTAAGTGCCTCTCAGCTTCCTGAGTCTTTTCTTTTCTCTGACCTAAACACAATGTTATAGGGGATCTGTGCTCCTAAACTCAGTGACGAGGCAGTGTGCAATATAGCTGGAACAAAACAAAACGCCTACGTTCTGGTTAATTATTTGCTGAATATAGTTAAACCTGGGACATAAATGACAGCTTGAGCTCACTGGAAATGGCAGGTTTTCACTTTAAGTGTATCAAAGGCAAAGGCAAAAGTCTCAATCTGAGGCTCTTAACCTGGAGTCTATAAATGCAATGGGCTGTGAACCCCATGAAATAAAGTCATTTAATGGATATAGAAGTGTGCACTTTCTTACAAAGGGGTTCCTCAAGTTTTATAAGATTATAAAAGAGGTCTGTGATCCTAAAGATAATAAGAATGATGACTAAATATTCTCAAAATCTTATAATTATTAACCCCTTCCCCTCCTTCACTGAGGCAGCAAACACTTGCTCAGTGCCTAGGACTTCCGCACTCCCGTGACATCTGCTTTGGGGAAACAAACATGAATTAAAGTTCTAGTGAAGAAGAAGAATTAAATTGATATATTTGAGCTCCTTCCAAGGGCTGGCAAGGCACTGTCCTGTATATAATATACATTTTTCTTGTCAATCTTCATAGTAAACCCATTGGAAGTTACTATTAGTGTTAGCCATTGTAGAAGAATTTAATTTCTAATAATGGTCACAACAGTATTTCCTGTCTAACTTCCCCATCAAGAAGTGGGGAGTTGCTGTTCTTGCCTCTTAAGCCCAGGCTGGATGGGCAGCTGTCCTGACTAATCAAGTTTGGTGGAAGTGGCTCTGAGTGACTTTTCAGGCCAGATCATAGAAGGCGACACAGCTTCTGCCTGGCTATATTTGGTTGCTAGCCCTTGAACTCATCTACCATTTTGCAAGGAAGCTCAGGCCACATGTAGAGCCCCTTGTGGAGAGCAACAAGGTCTCCAGCCCTCAGCCCCAGCTAAGCAAACAGCCAACAGCCTGTCTTGACTTGCCTGCCATGTGAATGCACCACCTCAGAAGCTGCTCCTGCAGCCTCCCGTGCCCCAGCTAACATTGCATGGAGCAAAAATAAACCTTTCCTGCTAGGCTCTGCTCAGACGTGCCAATACATGAGCAAAACAAATGGTGATTATTGTTTTAAGACACTGTTATGTGGTTGGGTGCTATATAGCAATAGATAACTAGAGCAAGCAGCTTGCCCATATGAGCAACTGCCGCTTAGAGGTTAAATAATTTGCCCACAGTTACACAACTAGTAAGTGTAGAGCTGGAATTCAAAACAAGATCTGCCTGATACATAAAATCAAGTCAAGAGGATGAAAGAGAGAGTTTTACCTATATCTGTGACTTGGTATTTCCTTTTTTTTTTTTCTTTTTTTGAGACAGAGTCTCTCACTCTGTCGCCCAGGCTGGAGTGCAGTGGGGTGATCTCGGATCACTGCAACCTCCTCCTCGAGGGTTCAAGCAATTTTCCTGCCTCAGCCTCCCGAGTAGCTGAGATTACAGGCACGCGCCACCACGCCCAGTTAATTTTTGTATTTTTAGTATAGATGGTGTTTCACCATGTTGGCCAGGATGGTCTCCATCTCTTGACATCATGATCTGCCTGCCTCGGCCTCCCAAAGTGCTGGGATTACAGGCGTGAGCCACCGCACCTGGCCAGTATTTCTTAAAATAAAAAGAAATTTGAAGAAAATATAGCAAAAAATATTTATCTTAAAGTGGAAACACAGGCATCTATTATTTTATATTCTACATTTTTCTGTGTATTAAAAGTGTTTTACAACTTTAAAGTATCTTTTCAAAGATGAAAGCAAAGTCCTTATCAAATTTCAAAATATGTTTAAGATCAGACATGAAAAATAAGTTAAACTTTAAATTGTGTTAAGTTGCCATATTTATAAAACCAGAGGCATTACTAATGTAATGTCTAGATGATAAAAGAAGATCTTGCTTCAATTTGCCCAGTTCCAACCTCTCTTTCTTCATCTAACGGTGTTAATTCACGTCTTCGTGCCAATGTTCTGAGCTTTTAGCTCAGCAGAATCTTGAAAAATCCAAAGAGATATGCATAAACGTACAGGAAAATAGACTCCAGTCCACAGAGGAGGATCCAAGTATCTATTCTGGATTTACCATAAGCAGCAAGCATTTCCATAAGAGAAGGGAAACATTAGCACTTAGACTGCCTCTGAGGAGCACAGTAAATTTCTCAGAGCTGAGGGTGACTCTCCCCATAGCCCCTGGAGGGCTACATCTTCAACTTCATGTGACATGTAGTGAATTATTTCTCATAGGAAGCTGCCAGGTTGAAAGCCAGCCACCTTGCACATGTTGTCTCCTGAACAGCAGCACGAGACGAAGGAGAGTCAATTGCCTTGAGTTCCCCTTTGATTCTGCATAAAGTCAATCAGGTTTGCCATGGCTGAGTGGGGACCTGAATCAGTAGCACTGAATTATCTAATGGAAACTTCATTTGTGTGTCCCATAAACAAATAGAAAAGTTGCTATTGGTTGTGTATTTTTTTACAAGTAGAATACAAGTCTGTATTTGCACAGTCAGATGCTGCTATAAATCTAAAGTAGCTCTGTAATTCCTTCAGTTCTGTGAGAATCCTTGTCAGGAATTGGTGGTGGCTAGAGCGAGTAACCACAAAGATATTCTGTTACAAGTAATATTATTTCTTCCAAGAAGTTGCTCGGCTGTGCTCCTGGAAGTTGGCACAGGAAGAAGATTTGAAAGGACTGCAAAAGGGTTTCCTGGCTGCAGGCTCTCTCCAGGGGATCTTTGATGGTAACACCTCAGGTTCTGAGAATGGGTGTAGAGAGCAGCCCACTGTGTGGCTGGCTTTTCTGGATAGTTGATGCCAACCCTTAATTGTGTTGCTTTTTTTTTTTCTAAAATATATTTTTCACTTCCAGGATCTAATAATCAAAGTACATGGAACTCAATTTCACTGTACTGCAGGCTCCCAGCAAGCTGTGCCCTGATGCTTCCTTCAGTTGCTCCATCTCTTCTGCTCAATAGTGTTCTTGCTGTTATAACTACAGATTTCCTTGGATGTTTTTATTCCAACCTTCCTTTTCTAATACTTTTGAAAACCTGTCCATACCTTTTCTATTTCTTTTCGTGTTTCATTGAAATTCACACCCTGATTTCCACTGAAGAAAGTACTTAATTCAGCATCTTCTCTTCTCTTATCTTTCTCAAAAAAGTGAATTTAAAAATGCAGTTGCTTTACTTTCTTATCAGTGTAATATGACTGCCTTTCCCCAAACATAATTAAAAACTGAAGGTCTTTCCTAATGAGTTATTTTTAAGTCTTTTGTTAAGTGTTCTATTTCTTAATTTTCTTCATTTTTTAAAGCACTTGATGTCATTTTAAAAAAGCTTTAAGAATCTGTAAACTCGCCCTCTGTGTACACTTTAATTTGCCCCTTTACTTGAGCTCTCATCCCACTCTAGCAAATGGAAGGTATTGATGCATGCATGACAAACTGTTTTTTAATATGAAAACATCCTCACCTTGAGGACTTGGTGGCTTCTGTGGCCAAAAAGACTCATTGCTCTATCCCATCCATGAAGAATTCTTGATATTTCAGTTTCTTTATTACTTACTTTTCAAAGATTCCTCCTTAATAGTTAAATTTTTTGTAGTCTTGTCTAGTTCTAGAATCTTGATAATTTAAGTTTTACCTATATGTGATATATTATTTCTAGAGTTTACAACATTTACATCATGCTAGGTTTCTGATATGCAGAGAAGGTATAGCCAAAAAACAAGTAACAGTTTAAAAAGAAAGAAGAAAACAAATAGCAATTTAAAAAAAAAGAAAAGAAAAAACACATAGAAGGTGTGGCTGATTTATAGTGCCATCAACTGCAGGAACCAGATGTCCTAATTTGGTTAAAACAGTCCTTGCTTACACAAGTTGCCCTGGCACTTTATCTGGTTTAGACTTTGTCCTACATTTTTTAGTTTTCAAATGAAATATTACTATTAATAGTTGTATTAGGCAAATCTAGAATGGCCACGTAGACAACTCTTTCCATTTCTACCATAGTCTTATCAAGGTATGCGAGATGCATGAGCAATAAACAGAATCCTTTTTTTTTTTTTTTTTTTTTTTTTAGAATTCTCTTTTAACTGTATGGTTAAATCTGTAAGAAAACCAACAATACCACTCTCTTTTCTCCAAAACTTAAAAGACACAATATAACTAGCACCTTCCTTTCAAGGGCAGTATGCAACCTGGTCACTGATAAAGATATGTACTTGGATAGGAGTAGTGGAGATGGCTAACACCTTCCAGTCTCAGGTGGGTGTGTGAGAGGCACTGAAATCTACAGCTCCTACCAGCACCTCTTCCCACCATATCCAGCTGGTAGGGTCAGTGGAGAGCACCTGGAAGTGTAAGTTAATGCACTGACACATTAGGAGAAGAAGAATTTCTCAGAGTTAAAATAATGATATCAGTCTTATATACCAGTTTATAATACTGGAATTACATTAGTTTATCAAATGCTTTCAACAGAACACCAATTAAATTATTTAAATAATTTTAATTTTTTAATCCAGTTCATAGAATTAGCATAAGCCTTTTAAATTTGTTTGTTTGTTTGCTTTGTTTTGCGGAAAGGATCTGAGTTTGTTTCCCAAGCTGGAGTGCAGTGGCACAATCTGGGCTCACTGCAACCTCTGCCTCTGCCCTGTGGGCTCAAACTATCCTTCCACTTCAGCTTCCCAAGTAACTGGGACTACAGGCACATGCCACCACGTCCAGCTAATTTTTGAATTTTTTTTTAATGGGGACGGTGTTTCCCCATTGTTGCCCAGCTGGCCTCAAACTCCTGAGCCCAAGCAATTCACCCACCTTGGCCTCCCAAAGTGCTGGAATTACAGGCATAAGCCACTGCACCTGGCTTAGCATAAGCCTTTATTTTATTTCATTTTTTATTTATTTTATTTTTATTATTTTTGGAAACAGAGTCTCCCTCTGTCACCCAGACTGGAGTGCAGTGGCATGATCTCAGCTCACTGCAACCTCCATCTCCCAGGTTCTAGCAATTCTCCTGCCTCAGCCTCCGAGTAGCTGGGATTAGAGGTGTGTGCCACCATGCCCAGCTAATTTTTTAATTTTTAATAGGGACAGGGTTTCACCATGTTGGCCAGGCTGGTCTCAAACCCCTGACTTCAAATAATCTTCCCAACTTGGCATCCCAAATTGCTAGCAATATAGGCATGAACCACCATGCCCAGCAAGCATAAGCCTTTTAGATGTTCATTCTGTCCAAGGTAAAACTCTGATATTATTTTAAATCCTGTCATAATCTAATTAAGTAGTAAATATTAAAGATAAATATATTTATTTTGTGGAAATAATACAATACAATTTTTGTGAAGTACAACATATGGGTTAAAAAAAACAAAAAATATTCTTACTAAGTTAAAAAATACATGAAGCAGAACTGTATTTGGAATTCAAGTGCACAGGAAACTTACAACTGCATCCTAATAAAGCCACACTATTTTACCAATGAAAACAGAAATTCAAAGTGTTTTCAAAATCTATATATTTAGAGTAAATAAAATAGAATATTTTTGTGATGAGGCTAATGTTGAAAACAAAAAGAAATTCATCATGAAAGAATGTACATTTTCTCTCTTCCCTTCCCTTCATCAATCTGAGTTCTGACTATTTCGACCTTTGAAGAACTGCTTTGTAAATCAACCTAAGTTTCTTACAATGTCTGTGAGTATTTTTATAAATGAATCTTCTACATTTTAGTTGCGTTACATTCAAGATCAATTGAAAAACTTAAATTGATTATTCAACAAACCAAAGCACCTCCAAAAAAACTTTCAAAACTCTTCATAAATTGCAATAATTGAAAGGTTACAGAAAACATTGACATATCTCCTCACAAAAGCAAAGGAAGACAAATGAGAACTCAAAATGTTGCACAAGAATTGATTTTTTAATTTTATAATTTCCCTTTGAGATATCTTGACTTGAGAAAAGACATTTTAGAATGGAGCCCCAGTTTTTAATTGGAAAACTGTATTTTCTGCACCAGAAGGAATAGAAGTTGATTTGAGAAGTCTTACAATTTTGTAGTGTCTATATTTGGTGAAAAGAATCATAAATAGATACTATTTATGGGTTTTGTCTTATGAATTTTTTGCCAAAAAAATGCTACTCTGTATGGAGGCAAAATTACAGTATCTGGGAAAATATTTGGGCTAAAATATACTACACATATCCTCCATTTAGCAAACTTGCTTGGCATTTACACACAAACACACACACACACACTCCTGAGAGTTCAGTTTTCCTACATGCCTGTATGCCTGTTAATGTTAGAGTGCTATAATGCAACCAAAGCTTGGTTTAAAGTAATTAGTATCTTTAATGGACTATGAAACAGGAGAAACAAACATCATACGTGTACATTAGAATTGGGAGAAGAAAAGATTGAGGCTTTGATCAAAACCAAAAGAAACTGGAAAGAATATTACAAAAATGAGAAGTCTATACAGACAGCCAGTTACTCTGCCATTAGGGAGGAAACAAAATCTTTGCAAAAGGCAGATGCCGATTTTTGGGGAGTGGCTTGGGGACAGAAGGCATTGGAGATAGATTGTGTGGCTTCTCAAATGCCTTTCTAATGATGCAATACATATTCTTAAGGAAAAAAAAGGATTCTAGCAGCAAGAGGAGACAGTATATCTTTTGATATATAGGGAGAAAGGGCATGTCTGTATGCCTAAGGACAAACACATTATTTAAAATCTCATGCTATTTAATATTACTTCATTTTTTACTGAAACCAATAACAACTTATTTTTCAGACCCTATGAATCCAGGTTATTTCTGTATTTTTTAAATTTCCTCTTTTTGGCTCATTGACAATATTTTTAGTAGTCCTTTTTACTAAACATTTTTTCATTTTATGGTGAACGGATATTTTTGTTAACTTTGCTCTTATGCATTCTATTTTAAACATTAGTATTATGTGTATTTTTTACACACTTATTCATATGGCCTATGTTATATTTTCAGTTGATTTCATAGGTGGACTTGATACACACTCCTACTACCAGGATCATGTTGAGTTAAAGCCTGTTAAACCAGTAAGTAAAGGTGTGATGATATGGAAAATATTAATCCTTCTAACTCAGCCAAAACTAACCAAAAGTGAAATAATTTGAACCTACTACTACTAATCATTGGTTTAATTTTCCACTCATATTTAAAACACACCTTTCACATGTAACCCAACATCATCATTATTATTATTCATTCCAAAAAGGATTTGAAGCTGGTGACATGATTTATATTTCAAAAACAATAGTTCTGTCTTATTCCCCTTATCAATAGTTGGTAACTACATTTTTTAATGAGATTATTTAATCTGCAGAAGTAAAGAATGAATATGTGTCCTGGGGCAGCACAGCAAAGTAAAAAGGGGAGAAAGACCTGCAGTGAATCCAGGTCCTCCATGTGACATCCAGGTGCCTTCCTCAGTGTCTCTGAGACTTGTTCTATCACCATACTATGGTTTCACAGGGGGGAAATAGATTAAATTGGATAATGTGTGTATGATATATGTAAAGCTGCCTATTACTCTTCCCAGTACTCAAACATTTGACTAACAAGTTCAGGAACAAGTTTTCTATGTTCTTAGAGGACATGAAAGGAAGTCAGCAACAACAAAACCACCTAAAACTGGTGAGATTTCAGTTGAGTAAAAGAAAGAAATCTTAAGTCACCTAATTAATAAAATACTAGGAAACATGGAAATAGATAGGGTGACTCCATTCCTAGAAAATTCCAAGTAGCACATATAAAACTGTATAAATTAATAATAGCTATCATACACTAACCACTTTGCATATATTATCTCACTAAATCTTCATGAAAACACTGCAATGTGCTAATTAATATTCCCACTTTATAAATAAGAAAACTGAGGTTCATAGAGGTTAGGCAACTTTCTCAAAGTCCCACTATTAGTAAGTTGTGGAGCTGAGATCTTTCCTGGGTAGCAAACCATCACCCAACCTGATATGATGGACTTGCTCAGATGATCTTTTTTTCTTTCAGCTCAGTGTTCTGTAATTTGATGGCGATAGAAGAAATTATGTAAAATAGTCGCTTGTATAATAAACACATATGAAAAGTTTCACCTGCTGCCTCTTTGCCACAGTGGTTCTTACCCAAATATGCAGCTCCCTCACCCAGCATATGTGAGGATTGAAGATCTGAGAAGGCTACACTGATTCCTCTACCTCCCCAGGTTGAATTAACTTTATTCTGGCAGAATGATCTAAAGTAAACATAGCTCACAGGAAACACAAATCAGCACTGTGCCTGTCACATGATAGATGTTTAAATAAATTTTGGTTTCTTAAAGCAAATCCAATTTGGAAAGAACATTCACCCTATATAACACTCCAGAACCAAGCAGTCACCACCTCATTACTCATATCACTAAGTGCTCATAAAGGATATGTTCCAAAAGTTGATGTTTGTAGATATGGGGAACTTGTCAGGGATTGTGACAATAATCAAGATGATTAGTGCATTGGGAGTGAGAAAAGAACTAAGACAATGCCTAGTGGTGACTTAAAGAGTCTTCATATATTTGTTATGTGATAAGAGGATGATGAAGGGTTTCTTTCATCTCCACTGTGAAAAAAAAAACTCAGCAGAGAAATTGCAATATGAAAAATGCTGCAATTTAAGAGAGATCCTTCTATTAGGGAAAGTTATTAAAAACTCCATTTGATAAATGTTGATAATGAAATTTTCTTCTTGAATGATTTGCAAAAACTTGACGCCCATGTACCTATGTACCTCAAAAGGGTGTTCTGTGGCATGGCCCAGAGGCAAGTGACTTCCACTTATGTTCTCTAAAGTCACTTCCATCTCTGTGAATCAAAAACACCCAAAACATACTTTTAAGATCACCTAAAAGGCTTTGATCAACTCCACTGTCTGCTCCAAGGGTTTTCTCAGCACCCCTGTTCACTGCTGACCTAGCAGTGGATAGCTGAATATAGCATAAACTACAAGCTATTCTCTACAGAAAGCAATAGAACAAGCTTCTGCTTTGACAGATTATGCATATTATCATGTCAGATGAATATGGAATGCCTTTCAACCATGAAGGAAGCAAAAATCTAAAAATCAAACTAAGACTGAATTGAAATCATTGTGCATGAAACAATTTAAGAGGTCAGTATCTGTACTCTTCACCAGTATGCAAATATTTCAGCATTTATCCAGTCTGCCTCTGTCAATCTACTTGATTTCTTTTAATAAGCCCGTTATATTGAATTCCATTGAATCCAATGATGCCATATCACTACCCAGCAACAGCTTGGAGAAAAAGCCAACCTTCTGTGCGAAATTGTTAGAGAGGGGAATGAATGCTGGCTTTGACTTTCATTAAGCCTCTTTTATCACAGTGAAGTAGAAAGCCAGGTTTTGTGAGGAAGCCACTTTAATAAGGGGATCAGAAGAATCCTTAGCATATTCCCAGGTACATGTATGTGAACAGGTAGCTTTGAACTCCATATGCAGAGTTTCCAGCCAACAGCTCATTCCTAGGTAATACTGCAGAATTGTACAGGAAGCCTTAATTCTCATGTTTGAGTGTGTCACTGCTCATAACCACAAAGTGCACCTTTCAAGTGTCCACAGTCAAATTGTATGGGAATGTGTATAGGGGAAGTGGGGTTGGGATAGGGGTAAGGTGGTTCACATATGGATTTGGTCTCTCATGTTTTGTTTCTTTCTTTTTAAAGTAATGATATCAAGCTAAAAAAAAGCCCACTGATTACATCAATCAGTTTAATTCACTTTACTATCACTGATTGATTGCCTACACTGTGCACAACAGGCACAGCCTAAGTGCTAGAGATATAAAGATAAATGATACTTGAGATTTGACCCTTAGCAGCCAATGATCTAGGAGGGGAGATCTACATAGAAAGGGTAGATGCAAAACAATATTTATCCCCAAGGAAATTTTATGCGGGAGGGGGAATGGTTAACTCTCGCTTAGCGAGGAAAGGCTTCCCTGAGAAATAACAATTGAGCTACTTTGAAAAGATGACACAATTTATCAAAAGCAGAATAAATATAACTATATTGGAAGATACTTTGGCAGTTTCTTACAAAACTAAGCATACTTTTACCATGAGATCTAGCAATCGAGCTCCTTGGTATTTACCCAAAGAAGCTAAAAAGTTTTGTTCACACAAAAACTTACACACCGATATTTATAGCAGCCTTTTTTTTTTTTAAGACGGAGTCTTGCTCTTTCACCCAGTGGGGAGTGCAGTGGCACTATCTCGGCTCACTGCAAGCTCCGCCTCCTGAGTTCACGCCATTCTCCTGCCTCAGCCTCCTGAGTAGCTGGGACTATAGGCGCCCGCCACCACGCCTGGCTAATTTTTTTGTATTTTTAGTAGAGACGGGGTTTCACCGTGTTAGCCAGGTTGGTCTCGATCTCCTGACCTTGTGATCCGCCCCCTTCGGCCTCCCAAAGTGTTGGGATTACAGGCGTGAGCCACCGCGCCCGGCCTATAGCAGCTTTATTCATAATTACCAAAACTTGATAAAGAACAAAGATGTCCTCCGTAGGTGAATGGATGAACTCTGGGACATCCATACCATGGATTATTTAATGCTAAAAAGAAATGAGCTATGGCATCATGAAATGACATGGAGGAGCATTAAATGCATGTTATGAAATGAAGGAAGTCAAACTGAAAAGGCTACATGCTATATAATTCCAATTATATGGCTTTTTGGGAAAGGCAAAACTATGGAGACAGTACACAGATCAAGGGTTGCGGGAGGGGAGACACGAATAGGCAAAGACAGAGGATTTTTAGAACAGTAGAACTACTCTGTATGACATTGGAATGATGGACATATTTCAGCATACATTTGTCCAAACCCATGGAATGTACAACACCAAGAGTGAATCCTAATGTAAACGATAGGCTTCGAGTGACTATATCAGTGTAGATTCATCAATTGTAACACATGTAACACACTGGTAGGGAATGCTGATAATGGAAAAGGCTGTGTGAGGGCAGGAACAGGGGCAGGGAGCATTTGGGAAATCTCTGTACCTTCCTCTCAATTTTGCTGTGAACCTAAAACTGCTCTTAAAATATTAAGTCTTTAAGGGGAAAAAAAAGCAGCACAAGAAAACGGGTATCCCCAGCATGGAGGCTGATTGGCTTGGCCGTTCTACAGAAGACAAAGTTGAAGCTCATGACTCCCTAATCTCATGTTTGCCATAGTTCTCGTATAAAGTGAGTGAACGGATAGGAAGCAGAGGCTTAAGCAGAGCAGGTGTCTTGACAGCTCTCGGTGAGGACCCTAAGAGACCTGCAGCAGCCAGGGCTCCACCATTATGCCTAAAGCTATCGAGATGCTTTCAGTGGTGGTTATCTGGGTCTGGCCTGGGGACATGTGATACACAGGTCAGGAGTCATCCGTGTTGGGTTTCAATATCTTACCACAACTGCTATCGAGGGAGGTATAAGTCTCACCATAACTGCCATGGAGTCTCCACCGGGATCTACTCCATCACCACCCCCACTCACTGACAGCACCACCAATGAAAGGAAAGAGTAAAGACTGCTCTTATCATCAGAACCCAGAACCCAGTGGTCAGCAGCAGTGGCTCTGAAAAGGATACCTACACATCAGCTTACAGTAGGGGCAGCAGTAACACCAGGAGAAGAGGGTTAGCAAAAGCAGATTTACCCCTCAGGAAGAAAAATAGCATGGCATAAACATATACAGCTATCAAAGAGATATGGAATTTCAGAGAACAACATAGTGAGCAACTAAATTGAAGTTTGTCAAAATCATGACTGGTGTATTTCCATCCAAATGGTTAGCAACTGAGTACCGGGAAGATTAAGCTCCATGTAGCAGTAATTCTTCACATAAAAATAATTAGAGCAAGGCAGTTTATCAAAGAAGGACAGCAGCTGGAATTCCAGAACTGACTTCTACAGCAAAGGTAGAGCTAGATCTGATTATGTTAGAAATTTCCATGAGGATGATGCCTATGACTGCAGTTAAGAAAGACTTGATGAGAAAAGCTGACCTGAGATTCCCCCATAACTTTCAGCAAATCTTTTTCTAAGGCTTCCAAAGGAAAACTTGTTTTCTTTGGTATCTTAACTTGTCTGATTGCCTTTGCTGGAGGCTAATTTTTCTTCACAAAAATTGCTACATGCTAGGTGGCCACTGCTGATTGAGTGGCTGCTATTGCAACTAGGTACTAGAAGACAGCCAAGGCCAATCCCTATTTCAGGGTAGCCCTGCAGCGAGCTCTGCAGGTACTTTCACTGCCTGCTTTCTGTCTCTGACAATCCGGGTACACAGGAAACCCACCTCTGATGATCAGGCTGTAGGACAGATGCAGAGGTGGTCACGTCTCTCTGCACTTTCCTGAGAACAGCTGTTTTGCATTAGTACCCCTATATGTAAGTTGATGTCAGGCCATTTTGCATTTATAGCATCAACATTAAGTACCAGCTAGTAGGACAAATCAGGGTGTGTGTGTGTGTGTGTGTGTGTGTGTGTGTGTGTAGGAGTTGGGAAGGTGGAGTAATGTGCTTTCAAACCTTGATTTAAAAACCAGCAATCACCAGCCATGTGTTAGTAAACTGCAGCTGGAGGCACCTAAAGAGGAATAGAATAACTCTGTCTTGATACTGTTTTCATTTGTCCTTAATTAGCCTTCACATCTTATATTTATCCAGATAGAGCACGCACTGAGCTATGTCAAATTCTGCATGCTGTTTCTCTTCTGTGGCATGTGACTATAAGGTGACTGTGATCCGCTCCTATCAGTGGCTGTCTCACTGTTCCCACTACTAAGGGTGGAGCCCCGTTCCCTGAGGCTTACCATCAGTCCCTGGAAATGGAAAGGACTTCATGAGGCGTTAACTTTCCTGGGCTGTCTCAAGAGCACTGCAGCTGTAAAGCACTCAGCACCTTCTTAGTTGTCCCGAAGGAGAGATGGGCTTCCTTGTGTGCCTGCCTTACTTAGCACCAATGCAGTGGCACTCAGGACTCGTTGCTTTCTCTAGCTTTGGACCTCTTTCCCTTTGTCACTGACATTAATAACTTTTTGATGCATCATAAGAATGGTTGTACCATGTCATGGACTACTGTAAGAACACATCCTGATATATACTTATTTGACTATGTAGCAGTGAAATGGCTGTGTGTATATAGCTTACGCAGTTCAGACTTATCACCGTAGTATCCAGTTAGTGCACCTCTGTTTTTATTAGGACGGAATGATGCCAAGAGTGCAACTGGCAACATGCAAGAGGGTTTGCTGTGACCAGTGGCCAGTCACGTGTCAAAGGAAACACAGATCATTTCCTTTGACATGTGACTTCACTCTCTGCCCCTAAAATTTGTGGAGCCTGATTCTCATGCTTCCTTGTGAAGCACATAAAGCCTTTTTCCAAAATCAGAAAGCCCATATCTGAACAGTGTCCTCCAGGGAGAATATCAATTCCTGACTTTCTCAGAACTTTGCTGGGTATTTGCCATTGATTTCAATGGCAAGAAAATAGATTTATGCAGTGATGTGGAGATATAGTCCACCACCACCCCTGAAAAAAAAAATCAACAACATAAAAAAAGTCATTTTGCCCTGTTTCCAAGAGAAAGTATCCTCTGATTTTAAAATTAAAGCCAATGATATAAACCAAATTTTATGTTAAATACACATATTTTGCACTTAATATTGACATCAAAAAAATTTATAATCCCCATATTATGATAAGTTCTGGGAAGAAACAATATACAGGAAAGATTACACAATACGCAGGAAAAAAGCACACACACACACACACACACAAGTGATTAGAAAAGCAATAGAAAAAGAAACATTTACAGTTCTATCAGAAGAAACACTTGATTCCATTCTGCCTTGAGGGCAGTTACCCTTAAGTAACTACTAACATATCTACAAACGTCTGCAAACAGAGAGAGAGAAAAAGAGAAAGAAAGAGGGAGATGATCTCAAGGATCCCCAAAATCGAAGTATTCTATGCAGACCCATTGATCAATCATAGCATCATTAAAAGTGGGACAACCAGGCCGGGCATGGTGGCTCATGCCTGTAATCCCAGCACTCTGGGAGACCGAGGCGGGCAGATCACTTGAGGTCAGGAGTTCGACACCAGCCTGGGCAACATGATGAAGCCTTGTCTCCACCAAAAAATAAAAAAATTAGCCAGGAGTTGTAGTGCGTGACTGTAGTCCCAGCTACTTGGAAGGCTGAGGCAGGAGAACCACTTGAACCCGGAGGCAGAGGTTTCAGTGAGCCGAGATAGTGCCACTGCACTCCAGCCTAGGTGACAGAGTGAGACTCTGTCTCAAAAAAAAAAAAAAAGTGGGTCAACGAGACATTTTGTGTCCACAGATGTGCTACAATAAGAAGTGCACAGCACCACCTATAGAATGCCTTGCCATAAAGTCAAGCCTGACCTTGGACTGATACTATAGAAATACAAGAATAGTTAAATCTCACCACAAGGAAGCAATCAGCCAAATCTAGCATGTGAGAAATAGTATAAAGCAAATAAAAAAAGAAGAAGAAGAAGAAAGGAAGGGAAACTGTTATTGATTTAAAGAGACACAATAGTCAAACACATTGTGTATATGTGGTTTGCTTGGTTTTAAAACTTTTTTTAAAACAGAACTAGATTATATTTCAAAACACAACTTCTGTATAACCAAAAAATAAAACACCACAATAAAATGAATGAGAAAAAAACATATTTGCAATTCTTGACAAAATGTTAACATCTTTAGTCATAAATGAACTCTTCAGAAATCAGTACTAACAGACTCACATTACAAGGGAAGTGAAAACAAAAGGAAAAGAGGAAAATGGAATAGCACAAATGAGTTATAAGGCTATATGATCTTCATCTTGATATGGTTAACATTACTAGATGAGAAAGAAATTTCATTATAAATTACATTATCGATGCTTACAAATATTGATATCTGATGTTTGTACAGCTTTAGGAAATGAAGAATTCTCAAATACTGGGGCAAGTTACTCTAGTCATGGGGAGTTTACCCAAAAATGTAGATTTTTGCATAAATTTGGCCCAGGCAGTTCTCAACGATAGGAATCACTCCAACAAATAGTTGGATACACACCCACACACATGCACATACATGTTTACTACATAGAAAATGTGTAAGTAATCTATTATCCCCCAAGAAACTACTTATGTATCCACTGGTTTATGAAATAATAGACTGGGGGTAGAAATAGAAAGAAAAAAGACACTTAAGTAAAAATACTACATTTCACAAAATTCTGTGTCCTTTGAATTCTTATGAAAGATTTTTAATTAATCAGTTTTATATTTACCTTGTTATTAGTGAAAATTATAAATATATGCACTTCATAGTGATGCTGCCAGACATATAAGGCATAATTTCAACAAACCAATTGTAATGAGATATTTCCAGATGATTGGAGCAAGTGATTATGGGCTGAGTATTAAATGATATTAAGAAATTTTTGTCAATTTTGATAGGTATGCTAATGAATAGGTAAAAAGAAGAAAAGAAATTCTTACCAATTGAGCAGGTTCTTTCAACCTCTACACTTTTGACTTTGGACAAGGTAATTCTTTGCAGTGGGTCTGTGCCACTGTGGGATATTTAACAGCATTGTTGGCCTGTACCGCCTAGATGCCAGTAACACCATTCCCTACCAAACTGTGACAACCACTACTGTCTCCAGATACTGGCAAGTGTCGACTGGTTAAGAATCACTGAGTTAGAGACGCATGGAGATATGAATGAAAGGATATAATAGTTGAGATTTGATTTTAAATACTCTAGCCAAAAAAGGCTGTGGGGGGTGCTAGTTGATAGGTGAAACTTTAATAGCATAACTTTTATTTTAGTTGAAGCTGAGTGATGAATGCGTAGAGATTCATAATACTATTCTGTCTATCTTTGTGTCTGAATTTTTTTTTTTGAGATGGAGTTTCGCTCTTGTTGCCCAGGCTGGAGTGCAATGGCATGACCTCAGCTCACTGCAACGTCCACCTCCCAGGTTCAAGGGATTCTCCTGCCTCAGCCTCCCTAGTAGCTGGGATTACAGGTGCCTGCTACCACGCCTGGCTAATTTTTGGTATTTTTAGTAGAGACGGGGTTTCACCATTTTGGTCAGGCTGCTCTCAAACTCCTGACCTCGGGTGATCCACCAGACTCAGCCTCCCAAAGTGCTGAGGTTACAGGCGTGAGCCACTGTGCCCAACCCTGTTTGATTTTTTAAAATTCAATCTGTTAATAAAACCTAACACAGGTTTGCCAATAGGTTTTCCTTTGAATGCCCTCTTTCAGAGTTGCCTCACTGTCTTCTGCAAAAACTCCCCACAGACATGTTTCCCAGCTCCTGAAGTAACACTTCCAGAATTCCTACCTGACATCATAAGAACAGGCTCAGCCTGTTTCACTGCTTCACCAATCCATGTTGCTAAAGCCCAGAAGCAGAAAATATTAGCTAGAGGCAGAGCTGGTGTTAAAGATAAATGTAATGGATACCTACAAGTTCCCCCAAACCCTCACTGACACTACTGCTAACAAAGAAAAACACCTTCTCCTGTTGCCTTATCCTCACTCTTGAAGGGATTCATGTATTGGATGGATAAATAAACCTTGAAAATTCCTTCTAACGTAAAGATTGCATAAAGCTATAAAATTCCACCATTATAATCCCATCCCTTTCTCTTTTAGTTTAAATCCCTGTTAACATGCCAAGGAGTAGAAAGGGTAGACATTGAGATTCAGAATGTAGAGAATAGATGAGCAGAGGAAATGTGATGGGGCACAGGGAGAGGCCTGGAGGATTCCCACTCCTGGGGCGTGCAGGAGGGAGTTGTTCTCTAGATGAGTTCTAGGCGCTTGGGTGGGTATTTTTTTAGTCGTTTTCTTCATGCTGTACAGCGAGAAGAGTGGCAACCAAAAAGTAAAACTTTTGGGAAATTTTTCAGCCATTCCAAATTATAACCAAAGAGTTCACTCCAAGGCACAAAGTCATCAAACTGAAGTAGAGGAAAAGAAGTTGCTAGATGTGGTTATGAAGTGAGTGTGAAACGCAGTCTGTTGGAATGATGCTTATAATTTAGTTGAAGGAAGAAAACTTGCATGCCTGGGTAAAGTAATTAATCATGAGGCCTGGATGCCACCAGCTGACATGGGGAAGAGCTGATAGCCTGAGAGTTGCTCTTAGCAGGATGAGAAAGCAAAATGGCTGAGGGAGAACTGGAAGTCTTCTTCACAGTAGAGAAGAAATTTCAGCCAACATTCAAAGTTGAGTAGGGTTTGGATTAGCTAAGACTTTTCATAGGAGAGAAACTGTGAGAGCAAAAGTGTTCAACAGATGTTTATGAAGTATCATCTATGTAGTAGGTACTGTGTTGAGGTTGACATTGTGCAAAGATGCAGAAACTGATGCCCTAACATTCCAAAGGCTTACAGCTTAGGATAGAATAAGTAGAGTCATTGTCAAAAGTGTGGAGAAAACAGTGATTGGAGATGGGGATCTGTATGAGTCAGGGTTCTCCAGAGAAACAGAACCAGTAGAGAAAGAGAGAGAGAGAGAGTGTGTGTGTGTGTGTGTGTGTGTGTGTGTGTGTGTGTGTGCTTCCCCACACATGCGTGCATCTGGGGGCTGGCAGACTGGAGACCCAAGGAAGAGATGCAGCTCAAGTCCAAAGACAGTCTGGAGGCAGACTTTCTTCTAACTCAAGAGACCTCAGTCCTTTCTCTTAAGGCCTTATACCGATTGCATGAGGCCCACCCACATTACAGACGGCAATCTGCTTTACTCAAAGTCTACTGATTTACGTGTTAATCACTTTTCAAAATAAAAAATTTAAAAAAAAACACCTTTACAGCGAGAGGTAAACTGAAGTTTTACCAAACATCTGGACACCATGGCCTGGCCATGCTGACACATAAAAGTAGCCATCACAGGATGGGATGTGTGTAAGGAACATAAGTCAATGATTGGGTGTTATGAAAGCAAGAGCAGGATGATCTTGAGCACTTAACTACCCAGCATACTGTAGAAAGAACAGGCTATGTGAATATCTCATAGTTTGCGCACACAACACTACCCTGTTATCTTTACCCTTAAGAAAAGCAATAGTGACTACTCCATATCACACAACAATTACTGTGTGGTTGGCACTTCTCTCCCAGGAAATCATCCTGAACTCTGATGATGATGCCCGATTACCATGCCCTAATCTGAAAAGCAGGAAGGCCCAAGTCTTTAACTTTCTTATTGCTACAGTCAGACAGCACCAGGTGCACCCAGGAGCTATTTTGCATTTCAAAAGGCCTCAATGAATATAAAAGATATTTAGCTGTCAGCTTTGAAGTTCTTGAAAGCAATTCGTATTTTCTGTTTTAGGTCGAAATAAGTAATGACATTGAACCAGAAATGCGGCTGCTGAACTTGACTTAGGGAGCAAAGGACCATTGACTGCGCGCCTCGGTGGATCCGACCCGCCTGACATTCCTTCCAGAGGCTAGACTGTGCTTCCTGGCTTTCCCACGAATCATGGAGCATTTTGGTCACAGCCTTTGTATTATTAGCATTGTTCTCTAGATGAGTTCTAGGTGCTTGGGTGGGTATTTTTTTAGTCGTTTTCTTCTTATATGAACACTTGTAAGTTGTAAAAAAAAAAAAAAAAGAAAAAACAGAATTTGGTTTTAAATTTTTAACAATATTTAATGTGAGGCATGCAAAATGAAAAAGCAAATCTGTGAAAACCTTCTACAGTCAATTCTAAGAGAAATCTCAGTGTGTGCTGTGGAGATGTTAAGTCAGCACTGCTGACTGTTGAAGTTATTCTAGGCCTGATGAATTTGTTTTAGCAGACATTACCTGTGGTTATCAGCCACCAAGGTAGACCCTGTGACAGCTGATAAATAGGTACAAATAATGGATCCAGCTTTTGGATTGAATATGGGTCATTTTTTCAACAGCATAAAACAAAACATGGAGTCCTCCTTTGTTCCTGACTTCTTAAAACCCAGAACGATATTATGGCAATCTAAATTTTCAGATTCGTGCATATCTTGTTTTTCCTGATATATATATATATGTAGGCACATGGAAGAGTAAAAGGATTAGTAGAACCCCTTTCCCCTTTGGAGGGAATATGGGTGTCTCTGAGGTCCATATTTTCTACTCATTATTCCATTCCTGACACTGCTGTCAGACCTAAACATACAGCTCATGGGCTTGTGGGACAGAAATCACAAACATAGACCTGCAGTCAGGAACTTTTCTCTTAGGATATTCAAAAGAAGCCTGAAAATGCTGTAGCATTCTCTATAAATACTTCTAAAGGAGACATTCACGTGTGAGCAACATCAGCTTTTCTTTCTCCTACCCCTTCCCAATAACCAAGAAAATGATATGGGAAGCAATTATCTGTGGAAAAAAGGACTGTCTTGAAAACGCATCACAGTTGTATTTTTTTAACTGGCATAAAACTTACATATGGTAAAATGCACAAATATTAATGGTACGATTTGATTAGTTTTGAAAAATGTACATACCCATGTAACCAAGGCCTCAATCAAAATGCAGAACATTTCCGTCACTTTAAAAAATTCCCTTATGCCCTCTTTCAGGCAATGCCTACATTCTCACAGACAACCACTGTGCTAATTTTCATCATCACTGATAATTTGGTCTGTTCTCAATATAAAATATATACACTTTTCACATCACTTTTGCCCACACTTCTCAATCACTATTTTTTATATGAAAATAAGTTTTGCTCACTTTGTGTAACGACCACAGTGAAGCTCCCTATAGGCCAGAAAGTTGTGAATATGTGGTTATTAACTCAGCCCATGCATCTCTAAGAAGTCCGTCTATTAACCACCTAAAACTGTTACAAATATTTGTATGTGTGTGAAAGTCTTTTTTCTTCTTGTTCTTCTTTCGGAGCCTATAGGTTTCATGAGACTCTGTTAAGAATCAGAGTTTAATGTGACAAAGTTTGCCTTCATTCCTCCAAGCTCATCACAACCACAGTGAGCCATTTGGAGACCTAATTTACTCACTAGCCTCCAGATTTTACCCCTTTAATCCATTGGTACCCACAAACTCCCATTACTTTTTTTTCTGCTTAATAAATCCAAATTCAAATAAAGAAAAGCTGGCAGGGACCTTGAAGATGGTGGAATCCAAGCCACTATTCTGCAGATGAGGGGGCTGAAGCCTAAGGGATTTGGTGAACTTGTCCAGAGCCTGTATCTGTACACAGGGGCAAGAGCCATAGCCAGTGGACAGAGAACATGGGAGCAAAAGTTGGGGTTTGGGTCCCATCCACCACCATGTTCTTGGACAGTGTTTGCCATCTCTGCACTACAGTTTTCCTCATCAATGAAGTGGAACTATGATCCCTACCTCCCAAAGGTGAGGTGAGAATTTAACGAAAAATGTAAAAAAATTCTCAGTACACAGTGAAGCACTCCACAATTAAAGGAGGTGATTATTATTAATAATGTCAAAACACTCCTCTGTACCCTGTCTGGAGCTCTTGCTTTCCACTCAAGCGCTATGAAGAGCCCACAGAAACAACAAACTCTGTTTTTTAAAAAGCAGCTGGGAAAACCTTGCCCAAGTTTAAATGATTTGAAATAAACTAAAAAATGCTTTAATTTAAAAATAACATTAATATTCAAGTTCCAAAACTAATGCCAATAATTATTGTTAGTATTGTTACGATTATTGAAAAAGCTGATAAAACATCAAAACTGTAGAGAGTCAGTAAAAAAGGATAAAATGAGTATTGACATATTTTAAACTGTCACTTAATTACCCCCACACATACACATGCAAATAAAATGTGGTTAACATTTCACAAAATAGAACCATACTAAATTTTGTTTCTATTTTATCTTCACGTGAATTTGTACATAGTTCTAGTAGGCACTGCAGAGTCTGAACTTAGTCTAAGTGCAGATAACAGCTTTGAGGAAAAAATCCTTACCTTAGTGATTTGTCTATGAATATTCAATGTAGGCAACTATTTAATATGGTGTATATGTTTTCATTTTTAATCTTTCTTCACTTAAATATGAAGTTATAACTGTTTCAATCTCCAACCTCAGCAATCCATAAAGATTGTCCTAACATTCTGGATATTTGCCACTCATCAGAAACAAGTTAGATTGATCTGCCACCTCCTCTTCTCTCTTTTCTTCTCCCTGCCTTTCATCTTCCTGGTTTCTCTTTGAGGGCTATGCTTCTGTAAGACAAAGGGAAAAAAAGAAGTGCAGAGTTGTACAGTAATACTTGGCAATTACCCGTTAATCTGGGTAATTCCAATGAAGTACTGTCACAGTTACTGTTCCATGGAAATGAGCATTTGCAGTTATTGCTTTTGCCTCCAGTCTTATAGAATGCACTCTGCATTGTGCGTATCCAGTAGGGTTTTCAGCAAAGACATGGTCACTACATGCACTGTATGTTCTTGCCAAACCTCAGCTTCTCCATATGCAATTGTGTGTCTGGTCAGAGTAAGGGAAAATGAATGCATCCCTTAGCTTGCATTCATTGGTCAGAATCTTAACTATCTTAAGAGATGGTGCAGCTCTAGATTCAATAGCTCTCCTCAGAAGTGGCCCTGGCAAAACTGAAGATAGGACATCCACTGCTCTTTAGCTTCTAGTGCTGACTGGAATGGTGAACATTTAAAGCCAGTGTTTTTCCTCTTGGAGCCACCTTAGCACTGAGTCTTGTAAACCTTGGCCAGCCCTTCCTCAGGCCGTGCCTTCTATCTTGTGTGAATGATGCATCCTTTCTTAAGCGTCTTCTGCTGACCTCGTGCAGCACCGCAGGAAGCTGGGATGCTTTCGAGCTTACTTTTTCTTTATTTGAGCTTCTGGTCATGTTTCAAAGCCATCAAAATCTAAGCAAGGGAGTTACAGGGAGGGTTAGAGAATTACCAAAGGACACAAAATGTCTTGGGTTGTGGAATAGCACACATCAGAGAAATCTCAAACATCTCTTAGGAAAATCTCTAAATGTGTATATCCCCAAGTATCTTAGCCTTCCACCTACCACATAAAGTGAGGGTATGTGTCCCTCAAATGAGAAAAATGAAAACACACTTTCTTACCACTTCAAATCTGGGAGGTGGTTGGCTCATTTGTTTTGAAGATACTCGACACTTTGCCCTAGCAAAATATTGACTTCTTTGATTTTTCCTTCAGAAAAATAAGCCCTGTTATTCCTATAGACCTAAATAAGGGAGGCAGCCAGTTTCAAGAGGCTGGCTCTAACAAAATATACCAAGGCTGTCATCTGTCTCACTTAATGAATGGGAAACTCCTGATTGAGAAGAATTTGTCTTCATTAAAACTAGCTAAAATGTACATTGCAAATCTGAAGAAAACAATCATGACTCTGCTAATTTGAGAAGCAAAAACCAAAATTTCTCTTTTCAATCTTTGCAAATTAAAAAGGAATCTTGCCAAGAATAAACAAATCTTCATTTCATACCTAATTTTAAAACGAATTGTGTCCCCAAATATGGTCTATTCTGGCTAATCATTTTTTAAGCAAATCCTCACTTACTTTTTCTGAGTCACTTTAGTATGTAACTAGGATAAATTTCATAGTTGATCAGAATGCAAATGTTCTAACTTGACATTTTTGCCCAAGATACGTTCTTTCCAGGTATAGCTGAATTAAGTAGGAAAAATATAAATAATTGCTCTTTTAAAACTATAACAACTTGAATGCCTGCGGTTTTATTTCCATCTAATTTAAAAGTTATCTGTAACCTTTGTTTGATAGAAGGTCTGTTGAAGTGTCTAAGAACCATGTTGAAATATTTGTGATAAATAGGCCACAACTTAAGGATATTATGCCCAAAAGTGAACTGACAGAGGAAAGTACTCTTCATATAACTGCACAGTGAACAATTTAGAAAGGGAACAGATGACCAGACACAGTGGCTCATGCCTGTAATCCCAAAGCTTTGGGAAGTTGAGATGAAAGAATCACTTGAGGCCAGGAGTTCAAGACCAGCTTGGGCAAAATAGTGAGACCGTATCTCTACAAAAACAAACAAATAAACAAAAAATACCTAAAAAAAAATTTAAATTAGCCAAGCATGGTGGCATGTACCTATGACCCCAGCCACTTGAGGGACTGAGGGAAGGGAAGATTACTTGAGCCCAGGAATTAGAGGCTGCAGTGAGTGCACTACTGCACTCCAGCCTAGGCAATACAGCAAAAGCCTGTCTCTAAAAAGAGAGAGAGATAAGTAGATATGTTTTAATTATTAGAAGAAGGTATTTATCAATAAAGAATTCTCAAAAAAATGGAATTATCAAAAAATTCAAAAGTTATGGGTAGCATCTCTTTTTCATCTGAAAAAGCTTAGTTTCTTATTGAAGACTAAAAAGAAAAATGCCACTTCTTGAAGGTGGATACAGCTTCTTAAATATTGGTATTTGTAGAAAAATTTGGTGGCAGGCAAAACTTGAATCATCTTTCTTGAACTTGCATTCAAATAAAGGGTAAAAATCATGTTAAATGCTAAACATTTTTAAAAACTGAAATATTTAAAGAATCCAAAATATGCTTTAGCTTAAACTTGAGAGCTAAGTTAAGTAAAAAGAAGAAAAGAATAGAAGGTAGAAAGGAAGGGAGAGGAAAATGGAGAGAAGATGAGGAAGAGAAAGAGAAAGAAAGGGAATGGACAAGGAGACAGGAAGGAAGAATCCAAAGTTGAAAGTCACCTAATTGGGATTTGAACAGTCAGTTTTTAACTCAGAATTTTGTTCTTGTTTCTTTGATTGACTAAAAACATTGAATCATTTTCCATGTAAGGCATGTTTTTCCTTTCCTCTTCAGAGTTATTTAGAAACAGTTCAAAGAAACCAATAATCTATCCATTTCTTCTCATAGAATTTGCTTTGGCAGACAACTTAGTCTATATTAGTTAGGATTAGGTTTACCTACAAGTAACAGAAAAAGAAAAATGACAATGGATTAAATAACATAGAGGTCTATTTCTCTTTTTATTTCGAAATTCTGGAGACAGTCAGCAAAGAGCCGGATGTGATTTCCCTAGAGACAAGGACCGAGACTCCTCTCATTGCTTCATCCTCTGTGGCCGCCATTTTTAAGACCATAACATGACTCAAAATGGCTGCTGAAGCTTCAGCCATTGGTTTTGTATTCTGGCCTTGGAGGTGGAGAAGGAACAAAAGGAATGTTTCTTTCCTTTAAGGATATGCCTCAGAAATACACACACTACTTCTGTTTACATCTCATTAGCCAAAACTTGGTCCACCCCCAACTTTGCAGTGAAGAAACCTGGGTATTATAGTCTTTATTCTTAATGACTTTATGCTTAACTAAAAAGTAAGAGCTTTGCTGGACATGGTGGCTTATGCCTGTAATTTCAGCAATTTGGAAGGCCAAGGCGTGCAGATCACTTGAGCTTACGAGTTCGAGACCAGCCTGAGCAACATGGCAAAACCCCATACCTACAAAAAATACAAAAACCAGCTGTGGCGGTGTGTGCCTATAGTCCCAGCTACTTGGGAGGTTGAAGTAGGAGGGTTGTTTGAACCTGGGAGACGGAGGTTGCAGTTAGCCAAGATCATGCCACTGCACTCCAACCTGGGAGATGGAGCCAAACCTTGTCTCAAAAAAAAAGCGGGGGGGGCTTCATTTATTAGTAAGAAGGAAAAATATTTATAAAATCATACTTAGCAGTTTCAATCACACAGTTCAAACTAATTGACATGATTTCTTGGAACAGTGTTTTCATTTGTAGTACTTTATAACACATTCTAGAAAAAATGTACATATATTCTTCAGTACTGTGAGAGATTTAATCATCAAGTATGTGAAATGAGAATTTCTGCCTCATCTTGTTTCCTTATCTTGTCTTTGTGGTTAGAAAGAAATGAAAATAAATCAGTAGCACTACATCCTTCTAGGTTTCCCATAATTTTGCAGACAGGTTTAGCTTTTCTTCTCTAGAATTGAGTTTAAAATTCTAGAGCCAATCTAACATTTTGCTTGGTCCTCATTGTGCTGCCACAATAAATTAATTCTTCTATGGTCATAACACTTGGCTATTTTATTTTGGTAGGGCCTTCTCTTCTGAATTGATTGGTAGTGTTGTTATTTTCTTGTTATTCAGTTTAACAAGTACATAATCAACATCAGTGCTTGGGAAGTCAGGAGTACGAGAGATAAATAAGAAGTATATGATCTTTTCTCTTATTTTCTCTCAGTATAAGTTGGACCTGTTTTTCCCTTCATCTCTTTTTCTTCAAGAACATAATATCGGCTGAAGTGGAATGAGTATTCAAATTGTCCAAAAAAATATACAAGTGAGGGAATTAATAAAATTTTTTGTAATTATAAATATGTATATATTGGGGGGCAAAATATGACTTTTTATTTTTATTTTTAACCACCAGATTGAGTATGTTGATACATCAAATGCCAGTCTTTTATCTTCCTAGTTTTTCAAATAGAAAAGTGATACTAACATCAATAATTAAACTTCCCAAGATTTTTTTGTCTCTCTCTGAATCAAGTTCGTCGTCTATTTACGTGCTTCTCAGTTGACATTTGTGAAGGCAGATTATACACATGAGACAGTGGTGAATAAATCCACCCCAAAATTCCTTTGCAGATCTTGAGTATTTGCCAATATTCTCTATGATTTATTTACATTCTTTTTTCATATATATACTTTAAGTTCTGGGATACATGTGCAGAATGTGCAGGTTTGTTACATAGGTATACATGTGCCATGGTGGTTTGCTGCACCCATCAATTCATCATCTACATTAGGTATATCTCCTAATGTTATCCCTCCCCTTGTCCCCCACTCCCCAACAGGCCCTGGTGTGTGATGTTCCCCTCCCTGTGCCCATATGTTCTCATTGTTCAACTCCCACTTAAGAGTAAGAATATGCAGTGTTTGTTTTTTGTTCCTGTGTTAGTTTGCTGAGAATGATGGTTTCCAGCTTCATCCATGTCCCTGCAAAGGACATTAACTCATTTTTTATGGCTGCATAGTATTCCATGGTGTATATGTGCCACATTTTCTTTATCCGTTCTAACATTGATGGGCATTTGGGTTGGTTCCAAGTCTTTGCTATTGTGAATAGTGCTGCAATAAACATAGGAGTGCATGTGTCATTATAGTAGAATGATTTATAATCCTTTGGGTATACACCCAGTAGGGGATTGCTGGATCAAATGGTATTTCTAGTTCTAGATCCTTGAGGAATTGCCACACTGTCATCCACAATGGTTGAAGTAAATTACACTCCCACCAACAGTGTTAAAAGCATTCCTATTTCTCCACATCCTCTCCAGCCTCTGTTGTATCCTTTTTAATGATCGCCATTCTAACTGGTGTGAGGTGGTATCTCATTGTCGTTTTGATTTGCATTTCTCTAATGACCAGTGATGATGAGATTTTTTTTTACGTTTGTTGGCTGCATAAATGTCTTCTTTTAAGAAGTGTCTATTCATATCCTTAACCCACTTTTTGATGGAGTTGTTTTTTTTCTTGTAAATTTGTTTAAGTTCCTTGTAGATTCTGGATATTAGCCCTTTGTCAGATGGATAGGTTGCAAAAATTTTCTCCCATTCTGTAGGTTGCCTGTTCACTCTGATAATAGTTTCTTTTGCTGCACAGAAGCTCCTTAGTTTAATTAGATCCCATTTGTCAATTTTGGCTTTTGTTGACATTGCTTTTGGTGTTTCAGTCATGAAGTCTTTGCCCATGCCTGTGTCCTGAATGGTATTGCTTAGGTTTTCTTCTAGGGTTTTAATGGCTTTGGGTTTTACATTTAAGTTTTTAAGCCATCTTGAGTTAATTTTTGTACAAGATGTAAGGAAGGGGTCCAGTTTCAGTTTTCTGCGTATGGCTAGCTAATTTTCCCAGCACCATTTATTAAATAGGAAATCCTTTCCCCATTGCTTGTTTTTATCAGGTTTGTCAAAGATCAGATGGTTGTAGATGTGTGGTGTTATTTCTGAGGCCTCTGTTCTGTTGCATTGGTCTATATATCTGTTTTAGTAAAAGTACCATGTTGTTTTGGTTACTGTAGCCTTGTAGTATAGTTTGAAGTTAGGTAGCATGATGCCTCCAGCTTTGTTCTTTTTGCTTAGGATTGTTTTGGCTATATGGGCTCTTTTTGGTTCCCTATGAAATTTAAAGTAGTTTTTTCTAATTCTGTGAAGAAAATCAATGTTAGTTTGATGGGAATAGCATTGAATCTATAAATTACTTTGGGCAGTATGGCCATTTTTACAATATTGATTCTTCCTATCCATGAGCATGGAATGTTTTTCCATTTGTTTGTGTCCTCTCTTATTTCCTTGAGCAGTGGTTTGTAGTTCTTGAAGAGGTCATTCACATCCCTTGTAAGTTGCATTCCTAGGTATTTTATTCTCTTTGTAGCAATTGTGAATGGGAGTTTGTTCATGATTTGGCTCTCTGTTTGTCTATTATTGGTGTATAGGAATGCTTGTGATTTTTGCACATTGATTTTGTATCCTGCAACTTTGCTGAAATTGCTTATCTCTTTAAGGAGTTTTGGGGTTGAGACAATGGGGTTTTCTAAATGTACAACCATATCATCTGCAAACAGAGATAATTTGACTTTCTCTCTTCCTATTCGAATACGCTTTATTTCATTCTCTTGCCTGTTTGCCCTGGCCAGAACTTCTAATACTGTGTTGAATAGGAGTGGTGAGACAAGCCACCCTTGTCTTGCGCCAGTTTTCAAAGGGAGTGCTTCCAGTTTTTGCCCATTCAGTGTGATATTGGCTGTGGGTTTGTCATAACAGCTCTTATTATTTTGAGATATGTTCCATCAATACCTAGTTTATTGAGTGTTTTTAGCATGAAGGAGGGTTGAATTTTGTCGAAGGCCTTTTCCGCATCTATTGAGATAATCATGTGGTTTTTGTCATTGGTTCTGTTTATGTGATGGATTACATTCATTCATTTGCATATGTTGAAACAGCCTTGCATCCCAGGGATGAAGCTGACTTGATCATGGTGGGTAAGCTTTTTAATGTACTGCTGCATTTCTTTTGCCAGTGTTTCATTGGGGATTTTCACATAGATGTTCATCAGGGATATTGGCCTGAAATTTTCATTTTTTGTTGTGTCTCTGCCTGGGATTGGTATCAGAATGATGCTGGCCTCAAAATATGAGTTAGGGAGGAGTCTGTCTTTTCTACTGTTTGGAATAGTTTCAGAAGGAATGGTACCAGCTCCTCTTTGTAACTCTGGTAGAGTTCAGCTATGAGTCCATCTGGTCCTGGGCTTTTTTTTTTAGTTGGTCAGCTATTAATTACTGCCTCAATTTCAGAACTTGTTATTGGTCTATTCAGGGATTCAACTTCTTCCTGGGTTAGTCATGGTAGGGTGAATGTGTCCAGGAATTTATCCATTTCTTCTAAATTTTTTAGTTTATTTGGATAGAGTTGTTTGTAATATTCTCTGACGGTAGTTTGCATTTCTGTGGGATTAGTGGTGATCTCCACTTTATCACTTTTTATTGTGTCTATTTGATTCTTCCCTCTTTTCTTCTTTATTAGCCTGGCTAGCCATCTAAGTATTTTGTTAATCTTTTCAAAAAACCATCTCCTGTATTCATTGATTTTTTGAAGGGTTTTTCGTATCTCTTTCAGTTCTGTTCTGATCTTAGTTATTTCTTGTCTTCTGCTAGCTTTTGAAATAGTCTGCTCTTGTTTCTTTAATTCTTTTAATTGTGATGTTAGCGTGTTGATTGTAGATGTTTAGATTTTAGATGTTTAGATGTTTCCCACTTTCTCCTGTGAGCACTTAGGTCTATAAATTTCCTTCTAAGCACTCCCTCTAAGCTCTATCCCAGAGATTCTGGTACATTGTGTCTTTGTTCTTGTTGGTTTCAAAGAACTTATTTATTTCTGCTGTGATCTCATTATTTTCCCAGGAGTCATTCAGAAGCAGGTTGTTCAGTTTCCATGTAGTTGTGTGGTTTTGAGTGAGTTTCTTAATCCTGAGTTCTAACTTGATTGCACTGTGGTCTGAGAGACTGTTTGTTATGGTTTTCATTCTTTTGCATTTGCTGATGAGTGTTTTACTTCCAGTTATGTGGTCGATTTTAGGAAAATGTGCTATGTGATGCTGAGGAGAATGTATATTCTGTTGATTTGGGGTGGAGAGTTCTGTAGATATCTATTAGGTCTGCTTGGTCAAGAGGTGAGTTCAAGTCCTGAATATCCTTGTTAATTTTCTATCTCGGTGATCTGTCTAATACACACAATGGAGTGTTAAAGTCTCCCACTATTATTGTGTGGTAGTCTAAGTCTCTTTGTAGGTCTCTAAGAACTTGCTTTATGAATCTGGGTGCTCCACTATTAGGTGCATACATATTTAGGATAGTTAGCTCTTCCTGTTGCATTGATCCTTTTACTATTATGTAATGGCCTTCTGTGTCTGTTTTGATTTTTGTTGGCTTAAAGTCTGTTTTACCAGAGGCTAAGATTGCAACCCCTGCTTTTTTTTGCTTTCCATTTGCCTGGTAAATATCTCTCCATCCTTTTATTTTGAGCCTATGTGTGTCTTTGCACATGAGATGGGTCTCGAATACAACACACCAATGGGTTTTGACTCTTTATCCAATTTGCCAGTCTGTGCCTTTTAATTGGGGCATTTAGCCCATTTACATTTAAGGTTAATATTGTTATGTGTGAATTTGATTCTGTCATTATGATGATAGCTGGTTATTTTGCCCATTAGTTGATGCAGCTTCTTCATAGTGTCGATGGTCTTTACATTTTGGAATGTTTTTGCAGTGGCTGGTACTGGTTGTTCCTTTCCATATTTAGTACTTCTTTCAGAAGCTCTTGTAAAGGCAGGCTTGGTGTGACAAAATTCCTCAGCATTTGCTTGTCTGTAAAGGATTTTATTTCTCCTTCACTTGTGAAGCTCAGTTTGGCTGGATATGAAATTCTGGGTTGAAAATTCTTTTCTTTAAGAATGTTGAATATTAGCCCCCAATCTCTTGTGGCTTTTAGGGTTTCTGCAGAGAGATCTGCTGTTAGTATGATGGGCTTCCCTTTGTAGGTAACCCAACTTTTCTCTCTGGCTGCCCTTAACATTTTTTCTTTCAGTTCAACCTTGGTGAATCTGACGATTATGTGTCTTGGGGTTGCTCTTCTCAAAGAGTATCTTTGTGGTGTTCTCTGTATTTCCTGAATTTGTATTCTGTATTTCCTAAGCCTGCCTTGCGAGGTTGGGGAAGTTCTCCTGGATTATATCCTAAATTGTGCTTTCCAACTTGATTCCATTCTCCCCATCACTTTTAGGTACACCAATCAAACGTTGGCTTGGTCTTTTCACATAGTCCCATATTTCTGAGAGGTTCTGTTCATTCCTTTTCCATTTTTTTCTTCTAATCTTGTCTTCATGCTTTATTTCCTTAAGTTGATCTTCAGTCTCTGATATCCTTTCTTCTGCTTGATCGATTCAGCTATTGATACTTGTGTATGCTTCATGAAGTTCTCGTGCTGTGTTTTTCAGCTCCATCAGGTCATTTGTGTTCTTCTCTAAACTGGTTATTCTCTAAACTGGTTATTCTAGTTAGCAATTCCTCTAACCTTTTATCAAGGTTCTTAGCTTCCTCGTATTGGGTTACTATATGTTCCATTCGCTCTGAGGAGTTCGTTATTACCCATCTTCTGAAGCTTACTTCTGTCAATTTGTCAAACACATTCTCCATTCAGTATTGTTCCCTTGCTGGTAAGGAGTTGTGATCCTTTGGAGGAGAAGAGGCGTTCTGGTTTTGGGAATTTTCAGCCTTATTGGACTGGTTTTTCCTCATCTTTGTGGCTTTATCTACCTTTGGTCTTTGGCATTGGTGACCTTTGGAAGGAGTGTTTACATGGTCATGCTCTTTGTTGATGTTGATGCTATTGCTTTCTGTTTGTTAATTTTCTTTCTAACAGTCAGGCCCTTCTTCTGCTGGTCTGCTGGAGTTTTCTGGGGGTCCACTCCATACCCTGTTTGCATGGGTATCACCAGCAGAGGCTGCAGAACAGCAAAGATTGCTGCCTCCTCCTACTTCTGGAAGCTGTGTCCCAGAGGGGCACCTGCCAGATGCTAGCCAGAGCTCTCCTGTATGAAGTGTCTGTCGACCCCTGTTGGGAGATGTCTCCCCATCAGGAGGCATGGGGGTCAGGGACCCACTTGTGGAAGCAGTCTGTCCCTTAGCGGAGCTCCAGTGCTGTGCTAGGAGATCTGCTGCTCTCTTCAGAGCTGGCAGGTGGGAATGTTTAAGTCTGCTGAAGCTGCGCTCACAGCTGCCCCTTCCCCCAGGTGCTCTGTCCCCAGGAGATGGGAGTTTTATCTATAAGCCCCTGACTAGGGCTACTGGCTTTCTTTCAGAGATGCCCTGCCCAGAGAGGAGGAATCTAGAGAGGCAGTCTGGCTTCAGTGGCTTTGCAGCGCTGCAGTGGGCTCCACTCAGACTGAACTTCCTGGCAGCTTTGTTTACACTGTGAGGGGAAAACTGCCTACTCAAGCCTCAGTAATGGCAGATACCTCTCCCCCAACCAAGCTTGAGCATCCCAGGTCTACTTCAGACTGCTGTGCTGGAAGTAAGAATTTCAATCCAGTGGATCTTAGCTTTCTGGGCTCCATGGGGGTGGGATCTACTGATCAAGACCACTTGGCTCCCTGGTTTCAGCCCCCTTTCCAGGGGAGTGAATGGTTCTGTCTCTCTGGCATTCCAGACAACTCTGGGGTACGAAAAAAACTCCTACAGCTAGCTCAGTGTCTGCCCAAATGGCCACTCAGTTTTGTGCTTGAAATCCAGGGCCCTTGTGGTGTAGGCACCCAAGGGATCTCCTTGTCTGTGGATTGCGAAGACCATGGGAAAAGCGTAGTATCTGGACCGGAGTGCACCCCCACTCACGGCATGGTCCCTCATGGCTTCCCTTGGCTAGGGGAGGGAGTTCCCCAACCCCTTGCACTTCCCAGGTGAGGCAATGCCCCACCCTGCTTCTGCTTGCCCTCCGTGGGCTGCACCCACTGTCTAACCAGTCCCAGTGAGATGAACCGAGTACCTCAGTTGGAAATGCAGAAATCACCCACTTTCTGTGTTGGTCTTGCTGGGAGCTGCAGACAGCTGTTCCTATTCGGCCATCTTGCCTGGGAATCTGTAATTATATTTTATTGCATATTCTTCCTAGGCTGGGTGTGTGTGTGTGAAAGAGAGAGAGAAACAGAAACAGAGACAAGGAGACAGAGACAGTGAAACAGAAACAGAGTCATCTTCCAGGTTCTACTTATTAAGCAATATCCCATGAAGTAGCTGAAAAGTGTTATATTCTCCTAATACCTAGTGTTTGCAAATCTGGCAGCTGTCACTGATGATTTAAACAAGATTGGGTGACTTATTTATGTACACACACATCCACAATCAAACTTCAACAGTCGAGTGTACCCTTTTCTAAATAATCACGTTGCTAAAATGTGCCACATGGCCCATTTCTTTAAACAATAAATGGTAAATTATTATTTTGGGGAGTGAAAGCTAAAAGAAATAATATGTCTAATACGATGTGGCATTTTCTCTATACAGTACAGTTTTAGCATTGAAAAGGACCTCAGCAATTCCATTTGCCCCGTTTTCAGATGAGGAGATTGAGGCTGGTAGTTACAGTGGTTTTGCTTCATGTCCCATCCCACTGGGGCTGCTATGCAAGCTCTCAGTCTAGTCTTCTTTCCTCTGCACTTGGTGGCCATCAGCTGTAACAAGTCCTGACTAGACAAGGGCTTTGTTGTTGACTACAATTCAATGCCTTTTTTGCCTGCGTTTGTTTGGACCCTGCTAATCAAGGCTACAGGGCAGCTGCAGAAAGACACCTGCTATTGGCTTACCTGCTCCTCGCCTTCCCTCTGCTTGGGTCTGAGCATCAGAAAGCCACCTTCCAGTGGGTCTTTGCCTAGCTTTTGTCTTGTCTTTGCTTTTTATTCATCTTTGCTTTTGTCTTCTCAGGGCAAATAGGAAATCCTAGACCTCAGATCACTGTTCTTTGCTTCCCAAAAGACAGAACAGCTCAGTCCTGGCTGCCACCTTCTTTCTTTACTCTTGGTTTAAATGTAATCCCACATGCCCTAGACAAGCCTCCTGATGATTTTTCATCAAACATGAAAATAGCTTACTTTTAACTGCTGGGTGTCAGTCTCTTCTAAAAATTTTGTTCCTAAGGAATTGATTTTGCAAATCAGTGCTAAAGTCACTTTTTAACTGCCTCACATACTATCATTTCTTTGACAATTCTTTTTAAAGGGGATTGCTCTTTTCTCCTTCTGGTTTCTCAAATCTACTTTTAACTTCAAATAGCAGGCATGCAATGTAGTTTTATAAGATAATATACTAGGACCATCTATCAGATATGAAACCAAGCATAATCATTGCAATTATTTCTACTGTATTCAGATAATGATAATACAAATAAGAGTACGACATACGTAAATGTTGATTAGCTTTCTGGTTCCTTCATCAAAACTTGCGTTGTGTTGTGCAGCCTTTTCTTTGCATTGTCCAGGGGTTTTGTTATTACAAACCATAATATTTAACCCATTTCTTCTACTAATATCTTTTAATATTTATGCTATTATATAGCTTTTTATTTTTGACATGTATCTAAACCAGAAAAAAATATTCCTTGTACATGATATTTTTAGGCAAAACATAATGTCTGGAGCACCAAGTGAAATAACTGTGGAGAATGGAATGTTGGACAATTTGTGTGGCATGCTTAGCTTAATTTGTTTCTATGGCACAAGCAAAGCTCATTAATTCCATTTATTATTTTAAGCCACTTGTTTGGTGTTATGGATTTTAAGAATCAGTTGGTGTTAGAATTTTTAATAACACAGAGAAAGCCATTGAATATGGAACTCAAATTATCTAAGGTTTACCCAGAAGTCAAAATCACCTGGCCCTCTGTAAATTTCTCTTTGTGTTCCTAGGCCCACAAAGTCTTTGGTCTGAAGACTCAGAGCTTAAATTGCATTGGTCCTGTTAATCTTTGTCAAAAAGGAAGTTTGGGCGGCAGTTTCAGGGTAGTGTTGAGAAGATAACTCCTGGTCCCATTTTATTCTTTCCTCATTTGTTCAGTGCTCATGGCCATCTACAACCTTCCTTGATTCTATTCTGCCTAAGCCTCTTATTTCCACATCTATAAGTATAGTGCTACATAATAATTACAACCTTTAAGAAAATGGAGAGTTTTCATTAAAGGGCCCCTGCAAATCTATGATGCTAGATGACAGATTCTACCAGAAGGCCAGAGTATTAATAGCACCCGTGATAACTGTAATAAGAATATGTCTCGTTTTCTTTTAAAGACATAGATATTCCATTTTAATCCTGTATAACTCAAAGAAAATTTGGGTGTTAACACTTTGAAATACCTTTACCTCCTTTGGGGGAAATCCAAACTGAAAGGAATTAATATCCACATCAGTTCCTAAAGCAAAATGCCTGACACAGACTAACAAAGCTCTTTCTCATCCTGTGGTAGGAACTTAGGAGTGATAACTCACATTGAGAACTTGTGATCTGAAAGCACTAAGGAATTTCTGCCATTGCAGGTAGGAAAAAAAAAGACAAAAATGGTATTCTCAGGTGAGCTTACCTTTCAAATTTTTCTGAGACTTCCTAAATGTGACAAGAACTCTGCTGTGTGGCAACCTTATGTATCCACAACAGAACTAAGGACCGAAAAAAAAAAAAAAAAGATCTCTATCCCAATAGATTTTATAAAATCCATACTCTAAAACTCCTGAGTTTTACATGTACCCTAAAACTTAAAGTATAGTAAAAAAAAGAAAAGAAAGAAAAACTCTTTAACCCTTTGTTTAAATCCTATTAACTCTTAACGATACACAGTTCGAATTATCTAAATGAAATAATTTTCAAGCACATAACAGATTAGAAACAGAGAATGAGAAAGGTATAGTAGATATTATGTAAATAAGCAGAAATAATGGCAATAATTAAACACACTATCTCTACCTAAAAGAACAGAGATAGAAAACTCATATAAAAATCTAAACTACAGTTTTATGGGGATAGTTAAGGTAAGAGCCTGCAGGCAGCACTGTATTGCTTTACAAAACAGCATTTCATTTGTATTATGATGATTTCAGACTATCAATTTAAAAATTCATTAGTATAAATTAAGAACAGGTACCATTTTCTCCAGATACTTCCCCTTCATCTGTCCTGAAATTATTAATTATTGACTTCTACTTAAATAAGATCTTATTTTCATCTGCTGGAAAACTTTTTCTGATAACCATACATATCTTCAATGTCTACAATTTGAATGGAGAGCCCTTTCAATGTGGCGTTTCTGTTTCTTCCATAACCTCACAACGATATGTGGTGGCCCCGCAGTCATTATGGTCTTGTTAAATAATTAGATTTGTGTAAACTATATTTTAGAGTCTTCCAAAACGCCTCTCCTTCCAAAATGGCTAAAAGGGCAAAGCGTCAGTAATTCTGTAGACATGCTTCATGCATGTTCTGAATAGGAGCTATGGTATAATGAGATGCTATCTCTGGAAAAAAATGAATAGATTTTCAAGATTGTGAGTCCTGACATGAGTTCTCTAGAATTTTCCCCTTTGATAAATTTTCCTTTACCTAGCTGTTGCCAAATTGTCTCTTCTAGAAGAATGCCCAGATTTTTTTTCAGTTCCAAAGTTATCAAAATCCCAGGAATATTTCACAGAAAAGAGAAGCATTTATAGCAAGCATGGGTGTGGCATGCTTTCTCTGTGGGAAGTTGTCATCCTCCACAAGATCTTGCCCACACTCAAAACAAACTTGCTTCCCATCACATTCTTGGTTTGTCAGCACTCTGTAAAAGGAAATCTCATCTCCTGTCTGTTGATAGTAGAGCTTATATCAAACTGGGACATGTTTCTTCTTCATTCATGAATAAGTCTAATTTTCTCTCCGGTGTGTAAAACTGACAATACCCACAAGATACTACTGACTTGGAAGTTTCACTGCAGGTAGCTACCATACCAGCATTTGGTAAACTAGCTCCCTAGGTGAGACAGCATTAGATGACCTCCTTCGTGCCACACTACTTGCCAGTATCCACTGGGAGACAAATTATGATTGTTGCGTCCTTCTTTGAAAACACCCCTGCTGAGTACCTACTGTATGTGAGTCACTGTGCAGGCACTAGAAATATAAAGCAAAAAAAACAGATTCTACCCACCGGGAGCTCCTAGTCCAGTGGTGAAGAGGTGTATTAACCCTCAAGGCCCTAAGAAAATCCCCAATAGGGCTCTGCACAAGCCGGGCTCTGATAGGAGGTGCCAGTGCTTTTCTTCTTCCAGTTTCAGAGCCCCAGCGATCCCAGGATGAAGGAGAGCCCATTTGCAACCCTCTTCTGTCTCCCTAAGCATTCAACAAACACTTAGTGACCATCTGTCTTGTGCAAAAAGCTTGGGGAGTGATAAAAACAAATCAAATTCACATTTTAATTTAGGGAGTTTAGGAGATACATCCTAGTGTGGATTTCACATGGTCAATGATTTGCTTTCCTTGAATTTGCCCTCTGCAACCAACACCTGTTCGTGCTATGAGACTGAAGTCCTCCTAGACCGCCCCATTCATCTGAGTAGTTAGGGCTCTGGATGAAGGAGCAAATGGACAAAATAAGCCCCCTCTTGCTCAGGACCTGACTAACATTTCAGAACTGCGGTCACCCATTTTATACAAACCAAAGCACTTCTGACAGACCTCTGAATTTGCATTAAAAAGAGCACGTCTACAGCTCCTAACAATCAAAAACAACTATGAACACTGCTTGCTTCAGTGATACAAACAGACATTTTCTTGTTACATGTGTGGTGATCTGAGAATGGTGACTTTGGACCCAGTTTGACTGGTTAGCGTTTAAATAAAACTTAACAGACTAGGCAACTAAAGGAACTCAGTAAAAGATCAAAAGCAATGCTCAAAGGGAGTGCCTGGGTAACCATGATGTAATTGCAGATTGACACATCTTTGGGTTTTTCATTATTGTTTCTAAAAACTAGATATTATTGCTTTATTATTATGTTGATGATGATTATTGAAAGCACGATAGCAATGTTTAAGTGGTGAGAATGACTCTAAGCCTCTTTTTGTTGCTGTGACTGACAGAACTAAAGGGAGTTTGCTCTCACATTCACAATACCAACTCTGCCATCTTATGGAAAATATTGGAAGTACCTAGGGCATTTCATTATATTTCAAAGGCACAGGTTGCTGGTAAGAGGGACAGAAAGACAAGAACATAGTACCTTCTATTTCTACTACATGTTTTTAATCTTTAACATTTTTACCAGCAGAAATCATTTTTTTTTTAAATCTCTCAATCTTCAAATAATTCTTAGATTGCTTGCCAGCAAAGATGTCTCTTGATCTTGACACTGGAATTCAATGTAAAAATCTTGAATGATATTTTGTACTGATATGAATTTCTACTGTCCCATAACACTGTGTAGTGACTTCACTGTATATTAACTTCTTTTCTACAGATGTTTGACTTATGAGATGAATTAATTGAAAAAGTCAAAGCCTATCAGGAGCTATCTTATATGATGTTGGTAGCCTGTGAAAAAATAAATGTCTTTTTTCTTATACAAACTGATAACAAGACTTGCTTTCACAATTACTATTTACATTTTTGTGCATATAATGCCTGTATATTATACTCATATTTGAAAGTGATCAGAAAGTGTTATTTAACAGAAACTACATACATTTTTTATGTCTCTCTGGACCCTTTGATTCTAAGTAAATTTACAGTAAGTTAGCAGTAATAGACTATTCTTTTCAACTATGAATAAAAATGTACACTGAAGTACAAGATGACTACTGTTTTTAATACATTTTCTCACTATATTATATATTTATTGTAGTAAACTTAGAAACCATATGCATCTTGAATGTTCCTGAATTCTTCAGATTTTGGAGGATTACCCCCCTATTTCATGCACAAATAAAAGTCTTAAGCTACATGACTATAGGAAACCTGGTCCCTCCCCTAGAAATTTCTGAGCAACCCTGGAGAGCGTTTAAATGTTCTGCAAGTGTACCCAGGTGATGCCACTGCCCACTGCAGACAGCTGCTCTGGGCTTCCCCACCAATGCCCCTGACTCCAATTACATCTCACCCCTGCCACTCACTCCACCCTGCCTCTTCCCAAAACAGGAACTCGGCCTCTCTTTTGATTCCACAAGCAAAGTTGAAACAAACCTTTGTAACTAACAAGTGTTACTAAGGTTTTGTGGTAAATATACTCCAGAAAAGAAAACCTTAAAGTAGGTCTCAGGTACCAATGAGTCCAGAGACATTCTGAATCCACCTTCACAGGCTGGTCTCCATCAGACTCTTCTTGCTCCCCTGCCTCTATCTTGTTGCTCCCAAGGAGATCTGCCCACTTTTGACTTCTTCATTGCCTCTGAGACAGGTCATCAAAACATCCTCCACCACAACCCAGCCAGGGAGTAAAATCCCCTTAACATGAGAGTACTGTAGTCTCCACAAAAATTATTTAAAAGAACACTTTATTCTTTACATTATTTGACAGAACATTTAACATCTGACCTGAGTCATTTGCACTGGGATTCCATCCCCAGATCAGACTTTCCCAAAAACAGTGAGTGAATTTGTCTTGAACAAATTGCTAGCACCTCACAGTGCATTCATCACAGAAAAAAAAAAAAAGGGAGGAGCCTGTTAACTTTTATGGGAACTTTCTGTATTGCTTTTGCAACTTTTTGTAGTTCTACAACTTTATTTAAAAGGAAGCAGGGAGGCTTGTTTTAGTGACATACTCCAGATTCTACTCTTAGAGATGAAAGCACAACAACATAAAAATTCATACTTTTTTTTCCATTTCCATTTATCAAAGTAGAAATATAGTCTAGTCTCAGAGTGTCTATCTACTTACAAGCCAAATTTTAAGAAGAAAAGTTTACATTGCTGATATGACTGCCTTTTCCCTTGGATGAGGATTTGAATTCCTATGCCTCGTTGGACAAATGGAAATCATATTGTATGGCAGACACATTTCATAGCAACAACTTAAGCATACCCTAAGAATGACCCTATGGTTTAAGAAGAATGTGTATTTGGAGATCTGTGCTAAAGAATCCAGGAGTGGCTAACCCGGAGATTCATCTCTTATCTATAAGGAACATCTGAGCCCCTAGTCCATCCTGTGGAACGCAGCCCATTCAGGAGATTGAGGCCCTTTGTTTTGGGTTAAACGAATGTTGCCAAGTGGATGTTGCTAGCAGAACAGTGATAAGTGAAAATGTCATATAAACTGCATGCTTTTTACAAGTGGTTGCAGTCCTCCTCTCCAGCCCACTATCACTGGACTGCCCCATATGTAAGTTCCCTCAATAAACTCTGTGTCTCATTCACTGGCTTCAGGTCTCTTATTCAGCCTCTCAAACATGGTGCCCTCCCTACCAAAGTGAATGACATCAAGCACGACACATATTAGATGTTCCTATAATCTAATCATAGCTATGATTTAAACTACAGACTAGTATATATTATTTTTCTTCTCTTTCATCTTTTGCCTGTGTCACAATAACTTAATCATGTCTTTGCTCCTCCTCTGCAATCTCACTGCCATTGCATTTATTATGGTACTCTTTATTAAATAGTCTCTTCATGGAGCTTAGACCCTCCCCCATCCCCCAAAACTCTGCTTTTCAGTATTATATTTCTAAAGTAAGAAATCTGAGCCGTGTTTTATCACCCTGCTTAAAATCTTGAAATAGGATAAAGACTCAGATCCAAATTTCTCATCTTGGTATATAAACTCATCCATTATCTGACCCAACATAGGTTATCAGCCTTGTCTCTTACACACAACGTGTTTTTTTCTTGCTCTTATCTAAACATTGCCCCTGCTCTTTCATGCTTATATGATTTGGGAGCTCTTCATGTATAATGGTTATATCATCTTGAATGCTAGATATATTTCCACATTGTTTAAGACCTAAGTTCAATTATGTCCTACTAAAAGTGCACTCAATATATAATTATTGGCTGCGTGTGGTAGCTCATGCCTATAATCCCAGCACTTTGGGAGGCCGAGGTGGCTGAATCGCTTGAGTTCAGGAGTTTAAGATTAACCTGGCCAACATGACAAGACCACGTATCTACTAAAAATACAAAAAAAAACATCAACTGGGTGTGGTGGCTGGCGTGTGCCTGTAATTCTACTTGAGAGGCTGAGGCATGAGAATCACTTGATTCTTGGAGAATCACAGCTGCTTGGGAGGCTGAGGCATGAGAACCCTTGAATTCAGGAGGTGGAGTATATTAGGCTGTTTTCACACTGCTAATAAAGACCTACCTGAGACTGGGTAATTTATAAAAAATAAGAGGTTTAATGGACTCACAGTTCCACATGACTGAGGAGGCCTCACAATCATGACAGAAGGCAAAGGAGGAGCAAAGGCACGTCTTACATAGCAGCAGGGAAGAGATCATGTCCAGGGGAACTCTCCCTTACAAAACCATCAGATATCATGAGACTAATTTACTATCATGAGCACAGCATGTGACAGACCTCCCCCCCATGATTCAATAACCTCCCACTGGGTCCCTCCTATAACACATGGGAATTATGACAGCTACAATTCAAGATGAGATTTGGGTGGGGAACACAGCCAAACCATATCATTCTGCCGCTGCCCCTCCCAAATCTCATGTCCTCACATTTCAAAACACAGTCATGCCTTCCCAACAGTCCCCCAAAGTCTTAACTCATTACAGCATTAACACAAAATCCCAACTCCAGAGTCTCATCTGAGACAAGGCAAATCCCCTCTGCCTATGAGACTGTAAAAATCAAAAGCAAGTTAGTTACTTTCTAGATACAAGGGGAGTACAGGCATTGGGTAAATACTCCTGTTCTAAATTGGAGAAATTGGCAAAAACCAAAGGGCTATAGGCCCTATGCAAGTCTGGAATCCAATGGGGCAGTCATTAAACCTTAAATTTCCAAAATGATCTCCTTTGACTCCATGTCTCACGTCCAGGTCACAGTGATGCAAGAGGTGGGCTCCCACAGCCTTGGGCAGCTCCACTTCTGTGGCTTTGCAGGGTACAACCTCCTTCCCAGCTGCTTTCATGGGCTGGTTATGAGTGTCTATGGCTTTTCCAGATGCACAGTGCAATCTGTCAGTGGGTCTACCATTCTGGGGTCTGAAGGATGGTGACCCTCTTCTTGAAGCTCCACTAGGCAGTGCCTCAGTGGGCACCTTGTGTGAGGGCTCCAACCCCACATTTGCCTTCTCCACTGCCCTAGCAGAGGGTCTCCATGAGGGCTCCGCACCTGCAGCACACTTCTGCCTGGATATCCAGGTGTTTCCATACATCCTCTGAAATCTAGATGGAGATTCCCAAACCTCAGTTCTTGACTTCTATGCACCCACAAGCTCAACACCACATGGAAGCTGCCAAGGCTTGGGGCTTGCACCCTCTGAAGCCACAGCCTGAGCTGTACCTTGTCCCCTTTTAGCCAAGGCTGGAGCTGCTGGTAGGCAGGGCACCAAGTCCCTTGGATGTACACAGCAGGTGGGCTTTGGGCCCAGCCCAGGAAACCATTTGTTCCTTCTAGGCCTCTGGGCCTGTGATGGGAGGGGCAGCTATGAAGATCTCTGACATGCCCTGGAGACATCTTCCTCATTGTCTTAGTGATTAGCATTTCAGCTCCTCATTACTTATGCAAATTTCTGCAGACAGCTTCAATTTCTTCCCAGAAAATGGGGTTTTCTTTTCTATCACATCATCAGGCTGCAAATCTTCCAAACTTTTAGGCTCTGCTTCCTCCTGAATGCGTCACCGCTTAAAAATTTCTTCCCCCAGATATGCTAAATCATCTCTTTCAAGTTCAGTGTTCCACAGATCTCTAGGACAGGGGCAAAATGCCACCAGTCTCTTTACTGGAGTAAAGAACAACCTTTATTCCAGTTCCCAACAAGTTCCTTATCTCCATCTGAGACCACCTCAGCCTGGACTTTATCATCCATAGCACTATGAGCATTTTGGTCAAAGACATTCAACAAATTTCTAGGAAGTTCCAAACTTTCTCACATCTTCCTTTCTTCTTCTGAGCCTTCCAAACTGTTCCACCTGTTACCCAGTTCCAACATCACTTCCACATTTTCGGGTACCTTTACAGAGGTGCACCACCATCTGGTACCAATTTACTGTTTTAGTCTGTTCTCACTCTACTAATAAAGACATACCTGAGAGTGGGTAATTTATAAAAAATACCAGGTTTAATGTACTCACAGTTCCATATGGCTGGGGAGACATCATAATCATGGCAGAAGGCAAAGGAGGAGCAAAGTCATGTCTTACATGGTGGCAAGGAAGAGAGCTTGTGTAGGGTAACTCCCCCTTACAAAGCCATCAGATCTCATGAGACTTATTCACTATCACAAGATCAGCACATGAAAGACCCACCCCCATGATTCTATAACTCCCACAACATGTGGGAATTATGGGAGCTACAATCTAAGATGAGATTTGGGTGGGGACACAGCCAAGCCAAATCACAGAGCTTGCGATGAGCTGAGATCATGCCACTGCACTCCAACAGAGGGAGACTCTGTCTCGAAAAAACATTTTTTAATAAAAAGAAAAATATGTATATATATAATTATTGAACATTTACTCTGTGGAAGATGTTGGTTCTACTTGGCAGAATTGGTCTTTCTACACCCTAAGAAATTTAGTATTACTTCCATTATTAGACATTGAACCCTAAATACACCTATGACATCATGAATTCTCTGAGTGCTTTGTAAATAGGAATCTAATTAGCTTTTTTGGCAATCACATTACCTTGTTCATTCCCATCAAACCTTTCTAACCTGGAGCCATAAGGTTATCATTCCCTGCCCTGCACACAAAGGTAAGTGTTAAGTAAAAATTCCTCATCTTGTATCTGCTCAATGAATGTTTAGACTTGATTTCAGGCACTTATATTGACTTTTATTACACTTAATTTTGTTTGATTCAGCAAATCATTTCAATCTAATAAGATCAATTTAAATGTTGATATTTTAAAAATCAACTTATTTTTTATTCTCAGATTCATGTGATCTGCAAGTATGCAAACATCTTTTTATCCAGATGCTGCAAATTATTGAATAAGCAAGAATTAGTAAGATATTATCACCAAATTGTCACATCAGTCAAGCCTCATGTGCTTCCTAAGAACTGAGGTGATGCATTATTTTAGAGTGTCATTCTAAACCCCAGATTCAACATCTTCCTAATCTTTCTAGTGCAGTCTAATATATAAATTTTATGAAAAGCATAGGTTTTTTTTTAACCAGCAGTGCTCTTTGAGAATTTACATTGATTCCTAAAGATTGCCATTGCTTTGTATAAAATGTTATAAATTATCTTAGCATCTTACCTGGAATTTCCACTAAATTCACCAATTTATGATTTGTGAAATCTGATTTTACTTTTTGAAAATTTTCATGTGAATTTCCCATTTTCAGTGTTGTAGCACCTCTCTCTTCCTCTAAGATCCTGCAAGCTCATCAAAAGCCATGATCTTATTATACCAGCAGTTTTATTTATTCAATCTTTCAACAAGTAGTTATTGAACTTCTATAATGTGCCAGGCTCTGGAGCTCGCCTTACACCAAACAGACACAATCGATCCATTCGAAGTGTCGTAATTACACATTGAGGGACCAACTAGACCTTTTCTCATTGTAAACTTGGAGCAAAAGTAAATTCATTAAAATAAATTTACATTATAGTGCCACAAAAAAATGAACAGAACCAGAAAGCATTTTTTACAAAAATTAACAGAACAGTGTGATAGAGGGGAAAAGGATGTGAGATCATGGTGCCCTACCTTCAATAGGGTGGCCAGAAAACACCTCTCTGAAGAAGCAGCATTTGAGCTGAGACCTGAAGAACGAGGAGTCAGTGATGCAGAGAACCTCAGGAGATGCCTTCCAATCTGAGAAAAGAGTAAGTGCAAAGGCCATGAGATGGGAAAGAGGTGAACAATGTTCAGGGAACTGAGAGGAGCCCTCTGTGGTTGAGCCTAGTAAGTTTAGGAGAGAGGCTTGAGACTGGACAGGTGGGAGGTAGGAGGTAGCTGGATTATTCAGAGCCTTGTAGATCAAGGCAAGAAGTTGAGGTTTTATTCACTAGGAAACCATGAGAGGGTGTTAGGTGTTAATAGCAGTGGGTAAGGCTAATCACCTCAATACCACCTCTTTGGGTATAAAATCCCAGCAAATACTAGGAACTGCATGTATCTTTAAAAACCAGAATTGTTGGCAAAGAAAAAGGACACTGCACTCTTCCTCTGCTTGAGCAGAAATTAAATTTAATGTCATTCCTCCCAGCTTGTGCCATCTTAATCCTTTGAGAATATACAGATATCAATGCAGAGCAAAGTATGTGCTTGCTCAGCTCACTGACACATAATAATCTGACATTAGTCAATATGTCGGAAAAGGAAATTCAATCACAAAAGACATTTTTGCTTCCAGATTATGTAGAAATGACTTCATTAAGTTTGTTTTCAGAGTGTTTTTCTGAAAAGCTGATGTCTCTTTAAATGGTTACATTAAAGAGCTCTAATGAAGACTTACATGAACTGAAATATCAGCACTAATGGTGCTTGATTCTGTCTTTGTCATTTTGGTGATGAAAAATAAAAGAAGACTGGATATCTCCTGTTAATGCAATACTTTTAGAACTCTTTAATTGAACGTGTCTTTAAGGGACAAAGTGTCCTGGTGAATAAAAAACAGCTCAAGCAATTTCCTTGAGTTGCAGGCATTGGTACAGAGAAAATATGTTCAGAAAAAAGAGGAATCAGTAGCTGGAGTTGAGGTGCCACTGAGACCCGGGGCCCATACCCAGCACTGCTCCCCTCGCCACCCCACTTTCTTCTCTTTCCTTCTTCTTCTTTTTTTTTTTCTTTTAGACAGAGTCTCGCTTTGTCGTCCAGGCTGCAGTGCAGTGGCACGACCTCAGCACTCTGCAGCTTACATCTCCCAGGTTTAAGTGACCCTCCTGCCTCCCAGAGTAGCTGGGATTACAGGCATGCACCACCACACCCAGCTAATTTTTGTATTTAGTAGAGACGGGGTTTTACCATGTTGGCCAGACTGGTCTCAAACTCCTGACCTCAAGTGATCCACCCGCCTCAGCCTCCCAAAGTGCTGGGATTACAGGCATGAGCCACCACTCCCAACCACTTCTCTTTTATTCTTTACTTTTCCTTCCTGTATCTCTGATCTCTCTGTATTTCTTATACTTGGGGATGCCCCTCTCTATGTTACTTTAGTGCCAGTTCTACTATTCATTTACTCCATATTTTTGAATCAGTGAAACTTCCCAGGGCCTGAGTTCTCTTGCCTTTATATAAAGAGAGGCTGACGCCTGTCCCATTGGGTTGCTATGGAAAACAGACAACACAGGCCATGATATATCGATAAGTCCCCTCCAAGTGTTAGTGTTCCCTCACCCTCACCCATCCCACCCTTTCAACTTTCCCTTTTCTCCCCTTCCCTTGCCCATGCCATAGGTCAAGTTTTTCATATAGCCATGATTCACTCTACCTGTGGCCCATGGGTTCCAAGGGCTAGAGGCCACCAGTATAGAGTTTATACACTCAGAAGTATATTCTAGCATGCAAATTCTTTCAAAAGAATTCTTTCAAAAAGAATTACCTGATCCCTTCTGCTAGTTAAAGGCAAGATTTTTTTCTGGTTGGGGAAAGCTGCATAACGAAGTTGAATCCTATACTTGCCTTCGTGCATAAGAGCAATCTGTCATCAGAGGCCAGTCCAAAAGGAAAACTAACATCCGGTTAATGAGGGCATAAAACTCAAGCTTTCTTGAGTACCTCACCTCCAAGCAGATTCAGGGACCCAGTCTCATTCTGTGTTCTGGTTTTGTGAAAGCCTAGGATCCTGAAGGTTTTGTTTTGTTTTGTTTTTTTGCCTCTAGGTACAAAAGAAAAAAGAGTGAAAATAGGAGTGATTGCATGGGGAAATTTTTAGGGGCCAGGCCTGGAAGTCGTCCACATTACCTCTTTCTGCCCACATTCCTCAGGCCAGAACATAATCATAGTATCCCACCAGACAGCAAGGAAAGCAGAAAAACAGGATCTAGCTGTGGCCCAAAAAGAAAAGGAAATAGAATATAGTGAACACATAGCAAACTCTGCCACACAACCTTTTATTACAAATAGTTTCGTTTAGTATTTTTTACATTGTAATGTGTATTTGATGTATTAGGATTTTACCAACACTTAAGAAAATTGGAAAATTAGGAGAAAAAGAAAATGTACTCAAACTTTAAGTTTCCATAGAATAATAGTGACTGTCTTAATCTTCATCCTCTGTGCATGTTACAAAAATAATATGTAAACCTGGAGAGTAAATAATGCCACCACAACATTATTCTCTAGAGGCACCATATGGCCCCCTTTCTCCCGGCACTGGAAAAATCTCTCACATGTCCTGTTTCTCCTTTTCAGCCTTCTATGGCCCCTTTGTCTCTCCAGCCTTTTTGCAAACGAATCACTCTTGTCCTTAGCCTCTGGTATTTGTTCTGGTTGGGCCTGATGTTGGGGTTGGAAGGATGGAAATGAGAAAAATACTATGCTAAAAGAGTCCTGGTAACTTTCTCTTCTTTGAGTTGCATTACCTAAGGCAGCCTATGTTTCTTTGTGACTTAGAGAAATGAATGAGGCAGATAAGGGGGTAGAAGTAACTACCTTTTCTCATTGAGATAATTTCTGCCCTGTAAAAGCAAGTTGAGAGCCAGGAAGAAAAGCACAAATGAAAGAAGCATGCCCCATAACTTATAAACCATCTTATCTAACTTCAGGTCACTGGTTTAATGCCCTTACATTATTCCAGAGCCTTTTATAAGCTCTTTAAATGCATTAATTACTTTGGGAAGACTTTAAATTGGAATATCAGTAGTGTAGATTTGTCACCATGTGTTAACATTAAAGATGCACGTACCCTTTGACCCAGAAATTTTTAGAAAGTTGTCCTGCAGATATACCCACATATGTGTAAAAAAGTCATTCACTGCTTTCATCGAAGCATTTTGGTAGTAAGAAAAGATTAGAAACAACCCAAATGCCTACCAGGGGAAAACTGCTTACATAAATTATGGTACTGCCATGCAATGGGTCGTTATGCAGCTATCAGAAAAGAATGGAGTCTGTGTGCTGGAGTATTTCCAAGATAGGGTAAAGGGCAAAGCCACATGCAGAAGTAGGTGCAGTATGCCACCATGTTCGTGAAAAGTGTGAAAGGGATTGTATGATGATTTGTCTAAGTGTAGAATGTCTCAGGAATGATGTAAAAGAAATCAGTTGCACTGGTCATCTCTGGGAAAAAGGATTGAGTGGCTAGGCACCACAGATCAAGGAAGGAGACATTTTAGGCTTTCCTCATAAAACCTGTTTGGACACTTCAAGTTCATTCATTCATTCATTCATTCATTAAATGTTATGGTCTTTAACCAGCAGTGTCAAAGGCTACTGAGAGCAGAGTTTCAGCTCCTCATTTTAACTGGAACATTCCAGAGAAGGAGCATCTCCTTGAAGGGAATTTGACTAAGGCATTAACCGAGAGAAGAGAAATGTAACCTACATTTCCTCCATCTCCATCTGGAGAGTCCTTTCAGGTGTCATCTTAGGAAAATCTAGGTTTTCCCTTTACAAGGAAGGTGGCATTTTATTTCATGGAAAATCAGACTCTGCTTTCTTATAGTTTTTTCAGCTTGGCTCAAGCTCAGGAAAGTAAATAGCAAAAATAGGTGAACCATAAAATTAAGCCTACATCATTGGGGTGTTAACTAAGGCCATTAAATTTGTCATTTGGGATCTAAATATTGGAGTAGGACTTTGATGATACTCTGAAATTGTACCTAAAGTAGACTAATCCAGAATAATAATAGAGTAAACAGCATGATTGAAAAATTTGAAAAACTACTTAAGCTTTCCAATTGGTATTTACATTTGCACATTCCCATCCTTAATGACATAAAATTAAATAGCTCTACAGATGCTTAATGCATCAGGGCTCAGTGAATCTGGAGGAAAAGCAGATGGCTTATGTATATCTGAGAGCATTTTAATATTAAGCAAATAAACCCCAATTAGATGGGCGTGGCAGAAGCATATCCTGTTGCATGCTTAATGGTGAGAAGTGGATATTTCAAATGTCTGTCCTCTGTACTTTACAAGAGTTTATTCAAAATGGCTGCATGGTAAGGGCTGGGGAATTAAACAAGGCTAAGAAGCAAGAGAGTAGATGAATGAGAATCCACACAGTGGTATAGATGAATGCTACAGTAGAAGCTGCTCAGCTGGTGCCTGAGAGGGAAGGGAGGACCTTTGTTCACACTGCTCTGTGTCTGTTGTGCTGACCTGGGACTAGGGTTGTTGCCGAACTAAAAACAAAGAAAAGCTAAACTGATCTATATCATAAATGTCATAGAGATATGTGGTAGAAGGAAGATGGAGGAAATGGTAAACACAAGGGGGAAGAAGGAAAGGTAGGTTGGGAGTTTAGAGAGGTAGGAAGGAAAAAAGGCTAGATGACATAAGAAACTTTAAGAAGAGTGGACAATCAATTCAGAATTTATATGTAAATCAAAACATCAAGTTGTTCACCATAGATATATAAAATTTGTATTCAACTATACTTCCATAAAGCCAAAAATATTTAAAATATTAGAAACATTATAATAGTTTTCAAAAGAGAGGTACCCAAACAGCAGCATCAGCATCACCTGGGAGCTTGTTAGAAATGCAAATTCTCAAGCCTCACCTCAGACTGAATCAGAAACTCTTGGGTGGGCCCAAAAGTCTGTGAACAAGCTCTGCAGGTGATTCTTATGCACTCTCAAGACTGAGAACCACTGGTCCACACCTTCTATTTAACATGATAACTAGGTTGACCTATGTTGTAAATATTCCCATTGAACATAAAAGTGATGTAAAATTGCTAGAAGCTGTCTGTATTGGTCTTTTTTCACACTGCTAAAAAGATACTACCTGAAACTGGGTAATTTATAAAGGAAAGTGGTTGAATTAACTCATAGTTCTGCATGACTGGGGAGGCCTCAGAAAACTTACAATCATGACAGAAGGCGAAAGGGAATGAAGGCACGGCTTACATGGTGGCAGGAGAGAGACAGAGTGCGCAGGGGAAAGCTGCCCCTTTTAAAACCATCAGATCACATGAGAGCTCCCTCACTATCATGAGAACAGCATGGCGAAACCACCTCCATTATCCAATCACCTCCCATCGGGTCCCTCCCTCGACACTTGGGGATTACAATTCAAGAAGAGATTTAGGTGGGGACACAGCCAAACCATATCATTCTGCCCTGGCCCCTCCAAAATCTCCTGTCCTTTTCACATTTCACAACCAATCATGCCTTCCCAACAGTCCCCCAAAGTCTTAACTCATTCCAGCATTATCACAAAAGTCCAAGTCCAAAGTCTCATCTGAGACAAGGTATGTCCCTTCCACCTATGAGCCTGTAAAATCAGAAGCAAGTTAGTTATTTCCAAGATACAATGGGGGGTACAAGTATTGGGTAAATGTTCCTATTCCAAAATGGGAGAAATTGGCCAAAACAAAGAGGCCACAGACACCATGCAAGTCCAAAACCTGATGGGGCAGTCATTAAATCTTAAAGGTCCGTAATGATCTCCTTTGACTCCATGTCTCACACCCACGGTACGCTGATGCAAAGGGTGGGCTCCCATGGCCTTGGGCAGCTCCTCCTCTGTAGCTCTGCAGGGTATGGCCTCTGCGGCTGCTTTCACAGGCTGGTGTGGAGTGCCTGCAGCTTTTCCAGGCACACGGTGCAAGCTGTCGGTGGATCTACCATTCTAGCGTCTGGAGGATGGTGGCCCTCTTCTCACAGTTCCACTAGGTAGTGCCCCAGTGAGGACTCTGTGTGGGGGCTCCAGCGCCACACTTCCTTTCCACACTGCCTTAGCAGAGGTTCTCCCTGAGGCTGTCTTATGAAGACCAGCGTGGGAGGCAATAGAACTGTTTACTGAAAGAAATATTAAGAAAAAAATTCCTTCCCCCACCCCACCCAGCTTTGGAAAAAAGTTGCTTCTGGCACATTTCTAGAAATTAAGCTCCAAATAAAATTTGTAAATTGTAGATGGAAAGTGATAATAAAGACAGGCAGGTGATAATGGGAGTGTATTTGGATTAACTTCTGAAAAAACAAAAAACTAGAAATTTGAGAGGAGATTTTAAAACCATGGCAGTGAGTAAGAATGAAGAGGTGAACAGAAAAAAAAAATGTTGGGTTTGTTTTAATTAAAAAACTAAAAGGTCAATAATACACAAGGCACTTAAATAAAAGTGATAAAGAAAAACAAATTAAGAGGATTTGGAACTCATGATTCACTTGAGGGTCACCTTGGTAGTAGTGAGATGTAATGGAGTGAGAAGAGCCTGGGTTTTCAGAGTCAGTGTTCAGATCCACCAGCTGTAAATTATATCATTCTGGATAATTCACTTAACATTAGGGATTGACATGCTTTCATTTGTTCTTACTTTGCCCTATAGTGAGAGAAGTAAAGTGTTTAATTAGGGCTATTATTAGTTTTCAATTTACCAAATAAATGAGCTCTTTTCTTTAAAAAAAAAAAAAAAAGAGGAGGAGGAGGAACAATGTATGGTGAGTGTGTTATGAAATCTGAGCGTATTTTTGACAATGCAATAGCCCCCTCCTCCAGAACCTCATAAAAATAAAAACTTCAACTAAAGACTTGTATTACCCCTTAGGGCTTTTTGGAGTCAGATTTATGGGTTTTTCTGTGTATGGTACTGGGTTGACATGAGGTTTGAGTTGGAATCAAGAAAGCCTCATGTTATTTGGGTTGAATTATTAAAATTGAGACTATGAGCCCAGTACATTTTTTCCAATATATTTCATGTTTAGGGCCATTCACATCAGCACTCATTTGCTGTTTGTGCTCAGAGACTTTACATCCCCTTGTGTCTCCAAGTTCTTGTCATCTATTTTATGAAAGAGGCCATATGGACACTGTCTTCTATAATGGTGTCAAATATTAGTCAGAGGGTTAAGTTGTAAAATGAGTGCATAAAGCAAAAGCTAAGTGTAGTCATTTTTCTTTCTCTCTCTCTCTCTCTCTTTTTTTTTCCCCCACAGGGAGGGATGGAGTCTCACTGTGTCGCCCAGGCTGGAGTGCAGTGGCCCAATCTCGGCTTACTGAAACCTCCACCCCCTGGGTTCAAGTGATTCTCGTGCCTCAGCCTCCCAAGTAGCTGGGATTACAGGCATTCACCACCACACCAGCTAATTTTTGTATTTTTAGTAGAGACGGGGTTTCACCATGTTGGACAGGCTGGTCTTGAACTCCTGACCTCAAGTGATCCACCTGCCTCGGCCTCCCAAATTGCTGGGATTACAGGTGTGAGTCACCGCTCCTGGCTGCTTTTCATTTTTCTATCACTTGCACTATACAACTGCTGATCCCTCACCAGTCCTGTTGCTGGTAGAGGTTTGGCTGATATGCATGAATTCGTGATTTGGGAAGATTTTCTGTCATCCAGTTTTCTTGAGGATGATTGTCATGCATATTTTTTCCTTTCACTATGGTGGTTGGTCCATTTGTCTTTCAGTGATAACTTGAAAGATGTTTTAAAAACTACCACTGCATCACAATCCCACCACCTCAAACTGGATGAAATTTCCTGCTTGATAAACCAACTAAGACTAAAAACTAGCAGTTAGTGATATCAGAAGAGAATAAAAAGTGTGTCTTCCATTCAAACAGTGTAAGGTGATATCTCATTGTGATTTTAATTTGCATTTCCCTAATAATTAGTGATTTTGAGCAGTTTTTCATGAACCTGTTGGCCTTTTTAAATTTTTCTTTTGAGAAATGTCTGTGCAGGCCCTTTGCTCATTTTTTAATTGGGTTATTGCTTTTCTTGTTGACTTGTTTGGGTTCCTTATATATTTTGAATAGTAATCCCTTATCAGATGTATGGTGTGTTAGTCTGTTTTGTATTGTTATAAAGGAATACCCACGGCTGGGTAATTTATGAAGAAAAGGTAGTCAGTTTTTTGGCTCATGCTTCTGCAGGGTGTACAAGCAACATGGTGCCGGCACCTGCTCAGCTTTTGGAAAGGACTCAGGAAGCTTTTACTCATGATGGAAGGCAAAGCGGGAGGAGGCACATCACATAGCAAGAGTGGAAGCAAGAGAGACGTCATGCTCTTTTAAGCAATCAGCTCTCAGGTGAACTAATAGAGTGAGAACTCACTCATTTCTGTGGGGAGGGCATCAAGCTATTTATAATGGATCCATCCTCATGACACAAACACTGCTATCTCCCACCTCTAACACTGGAGATGACACTTGAACATGAGATTTGGAGGGGACAAATATCAAAACTATATCATATGGTTTGCAGATATTTTCTTCCATCCTTGAGTTATCTTTTCATTTTGTTAATTGTTTCCTTTGCTGTGCTGAAGCTTTGTTTAATGAAATCCCATTTGTCTATTTTTTGCTTTTGTTGCCTGTGCTTTTGGGAACCTATCTAAAAATTTATTGCCGGGAGCATTGTTGTGAAGCTTCCCCCTATATATTCTTTTAGTAGTTTTACAGTTTCAGCTCTGCTGTTTAAGTCTTCAATCAATTTTGAGATTATTTTTTAATATGATGTGAGATGGAGATCCAATTTTACTCTTCTGAATGTGGATATCTGATTTTCCCAGCACCATTTATTGAAGAGACTGCCCTTTCCCCATTGTATGTCTTTGGCACCTTTGTCAAAAATCAACTGACTATAAATGTGTGAGTTTATTTGTGGTGTTAGTCAGAATGTAGAGAAAAGGGACCCCTTATGTATTGCTGGTAGGACCACACATTAGTACAGCCATAATGGAAAATAGTGTGGAGGTGCCTCAAAAGACTAAAAATAGAACCACCACATAATCCAGCAATTCTGCTTCTTGATATATAGCCAAAAGAATTGAAATACATATGTGGAAAAGATAGCTGCACTCTCATGTTTACTGCAGCATTATTCACGATAACATGATACGGACTCAACCTAAATGTTCATCAATGAATGAATGGATACAGAAAATGTGGTATATATACACAATGGAATACTATTCAGCCTCTAAAACGAAGGAAATTCTGTCGTTTATGACAACATGAATGAAGCTGATGGACATGATGTTAAACGAAGTAAGCGAGGCACACAAAGACAAATACTGCATGGTCTCACTTATACGTTGAATCCGAAAGAAACCAAATTCATAAAAGTAGAGAATAGAATGGTGGTTACCAGGGGTGGGGAGGGAAAGTGAGAAAGGAAATGGGGAGTTACTAGTCAAAAGAAGCAAAATTTCAGTTAGGCAGGAGAAATAAGTTTTTCGTTGTTGTTGTTTCTTGGTTTTTGGTTTGTTTGTGTGTTTATTTATTTATTTTGAGATAGAGTCTCGCTTCCTCATCCAGGCTGGAGGGCAGTGGCGTGATCTCGACTCACTGCAATCTCTGCCTCCCAGATTCAAGCAATTCTCCCACCTCAGTCTCCCAAGTAGCTGGGACTACAGGTATGGGCCATCATACCTGGCTAATTTTTCTATTTTTAGTAGAAACGGGGTTTCGCCATGTTGCCCAGACTGGTTTTGAACTCCTGGATTCAAGATATCCGCCTGCCTCGGCCACCCAAAGTGCTAGCATTACAGGGGTGAGGAATAAGTTTTTGAGATCTATGGCACAGCAGGGTGACTATAGCCAATAATAGTGTGTGATATGTTTCAAAATTGCTAAGAGAGTAAATTTCAGACATCTCACTTAAAAAATGATAAGTAAATGAGGTAATGGATGTTACTTAACTGAATTTAATCATTCCACATTGTATACATACATCAAAAGATCACATCGTACTCCATAAATGTATACAATTATAATTTTACAATTAAAAATAATATTAATAATAAAAATATTTTAAGGAGCATGTCTTCCTAGTGCCAAAGTGTTTACAGAAGCAAAGAGGGACAACCACACCAAATGATGGATCAAGTTACACGGGGACTTGGGACATTGGATTCAGCCACCTGGAGGTCATTGGTAACCTTGACAAGAGTAATTTCTATAGAGCACAGGGGTGAAAACACCAAAGTCCTGTGGAATAGATTTGAGAGAGGATAGGAGGGGAGAAACGAGAGTCATCAAGTATAGATGACTCTTTCGAGAAGGTTTATTGTACAGGTATACAGCAAATTAAGGAGATAATGAGAGAATGTGCAGAGTCAACAGAGGACTTTTAAAGGTAGGAGGTACTATAGTATGTAAGTGTGATTACCGGAATGAGTCTGGAGAGACGTAAATATTGATGATGTAGGAGGAGGGGGCCATTTGCTTGTGTGATGCCCCTGGATAGTAGAAAAGGGAAAGGATCTGGTGCACAGTAGAGGAGGTGGTCTCAGATGACAATAAGTGATTGGCCAGAGCTTCAGGTAGGGAAGGGAGAGAATATGTGTACAGATGACAGTGGGGGAGCACTGAACAGTGGGGCTTGTTGGGGGTTCTCCTCTAATCCTTTTCAATATTTCTGAGCTAACAGAAGGAAATTCATTATCTTACAGTGAGGAGAGAGGAAAGGTGTCGGAGATTTGACAGGAAGGGTGAGAAGCAGTTACCAAGGAGAATGAAGAAGAAAACAGACTAGGAAAGTGTATTCAGGTGGTGCAGTAGCACTGAAGGCCTGCTTATGGTAGTGCCAAAACCAGCTCAGTCCTCTTCAAATGAGCACCAAATGGAAGAATTGGTTTGCATTTAGGGGCCATTTATACACAAAATACAGCATTTTATTTTTTATCTTTATAGCTTTTTCAATAGTTTTTTGCTGATTGTGCACAGTGGAGTTTGAGAAAATTGAGAAATTAAATGCACATCTGGTGGTATCCACTGACCTTCCCTTTTTACTGATATTTATTCACCTAAGGATTATGGTTCCAGACTCACATTCAGTGTGGCTCTCAATATTATCCTGCTGTCAGCAGCCTAAGTACGTAGATGAGTGGAAAGCATGTACATGAAGACTTAACCATGTGTACTTCTGGTAGGTGACACTTAAGTAGAACAGGCAAATATTAAAGAAAAAAAGACTTAAATTTCCTAGAAGCAGGTGACATTTCTTCCATTTGTTTCACAAAATTTCACAAGTGAGAAAAGTCATGAAAAACTGGTCTTTGATCTTTTTTACCTCTTGAAAATGATGCAACATTTCTTTCTACTTCACAAGGTGAATATTTTTTTGAATGTTTTAAATCTCAAAGTTCAAACAATGGCATCAAAGCGCCAGGCTGGAGCTCACCATGGGGAGCCAGCCGGGGTCCTGTGCCCTGGGTGGCGCTGAGGCTCACGCTGTACACGGGGCACGGGGACAGTTCCAGAGCTCAGGGAGAGGCTTTGGTCCCAAATATGGACCACAGGCACAGGAAGCACTGCTTATTCCTTGGACTTTATACACTCAAATGCTTTCCTTCAAGAAATACAGTTTAAATTCCAGGCTTTGAGTTAGGCACAGGGGCTACAAAGTAAACAACTGTGGCCCTTCCTCCTCAAGAGCTAACTCCCAGTCCAGTGGAGAAGAAAGGTATTAAATTAGTGAGCTCCATGGAAGGCTAGAAGAGCCTGCAAAAGTCAAAGTCTATATGGAGCCAAGTGTCGGAGAGGGCCAAGGTAAATTTCATGGATAGTTTCAGAAGGAGTGTGGTGAAGGGGAGGATTTGGATTACAAAACATCTTATCTCGAACTGTGTAGCTTTAGGCAGGTCACAGTCTCTGAGCACCCGTTTTCCCATTTGCATAATGGGGGTAGTAGTAATAACAGTAATAATAAGTTACAAGAGGATGTGCTGATTAAATGTTTATCAACTGCTCTGTACCAGGGCTTTTCAAGTGCTCAGCAAATGTCAATTCCCTTCCCATGTTTCTGCCCTTGTATGTTTGAATTCTTTAACAATAAGCTGGAGATAGATGTTTTCAGATTAGACATGGAAAAATTAAGATAATCAGAGAGTTCAATTGCAAGTTAAAAGTCATGCCTCTGGAATTAGTTGAAGGTTTATAATTAAGAGAAAGTTTCTACAAAATAACTGGCCTATAGTCTTCACAAATGTCAAGGTCATAAAAGACAAAAACTGAGGAGCAGATTAAGGACTATGGAGACGTGAAAATTCAATGCAACTTGTGATTCTGAATTGGATTCTAGACCTGAAAATACTTTTTTTATTTGCATAGAGGACGATGTCAGGACAATGTGTAAAATTTTAATAAGGTGTGTTGATGTTGATAATTATGCAATATTATGTAAAAGAATGTCGTTGCTTTTAGGAAATATTCATTGAAGTATTTAGGTGTAAAAGGCAACACATCTGCAATTTAATCTCAAGTGGTTAAAAATAATATGTATATATGTGTCGGTGAATATACACACACACCACACACGTACACAGAGAATAGAGAATAGGAGAGAAAGAGAATAATAATGCAAATGTGTAAAATGTTAACATTTTGCTGTGGGTGAAGGGAATAGGAATTCTTTGTACAATATTTGCAATTTTCCTGTAAGACTAAAATTATTTCAAAATAAAGAGTTTCCATTATAAAAGGCAAAATAAATGAGTTTTAAGTCATAATGATTCAGGAAATCCTACAGAAAAAAAAAAATCTAAATTAACAGCCAGGCTTTAGAATGGAAACACATTAAAATGACCCAAGCAAGAATCCTGGCAAGGTTCACAGAATTCGTGAAGCCCTAATTAGAAGTGATGAGAACTGAACTGGAAATACCTTGACACACTCTCATTAGCTCAGCATCGGTTCTTGCCTTAAGGTACAGTTCAACAGGAGGGCACCCTTTGTGTGGTTTCTGGGCACCCTGAAGCCCTTCATAGTTTGTCAGGCCTTTCTGTTTGAAAGCAAAGAAAAGGTAAAAGCTTAATGGTAGTAGCAGAGCAGCAACAAAGGACACACAACTGATCCTACATGTAAATAGCTGGTTTGGAATCATGCCTTCTGGAAAACTTCATACTGTGATGATCACCTCTTGGAATGCTTTTATTCATGTAAAGCAGAAGTCTGTAAGCCTTAACCAGGCTACTTTAATTATACCATTTCAATGTCAGAATGATTCAGCTTCCTCTTAATTTAATGTGCACAATTATTTTATTTCTGAAAAAATCCATTACATAAAATATGGAAATATTCATATGTATAAAAATATAAATGAATAATTGTAATGTATTATATTTATGTACAATACGTAATTGCATATTTACATGTAAATATATGTAATATAATAAGCCCTTAGGAATTAATTTTAAAATTGCTAGAATTAATAAATGGCTCAATAAAAAGAATAGGTACAAAATTCACAGACAAACATATCAATGGAATGCTAGGAAACAAACTCCCCGCTTCCACATCCCTAAAAAATCTTTTAAAAATTTTTAGGGATACTCTTTTGATAGGTTCAAGGGGTGTATACTTAAAACTTTCTAAGATAGTATATAAATTAATCCCATTGAGAAATACCAATAGATAATGAAATAACTAATCCAATGAGAAATGTATCATATAAAAAACTACTTAGCTGAACTAGGAGATATAAAAGACACTTTGTGTATTGCCATATCAAAAAAGCTAAACATTGTAAAGATATGGGCTTTTTTCAAACTAATACATAGGCTTATTGTACTCCCAATAAAATCCATATTGTGGGGGAGAGGGGAAATTTTGAGAAAATAATCCTAAAATTCATCTTAACATTTAAATAGGAAAAGATATCAAAACAAATTCTTTAAAAGAAAACCAATAAGGGAAAGTCAGTCCTATATTAAAATATGTTACAAATATATTGCAATTAAATGAGAGATATTGGCATAAGAATAAGCATAAATTAATGAAACAAAATTGATGGCAGAAAACAGACAACAGTGTTTACAATAATTCATTATATCCTATAGACAGCATCATGAATAACTGGAGGAAGATTATTTGACAATAATTCTGGAAAAACTGGTTGTAAATATAGAACAAAAAATTAGTTACTAACTTCACTTCATATCCCAAAATCAACCGTGGTTGAGTTACAGAGTTAAAAATTATAATATAGAAAATCAGAAAAAAAATAAAACAAAAAAGAGGGAAATACTTTCTAGGCTTAAAGAAAGAGCTAAACAAACATTGAAAGAAAATCTAAAAATGTGGCTACATAAAAAGAAAAATTTATTTACGTCAAGGAAAAAAGAAGACATAAAGTCAAAGAAGACTGAGATAAAAACATTTTCTATAAAGATGACAAGTAAGAGGTTAATAATGTTATGTAAAGAACTATATACCTAACTTGTTAGCTTGAAAGTAGGGTAAAAGAAAGATAAAATGAGAATTGCGTACCAAAAGAAAAAAAGAACTGTATACCAAATAAGATAAACATTAAGAAACTAATAAAAAGTAAAAGAAATGAATAGTTAATTCGCAATATAGATAAAACAAATATTGAGCCTAGTGTGGTGGTGTGTGCCTATCGTCTCAGCTGCTTGGGAGGCTGAGGCAGGAGGACCACTTGAGCCCAGAAGATGGAGGCTGTACTATGATTATGTTCATGAATAGCCTCTGCATTCCAGGCTGGGCAATACCAAGAGACCCTGCCTCTAAAAAAATTAATAATTAAAGAAATAAAGAAACAAATACTGCCAGGCGTGGTGGCTCACGCCTGTAATCCCGGTACTTTGGGAGGCCAAGGTGGGCGGATCACCTGAGGTTGGGAGTTTGAGACCAGCCTGACCAACATGGAGAAACACTGTCTCTACTAAAAATACAAAATTAGCCGGGCGTGGTAGTACATGCCTGTAATCCCAGCTACTTGGGAAACTGAGGCAGGAGAATCACTTGAACCCGGGAGGCGGAGGTTGCAGTGAGCCAAAATCGTGCCATTGCACTCCAGCCTGGGCAACAAGAGCGAAACTCTGTCTCAAAAAAAAAAAAATACTGAGCTCGTTTATTATCACTAGCCATCAAAGAAATGAAGAAATGAGAGAAACAGTAATGTACCTTTCTTCATTTATTAGCATATAATGAAATAAAATGTTTCTCTTGCTTGGTCCATTCAGGCTGCTATAACAAAATACCATAGACTAGGCAGCTTACAAACAACAGAAACTTATTTCTCACAGTTCTGGAGGCTAGAAAGTCCAAGAACAAGGGTCTTGCAGATTTGGTGTCTGGTGAGGGCCTGTTTCCTGGACAGCTTCTTACTCTAACCTCACATGGTAGAAGAGGCAGTAGGTCTCTTTCAGGCCTCTTTTATAAGTGCACTAATGCCACTCACAAAGGCTCCACGCTAATCACCTTCCAAAGGCCCCACACCGTAATACTATCACCTTGGGGATTAGGATCTCAACCTATGAACTTGTGTGTGAAACAAACATTCAGACTGTAGCAGTATTCAATAATATTCAAGGCTACTGAGGGTCTGGTAAAATTGGTGCCATAATGTGTTGCCAGACACAGTGGCTCATGCCTGTAATTCCAGCACTTTGGGAGACCAAGGGGGGACGATCACCTGAGCCCAGGAGTTTGAGATCAGCCTGGGCAACATGGCGAAACCCCATCTCTACAAGAAGCATAAAAAATTAGCTGGGTGTGGTGGCGTGCACCTGTAGTCCCAGCTACTTGGGAGGCTGAGGTGTGAGGATCACCTGAGCCTGGGAGGTCAAGGCTGCAGTGAGTTGTGATTGCACCACTGCACTCCAGCCTGGGTGACAGAGCTAGATCCTGTATCAAAATAATAATAATAATAATAAATAAATTAATTACAAAATATGCTGTCAGAAACACTGTAAAATATGTTGATTCTTGTGGAAAGCAACTTTGAAATTGAATCAAGAACCAAAGGTTTCCCAATAATCCCATTTTGGAAATTAAGGAAATTATCTCAGAGTTCCTGCTCAGGAACCAGGGCAGGATGTCACTTGACACTGGTAGCCCAACCTGTCAGATGCCACCATAGCTAAGGAAGACGCCGAATCAAAAAGCAGCAACGATCCCTAATCCCTGTGGGTCAGAGGCACCCCGGAGGTCCTTTTGGGTGACCCTTTGGTTGTCCCAGGCAGTGACCAGCGGCCAGGTATGTATCTTATCAGAGGAAGTGAGGAAGTAGTCAGGGTAAAAACCATAGTTCATGTGAAAGGGAAATGGGCAGCAATGGTGGCAGAGGTGTGCTTGACCAGATGCAGGGGGCTCTAGGCCCTAACCTGAAAGCTCTGATTCGCTTTGGGTCTGTGAATGAAGAATCCTGAACAACGAACCTGACTCAGAGGCTTCAGAATCCAGGTACAAACTGAGCACTGGGATCAAATGTTGGCTGGCTTGGCCATCCATAAAGCCATCAGCTGTTGCTGGTAATCAGTGGAGAAGGGAATGGGGGACTTGCACTCCAGCGGATGGCATCTACCATTTTTATGAGGGTGTAACATAAATCTCACAACCATAAGAGGAGTCAAATAGAAAGAGAAGTCCAAGCAAGAACTTCCTGGGGGCATTTGTAGATCAGATATGGCACAAGTCACCTGGCCAAGGCACAGAAGGCACAGAAGTGACTGGATTAACCACCTGTTTTCTAGCTTCAATATCGGATGCTTTGACCTGAGAGGCCTTCCTGAAGGGGAGGGGGGCCTGTGGGGGGAGGCGGGGTGCTACTTTTCCCAGTGCCAGCTAATTCTTAGAGGTAACAAACCCTCCTGTGGGGTTGCCTTTCATAAGCAAACTAACCAATTCAGAGCCCTCTCCCCACCCCCTGCTTAATGAGCTCTTGCACTGGGGGACACTATTCCCCTGTCCTAATCACCTCAGGCACAGGCAGGGCATCGAGTTATGCAAGTGAGCCAATCTTAAACCTGCTTAGCCTGCTCACCCTGTCTCACCCACGCTTTCCTGCAAACACCACAAAAAGGCTCTTTCAGGTGGCAGTTCGCCTCACTCTCTGTGCCTACAACCGACCTCAGAGCCCCTCCTGTGGCCTGCATGGGTGGCTGACCTGCCCCCCTCCTCCTGGAAACTCTAATAAACTATCATTTCAATGGCAGTTGTCTCCTGATCTGTTGGCCTCACCATACCTAAATAAAAAATAAAATCTACATTTTAAAAGGGGCTCATGGGCAGTGTCAGCTTCCTTCCAAGCTGGCAAATTTGAGCAGTCTTGTCTCAGTGTTTTCAGGGGTCCGTGGTATCTAACTGGCTCAACGCTTGGACAAAGACATCTTATGGATACAAAAGGAATCAACCCCCTCGCGATGCTTTCAGCATCTCATATGCTTATCCTGGGAGGATTTGGGTCTCAGGAAGGACACATGGTTGTCTGTCTGCTGCCAGCCCAGACGACAAGGACTGCCCAGTGGTCCCACGGCATCAGAAGCTAAATAAAATGGTTATTTTAAACCACTAAACTAGGAGAACATAGAGTTGTTGCACAACAAACAAGAGCTTCTGAAACCGCTTGATGTCCTAAGGTTAGCATTCCCTCAATCTGGACTTGGAACCCCTTCCTGTGGGAGGACTAGATGAACATGGAACTGAGCCTGGCAGACACTGCAAATGAGGCCCCTGCCAGCCAGGGGAAGCATTGATAGGCACACTGAGGGTATGCTGAAGAAGGCAGTGAGGTCCAGCTCCAGGAAGCTGCAGCAACATTAGGCCACTGCAGCGGACCTCATTTTCAGAAGGATTTTAAGCCAAAGCCCAAGGTAAAGGGGAGCAAGGACTTTTATGCAGCTTGTTTTTGTGCAGGTATTAAGGACTCTCAGGAAGCCTGGTCCTTCAGGGGTTTATTTTGTTTGTTTATTTGTTTTGTTTTGTTTTTTCTATACACAGGGGAGAGGATTCAAATGCAGTAATCAGTTTCTTGCTCTTTTTTTTTTCTTCTTAAATAGAGACAGAGTCTCGCTCTATTGCCCAGGCTGGTTTCAAATTCCTGGGCTCAAACAATCCTCATGCCTCAGCCTCCGAAACTGCTGGGATTACAGGCATGAGCCCCGATGCTTGGCCAATTTTCTTGTTCTGTAAAGCTGCACTGCTTAAGCACAAGGCCAAAATGAGGTCTCTCACCACTTCTGCCTGAACTAAACTTACCCAGTGAATGCTGGGCTGGGCAGTCCAGTCTTCCCCACATGTGGTAATGTTCTGCTCTCAGTCATGTTCTAACCACAAGGCAGCAAACACTGGCGCAGCTGAGCCCGAGGCTGGGGCTGCAGTCTGAACTTTTACATTACTCAGTTAATTACAAAGCCAGTCAAATCACCCCAAAGATCCACACACCCAAGAGTGCTGGATAAGAAAAAAATCCTGCATATCAAACCCCTTCTGGGGGAGAGACCAGGGAGAGCGTGGAAGAGAAGAGGTCTGGGGTATGCAGTGGCTGGTGGCCTAGAGCAATTCTAACCCAGGAGGCCTCAACAGGGAGCCTGCACCTGAATGTTGGAAGAAGCAGGGTTTCCGTCAGTCTGTGTTGGCTTTAAAGGAACCATCCTTCATGCCCAAAGGAGGCAAGTGTTTGGCAGCTTTTCCAGATGGCATGTCTTGCAGTCGTTGAAAATTTTTTAAAGTGTAATTCTTGATAGTGTATCTCCAAGACAGAGAGACAAGCCCCTAGTCACCCTTCTGAACACCATAAAGTAAGTTGCGATCTCCATCAGACACTGGGGCACTTGTCCTGGACTCTCTTGGCTTGTGGGAACTTGCTTGCATGTCAAGCTTTCTTCAGTTCCGTTCCTAATTCCAGACTCCATTGTCCCGTTACTAAATTGCTCTGGTCCTTTTGGCTCTTGCACTTTGATTCCGCAGGTGGACTTTGACTTGGATCTGCTTCCCTGCCCCACTTTGGGCCATAAAAGTAGAATTCCTGACCTGTCTGCACCCTGGATCCACCTCCTACAGTGACCAATCCTAGCCTGCTGAGCTTAGTCACTCGGCAGGGCAATTCAACCCTCCCAGAGGGTAAAGACCCAGCAGCTCAGGCGGCCCTGCAGCAATGAGGAAACGTGCTTTTGATCTAGTTAAGTAAAAGGAGCAGAACACAAACTGTATTTGCAACTGTGTGAAAATAGGCCAAGGGGAAATAACAAAAGGACTTCCTTAATTCAATTTTTTATTATCATCGTTACATTGTTATTGTTCTGAAGTCTATTCTAAGTTGAAATCTTGTTTTATGTGGCTATTTTCCCTCAAAACTGGGGTCAATCATTATATTTAATTATACTAACAGATTCGCATACATTATTTGTTAGCTCCTTTGTCCTTGGGTAGAGACGAGCAAAGAGGAACCAAGTAATTTAGATTCTTTTAACTAGAGAAGAAAAAAATGCAAATTCCCATCCTCACTTCATTTTACAAAACTGAAAGAGAAAGGATAGTTTTAACTATTGGCAAAGTAAAATTGCTCTTCTAGCTGCTCAAGTTGAACACTTATTGTACAAATTATTAATTTTATTAAAAGTGTATGAAATAATTTTTTAGATTATCAGAGACTATAAAATAAAAAGCATCTTTTCTCAGTTTAAAAACGAAGGACAATTTTAAAGGACTCAAAGTATGCAGAATATAAATAGAAGCTTTCATGGCTAATGTTACACAGTTAGTAAATGGCACACATAAAACATGACCCTTGGCATCCTGACTTCTGGTGCACCTGTCCACTCTTCTCCACTGGGAAGCTGGATGGAAGGTATGACATACAAACTGGTTAAGAAAGAATTGCAATTCTTAGTTTGTGAACAGTTCATTGTAATAATCCAGGAGTGACGTGACTGGTCTAAAACAAATACTATGTAAGCTTCATTAATGAAAATACAGTCTTCCCACTACCCAGTGTGATCATCTAAATTCTCTTCCATTCTGAGATTCTCTAATTCCCTCAAAACCTTGAGTTTCTCCCTGAAAAACTTCTGGGATTAACTTGAATGCTGAACTATAGCAAAAGATGTTACAGTGTTATTGTAAAATTCTAAAGGGATCTATGCTATGAAACAAACTGGCTTTAAATTAAGATTATGAGAAATTATAACAAATGTCAGAGAACTGGAAGCCTAAAAGCATGCCAAATTTATGCAAAAAGGAACAAGTTCAACAAGAAAGCTAATGATTAGAAACTTTCCCTTGAATTTGGAGGGGAAACCATGACAAGATTTAGAGTACATTATGTTGAGAAACCTTATGCTATAGAAAAAGAAAAATGCAAACCAAGTTCATGTTCATTTGAAGCACTTCTCCTGCCCACATCCTTAGAAATGACCAAGGAATGCTTGATTAATTTGGTACCTTCCCTGCAAGCTTTCCCAGAAGCATCTCTCATTATATGAGGTGTTGATTCTTTCTTCACCCACCCAAAGAAACACTCTGCTAGCCTAGATTTTGGCCAGTTAAGCATCAGGGGAAAGAAAATTGGAATTGTATGTACAATCTACAGATTTATATACATGATAGCACCTGGCCCTTAATAGATGCTTAAAAGTGTTTTTATCGAGTCATCAGGACCTCCTCATAGATCAGAATGGAAAATATCCAGTATTAGGTGTAAGTCTATGTTTATGTTTATATTTAAATAAATATATATTTAAATAAATTAAATACAATATTTAATAAATATAATTTACTGGTAAATATTCCTTAGGTTTCTAACAATTTCCTGAAATCTATTATTCTAAATAATTGAACGCAAACACAACCAGCTAAACATTAGGTTAGCTTGTTCTCTCCTGACATCTAGTGTTTCCAATACATTACTGCAAAACACCAGTTTTTCTTTTTTAATGTTTACAGGTTTATTATAAAGGACTTACAAAGGACAAAGACGAAGAGACACATAGGGCAAGGTACCAGGGAAGGGGCACAGAGCTTCCATGCCCTCCCTGGGCGCATCACTCTACAGGAACCTCCCTGTGTTCAGCTATCCAGAAGCTCTCCAAACTCCATCCTCTTGGGCTTTAATGGAAGCTTCGCAAGGTCAGCATTCCTTCCCCCAGGGTATGCGGTGGGGCCCTCTCTGGAGAACCCCAGTTAATTTTTAAATATTAAAATAAAAATGCTGGCCAGGCACAGTGACTCACACCTGTAATCCCAGCACTTTAGGAGGCTGAGGCAGGGGGATCACTTGAAGTCAGGAATTCAAGACCAGTCTGACCAGCACGGTGAAACCCCATCTCTACTAAAAATACAAAATTTAGCCAGCTGTGGTGGTGCGTGCCTGTAATCCCAGCTGCTTGGGAGGCTGAGGCAGGAGAGTCATCTGAATCCTGGAGACAGATGTTGCAGTGAGCTGAGATTGCACCACTGCACTTCATCCAGCCTGGGGTGACAGAACGAGACTCCGTTTCAAAAAAATAAAAGAATGAAAATGCTATGTGGAACAAAAATTGTATTCATTTTTGAAACAAGTTTGTTTAAATGAAATGAAATCCCAAGCAAACAACAAAGCTGTTTCTGAGGAGTGAAAGACCTTTTTTGCTTAATTCTTCCCATAGGAGAAAATTCTTTGAAATATTTTCTTGCAATTCGATAAAAATGGAAAGACCCAGCATGTAGGTAGGGCTGCTTGATTATTGCAATGGAGGGAGGGAAGATGGGGAAGCACATGCAGCCCTTCTGTGCACCAGGCTCCAGGTGTGAGGACTCTCATAGCACCATTTGTGCAACGACGGATTCGGCCTACTGACAAGGTTTTGAGGATTTCCCTACTCTGCTATGTGGAAATGGAGACACTCAACATCTCCTTATAAAATATCTTGTGCCAGCCCTCAAGATACATGAAGCTGTGGGCCCTCAGAAACATCTGGCTCAGCAGAAATGACTGCAGGGTCTGCCTCTGAAGCCCAGCGTTTCTACTCCATTTGGGATATTCCACACAGGAAGAGAATTGGAAATGCTGGAGGTAAGAGCTTTGGCAATCGCTCTCCAAAAACCCTTGGAAACTCAAGTCAGCTTTGGCTGGGGAAGGGTACACATTAGCTATCTCTTCCATACCCACCCAGTCCTTCCTGTTTCTGTTCATTCTTCTTATTCTTTCTAATCCACACCTGCTCCCTCAGTCACACTTTCAGCCTCTGCCCTCTCCTGCTGACAGAGGGCTGTGATCTCCCCTCCTCCCCAGGCTCCCCACGTCAGGCCGTCCTCCAGGAGTGGCTATCCATCTCTAAGGGCTTTCCGGACTGCTGCCCAGCAACTTCAACAGGCACCTCTAATCGACGACCTCTCCTGCCTCCGCTGGTGTAGGGACGCCAGGCTTCTGAACAGCACTGCTCTCCTCATTTGCCTTCAAGCTGGCCTATCTTTCCTGCTGGTGGTGGTGGGCAGAGGCAAGGGTGTGGTCAGCTTTGAAAGAGATTCCATTCTTGGAATAAAGTGATCTAGCAAACAAAGTCTTCAAAAAAAAAATACATGAGGGGAAAAACAATAAGCTGAACATGAGCAGAAAACACATTTTCTTGCATTTGTGGTCATCTTCTATGAAGCACAGTAAGAATCTTTGGAAGCCAGTCTTCAGGGCAAAAGGATGGAGGATGCAGCATCATGAGTATCCAGAGAGTCAGGATGAAGTTGTTCTTGGGAACTGCAGAGACAAGCAGTTCTATATGGTTTCAACACAAATGGGCTAGGAAGAACCCTGGCACCGTGAGCAATAATAGTGTCACTACCTTTTTCTAGAGGTGGGAGACAAAAACTTAGCCAGACACATTCAACAGTAAGACTCAACAAAGAATCTTCATATTCATGGACAGAAACTAAATCTGCCACATTTCTAGTAAGGTTCTTTCTTGGTTAATTAAATGTATTAATCTCTTCCAATTTCTATGTGCTATTTGTCCTCATTCCCCAAAGATTATGGCTTAGCTCAGTGTCTGCAGGTGATTGTTCTTCTCTTGTTGCAGGTAAAATCATCCACGATGCCCTCCAATATCATTCCCAATCAGTTTCCTGTTTCCCCTTCTCTTGCAGAAGCTCTGGAAGCCCACAGAGAACAGATGCATAAACACCATTTACCAGACACAGCTCAGCAAACCCTCTCTCTCTTCCTTCCAGCAGCTTGGTTGTCCTCAAGGAGTTCCTAAATTTCATACTTCTGAGGGTTATATGGGATGGTGAGGGGTGGAGGAGAGTAGCACGGATTGAAAAATACATTAATGTTGGCTGGGCACAGTGGCTCACACCTGTAATCCCAGCGCTTTGGGAGGCCGAGGCTGGTAGATCACCTGAGGTCAGGAGTTTGAGACCAGCCTGGCCAACATGGCGAAACCCCATCTCTACTAAAAATACAAAATTTAGCTGGGTGTGATGGCACATGCTTGTAATCCCAGCTACTCAGGAGGCTGAGGCAGGAGAATCGCTTGAACCCAGGAAGCGGAGGTTGCAGTGAGCTGAGATTGCAGCATTGCACTCCAGCCTGGGCAACAAGAGAGATGCTCCATCTTAAAAAAAAAAAGAAAAATACATTAAAGTGTACCAAAATAAATATATGACAGCTTTTAAATTATTTTCCATGGGAAAAAAACTTATAATTAGTGACAATTACTTACTGAGGGCCTGCTGGGCTAGACATTATGGACATTGTGAAAGATAAAAAGTTCAAGACACAGACTCTGTTTTCAGGATGTGTACGCTTTAAATATGAAGTTAACACAGGGCAGAAAAGTAGATACACACATGCACACACATACCTATACACACATACCTACACACACACACACACACACACACACACACAAATACTCCTCAGACCCAAAGGACGGAGACATCACAATGAACAAGATGAACAATTGGTAGGATTTTAAAAGACTATTTTCTTTTTCAGCAAGGAGGATGGAGTGGGCAGGTAGGGGATGGTATTTATTTCCCAAGCAAATCAATTAGAAAAAATATTTGTATTTCAGTAAATTTATTTTTTTCAATCTTCAGATATAAGAAGGCTTTTCCATGAAAAACACTCTATTTATGTCTCACTATTTAATTATCTAATGTTATATAAATAGTCACATACAGAATGAAGAATCAGAGCCAGGCACATTATAGAAAAGAATCTGTGACTTCCTAATCTTGCCATGAGTAGCAAGTTATTCTAACAGTTTAATCATGGAATTATTCAAATTTGCTCTGTTAACAAATTGAAGACTTTCAATCAAATATGTAACATTGCTGAAATGAAGAAATATTTCCAGTATAAATTGGACTGAACTGATAAATCAATGCTTTCTCCTCTTCAGATTCAGATTTAAAATGATGGTTGTTTTTCCGAGCTGCAAGAAAAAAAGTTAATTTTTAAAAAGATCAGATGACAAAATCTTCAAGAGACTATTTTATAATATTTCTTCCTGCAATCAGCATTATTAAGTGGGAAAATATCAACAAGAAGAGAAATGCGACTGCTCTTCCTATAGAACAGCCATCTTTTTTTTTCTTTACTTCTCTAACAAACTTACTTTCCAAAAAAAAAAAAAGAAGAAGAAGAAGGAACCAAGGAAGGGAGGGAGGCAAATGCTTGACAAAATTTCCCCAAATAAAGCAGTGCCCGATTTATGGCACAGTCGCGCATGGCCACAGCAGCTGTGCTGTACTCCCCCTGCAGCATATCCCATGCTATGCTCACTCCGCAACTCATTCAAATACCTACCTATCAAATACACAAGACTTGATAACACAGCCTGGGGATGGAAATATAAACAGAACAGGTCCTAACACTCAAAAAGCTCAGCCTCGTAACCACACAGAATCATATGATAAAAATGTTTTTATGGTATATGGTGTATCATCACTGGATGCTACAAGAGTAAAAAAGATGGAGAAACTGGTGAAGCTGAGGCAGACAGAGAAGTGAGACATTTTCACTGGTAAGGCAGCATTATGAAAAACCAGGAGGCACAGTGAGAAGTTTGGCATGATGAAAGCTGGAATGTGAGGAGGTGAGAGCTCCTAAAGCTCCCAAAGTCAAAGTAAATACAGGCTCTTACGGCATTTTCAGAAAGAATGTTGGAAGATAAAAGACCACATAGACCAAATGCCACATGACTACTACTGCAGCAAATGCGGCACTGCCACTGCTGCCCTCATTCACTCCACGCACTCATGAAAATGTTCCTTTGGACTAATACTGTATATGGGATACTTTTTTTTTTTAATTTGGAGTTTTTGTCATAAAACCATCCACTCAGCTCTGCATGATTCTAAAGCAGAGTGAACTCAGTAGGAAGTACTTGACTTCCCAGCAATGGCAGGAGAGTTGATAAAAACTTAGGGCAAGCTTGGAGATGGAATGAAAGCAAAGTTCACTTAAGTCTTTAAATGGCTATACCTCACCAAAGTGATCTCTACCGTTTACAAGTTGTTTTTGTACCTCTGTCTTACACAGCTAGTCTTCACTTAACGTCATCGATAGGTTCTTGTAGTACTTTTAAGCACAACGATGTATAACAAAACCAATTTTTTTCTAACAATGTTATAATGAAACGACTTCAAAGTAAACAGTGTTGTTCAAGGACCTGCTACACACAGTTCTGCTTAAATCGTAGGACTTACTGTACCTATAATGCTCAACTAAGAAATAGGCATCTACAACCAAATTCTCGATTTTTCCCACAAACATAACACAGCATGAATATGTCTGTGTTTTCATCACCAAACAGCAGGCAGAGTTTATTTGCTTTCTCCAGTATGCCAATGCCTACAGAGAGGTAGCCTTAAAATCACAAACTGGTGGGTATATATTCAATTTGTATCACTGTCTTGGAAAAGTAACACCTAATTCTCAGACACTGTTAGAATTAAAGCATTATTCTAAGAAATGGAGAGTAATGGGGAAGAATCTAAATTAAAAGTATCCAAGAAGAAAGAGCTTGGTGTGGTAGTCTGCACCTGTAGTCCCAGCTACTCAGGATGCCGAGGCAGGAGGATCCCCTGAGCCCAGGAGTTTGAGGCTGCAATAAGCTATGATCACATCACTGCATTTCAGCCTGGGCGACAGAGCAAGATCCTGTCAAAAAACAAATAACAAAGAAAAAGAAACCAAAAAAAAAACTCTCAACATTCTTCACACTGTTGTTCAAGAATTCTGCCCACTGAAGCATGTATGATAATTGAAGTAACTGTCCTGGTTTTATTAGAATACCTTACATCTTGATTTTAGGGCTTTCACATTATTTAACATTTGTATTATTCTTTAAAGTTAAACCTATAGAACTTACAAAACATTTATAGAGCAAAAGGGTAGGCAAAAGTTCAGATAAGGGCAATTTTCTTCAAAACTACCCCAGAATAACAAAATTATGTACCCTCATATTACCTTCATTAACAAAAAACTCTGCTAAATAAAATGCGGTTTTCACAGCATTAGGTGCATGGGAAATGCCATCCAAATTCTTCCACTCATAAGGTGCTTTCTCTGGATGCCACTGGACACCATATACTGGATACTTATATCCTGTAAGAAGAACACAAATTAGTAAGTACTAAGAATGGTTTAAAATGTTACTTATAATGAAATTGGTTTATTTCTTATGTAAAACATTTTATAATTCACCTTATCAGACAAGGTAAAATTGTACATATTCTCTCAGACACAAAATAATTTCCATTCATAATCAATGTGAAAATTCCCTGTAACGTATTTCACTGATTAGCAACCTTTTACAATCTGTAGGACGATTTGCTTTTCGAGATACTCATAGCAAAGTAGAAGCTGAGCTGAGGAATCTATCCCTGTCCAAAAGTCAGATGCACATTTTATTGGTGATACAAGTTTCTTCCGCAGTGGGTCTCTTTCTCCCGTCTTGTAGCATGCTTTCCTGTCCTCCCATAATGACTTATTCATATGAGAATGAAGTATGGCAGCACTTCTGGTATCCTTTTACACCCTGCCTAAACTGCCTAAACTGTGTCTCTCTCTCAGTCTATGGAATGACTGATGACTTTGTGGTATAAATTTTTAAAATATTTTTTAGAAGTTTAAAAGCAGACATAAAACAAGAAGGGAAACAGAGCTGTTGACAATTGTCAAAGCTGATAGATAGACACCCAGGGTTCATATTACTCTCTCTATGTTTACATACTCATGAACAATTCCACAATTCAAAAAAAAAGTGAATATGTGTAATAGTTACCTTCAGAAAAATGTACATATTTGTCTCTTCTTCAGATGTGCCTTTCCTCATTTTGATTTAAAAAAAACAAATCTCCCCTCTATTATTTTCTGCTTTGGAATTGTAACCATGACCACCATCAGAAAGTACTTGGAGAAATGAAGTGAATTAATGAAAGAAGAGATATCTAGGGGTAAGAGCACTGTCTGTTCTCATCCCAGTAAGCTTTCTGACTAGAGAGCAGGCCACAGAAGGGAAACATTTTATCCCAGTTTTGTGGGTATTCACGAGAGGAAACACCTGCCTCATGCAGCTCCAGGCACTCAGCTCCCTGCCTCCCCCACTTCCGTGTGACACTGCCGTTTTTCCCCTCTATTCTGGGACTACCTGTGAAGCTACCAGCAAGAGACCCACAGGCTGGGGGACTAGGAAATTGTTACATAGAGTTAATTGAAAGGCAGACCTTCTAGTATATTGGATATAAATCTTTTTTATGATTTAAGACTATTTTTGTCCTCAATAATGCTTCATGCGTTGGAAAAGATACATATATATAAGAAATCTTCAAAAAGCTCATGGAAAACGTGTATTATGAAAAAAATTATGCAAGGATTTCACCATTTTTTTGCACCAAAATAAACTTGTAGTAACTTGTATGAACAGGATCCAGTATGAGGCACTAAGAAGGACAAGACATCAGTTTTAAAAGAACCCCTGTAACAGCAATATGAATTTTGCTAAAATTGAAGGCAGAAAAAATAGCAAATTTACGGTGAAGCTTGGATGGAAGAATGGTAAAACCGCTGATGCTTTACAAAAAATTTATGGGGATAATGTCCCAAAGAAATCAGCAGTTTACAAATGGATAACTTGTTTCAAGAAGGAATGAAACAATGTTGAAGCCCTCAGGGCAGACTATTCACATCAATTTGCCAGGAAAATATGTATCTTGTTCGTGTCTTAACTGAAGAAGATCGCAAATAAACAGCAGAACCAACAGCCAATACCACAGACATCTCAGTTGGGTCAGCTTACACAATCCTGACTGAAAAATTAAAGTTGAGCAAACTTTCCATTCGATCGGTGACAAAACCATTGCACACAGATCAGCTGCAGACAAGAGAAGAGCTTTCAATGGACATTTTTAACAGGTGGGATCAAGATCCTAGAGCATTACTTTGAAGAACTGCCACTGCAGATAAAACACGGTTTTACCAGTATGAACCTGAAAACACAATCAAAGCAATGGCTACCAAGAGATGGAAGTGGTCCAGTCAAAGCCAAAGTGAACTGGTCAAGGGCACAGGTCATAATGTTTTTTTGGATGCTCCAAGGCATTTTGCTTGTTGATTTTCTGGAGAACCAAAGAACAGTAACGTTTGCTTTTTATGTGTTTTCAGAAAGTCAGCCAAAGCTTTAGCAGAAAATCGCCCAAGAAAGCTTCACCAGAGTCCTTCTCCAGCATGACAATGTTCCTCCTCATTCCTTTCATCCGAGGGCTATTTAGTGAGCATTTTGATGGGAAGCCATTAGGACCTTATGGTCCTGATTTGGCTCCTTCTGACTTATTCTTGTTTCCTAATCTTAAAAAAATCTTTAAAGGGCACTCATTTCTGTTAATAATGTAAAAGACCGCATTTGACGTGGTTCAATTCACAGGACCCTCAGTTCTTTAGGGATGAACTAAAAGGTTGGTATCATCATGGGCAAAAGTGTCTTAAACTTGATAGAGCTTATTTTGAGAAATAAAGTTTACAGTTTTTATTTTTATATTTTAATTCCATTTTTCCCACAAACTTTTTGAAGTCACTGACATTCAGTAACGAGTGAGATTTACTCTTCTTTAGTAAACTGCATTACTAAAAGACCAGTGCAGTTTCCTGAAAACTAGGAATCATGCCCTGCCTCACTGATTTAGACAGAAGTATCAAGAGTGGAAAGAAAATATGCAAATAATAAAGCATCTCAAGTGTTCCTATTTTGGAGGTGGGAGAAAATTTTCAAATGAGCCTGGTATGGCATAGTCAAAAGCAGAACCAACATGGAACCTGATTTCCTAACTTCCAATCCAATATTCTATCATTTAAATAATTAGGCATTCATTCAACATCTATGAGCCCTAGAAACACAAAGGAGAGTAAGATACAGTTCCTGATCTCAACAAGCTTTTCATCTAGAGGGATGACAGAACAAGAGCAAATACATGCATTAAGAAACGTTCCCACACAGCACAAAGCACCAAGGTTGTGGAGAAGAGGAATAATGGTAGAAAAGGCCTCTAGGGATGACAAGTGGCCTGGGTTTTTCGAGATGGCTAAGAGTTCATCAGGAGAAAGGAATAGGGGAAAGGGGGAGCTTTTCAGAGAAGAGGAAAGCACATGAGAAGCAGTGCAGAGGCAAGAAGCATGGCTCTGTGGAGGGACTGTGTGTAGCAAACAGGTCGTGCAGGGTACAAGCTAGAGGTGAAGGCAGGGAGAGGGCATGAGGAAATAAGCTCATAAATCTAGACTTCATCCTCCAATGCAGAGGAGCCACTGAGGAGTTTTGTTCAGGCAATACTATCAGACTGGCACTTCAGCAGACCACGAGTGGGTGGCTGGAAGATGGGTTTGTGGAAGCCTTAAGAGGCTGCTGCTGCAGCAATCCAGGTGGCAGGTGGTTAATGCTGATGTAGCAAGGTACATCGGATTGGGAGGACGAAACATGATTAATACTTCCAAAGCCCTTCTACTGTCCCTCCCACCCCTTCAGCCCAGTGAGAAGGACTCTCATAATTATTCATCACCCCAACCTTTCCTTAGATTTACCACCGAACATTGTTTCTTTTTTGCCAAATTTTAATCATCATATAAATGAAAACATACAGCATGTATTCCCTTGTGACTTGCTTCTTTAACTCAAAATTGTCTTCATGATTCATTCAGTGGTACATGCAGGTGTGTTCACTGATTTTAATAGCTGTATAGTATTACTTATCCTTTGCACTACTGGACTTTTGAGTTGTTTTCCATTTTTTTGCTGGTATGAACAAAATGTCACGTACATTTCTATCTACATGAAATTATTTCATTAAGATATTTTTTAACCAATGAATAAAACTGCCAGGTAACAAAACTGGAAAATGTTTGATTTTACTAAGAAATGCCAAAATGTTTTCCAATCGTAAGTGCATGACAGCACCTGCTGTGCGACATCCTGGGTAACACTAGTTATCAGCAGGCTTCTTAATTTCGCCAATCTGATGGGTATAAATGGTTTTTTACTTTGGTTTCCATTTGCATTCCCTGATCAGAAATTACACTGAGCAACTTATCTCACCAAGCCATAAGTGGACAGGACAATCAAGTTTTTTTGGATGGTATCCATTCAAATCTCATATCCTTTTTTTTTTTTTTTTTTTTTTTGAGGCAGAGTCTCGCTCTGTCACCCAGGCTGGAGTGCAGTGTGCAATCTCAGCTCACTGAAACCTCCGCCCACTAGGTTCAAGCAATTCTCCTGCCTCAGCCTCCCAAGTAGCTGGGATTACAGGCGTGCGCCACCACGCCTGGCTAATTTTTATATTTTTAGTAGAGACGGGGTTTCGCCATGTTGGCCAGGCTGGTCTCAAACTCCTGACCTCAAGAAATCTGCCTGCCTTGGTCTCTGAAAGTGCTGGGATTACAGGCGTGAGCCACCATGCCCAGACCTCATATCCATTTTTAATAAGCTATCTTTTCTTCTTAAATCACAGCTTTACTTTATATAAGCTAGACACATATCCTTTGTCAGTTATATGCATTACAAATACCTCCCTTTTTTCTTCTCTGTGTAATTTTTTTTTTACGAACACAACTTCTTCATTTGATTGAATTCATCAATCTTTTCCTTTATGGTTTGTTTATATTTTGTCTTCAAAACTCCTTCCCTCAAACAAGATCATAAAGACATTCTCCTTTATTTTTTCTAAAACCTTATTGTAGTGTGCCTTTCTCCTTAGGTCTTTTATCCACCTGAAAATTTTTTTTTTAATATGGAAAAAAGAGTCTGTCTCTGTCCTACTTTTTCCCATTCCTTCTAGAGTTCTGGTTAGGTAAGTTAGAAATCACTTTACCCTCCAGATTCCAACCTTTCTTCTGACACATTTGGCATTTACATTTACATGTCTGGGTATGTTGGATTCTGAATGTTTCCTTCACATCTATCTTCTATTCTAGTTCATTAATTTCTCCTCAACTGTGTCTAACCTGATTAACATGTCTACTGAGGGTTTTATTTCAATTATAATTTCTTCTTTTTTTTTTGAAACAGAGTAAGTCTTACTCTGTCGTCCAGGCTGGAGTGCAGTGGCACAATCTCGACTCATTGCAACTCCAAGTAGCTGGGACTACAGGCACATGCCACCATGCCCAGCTTTTTTTTTTTTTCTTTTTTTGTATTTTCAGTAGAGATGGGGTTTCACCATGTTGGCCAGGCTGGTCTTGAACTTCTGACCTCAGGTGATCCGCCCCGGCCTCCCAAAGTGCTGGGATTACAGGCATGAGCCACCACACCTGGCCTCAATTATAATTTCTAATAGCTGAATTTGGTTATTTTCAAATCTGATTGTTTCATGCCTATATTTTCAAGCATTTTTCTTTCTTTAAAACTTAAAATATATTATACTTTATCTCATAATACTAATATCTAACATTTGTGCAGGTCTGCTTCCACATCTGTTATCTCTGCAAGTTCTCATTCACAGTGCTTGCTTGTGCATTAGTAGTATTTTGGCTGTGAAGCACTCATTTTCCTTCAAACTTCATATGTTGAAATTCCTTGAAGCCTGGGATGAATGTCTGGTCCTCTCAAAAAAACTATTTACATTTGCTTCAGCCTCACACATGAGAGCATTACCAGTCTAAGGCAACCTTGAACAAAATTACTTACTTAAGATTTGTCCAACTTCCCAGTTAGTATAATGCTGGCCACACTAGGAGAACAGCCCATCATTATAAACACTCAAGGCTTTATTCACTGTCCCCCACCCCACTCCCTTAGCCCCAAAGCTCAGGATGGGCAATTCTCCTTGCCATTCTGTAGGGGGGATTTTAGGTGTATTTTGAGTTCACCCTTACATTGCTGGTATAGCCATCCAGGTCCCGCTCCATGAGATACTATTCGTATAGAGAGTCCTGACTTTGTCTCAAGTTCTCCTGATTCCATAATAACACTGGTTTAAATATTCCACTCAACTCTTAAAATTTTGGACCTGAGTATCTTTATTTCTTTGCCAATTCATCAACGTATTTACTATGTTTTTCTCTATCACCCACATTTATTTTGTTGTTGGCTGGAGGAAAGTCTGTCAAGGTATTTAATCTGCAATATTGCTAGAAACAGAAGTCATTTTCTTCATTTCTTTCTTCATCCTTGCCCCCTTTATTCTTTTACTTTTCTTCTTCACCACCCCATTCAGGAAAATACCCAGGAAAACTGCAATTAATTTGAAACATGGACAAAACATGTCTCCTGTCTCCCAAAATGCCCTAACACCCCTCTTCAAGCCCCAAAGTAATATGATTTTATTGATGAGACATATAAAATCAAAATTTAAAAATATAAAATAAGTGAAATAAAGTATACATGTTATAGTGATATACCTTCCATTGTTGAAATAAACTCAATCTTGCCATCTGTATTTGTAGTTAAGACATTGAAAAACTTCTTTAACTTTTCATTCATTGTAAAATTCTAGAATACGAAAATAAAACAAAATGATTACTTCTGCAGTTATTCTAAACATATTAATTTCATTGTGTAATTAGTGTGATACCTTCACGGAGAGGCTCCACTTATGGAAATTGGCAGTCAGAGGTTCTACTGCTAATGACAGCAACAACTCAGTAGGAAAATTCTGGAACATTCTGCTGTGCAATTGACCTGAAATAATTTAAGTACAAGAGAAATAATTTAAACACAAAAAAATAAAATCCACTGAAGTCACTTACTGCACCCAAAGAGAAGCCATTATGAAGACATAATCAAGATGACCAAATGATATGCAAAACACATCATTTCCATAGAAGTATTCCAATCAAGTCACAAAATGTGTTTAACATAAACTCAAATATGCTCCAGCTATAAGTAATCTTCTTCTAGAATTTTAACATGAATAAGTAAAATTCTTCCGATATGAGTATTGGCAAGCTAAAGAACAGGCAGGGAATCTTAACTAGATTTCCACAGACTATTCTGAAAAACAGTTAAAACTTTCCATGGGTGTATGTATTTGCCCAGGAAAGTATCCAAAACTTTCAAATATAACATATTTTCAGAGGTATCTGGGACAAACAAATAAAAATACAAACAATGTAGAAAAGAACATGAACCAAGCCAAGAAATTTTGACTCAGTAAACAGATCAAAAAGCAATATATCTTAGTGGTCAACCCTGAAGGTTCTGCACAGACTCAAACACCAACAAACAGATTTTGAAAAAAAAGAAACTGACGTTTTCAAGGCGATAGTGCCAGCTGTTTCAAACCAGGCCCCTTATTCTTACTAGAGACTTCCATGAAAACCACAGCACCTTGAAACATTCCTTTTCTGTATAAACTGAGTTCTGGCAACACACAACCAAAGTACTCTGACCTAATACATGTACTTCCCACCAGGTTTTTGCAATTATTAAGTGAGACAATGGAAGAAAGAGCTTTCAAAAGCACAAAGCATTCTACAAGTTTTAAGTATGACTGCTACCTTCCTTGCAAAATCCCTATGAGAACAGAAATAGCTGGTGGCTTCAATTCTAAGCATTCGGAGATCAAGTAACCCACAATAATCATTATCTATTTATACAGAGTGATATCACTAAGAATCTATCTGGTCTTTGTCCTGGGTTCCTGACAGGAAGCTTCTAAAACCCTTGGAATTCCCGGAATGATATAAGTATTTTTGTTATGCTAATGTGGTAATTCAAGGTGGGTCCCTCAATTATTTCAGGATGAAGACTAATCATCAGAAAAACTAACTTCATGATTAGAAAGTTGAAACTTCGAGCCAGCCCAATCAATCTCCAAGTATGAAAGAGGGGCTGGAGATTGAGTTCAATCACACAGGCAAAGATTCAATCAATTATTTCATAATAACGTTCCAGTAAAAACTCTAGACACCAAAACTCACTGGAGTTCCTGGTTGCTGAGTAAATATAGCGCTTCCCGGTAGATCATCTAATCCCAGCACTTTGGAAGGCCAAGGTGGGTGGATCACCTGAGGTCAGGAGTTTGAGACCAGCCTGGCCAATATGGTGAAACCTTGTCCCTACTAAAAATACAAAATTCAGCCAGGTGTGGTAGGGTGCCTGTAGTCCCAGCTACTCAGGGGGCTGAGGCAGGAGAATCCCTTGAACCCTGGAGGTAGAGGTTGCAGTGAGCCGAGATTGCGTCACTGCGCTCCAGACTGAGTGACAGAGAGAGACTCTGTCTTAAAAAGAAAAAAAAAAATCTTATTTAATATTCACAAAAAAAACCCCTAAGCGTTATTAGACCTTTTTGCAAATGCAGACATTGAACCTCAGAGAGGTAAAATGGTTCCTCAAGGTAAAAGTGACAAAGCTAGGAGTCAAAACCAGATCCCATTTCAGAGTTCTTCATCACACACAGTCCTGATATCACTAGAAGCAATGAGTTATTAAAATTCACAATTCCTTAAGTCATCCTCATAAATGAGTACAAGGATGGTCATTCACATCTTCAACCTGTGTAAATAATTTAAATGCTAATGTCATAAGCATTTTTTCCTTCAGGGAAAAGGCTAAAAAGAAAATAAAAATAAGCACTTTTACTTTCATATTTGCTACTTACTAATCCTGCCCAGCAAATATTTTTCAAAGGGTTGAAAAGAGTACTCTTACCTCCAGTGAAGTTCAGCGGCATTGCCACGTCAACAGTATCTGTGGCAGTTAATAAGCACTCTCCACTAATCAGCAGTGAAAGCTCTTCAAATCCAAGGCATGTGCCCCACACAGGAAAATAGTCTCCATCATCAAAACTCTTTGCAAGTGGAAAAAGAGAAAACTAAGTTTATTCAAACTTTTCAAAATAAAAATTAGCCATATCTTTTGTCATAACCAAATAGGCACCTGAGTTACACATGGATTTCTGAAGAATTCTCCAGGATCCATAAGTAGGCTATCACTTAATCTCTCTTCAGACCAAGCTCCCACACAGGCTGGAAAACATGAGCTGTGGACACACTGTATATCTTGACCCAAAGACTATAAAAGCCTATAGATTACTGACCTTAGCTATTAAAAGTTTGAAACAAGTATTTCAAAGGCTAAAAACAGTTATTTAGGGAAATGTGTAAGGGGGATTGGTAAGATTCTAGGGCCAGCAAGATTAATTTAAAAATCACTGTTAATAGTTGAGGAGAGAAACAGCAAAGGTTTGAGCTATGGTACAAAGGCAGTCCCACTGTGAACATTACAAAGGAGAAGTCAGAGGCTCAGAAGCTCTGCTTGACATGGAGTCTATGGTAACTGTGAAGAAAGTTCCAATAGGATTGAATGAGTTGGGAAGAAGAACAGATTTCAAGAAGAGGTGAGAATTAATAACATAGAAACAATGCCCATAAAAAAAAAATAGGACAGAGAGAGACATCAGAATGTCTACACTACATGAGGACACGGTTCACATTAACAAGCATCAAGAGAGGGGCAGTCAGCAGTGCTCTGAAGGGTCTCTGGAAGCCCAGGATTAGATGAAGCACATGGAAAATAGGCGGGAGCAGCCAAGAACAGGCACCTCAAAATTAAAGGTATGATGAGGCTAAGGGTAATTTTGAAGGGAGCATTACCATCTGCTTAAAAAATGAACCACTCGCACAAAAACTTACAGAAACCCATCTGGAATAATAAGCAATAACTGATATTTACCTGTATGGACAAGTTATAAAATATTTTGGCCACTTTAGCATAATCTGAGCGTCTGAGGTCAACACTTCCTCCAGGGAAAAGGATTCTGAAACAACGTTACATAAATCAAATAGGGTGTATTTTGCCACCCCCGACCCATACACACACAGAAAACAATCTTTTTATTTTAAAACAATTTTTCTTATTACATATGCAATAAGATCCTTGAAGAAAATTAGAAAAGTAAAGAAAAAAGAAAATATAAAATATTTACAATCCCATTCAGAAACTACAGCAGTTAACAACACTTTAGTGCATATTTTCCAAAAACTTCTTCAAAAAATTTATTTAATGAAATAGAGTGTGGGAAAATTAAAAGTAAATAAGTAGGGGAGGGGCAAGAGTACACAGAGCTAGACATCAAAGACAGACAAAATTCCAGGTATAGCCAGGTTTAAATGAAGGTGATCTGTGATGCCAAATCAATTGCAGGTCCATAATTATGGGTAGGTTTTAGCTCACAAATAATTTAACTATAAAGAACAAGCTGGTCATAAAAATATATTTAAGCTAGAATTAAATTTCTACAAGAATTTAATTCTTATCACCCCGAGTCTCTTCAGAAACACGCACAGTATTAGAACATTTTTTTCAAGAAACATAATTACGATTCTAGAAAAAGCCTAGGAAAAGAAGGCAGTCAAAAATATTTGATATTATTTTACACACTTATAAAGGTGAAATATAGAAAAATATTTTACCATGTTTTTATATCAACTTTTAAAATTAAACTTTAAATTTAAAATTTATAGCAAGGTCTTGAAAGAACCAAGGATATTCAAAAGAGGTAAGAAAAATGGTATTAATCATATTAAAATTTTGAAAATATTTAAATACGAGCTTGAGATATGTGAAATATCACTTGTGTGATTGTTGTTATTCAAGAAATATATTCTGTTTCTTCCATGAGCTAGACTCGACTTGCCTGGAGAGACAAACATGAGTGGCTTTTGCTGTTAGGAAGATCACAGTCTGGTAGAAAACATATAAGCATCTGTGTGGGAGAATATCTACCACAAATCCAAGCAGAAAATCCAACAATTAAAAGTGGCTTAGTGAAGACTCATTAGCATTCTCTCTTTCCATTAACTCAGTATTTTTTTTTAATTTTTATGTTTTGCATCCCAGGTCTCCAGCTTACAGACATTAACTTAGTATTTAAAAAGCTGCCTATGACCAAATACGGTATGTCTAACCCCAAACTCCTTTCATGCAGCAAAACCTGACTGTCCCTCCTATATGACAAACTCCTTAAAGCATGGCTCTGTCTTTTCATCTCTGCATTCCCCTGCAAAATACTATGGGGTCCACTGCATAACAGTGACTCAATAAAGGTGCTTTTGAAGTCACATTAGAATACGGCTCATTTTCTGGTGACACTCAGAGATATAAATAAGGCCCCTAATTTAACCCACTTTGGAGTGCAGCTTTCAGTGACTACATGAGAGAGAAAAGGGGCCTACAGGAGCAACAATTAGTGGCAATGCAGAAAACGAGTGAGGAAGATAGAAAATGGACTCCTTTTGCTGGTTTGCATGAAGACATACTGAGCATCTGGACAGGCTAGCTCCCCAAAGTATGTATTCCTGTCTACACTGCTACTTGATTCAGATTCCTCTCCAAACAGGAATGCAACTGGGGAGAGGGTGGGAAGAAAATGAAGTGTTTCAAAAGGTCTATTTTTGAGGTTCTACTATTATATTCTAGCCTAGACTTAATGATCTTTGTCCATGCCAAAGTACCTTGCACACAGCACATACTGGGCATTGTAAATGTTTTACTAAATTGAACTGATTTTATGGTAAATATTTACTGAACCAAACTGAACTGAAGGCAAATAATTTTCTAAACATAGCTTTTTAAAAGAAACAATAAATTAACATGGTTTTAGAAGTAAAAATAATAAAGCTCTTTTAAAAAAACATTTTACAGTAAAATACTTCCACCCTATTCCCAATCAGAAACAACTGCCATTAAAATCTGCTGTGTTGATTTGGTAGAAATATGCATATCTCTTCACCCCCACCTTTAACAAAAAGCAAACGGGGTGTATGCTATACACACCATCACGTGCCTTGCCTTTTTCACATAACACTATCACATTGTTCATAGGACAATGGTGATCTAAGTCAGCATCTACAGATAGCCGCATTTTTTAATTCCTGCATAGTATTCTATTGAATGTACATAGTCTGTTTTATTTAACCAATTCTCACCTGATGGATTACGGGGTGACTGTCAGACAATACTACTAATACAATGCATAGATTTGAGTCTAAGTCTTCATGCAAGGTGGGAATATATTTATAAAATAAAATTCCTCCTCAAGTTCCCAGGTCAAAGGGTATACGTGTTTCTAATTTCAATAGGTATTGCAATATTACCCCAAAAAAGACTACCTGATTTACATTCCCTCTAATAAAGTATGAGCACACTTGTTTCCTCACAGGCCCCATAGAGTATAAGCAAATTTTCTGATCTCTGCCAACATGGTAATTAAATGTTTTTGATTGCTGTAATTAGCCTTCTTTCCTAAAATTAAGAGTAATGGTGAATATTTTTTCCCAATTTACCTGAAAAAAAAAATCAACATCCTCAGACTTTGGACTTATAAACCCCATATGCAAGCAGTATGCCACGCCATTCAAGGTAGCTTCAAAACATTTAAGACAAGCATTAAAAGAACAAAGATTAAGTCACACATTTAAAAAAATTATGTGTGTCTACTATGTAACAATTATACATTTCCTAACCTGCCTCTTCCTCTTTTGAAGGACTTTTGCATCTCCCAAGAAAATAAATCCTATAAAAGAACTCAGAACACTAATACTATACCACTCTAAGACAGTTACATAGAAACATGTATAATATTTATATGATTTCTTTTACAAAAGCAGACATATGTAGACCACTCATATACCGTATGAAACCAATGCTGCCAACTTACCCATTAATAGATTTGAAAAGTATTTCATAGTCTTTCTCTGTAAGATCCAGCCTGAAAACAATAAAAGTTATTGTTACATTTGTGAAACTTAGAAGTAAACCTCTAAATGAAGTCTCCACATTTACTTTTAAAAAGCCAAATAAAAACAAATTTTTAATTACTAGACAATATTACCTCTCTACTTTTCTAGAGGCATTTTTGCAAACCACTTGAAAGCCACATCATTCTATCCTTGTTTTGCTAATCAGACAAGTAAATATGTTTTTCTGTGATCTAATGCAATTTAATATTGTGAAGTATGTGTTAGTATGCAAAAACAGTAAAGACCGTGAGATTTGGCCACCAGTAATTTCTCTACTAACCAAGAACTACAAAAAGAAATGTAAGAATATTCAGTAGTTTTATGTAAAGACTCCTTTAAATAACTTTATTTATCATGCCTATTTAACTACAGGAAGCTCTGGCAGATTAAAAAATGCATAAATAAATGCCAAGTCGCTGCCTGATCCCACCCCAACAAACTAGTTGCAACAGTCTAGGGACTACTCTGCATTTCAAAGTCAGGATGGTTCACATCTAGTCTGAACTGAGGACCACAGAGAGATGACTGTAGAACAGCCTAACTGCCCAGGTAATTACTCTGAAAGACCCTTGATCAAACACCCCTTAAGGGCCTCCTAACAATCGCCATGTTATTGGTGACTTTATTCCCTTTCTCCAGAAAAAAAAGATGGGCTTAATCTGTGACATATGGTGACAACATTTACTAAGTCACAGATATCTGCTCTCCCGAAAGTTCAATAAAATGCAACAATAAGGGAAGAGAGCACCAAGTTAGTGAAATCCTTGCAAGAACTCTCCCACATTTAGCAGCCTTCTGTTTCTGTGACAGAATAAATGGTACCTGTCCTCTCAACCTGCCCTAAAAGAAGTAGACTTATGATTAGATGTCAACTAGTCCATTTCTGCCCTCAAAGAAGTTTTAGGGGGAGGTAAAGTCCCTCACACCCATTATTAACTAGACACCTGTGATATCCAGAACACAGGCTGTGTTTTGCCAGCAAACAACTCTGGGATCTACTCTAAGTCCAAACAAGCTTTGCAAGTCCAGGTCTCTCACAAGTTCATAGTAATCTCTTCCTGGCGAGAGCCACAAAGCAATGGGTGATACCAGAATGGTGCTTACCATTCTTAAGTGGAGAAAATACTGACAGGTAGCCCTGCCTTGGGAAGTGATAGGGAGGTGAAATATCAATATACATGTACCCAGTATTCTGCCAGTCTAATCTCCCCAGATTGTGGCAACAAAAAGGAACCAGCCAGTCAGGACCCAGAATTCTCCCCATGGATATTTAAACCAAAATGGGCAACCATCGCCATCAGGGACCAAAATGGATTTAGATCACACAGCTGCACTCCAAGGATTCCTGCCAGCTAGCGGTGCAAGCTAGTTTCAGTCATTTCATTAATTCTAAATAAATGGCTCCCACACTGTCCATGACTATAGTTTTGGTCCCCATTTATCTCTATTAAGAGACCTAATTGTCACAGGGGAAGGAGTGTGCCATGTCACAACTCTGGTGCCTAGGGGCCCTGGCAGAGAATACAGCTGTTAGTTGCATGTTGTCAGACATTTTTTGAAACAAAAGTCCCTTTCAACAAGGTATGAGGAACAGTTTACTCTCTCCTTAACTGTAACGAAATGGCTTAAGCCTGGTGATGATGGCAAATGACACACAGCTTTAGCAGCATGAAAAGGATGGTAAGGCATTGTTGCCAATGGGGAGTGTTTGCCCCATTTAAAACTCAATCTAGATAACTGTCTTCAAAAGAAACAAAAATTCAGACTCTTATAAAGTTTGATTTGTGGTCTTTGGGGTTTTTTTGAGAAAGGTCTGGCTCTGTCACCCAGGCTGGAGTGCAGTAGCGCCATCTCAGCTCACTGTAACCTCCACCTCCTGGGCTCAAGTGATCCTCCCACCTCAGCCTCCTGAGTAGCTGGGCCCATAGGTGCACGCCACCACTCCCAGCTCATTTTTTAAAAATTTTTTATAGATAGGGGTTTTTCCATGTTGCCCAAGCTGGTCTCAAACTCATGAACTTAAGCGATCTTCCCACCTCAGCCTCCCAAAGTGCTGGGATAATAGACGTGAGCCACCGCGCCCAGCCTGATTCATGTTTTAAAACGCTGTGTGAACAAAACACGTTTTTAAACCAAAAGCAGCAGTCCATGGGCTCCTGTATGCTACCTCTGAGGAAGCAGGACATTCTCTTTTCCACTAGTCCCACATTGGGCATTTATGACAACCTGAGAGCACCAAGCGCCTGAGACAGAAGGGGCAGAAAGAAGGCAGAAGGAAACCAAAGACAAATTTCTGCATCTATTTCAGAATGCTTCCCAGGTCTCCCATCTCTTCCTTTTCACTTCTAAACCACAGAAGTTGACTCCCAGCATCCAAAATTCAGAAATGAACCTAACATCATCATGATCCAGTCTTATTTTGCATCAGGTAATCCTTCACAGGCTAGTCTATGAACTCACCCCATATGTATTACACTGTTTCTACAAGATCACATGATTCCAATATACCTTAAGTGAACTCTGAGAACCCAATTTGGAAATAAACCTGTATGCTGACAGTCGTGTTCTCAGCATCTCTCATAAATACCAATATTCTGCAAAGTCATCCACTTTCAAAACTCCCATGATTTCAAAACTTCCATCATCCTTATATATTTCTTCCTCCCTGTGCCCTTTTATTAGTCATCATGTACTGGTGATTTTTTTAAACAACACTTACCTATCATTCCCACACCACCAGTGTAAGCCAAGCCCTCAACACTTCACACCTAGACTACTGCAACTACCTCTAAACTGGTCTACCTGCCTTTAGGCATTTTGTTTTATTTTTTTAAAGACTTTATTTTTTAGAGTAATTTCAGGTTCACAGCAAAATTAAGAGAAGGTTAAGTATTTCCTTTATAACCCCTGCCCCAAAACATGTATAGCTTCCTCCATTAACATCTTGGGTGGTACACTGTAACAGTTGATAAAAATACACTGACACATCATAATTGCCCAAGACCTAGTTTACACTGGGGTTCATTCTTGGAATTGTACTGTCTTCAATTTTTTGGATGAGTTTGAGAAGGACTGGTATCAATTCTGCTTTAGATGTTTGGTAGAATTCACCAGTGAAGCCAGCTGGTCTTGGGCTTTTCTGTGTTGAGAGGCTCTTGATTACCATTTCAATCTCTCCACCAGTGACAGGTTTGTTACCTATTTCTTTATGATTCAGTCTTGGTAGACTGTGTGTTTCTAACAATTTATTCATTTCTTCTAGGTTACACATGTTGTTGGCATATAGTTTAAGTAGTCTTTTATGAACCTTTTTATTTCTGTAGCATTAGTTGTAATGTCTCCTCTTTCAGTTATGATTTTACTTCATTTATTTTTTATAATTTTAACTTTTATTTTAGATTCAGAGGGTACATGTGCAGATTTGCTACATGGGTATATTGTGTGATGCTGAGGTTTGGGGTACAAATGATCCTGTCACCCAGGTAGTGAGCACAGTATCCAATAGGTAGTTTTTCAGCCCTTATTGCCCTCCTCCTCTAGTAGCCGCCAGCATCTATTGCTGCCATCTTTGGGTCCATGTGTACCCAATGTTTAGCTCCCACTTATAAGTGAGAATATGTGGTATTTGGTTTTCTGTTTCTGCATTAATTCACTTGGGCCTCCAGCTGCATTCACATTGCAGCAAAGGATATGATTTCATTCTTTTTTATGGCTGCTCTGCCTTTTGTCTCTCCTTATATATATATATATATGTCTCTCCTTATATATATATATAATATATATAAAAATATATATATATTTTTATATATATCTCCCATCCACACGGTCAGCACTAACATCCCAGAAGAACAGCTTGCATTAAAAAGTTTCCCTGATGAAAACTTTGAAACACTGTTCTGAAGACTCTCTGGAGCCTCTTCCTCAGCTCTAAAACTCTGGCGTTATATGGGCTTCAAATAAAATTTCGTTTGAAAAATTAGATAGGCTACTAAAATATTAAAGACTAATATCAAAAGCAAATGGCAATCTTGGTGTAGAAACAGTTAATTTAAATGTAAAAGATCATACAAGAAGACAATTCTTATAAATCTAAACCTAAAGCCATTTTGTGGTACAATTCTCTAAATTGTAATATTTGCATTTTATTAGTAGTATTATATTTGAACAGTATTTTTGTTATAATTTTTGATGAGGAATTGTTTGCAAAAACAGGCTGTACAGAATAAATAGTGTTTTATGTGTGAAATCACTCAAAATGGATTAGATGAGGTGCTCAAAGATTCTAAAATACATTAATTTTAGCTGACAAGACATTACAAATCCTTATAAGATTCTGGTTGTTAGCTCCTTCCAGATGAAAAATATGGGAAGAATTCAGTTCTAAATGAAAATGAGATGAATCATTTTATTCTTATAGGAACATTTTATCACAAAAATAATGCAGTGCCTTTAAAACTGCAATACCTATAATCCACACTGAAGCAACCCTAATGCACTGGTAATTTACAAACTTTTAAAGTAGAGTGTGAAGGTATTTTAAAAGTCATCTTCTAAAAACCTCCTTCATTCCCTAACTGTTCTCTTATCCTAATATTATAGAACAAAGCTGGTTAAATTGTAGATTCATTAAAATTTTTTTCTTATTTCAATAGCCTTTGGGGTAAAAATGGTTTTTGGTTACATGCATGAACTGTATAGTGATGAAGTCTGAGATTTCAATGAACCAGCCACCCGAGCAATGTACACTGTACCCAATATGTAATTTTTTATCCCTCACCCCGCCCCCCCAACCACTTTAGATTATTTTACTCCATTACCTTCATAGTGTCTGTGAGAACCACCTTTTCTGGGATAAAGGAAACTATCATTTCATTCTTGATGTTAATGCATATGACATATGGTACCTCTAATGACGTTACAGGTAACACACAGCTTCCCACATTAAACAATTCAATGAGAGACTCTAAGCAACATGTTTGTGTCAAAAATCAGGTGCAATGTTACTGCATTTAAACAATGTAATCATAAGAGAGAAAGCACGAATTTTAGAGATATTAGGCAGTAATTATTATTTTGAGATGGAGTCTCGATCTGTTGCCCAAACTGGAGTGCAGTGGTGCGATCTCAACTCACTGCAACCTCCACCTCCCTGGTTCAAGCGATTCTCCTGCCTCAGCCTCCCCAGTAGCTGGGATTACAGGAGTGCACTACTGCACCCAGCTAATTTTTGTATTTTTAGTAGAGACAGGGCTTCACCAGGTTGGCCTGGCTGGTCTCGAACTCCTGACCTCAGTAGTCCACCCGCCTTGGCCTCCCAAAGTGCTAGAATTACAGGCATGAGGCACCGCACCCGTACGCAGCAATTTTTTATACAGAGTAAAAAAAAAAAAAAAACACTGAATCATACCTTACTGGTACAACTCTCGCACCTGCAGACTCCAAGTACTTTACATAGGACGCAGCAATATAGTATCTTCCATAGTTTTTCATGACTTTATTACGGCATTTTTGCATTAATATTCCTAATAACAAAAAAAAGTTTAGTTTCAAGCAAATTCCTTTTCTTCTTGCTCAGAAACTGAAATATATCACAGCAAAAATATCATATTTTATTATTTCAATCCACAGAATTAAATAGGAAGTCTCTCCTCCAAGTCCACCCATAGCCTATGGGAAAGCAGCAGGGGAGGCTGATCTTACTTTCAAGTAGATCTATCTCTCACCTCATTAGGGAGGCCAAATAAGCCCCCAAAGAAGGCTTACAATAGCACTTGCAGCCTTCACACAACTGTAGACCTAGAATCCATCTAAAGAATATAGATCCTTAAATTTACAAGGCTGTCACTCCTTTCCCACACATACTCACAGACACACTGATTCCCTGACAACGAAGCAAAGGAGTGAAAACATCTTCCATCCACACCTCTCCAACATTACCTTAGCCCAAGCTATCAATATCTACCCTCTCCCCACCACACTATCATAATAGACTCTTAGAAGGTCTTGTTATATCTTTTCTTAAGAAACCCCCCCAAGCTCCAAGCAGCTCCCCATGTAGAAGCAAATCGGATCATATCACCATTCCTATTCCTACAGTCATTCAATATATACTGTTGAATCATACCTCATGCCAGGCAACAAACTAGCTGCTGGGGACACATGACTATGAGTGAACCAAACAAAAGCCCCTGCCCTGTGTGCATTAATTCGAGGGTGTAGCAGGGAGGGGAAAGAGGACAAACAATAAACAAGACAAAAAGGCATAATATATAGAGTGATGGCTGGTCGTAAGCACTAAGGAGAGAAAGACGGTGGGGAAGGAGAGCCCATCTATGTAGGAAAGGACAGTCTCTTCAACACGGTGGCCAGGCAAGTCCTCCCTGAGAAGGTAAAACATGACATTTGAGCCAGGACTTCAGAGAGGTGACAGAGTAAACCACATTCATATATCTGGGAAAAGAGCAATCCAGGACAAAGGAATAGCAAGTGCAAAGGCCAGGAGTCAGATTTGTGCCTGTCACGTTGCAAGGAATCCATATTATTAGAGCCAGGTGAGTGAAAGCAGAAAGCAATAGGAAAGGACATCAGGTAGCGATAGATCAGCAAGCAGGTGTCACCACTTTGTTTAACTACCTCAGTGGGTCCCTAAACTTTAATAAACTCTGTAAGACCCGTATGCTCTGCCCCACCCATCTCTCTGGCCTCCTTTTACCAGTGAAACCCAGCCCCAGCAGAGTATAGCAACCAGTATACATCAAAACACGTCTGTCGGGTGAGTACCTGTGCCTACTCCTATTCAGCACTTCAGCATTTGGAACACTTTCAGTGTCTCTGTAGGCCACCTGATAGGAAGAGCTGTTGTCTGTATTACTCACTTTTGTATTCCCAGCTTCTTACAATTGGCATTCATCAGGTATTCAGATTAACATGTCAAACGCCAAAATTTGTTCAGTAAAACTTTTTCTCCTTACTGGTAGGTAAGATCATCTTCACTAAGGAATAACAAAGTTTGGCTAGGGAACGAAGAACTAGGAGTGTCATAGGAAATGGAGTGGTACAGGGTACATGGGGTGAGGTACCACAAAGGAGACATGGGGCATCATGGGAGCACAAGGGTACCAGAAAGAGAAGTACATCAGAGTGAGTTCCACCAACATCTCCCCTTCCCCTGGGCCCACGCATATTCACTTTTCCCATCCCTGGGAAAAGAGCTCAAGCTGTTCTCCCTGTCCCTCAAAATATGACCAAAATTCCACCAATAATTTAAGGCCATCTCACAACTTTTGTGGCTTGTCATCTTTCAATCCTTTGCACTTCCCAGAGCAAGATTGTGTACATAGTCGGTACTCAGTTAACGATGTTGTGCTGATCTCAGTGACCAAAAGCAAAGTCCCTTTTTTAAATATTTGACGCAGGGCTACCCCTGATTCTAGGAAAGGGGAAGAATCCCCTCTGCTTTTTTTTCTCTTCTCTGGACACACAATATGCAACCTGTTACATTAATTACAGCTTGAGTTAATTCGTGGAGAATCAAATCACCATGTTAAACAGCTATGAAATAAGTTCCAAATATTAGTAAGCAACCCATTTGAAAACTGGGCACTACCTATATGAAAAAACATTCATCTACTTTCTGTTTAGTTACAGAATACAGTGATAATATTCATAGAAAAAAATAGTATGAAAGGCATAATCCTACAGCCAAAATAAAACTAATCTTAATGTCCACACACAAATTTCTTTGGGCAAATTTTAACCCCAGGATGATTTCTCCTAGGTAGCTTTCCTTGGGCCTGTCTCAAATGTGTGTTTTGGTAACACAGACTGATTTTACTACCTCTTTAAAACACAAATATGTTGGAAACGAAAAATTGTGGGCTGCATTTTAACACCAAATAGAACTCACATTAGGATATCAGCCACTGTTGTCCTCTGCTACTGAACATGACAAAATCCAAGTTATACCTTAATTTCTTGATTTTCTATTACAATGCACTGGTATTTTAAATACGCCATCAATACATTTTGATGAATGCAATGCATGTACAGAATTTGTAGATGTAAATGAGTAAAACTTCCCAACTATGTGCGAAAAGGAAATGTTTTATTTTAGTAGAAATTCCTAGCTGTGTACAAAAAAAGAAAATCCGCAGGATTCTTCATGGTGCACCCTCCTCCCTCCCACCTTTAAGAGTCATATGAGTCTAAAGGAATGAACGAGGTACCTCAACCAGGTACATTTCAGTACGACCTAAATGGTGCCCAGCCCGGGTTCCTCCTTGCACCAAAAGCGAAGCACATCTGGGGGTTTTTCCCGGCGGGACGCGCCAGCTGGAGCGCGGCGGCGGGAGGCGCCCAGCGCCAACACCCAGCTCCTCCCCGTCTGCTGCGGCCCCGCACAGCCTCCTTACCGATGATGGGCTTCTTGGCGGTGTCGCCGTGGGGTCTAGACAGCTCGAGGCTCGCCGCCCCGCAGAGTAGCAGGCCCAGCACGCACAGCAGGCAGCCCGGACTGGCCATGGCGCTCGCCGCCTCCCGCCGCCTTTCAAAAGCTCTGCGGGCGGGCGGGGGCTGCGGCAGGGACACCTCGCGGCAGCGCACTCGCGTGAGACTCGGGTGGGCGGTGCTCCGCAGCGTGGGCCTATGGGAAATGCAGTCCCGGCGCGCGCTAGGCGGCCGTGGGGCGGCGGTGGGAGGCTCTGGGAGTGCAGCCGGCGCTGCGCGCCCGCCCCATTGCTCTGTCCCCGGTCCGCGACCGCGACCGCGACCCCGACCCCCACGGGCCGCCTAAGCGGAGACTCTGGAAACGCCTGGGGCGGGTACCGGGTGGTCTCCGCGTCCTTCCCTTTCAACTGTTACGTCGATGTGGACTTCAGTCACCCGTACAAAGCTGGGCTGGCCAACCCAGGTCCTCGAGAGGGGAGGTTGGGTGTCCCCGGCCGAGTTTGGTAACCAGGCAGCGGGGAGGCTGGCAGGGGATTCTAGAAGGCGCCTGAGAACTGCGCGCCAACCGCACCGCCCCCTTGAAGGTCGGGGCCCTATCTCCGGGAATGGTGACAACGTTCGCTGTACGGACAGCCTGTGCCCCTGAATGTGAATGTCCACACTTGCTATTTGGGGGGTCGCGGCATCTGTAGGAAGTGAAGACGGGACGGCGATAGGAACACACGCACAGGCGCATCACTAGGGTCAGAACTGGGCCAACTCCGGGCGTCTACTTTGAAGCGGGCACGCCCAGGCCACGCCTGCAAACGGCGTCAGCTTCCTCTGATCAACCGCGGTCAGCGCCATCCACCGACCACCACTAAGCCTATCCACCGGGGCAGAAAAGATGACTGGTTCCTATTCGTTAAAACTGTTGATTGTTCCTAAATACATGGATATATAGCTTGTACTCAGTGAAAGTTTCCATCTATAAGGGCCAACTGAAATTCAGCATAAAACAAGAATATTTGAAAACCTGCTACATCAATGCTCAGTATTAAGGGTGAAAACGTAAATTGGACAGTCTTTTTCACAAGAGGTTTAAATTCAGTAAGGAAAAAAGGCAGAAAGCGTGACTCGTAGAGACAACAGGAACAATTTTAGCATGTTGCAAGAAGAGTAAATGCAGTGAATAGTCTGGTTTAACAAGAAAATAACGCTTCTGTAGAAGGGTGTGGTGAGAGGTAAGCAACAAAGGATGTGATGAAAGACATGAAAGGGCCGAGCTGGTTTTGAGCATGATTAAATAGACAAGTAGCCTTGTAAATATGAACTTGTGGTGCCAGAATAATTGACTATCCACATAGGAAAAATTTTTTACCCGGCGTTACACACAAAAATAAACTCGAGGTGAAGTGCATATGTAAATACGAAAGCAAAATATTATACTTTGATAAGAAAATATATAAATATATCTTCCTAACTTAGGCTGTTGGAAGAGTTTCATAAAACATTAAAAATAAAAATGTTAATTAAAAATTGACTATATAAGAAAATTAAAGTTAAAGCACAAACTTGGAAAATATAGTTATAAAATATAAAGTATTTCTAAAATATGCGAAGAAATAATAAGAAAAATGACACAATAGAAAAATGGAAAAAGAATGTGAAAAGCAAACCAAACTTTCTGTAGTCATCAGAAAAATGCAAGATAATATGTCACATCCATTAGACTGTGTAGAAAAACAGCCTGTTTCCTGGCAAGAGTGACACCATCTTGAAGCAAAACTATCCTGGGGACTGATGTTTGACCCACAGCATACCGAGGTGTTCTGCAGCAAAGGTCTTTAAACAATGCTCATAACATATATAACCCCTCATAAAGATGCTTATCTAACGTCCCCAGTGATCACAATAGTCTAAGAGCTAACTAGTTGCACTTGTCTTTACCCTAGAGGCTTGCTAAATAAAGCATACTTTCTGGAGGGCAAGTGCAGGGGTCGCTTCTGTTTGTCTCTACTAAGTATTTCTTTCTGAGAAATTCGATTGGTCAGCCTCTTTGGTCTCCCAGCTTCCTCCATCTTTGGAAGCAGGTTTCTGTAAATTGACAAAAATGTAAGCCTTTGATAATAAGTCAAGGATGTAGTAAAATGACAGTTCTCTGCATTTCTTGTGGAATTGTAATTATTATAACTATTTTTGAGAAAAATTAAGCAATATCTGGTAAAGGTGAAGATCTAAATGTTCTGTAACCCAGTACATTCTGGATATAAGTGTGTACCTAGATTAATGCGTGCTCATGTGAACAAAAAAAATATGTGTAAGTATGCTCTTTGGAGCATCTTTTTGTAATAGTAAAATATTAAATGTAAATGACCAATGTCATAAAGTTTTTCCCATGTGTTTTCTTCTAGTAATTTTACAGTTTCAGGTCTCATATTTAACTGCTTAATTCACTTTAGTTGATTTTTGTTCATGGTGAGAGATAAGGGTCTAATTTCCAGATTTTCCAACACTGTTTATTGAAGAAGATGCCCTTTCCCCATTGTGTGTTCTTGGCACCTTTGTCAAAAATCAATTGACAGTATATGTATTGGTTTATTTTTGGGCCTTCTATCCTAGTGCATTGGTCAATGCCCGTAATTTTATGCCAGTACCATGCTAGTTTGATTAAATTACTATAATTATAATATGTCTTGAAATCAGAGTATGATGGCTTCAACTTTGATTTTTTTTCTCAAGATTGTTTTAGGTATGTGGGGTCTTTTGTGGTTTCATACAAATTTAAGGATTTTTTTACATTTATGTGAAAAAAGTGACACTGGAATTTTGTAGAGATTACAATGAATCTGTATATTGCCGTAGGTCAGTCATATAGACATGTTCCCAATTTTAATTCTTCCAATCCATGAACATGAGATATCTTTCCATTTGCTTGTATTTTCTTATTTACTTGTATTTTTATGTGTTTTATAGTTTTCAGTGTACAGGCCTTTTACCTGCTCATTAAATTTACACCTAAGTATTTAATTTTTTGTTACTATTTTAAAGGGGATGGTCTTGTTAATTTCATTTTAATTTGTTATTACTATATAAAAATGCTGCTGACTTTTATATGTTGATTTTGTATTCTGTAACTTTACTGTTAATTTATCAGTTCTAATAGTTTTTTGGTGGATTCATATATAAGATCATGTCATAGAAAATAGGGATATTTTCACTTCTTCATTTCCTATTAGGCTTCAAATTTTTCCTCTTGCCTAATTGCTTTAGCTGGGACTTACGGTACTATATTGAAAAGAAGTGGTGAGAGTAGGCATACTTGTCTTGTCACTGATCTTAGAGGAAAAGCTTTCAGTGTTTTACTGTTGAGAATGATATTAGCTAAGGGTTTGTCATATGTAGCCTTTATTGTGTTGAGGTACATTCCCTCTATACCTATACCCAATTTGTTAAGAGTTTTTTTTGTTGTTGTTTTTGTTTTTTTTTTTTTGAGATGGAGTCTTGCTCAGTTTCCCAGGCTGGAGTGCAGTGGCGTGATCTCAGCTTACTGCAAGCTCCACCTCCCAGGTTCACGCCATTCTCCTGCCTCAGCCTCCAGAGTAGCTGGGACTACAGGCGCCCACCACTACACCAGGCTAATTTTTTTGTATTTTTAGTAGACAGGGTTTCACTGTGTTAGCCAGGATGGTCTCAATCTCCTGACCTCGCCATCTGCCCGTCTTGGCCTCCCAAAGTGCTGGGACTACAGGTGTGAGCCACCGCGCCTGGCCTTGTTAAGAGTTTTATTATAAAAGGATGTTGGGATTTTTCAAATGTTTTTTCTGCATGTATTGAAATCATTATATGATTTTTATCCTTGATTAATGTGGTATATCACATATTGATTTGTGTGTGTATATATGTCTATTATAGTAGATATAGGCAATGTATATTGTAATGTCTCCTCTTTCTTTTCTAATCTTGTTTGAGTAGGCTCTTGTTTTCCTAGTTAGTCTAGCTATGGGTTTGTCAACTTTATCTTTTCAAAAAACCAACTTAGTTTTGTTGATATTTTCTATTGTTTTTCTAGTCTCTATTTCATTTATTTCTGTGCTGATTTTTGTTATTTCCCCTCTTCTGCTATCATTGGGCTTAGTTTATACTTATTTTTCTAGTTTCTTGAGTGGTAATGTTAGATTATTTGTAACCTTTCTTTTTTTATATAGGTGTTCATTGCTATGAATTTCCCTCTTAGGATTGCTTTTGCTGTCTCCCATAAGTTTTGATACATTGTCTTACCATTTTCTTTTGTCTCATGGTAATTTTTTATTTTCTATTTGCTTTCTTCTTTAACCTATTGGTTGTTTAGGAGCATGTTGTTTCATTTCCACACATTTGTGTATTTTCCAAGATATCTCCTGTTACTGATTTCTGGTTTCATTCCATTGTGATCTCAAAAGATACTTGATATGATTTCAATTCTCTTAAATTTGTTAAGATTTGTTTTGTGCATTAACATATGGGCTATCCTGGAGAATGTTCTATGTGCACTTAAGAAGGATGTGTATTTTGTTGCTATTGGATACAGTGTTCTGTATATTTCTGTTTGGTCTATTTACTCTAAAGTGTAATGCAAGTCCATAGTTTCTTTATGGATTTTCTCTCTAGATGATCTGTCCATTACTGAAAATGGAATATGGAGAGCCCTACTGTAATATTATTAAATTATATTTTTTCCTTTAGATCATTTAGTAATTGCTTTATGTATTTAGGTGCTCTGATTTTAGGTGGGTGTATATTTACAATAGTTATGTCTTTGTGGTGATTTAACTTCTTTGTTATTATATAATAGCCTTCTTTTTCTCTTTTTATAGTATTTAACTTAAATCTATTTTGTCTGATATAAGTGTAGCTACCTCTGCTCTTTTCGTTTCTGTTTGCATGGAATATCTTTTCCATCCCTTCACTTTCAGTCTATGTGTGTCCTTATTACTAAAGTGAGTCTCTTGTGTGCAGCTTATGATTAGATCTTGCCTGACATGCATGTGCAAGCGACTCCACTGCCACCACCCTGATGAAGTGCTTTGGTTGGCACTCCTCATCAGAGTATTGTTACCAGCAGACTGGGAGCACCTTAGCTCCTAAGGTGCAGTAGGTGCTTAACCTCAAGGGGCCAGAGAACAAAGCCATGGGCCTGGTACTAGACCTCCAGGATTATAGCAAGCAGCTCAAGAGTACTTAGCTGAGCTTTGGTCCCCTGAAATCTTCCAGAAAGAAAACCAGTCAACTAAACCCAACTTATACCACAGTCAAACCCTCAGGGTATCAAAGAATATAAAAGCAGAAAACCCCATCCAAAGAACAGCAACTTTAAAGTTTAAAGAAACATCAGGCCACTGTGTTCCTGGCCTGAGAAACAACCAGTGCAAGAACTCTGGCAACTCAAAAAGTCAGAGTGTCTTCTTACATCCAAGTGATAGTACTAACTCCTCAGCAATGTTTCTTAACCAGGCTGAAATGGCTAAAATGAGAGACATAGAATTCACAATCTGGATAGGAATGAAGGTCATTGAGATTCAGGAGAAAGTTGAAATAAAATAATGCAAGAGATGAAAGACAAAATAACCATTTTAAGAAAGAACGAAACCAATCTGAAGAAGCTGAAAAACTCACTACAATAATATAATAATAAAATTGCAAGTATTAACAGCAGCATAGACCAAGGTGAGGAAAGACTCTCATAGCTCAAAGACTGTTTCATTGAATCAACTCAGTCAGACAAAAATAAAGAAAAAAGAATAAAAAAGAATAAACAAAGCCACTGAGAAATATGGGATTATATAAAGAGACCAAAACTACAACTTACTGACATCCCTGAAAGAGAGAGAAGGAGCAAGCGACTTGGAAAACATATTTGAGAATACTGACCACAAAAATGTCTCCAACCTCACTAGAAAGAACATTCAAATACAAGAAATGCAGAGAACCCCTGAAAGATACTATACAAGATGACCATCCCCAAGACACGTAGTCATCAAATTCTCCAAGGTCAATGTGAAAGAAAAAATGTTGAAGGCAGCTGGAGAGAATGGGTAGGTCACCTATAAAGGGAATATCATCAGGCTAACAGCAGACCTTTCAGCAGAAACCCTACAACCAGAAGAGATGGGGGCCTATATTCAGAAAAGAAATTCTAACTAATAATTTCATAGCCAGCCAAACTAAACTTGATAAGTGAAGGAGACATAAGATCTTTAGAGACAAGCCAATGCTAAGGGAATTTGTTACCACTAGTCCTACTTTGTGAAAGGTCCTTAAGGGAGTACTAAATATAGAAACAAAAGGCCAGTACCAGCCACCACAAAAACACACTTAAATACATAAACCATTGACATTATAAAGCAATTACACATTCAAGTATACATAACAACCAGCTAACAACACAATGACAGGATCAAATGTGCACATATCAATATTAACCTTGAATATAAATGGGCTAAATGCCCCACTTAAAAGGCACAGAGTGGCAACTTGGATAAAGAAACAAGACCCCACCACATGCTGTCTTCAAGAGACCTATTTCACATGCAATGACAGCCGTAGGTTCAAAGTAAATGAATGAAGAAAAATCTACCAAGCAAATGGAAAACAAAACAAAAAAAAAGGAGTTCATATTCTAATTTCAGACAAAGCAGACTTTAAGCCAAAAACAATCAAAAAAAGACAAAGAAGGGCATTACATAATAATAAAGATATGTTTGCACCTAGTTATAATGATTTAAAATTCATGGTCCAAAACCACAATTACATTTGCACCAACCTAATAGTTGTGATGTTAGGTTGTTAACTTGAGCTCTTTCTGACTTTTTGATGTGGGTGTTTAGTGCTATAAATTTCACTCTTAAAACTGCCTTACCTGTGCCCCAGAGATTCCAGTATGTTGTATCTTTGTTCTCATTTTCTTTATTTCTGCCTTAATATCATTATTTACCCAAAAGCCATTCAGGAGCAGGTTATTCAATTTCTGTGGAATTGTACATTTGAGTGAATATCTTAGTCTTGATTTCTCTTTATTATTATTTTTTTTCAAGACGGAGTCTCACTCTGTCACCCAGGCTGGAGTGCAGTGGCAAGATCTCAGCTTACTGCAACTCCACCTCCTGGGTTCAAGCAATCCTCATGCCTCAGCCTCCCAAGTAGCTGGCACTACAGGCACATGCCACCATGCCCAGTTAATTTTTGTGTTTTTTGTAGAGACAGGGTTTCACTATGTTGGCCAGGCTGGTCTTGAACTCCTGACCTCAGGTGATCCACCCACCTCAACCTCTCAAAGTGCTTGGATTACATGTGTGAGCCACCACACCCTGCTGTTAGTCTTGATTTCTAATTTTATTGCACTGTAGTCCAAGAGATTATGATTTTAGTTTTTTGCATTTGCTGAGGTGTGTTTTATTTCTGTTTATCTGATTGATTTTAGAGTATATGTCATGTGGCAATGAGAAGGTATATTCTGTTGTTTCTGGGTGAAGAGTTCTGTAGGTGTCTATCAGGTTCATCTGATCCAGTGCTAAGTTCAGGCCCTGAATATCCTTGCTAATTTTCTGTCTCAATGATCTGTCTAATATCATCAATGGGGTGTTAAAGTCTCTCATTATTGTTGTGTAGGAGTCTAAGTCTTTTTGAAGGTCTCTAAGAACTTCTTTTATGAATCTGGGTGCTCCTGTGTTGGGTTCATATATATTTAGGATAGTTAGGTCTTCCTGTTGAATTGAACCTTTTACCATTATAGAATGCCCTTCTTTGGCTTTTTAAAATCTTTGTTGGTTGAAAGTCTATTTTGTCTGAAGTTAGGATTGCAATCCCTGCTTTTTTTGTTGTTGTTATTTTCCATTTACTTGGTAGATTTTTCTCCATCTTTTATTTTGACCCTATGAGTGTCATTCCATGTGAGATGGGTCTCTTGAAAACAGCATACCAACGGGTCTTGGTTCTTTATCCAGCTTGCCCCTCTATGCCTTTTAATTGGGGCATTTAACCCATTTACTTTCAAGGTTAGTATTATTATGTGTGGATTTGATCCTGTCATCATGATGTTAGCAGGTTATTTCATAGACTTGTTTATGTGGTTGCTTTATAGTGTCACTGGTCTGTGTGCCTCAGTGTTTTTTTGTTTGTACGGGCTGGTAACAGTCTCTCCTTTCTGTATTTAGTGCTTCCTTCAGGAACTCTTGTAAGGCAGGTCTGGTGGTAAGGAATTCCCACAGTATCTGCTTGTTTGAAAGGATCTTATTTCTCCTTCACTTTTGAAGTTTAGTTTAGCCAGATATGAAATTCTGGATTGTAATTTCTTTATTTAAGAATTTTGATTATTGGCCCCCAATCTCTTCTGGCTTGTAGGGTTTCTGCTGAGAGGTTGGCTGTTAATATGATGGGCTTCCCTTTGTAGAAAACCTGGCCTTTCTCTCTAGCTGCCTTTACCATTTTTTCTTTCATTTTGACCTTGGAGACTCTGATAAATATGAGTCTTGGGGATGATGTTTGAAGAAGTGGTAGTTGGATTGTGAGAGGTCATGTGAATATGGTGGACGAGGTGAAACTTCGTAGCCCAATTTGTTCAACTTTTGAAGCCTTGGTCGTGTGATGTGTGGTCAGGCATTGCCATAGAGAAGATTTGGGCCCTTTATGTTGACCAATGCCAGTTGCAGGCACTGCAGTTTTTAGTGCATCTCATTGATTTGCTGAGCATACTTCTCAGAGGTAATGGTTTCACTGGGATTCAGAAAGCTGAATAGTAGTGGATCAGACTGGCAGAAGACCACCAAACAGTGACCATGATCTTTTTTTGGTGCAAGTTTGGCTTTGGGAAGTGCTTTGGAGCTTCCTCTTGGTCGAACCACTGAGCTGGTCGTCTCTGGTTGTCATATAAAATCCACTTTTCATCGCACATCACAATCCAATTGAGAAATGGTTCATTGTTGTCGCATAGAATAAGAGAAGATGACACTTAGAATGTTGTTTTTTTTTTTATTTTCAGTCAGCTCATGAGGCACCCACTTATTGAGCTTTTTCACTGTCCCAATTTGCTTCAAATGCCAAATGACCATAGAGTGGTCGATGTTGAGTTCTTTGGCAACTTCTCACATAATTGTAAGAGGATCAGCTTCTATAATTGCTCTCAATTGGTCATTGTCAAATTCCAATGGCAGTTCACTACACTCTTCATTTTCAAGGCTCTCATCTCCTTTGCAAAACTTCTTGAACCACCACTGCCCTGTACATTCACTAGCAGTTCCTAGGCCAAATGCGTTGATGCTACAAGTTGTCTCCGCTGCTTTATGACTCATTTTGAACTCGAATAAGAAAACTGCTAGAATGTGCTTTTTGTCTAATATCATTTCCATAGTCTAAAATAAACATAAAATAAACAGCAAGTGATAAGTCATTAGCAAAAAAAAAAGCAAGAAATGTGCATTGAAACAATGTACAACGTAACCACTTTTATTTAAGAATGTATTCCAATATCAAACAGCAAATTCCAATAATGCAAAAACTGAAATCACATTTTCACCAACTTAATAAAAGGGCTAAAGAGCCAAGAGAAACCCAACCTCAAAACTAGAAGACAAGAAAAAAGCAAAATCAGACATTAACTGAAGAAGATTTAAATACAAAAACCATTTTAAAAAATCAATGAGGCAGGGCACGGTGGCTCACGCCTGTAATCCCAGCACTTTGGGAGGCCGAAGCGGGCAGATCACCTGACGTCGGGAGTTCGAGACCAGCCTGACCAACATGAAGAAACCCTGTCTCTACTAAAAATACAAAAATTACCTGGGCGTGGTGGTGCATGCCTGTAATCCCAGATACTCAAGAGGCTGAGGCAGGAGAATCGCTTGAACCTGGGAGGCGGAGGTTGCGGTGAGCTGAGATCACGCCATTGCACTCCAGCCTGGGCAACAAAAGCAAACTCCATCTCAATAAATAATAAATAAATCAAGGAGCTGGTTTTTTGAAAAAATTAATAAAATAGATAAACTGCTAGCTAGACTAATAAAGAAGAAAAAAGAGAAGTCCCAAATTAACACAATTAGAAACAACAAGGGAAATATTACCACTGACCCCACAGAAATACACATAATCATCAGAGAATATTATAAACACCTTTGTGGATCACCAGATGTACAAAGAAGAGCTGGGAATCACTCCTGCTGAGACTATTCCAAAAACTTGAGTGGGGGGGGGCAGTCCTTCCTAACTCATTCTATAAGGCCAAAATCATCTTGATACCAAAACCTGCAGAGACACAACAAAAAAAAAGAAAACTTCAGGCCAATATCCTTGATGAACATCCATGCAAAAATCCTCAACAAAATACTGGCAAACCAAATCCAGCAGCACATCAGGAAGCTTAGCAACTACTGTGCTTAATACCTAGGTGGGCTCCATGGGCTCCATTCTGCACCCCATGGATCAAGGAGTAATTTTGACTTTCAAATCTTATTATTTAAGAAAGATATTTCAGGCTGGGTGCAGTGGCGCATGCCTGTAATCCCAGCTATACAGGAGGCTGAAGCAGGAGAATCACTTGAACTCAGCAGGTGGAGGTTGCAGTGAGCTGAGTTTGCACCACTGCACTCCAGCCTGGGTGATAGAGTGAAACTCCATCTCAAAAAAAAAAAAAAGGAAAGAAAGAAAGAAAAAGAAATATATTTCATAAAGCTATGGCTACCATAGGGGGTGATTCATCCAATGGATCTGGGAAAATAAGTTGAAAAACTTCTGAAAAAATTCACCATTCTACACATCATTAAGACTATTCCTGGTCGGGCAAGGTGGCTCACACCTGTAATCCTAGCACTTTGGGAGGCCGAGGTGGGTGCATAACATGAGGTCAGGAGTTCGAAACCAGCCTGGCCAACATGGAGAATCCCCATCTCTACTAAAAATACACAAAAGTTAGCTAGGCATAGTGATGCATGTCTGTACTCCCAGCTGCTCAGGAGGCTGAGGCAGGAGAATCACTTGAATCCAGGAGGCAGAGGTTGCAGTGAGCCAAGATCACACCACTGCACTCCAGCCTGGGTGACAGAGCGAGACTCCATCTAAAAAAAAAACAAAAAAACAAACAACAACAACAAAAACTATTCCTGATTCATGGGGCAAGGTCAAAATATCATCATTAACAGGGGTTTAGAAGAAGTTGATTCCAACCCTCATGGATGATTTTGAGTGGTTTAAGATTTCAGTGGAAATAGTAACAGCACATGTGGTGGAAATAGCAAGATAACTAGAATTAGAAGTTGAGCCTGAAGATGTGACTGAATTGCTGCAATCTAATGATGAAACTTGATTGGATGAGAAGTTGCTGTGAACATTGTTGAAACTTAATGGGTAAAGCAACTGCCAGGTTTGACAGGATTGACTCCAATTTTGAAAGAAGTTCTACTGTGGGTAAAATGCTACAAAAAGCATCACATGCTATAGAGAAATCAATCTTTTGTGAAAGAGTCAATCGATGCAGCCAACTTCATTGTTATTGTATTTTGAGAAATTGCCACAGCCACCCCAACCTTTAGCAACCACCACTCTGATGAAGTCAGCAGCCATCAATACTGAGGCAAGACCCTCCACCAGCAAAAAGATACAATTTGTTGAAGTCTCATATGACCATTAGCATTTTTTAGCAATAAAGTTTTTTTTTTTTTTTGAGACGGAGTCTCACTCTGTCAACCAGGCTGGATGGAGTGCAGTGGAGCAATCTCGGCTCACTGCAAGCTCCGCCTCCCGGGTTCATGCCATTCTCCTGCCTCAGCCTCCCGAGTAGCTGGGACTACAGGCACCCACCACGATGCCTGGCTAATTTTTTCTATTTTTAGTAGAGACGGGGTTTCACTGCATTAGCCAGGATGGTCTTGATCTCCTGACTTCGTGATCCACCCACTTCGGCCTCCCAAAGTGCTGGGATTACAGGCGTGAGCCACTGCAGCCAGCCAGCAATAAAGTATTTTTAAGGTGTGTACATTGGGTTTTTTTTAGACCCAATGCTATTTCACACATAATAAAATACAGTAAAGTATAAAAAAACCTTTCATATGTACTGGGAAACCAAAAAAAAAAATTATGACTTGCTTTATTGCAATATTTGCTTTATTGAGGTGATCTGGAACCAAACCCACAATATCTCTGAGGTATGCCTGTATTAGGCTCTGATGGTGATCTGGAACTGAGAAGGTTTCTGGAGACAAGACCTTTAATCAGGAGATACTTATAAGCAAAAGCAGAAAAATAACCATGAGAGGTGTGTTAAGGAGTAAAACCGAGACTTGAGGCCAGGAAGCATCCAATCTAGTGGATTCCAGGAAATTGATGTGACGAGGTCCTTTTTTGATTGAGTTAGGACTGTGGTGGCAGCGGCATGCATTTCCTCACTAGCAACTGAATATTCTCGTTTATGATGTAGAGGTCAGAGACATTTTGGATAACAATCATGTAGCAGCTGCTTCCAAACAAAGCATGTCTCACCTCTAGATACCAAGGTCATGTTGAGTGCCAGTCAGTTATGGAGCTCTGTGTATTGAGTCTTTTGAAATTCTGGGGTGGAAAGAGTGAGGTTATTTATTTGGTTGTTTGCAGGCATGGTTATCTCCCATATTAGAGCATGGAAGATAGAATTTCTCTTCACTCTGAGTATCCCATACTGCAGCTGCTCCAGGCACAAAAGTAGCCTAAATGTGATCAAATGCAGCTTTAAGTTCTGGAGATTTCCTACTATCTCAGCTTCCTTTTCAAGGAAGATCTGAGATCTAGCAATGAAAGGAAGAATGCAGTAATATTTTGGTGCCAACCTCTACATTTTCGGGAGGCACAGTTACTAGTGCACCATCAAGACCAATGATGGACATTAGAAAGGACAGAGGGGAATTTAAATAGTTTAAGAAGGTAGTTGAGCTACATATATTGTTGCGGGAAGTCAAGGACCCCGAATGGAAGGACCGGCTGGAGCCGCGATAGAGGAACGTAAATTGCGAAGATTTCATTTTAATATGGACACATATCAGTTCCCAAAATTAATACTTTTATAATTTCTTATGCCTGTCTTTACTGCAATCTCTGAACGTAAATTGTGAAGATTTCATGGACATTTATGAGCTCCCAAATAATACTCTTATAATTTCTTATGCCTGTCTTTACTTTAATCTCTTAATCCTGTTATCTTTGTAAGGTGAGAATGTATGTCACCTCAGGACCACTATTGTACAAATTGACTGTAAAACGTGTGTTTGAACAATATGAAATCAGTGCACCTTGAAAAAGAACAGAATAACAGCGATTTTCAGGGAACAAGGGAAGCCAACCATAAGGTCTGACTGCCTGCAGGGTCAGGCAGAATAGAGCCATATTTTTCTTCTTGCAGAGAGCCTATAAATGGACATGGAAGTAGGGAAGATATCACTGAATTCTTTTCCCAGCAAGGAATATTAATAATTAATACCCTGGGGAAGGAATGCATTCCTGGGGGGTGGTCTATAAACGCTCTGGGAGTATCTGTCTTATGTGGTTGAGATAAGGACTGAAATACGCTCTGGTCTCCTGCAGTACCCTCAGGCTTATTAGTGTTGAGAAGAAACCCCACCCTGGTAAATTTGAGGTCAGACCAGTTCTCTGCTCTTGAACCCTGTTTTCTGTTGTTTAAGATGTTTATCAAGACAATACATGCACAGCTGAACATAGATCATTATCAGGAGTTTTTGATTTTGCCCTTTGCCTTGTGATCTTTGTTTTGCCCTTTGCCTTGTGATCTTTATTTCCCTTTGAAGCATATGATCTTTGTGACCTACTCCCTGTTTGTACACCTCCTCCCCTTTTGAAGTCCTTAATAAAAACCTGCTGGTTTTGTGGCTCGGGGGGCATCACAGACCTACCAATATGTGATGTCATCCCTGGCGGCCCAGCTGTAAAATTCCTTTCTTTGTACTCTTTCACTTTATTTCTCAGACCGGCCGACACTTAGGGAAAATAGAAAGAACGTACGCTGAAATATTAGGGGTGGGTTCCCCTGATAATATATGGTAGGGGTTGACAAGATTGGCTAGATAACATGAGCCTGTCCAGTGTTCTAGGAGATACCAGTAGTTTCCTCTTCCATAAATGAAATAGTTGTCTTTTGTGGCTAACCAAGTGAAGTGGGAGCAATTCTCTTCCACTATACTAGGTTGAGGAAAGGGTATGGCTATAAGGGGAATATCTTCATTGGTACTTTTCCATATGTAAATCTTTAGTGTCCCCATAGCAATTCCCCATGGTAAACTTACTTCATATAATGTTGTATTTGCTCTGGGACAATGATTAATCGTTACAAGTACTGTCATCAGAGTTGACAGAGTAAATGCTGTAAAGCCAGAAACTAGAACATAAAGCATTATTGTCTGTAAAATTGTGAGAGAAATAAAAATGACTTTTTAAAAAAGTGGTTCAGATTCTATTTGGATGCTTGTGTGATTGATATAAAATATAGGAACAATTTCCTAACATTGTGCAGAGGAAAACAGCTAAATCAATAGCTGTGGAGATTTTAAAAATGAGAAGAGTAATTTGGGGGAAGATGGTGCAAAGTATAGTCTTGCACTGCTATAAAGAAATAACTGAGCCTGGGCAATTTATAAAGAAAAGAGGTTTAATTGGCTCACTGTTCTGCAAGCTATACAGGAAGCACAGTGGCTTCTTCTTCTGGAGAGGCCTCAAGAAGTTTCCAGTCATGGTGAAAGGTAAAAAAGGAGTGAAGCATCTCACATGGCAGGAGCAGGAGCAAGAGAGAGTGAGGGCACAGATGCTGCACATTTTTAAAAAACCAGATCTCAAAAATGAGAACTCACGCTCTATCACAACAACAGCACCAAGGGGATGGTGCTAAACCATTCACGAGAAGTCCACCCCCATGATCCAACCACCTCCCACTGGGTCCCACCTCCAACACTGGGGACTACAATTCAACATGAGATTTGGTGGGAACACAGATCCAAACTATATCAGATGGTTGATCCAAGAGGGAAAAGGATGAATAAAAGCAATGAGTTTAAGAAAGATTTTAAGATTTGAGTAGTCTCTTCAGTACAAGCCATCCAAAAGTTTTGAGCATCCTTTCTGAAGGTAGGTAAATGGGGAATAGAGAAGAAAGAAATGGTAGGGAGGGCAAAAAGGAAAAGAGCAGACCTGTTTCAGAAAGCTTTTGTACTTATGAGTGCAAAAAGATAATGAGGACAGTAAGAAGGACACAAAGGGAGAATATGGAGGGAATTAAAAATAGGACTCATAGGGGATCTTGTTCTGGTGTCTTGGGTAGAAGTCAGCCACCTGATGGCATCATGCAGTTGTTCTTGGGAAAGAAGTCTATCTCATGTCATCATCTGCTTCTAGGGGCTCTTGAAAGACCTCCAATTTAATGTTTCCTTTTGGAGTGAATTTCTGTTTGAAGACTTGTATTTTTTTAATTATGAAATGTGAACCTAAGGTTGTATTCTTTGTAGTCTTGCAGCAGTTTTGGTGGTGAAGAAGAGAGCTGTGATTTGGTTGAGGACACCTAAAGTGTATTCATCCCTTTCATGTATAAAAAGGGAAAAGTTGATGAGTAATTGGGGCATCTAACAGTGAGGGAAGAGGATAGAGAGGACTTGAGGCTCTGAAATGCAGGCTCAGAAGCCCAATTAGGGGGCATTAGGGAGGAGCAATAGCAGAAAAGTTAGGGATCCAGTTTTGGCAATAGCCAATGTATTCTAAAAATAGTCAGAGTTGTCTTTTGGCCTTGGGGAAAGGGAAATTGATGACAATGTTACTTCTTTTAGAAGATAAAGTGTGTCCTTCAAGGGAGATATCATGTCCTAGGCACTTGAGGGCTGTTAATTTTATGTTGGGTTTAATGATGTTATGTCCCTTGTGGGCAACGGTTTGGAGTAAATATTGAGTGTTGGCAATCACCATTGAACTGAGAAGGGGTCATCTACCTTCTGAATTCAGGTAATATTGGGGCTAAGACACTTTCAGAGGTGACTGATGGACTGAAGTTCCTCAAATGAGGCTGGCCTGAGTCATGAGTGGATGAGACTGAGCAGTAGGGAAGGATAACCAGGTACAATGGGGGGCTATGCCTGACCATTCCCATCTCAGACCCCCACATCTTCTCGAGTACATGATGCTCTGAGAAAGAGAGGGATATAGTGCACAGCAAAGCTTTGCTGTGGGAAACCCACCAAAAGAGCTCAACACAGCAGCAGCACATGTTTTCTTGTTGACTGGAGAGAGAGCCACACATAAAAGCCAAATTACAACAGGTTTTTATTTAACAATGGTTAATGGCTCCTGAAAAACCCCTTAGGGACCAGCCTATAATATGTATGAATATATATGAGATTAAAATAATTGAAATTCAAAATCAATTAAAAATGAAACCTATTTGTTAAGATACTTAAAACAGAGACATTGGAGTGATGTTAGAGATGGAAATAAAGACTAGTGGGTAAGAACTTATTGTAAGACAGCTAACATTTAGAATGAGAAGGAAGAAGTAGAGGGATAAGGTCAAGTCTAAGAGCTTACGAGGAGGCTGCTGAGGTCAGCCCAACTTCTCAGTAAATGATATTCTATTTAGCATAGTGCAAGGCTTCATTGCACTACATATGACCTGTGGCTGCCCCTGCTGATGGCTGTCACCCACCCTTGCAACAAGAAATATGCCTATGTCAAGTCTGCCCTGTGAGTATTGACCCTGTGCTAGACACTAGTTAGATACTGATTATACAAGGATGGAAAAGACAGTGTTTGCATTTAAGAATACTTTCTAGAAGGGAGAGAGGCAGGTAACTGCCTGTAAGTTCAAACAGGAGAACACACAAGTAGGAGCAAAGAATTCTTACTGGGGATGGTTAGAGACTGTTTCACAGAGGGGACAAAGGGGCAGGACTTATATCTCTATATGAGCAGACAGAACAAGGGCATCAAGCAGAGAAAACAAAGAACAAAGGTTCACAGTCAAAAATATACCTCACCTCCCTTCCACCTCATTCCTCCACTCCTTTCTGCCAATTCTGATGTGTCTTATATGGAAGGGATATTATCACAGTGGTGAAAATGTTGGTGTGCCTGGAGTACAGGTGGAGTCAGGAGTCCTGCAATGTGAGAATGAAAAAATAGGTTGGGCCTGGGTGTGGAGGGCTGTGGGTGCCAATTAGCAGTTTGCTGTGCTTACAGTGCTGCTCCCTTGAAGATCAGGAAATGAAATCTTACAGAAAGATAAGTCAGGCAGCATGGAAAGGGTAGGTAAAGGGAGGAACAATGAAAAACCTGTAGTCCAAGAGGAAGCTATTGCAGAAGATTGGATGAAAGATAATAAGCCTCAGAGATGGATCAGTGTCAGACATTTCTGGGTAAGACTGATAGAATCTGATGACCACTGATCTCCATGGCCTGCAGAATCTGGTCTAACAGGAGCATGGTGGTGTTGTGGAGTATGTGGACTTTACAGCCAGGCCAGCTGAGTTCAGTCTGATTCTGCCTTACAAAGCTCTGTGATTCTGAGCAAAAGATGTGCAAATGGGTCTAATGCCACTTAACCTTTTTTTTTTTTTTTTTGCAAAGATGAAATGATGCCATGTATGTAAATCTAATATGGTCCCTGGCACATAAGTAATTCATACACCTTAGCGCCTTTCAGCTGGTGTTCAAGGCCTCTTATAATTTGATTCACATGCATCTTTCTAGGCAAATGAACCACTCTCCTGTACTCATCTCTTTCCTCCAAAAACAGAGGGCTTTTTTGATGTAGGCATTTCTGCTTATAAATTTCCGTCTTGGTACTACTTTTGCTGTATCTCACAGATTTTGGTATGTTGTGTTTCTATTTCCATTGGTTTCAAGAAATTTTTAAATATCCTTCTTAATTTCTTCATTAACCCATAGGTCATTCGGGAGGATATTGTTTAATTTCCAGGTATTTGTACAGTTTCCAAAGGTTTTTTTGTTACTGATTTCTAGTTTTGTTCCATTGTGGGCTGAAAAGAGATTTAGTATGATTTAAAAAAAAATTGTTCAGACTTGTTTTGTCACGTAACATATGGTCTATCCTGGAAAATGTTCTACATGCTGATGAGAAGAATATACATTCTACAGCTGTTGAATGACATGTTCTGTATATGTCTATTAAGACCATTTGCTCTAAAGTGCAGCTTAAATCCAATGTTTCTATGTTGATTTTTTGTCTAGATGATCAGTCTGATGCTATGAGTAAAGTGTTGAAGTCCCCAGCTATTATTATATTGGGGTCTATCTCTCCCTTTAAATCTCAAATAAATAACCCAATGATGCACCTCAAGGAACCAGAAAAGCAACAACAAATAAAACTTAAAATTAGTAGAAAGAAAGAAATAATAAAAATCAGAGCAGAAATAAATGAAATAGAGAACAAAAAAGTACAAAAGATCAATAAAACAAGAAGTTGGTTTTTTGAAAAGATAAACAAAAGTGACAAAACATTAGCTAGACTAAGAACAAAAGAGAAAACCCAAATAAACAAACTCAGAAATGAAAAAGAAGACATTACAACTCATGCCATAAAAATATAGGGCTATTTACTGTTTCTCAGACATGCCTTACTCTTTCTGATCTCTAAGTCTTTGCTCACACAATTTATTTTCTTTAAGTATCCTTCTTCTCCTCAGTTTTCATTGCTATCTTAAAGGCTTTGCTTCAGATAATACCTCCTTTAAGAACACATCCTCAATACCCCAAGTGGAAATTATCTTTCCTTCTGTTAAACTCTCAAAACACTTTATTGGAATCACTTTAATGGCCCTTACAATATACTGCACTTTAGCTAGCTATTTGGAGTATATTTTTCCCTCTCCTAGGTAGCATATGTTTAATTTTCCTAGTCAGTAGTACTTAATTCACTCTACAGTGTTATCAAAAGTAGATATTTAACAGATTAATATGATTGTCTCAGAAAGAGGTCAGTTGAGTGCTAGGTATGGGTGTGGGAGGAGGATGGTGTATGTCCTTGCTAACCAGAAAAGTCGTAGGATTGTACCGCTGCCAATCCTAATTTTATTGCTCTCATTTCTAGTTCCTCCACAGCATCTAGGTATGGCAAAATTCAATATATAAGGCCAGTAAAGAGTGTTTCAGACAATACCATCTGACTAATTGGCTGGAGTTCTTGGTTATATGTCTAACATGTTTTATGATCTACAGTCTTAATTTAGGTGATTGGCAAAGATAAAGATATTTGTAATAGGACTTCAGTGCTATTTCTGTAAGAAAAATCTAGTTTGACAAATGAAATCATGATCTAGGCTAATAGCATATTGTTTCGAAATTAAATGGCTCTATCTTGTACTTCATGCTCAATTTTGCTGAGAACCAAAAACTGCTCTAAAAAATGAAGTCTATTAAAGAAAATAAAATTATCTGATTAAGTGGCAAACTATGGCATTTTTTGCTTAAAACTTTTAACTTCTTGACTATCCATGGCTTAGTAATTAGTTTGTGGTCCCCTTTATGTACAGCGAAAGACATTAGAGAAATACGGTGTTGAACTAAGCAGCTGGAATACCAGCCTGTCATTAAACTTATGAAGAAAAAACTGACACTGGAGTGATGGACAAATAGATGTGCTAAGATTTTTTTTTCTGTAAGGAAAAGCAGTTTTTGAAAAAGAATGCCTCATATTTACATTTTAAAATTAAAAAATAACTTGTACACTATGGTTTATGTGAAAGATGTTTATTTTCTTTCAAACAATATTAAAACAAATAAATTACGTGCAGTTGAGTAACACAATGAGCACATAATACAGTTAACCTTTTAAAAGGCACTTCTGGCATAATCACTAAAGTAATATAGACAATTAGACAATTATTTGCTTTGACACTTTATTAATTTGACCATTCATTTCAATTTTCTTTTAATGTTCTTCAGTGAATTGTTTCATTTATAAACACTTCAAAGTTCCATCATAAAATATGCCTAGATTAACTGACTTATCTTAATTCTATTTACTATGGAACCTATCACCAAAAAAATCTAATTTAAAGGACATTTTAAAATGTTATCCTTTATTTGGGTACTAAACTAATCACTCCTCCACAGAGTCATAAGAAAGTGTTTGAAATAAACAAAAATAAATGAAGTGGAACTGGTGATTGATATAAATCTTCTAGAAACAAAAGTTGGGTAAGCCAGAGGTTTTTTGTTATTGACACTGTTTATTCTTTTTAAGTGATTTTGTTCTTTTATTATTTTTAATTATACAATTTTAAATAGTATGCTTTTATTTTAAAATACTTTAAAGTGTTTTTTAGAAAACAGGCAGGGTCCAGTTTTTTTTTTTTTTTTTTTTTTTTTTTTTGAGACGGAGTCTCGCTCTGTCACCCAGGCTGGAGTGCAGTGGCGGGATCTCGGCTCACTGCAAGCTCCGCCTCCCGGGTTCACGCCATTCTCCTGCCTCAGCCTCCCAAGTAGCTGGGACTACAGGCGCCCGCCACTACGCCCGGCTAATTTTTTTGTATTTTTAGTAGAGACGGGGTTTCACCGTTTTAGCCGGGATGGTCTCGATCTCCTGACCTCGTGATCCGCCCGCCTCGGCCTCCCAAAGTGCTGGGATTACAGGCGTGAGCCACCGCGCCCGGCCCAGGGTCCAGTTTTTTAATAAAAATTATAATGTTGTTAGCTTCCCAATACTAAGTCAAAATCAAAACACGTTCTCTAAAGAACAACCACAATTACTTTCAATTTTATCATAGATATATGTATAATCCTAAGTATCAGCTCACCTGATTAAACTAATTTTCTTATAAAGAAAAACACCCTTCACATATCCTTACATAAAGATACTATTAATGTATATGATTAATGTTGAAACCTAACTAGCTGAACAAATGTTCAACAGATTTTGGACCCCATATTCTACATTTTCAAGTTTATAACAAAATTAAGAAATTATAAAATACTAAGTATAAAACTTATGTCATAAATTGAGGGCTATGTTGAATTTGAAAGCTGAGATGATATCTTTCTTAATAAATGAAATATTATAAACTGCAGTAGAAACAGTACATCTTTACCGGTTATTTATTTATTTATTTTTATTTTTATTTTTTAATTTTTTTTGAGAACACATGGACACAGGAAGGGGAACATCACACACCGGGGCCTATTTATTTATTTTTGAAATAGAGACAGGGTCTCCCTGTATTGCCCAGGCTGGTCTAGAACTCCTGCGCTCAAGCAATCATCCATCCAGCCTCGGCCTCCCAAAGTGCTGGGATTACAGGTGTGAGCTGCCACACCCAGTCTTTACCAGATGTTTTTTTAAGTTAATATAAATTGCAGGATTTGATTAAAATATTCTGATACAATAGTCAAACTCATATTATTTTATGCATAATCTGAAAAATACCAGATGTAATTGACAGTAATTTTTTAAAATGTAAACATTTCCTTTCCTTTGTGTAGTTACGTTATTGTTAACTAAAAACAGTCCATGTATAAGACAAGTAAGTATGATTCCATCCCTTTCCGTGTAGTCATAAGAATGACCATAAGCAAAAGTTAAAATTACATTCTTGATTTGTTTAAAAATGCAAAGCAGATATTGAGAAGCCATCAACTGTGCCTGACGTATTTTCTAAATTATTTTTGTTAATCAATTACATCAACATGATTTCACAGAGACCTAAAGATGCCACATAGAGTAGTATGGCATATAGACTCCTCAGCTGAAAGTTTCTATCACGGCCAGGCGCGATGGCTCACGACTGTAATCCCAGGACTCTGGGAGGCCGAAGCAGGCAAATTACTTGAGTTCAGGAGTTTGAGACCAGCTTGGCCAACGTGGCAAAACCCCATCTCTATATAAAATACAAAACTTAGCCAGGAGTGGTGGTGTGCACATGTAATCCTAGCAGAGGTTGCAGTGAGCTGAGATCTCACTACTGCACTCTAGCCTGGGCGACAGAGCAAGACTCTGTCTGAAAAAAAAAAAAAAAGTTTCTATCGTGTTAATATACTAAAATAAAATTTCCCTGAGATGAAATGTCTTGCTGGTCCACAGGAATAACCATAAAACTCTATTCAGATTTTAATTATAATGAATTATAATTTAATCTGACATCCACTTAAAACAAGTGTTAATTTTTTTATCATTAGCTGACTTGTGCTAGTATTTTTAAGCGGAATATTTCTAAATTTTTTTCTAAACCAATTTAATCAGAGAACTTGTTTAAAATATAACTTTCTAGAAACATACAAAGATGCACATGAGCAGCTACTTTAGCAATAACTTTCATGTTCTCTTCAAGTACAAAATCGCCGATTTTTATGCTCTTAAAATGTACTGACATTTAATTACTTCAAAAGTAGAGAAAAAAGCATTTAAAAAGTAAAAAATCTTTCCAAACACCTGTGTTGCTCATGTCAGAAGATTTCTACATTTTTAAAGTTCAGGCAAGCATTAGTTTAAAAGATTTGCTCCTTTTCTTTCATTCATTTAACCAGGTTGGATATCACTCATGTATTTTTAGTTAGGAAGCCATTCACATGACATAACTTCTCATTGAATGCTCTCAGAAATGCTGCTGAGATAATCTTCAGACTTCATTATAAAATTTGTCCATTCCTGACAAATGTCCTCCATGGAGAATTCTTCACCACCATATTCCAGAGGAAGAATGTCTGGGAAATGCTGAAGCAAGCTTTGTTTGTAGTTGTTCCCATGCATGTGAATCTGAAATAGCCAAAACACTTTAGAAGGAAACCGCATTAGATGCATTTCCAGTGGAAAATCAACCTCATAAAACAAGGTATTCTAATAACTTCTAAAATGGAGTGTATAAATAGATACCACATCCTTTATTCCTCTGGTTATGAATCTAATAATTTTACTTATGTTTAGGTTGTATTACTGTGGATCTAATAACCTTACTGTTTCTTGGATTTGCATTCTTATAACTGCATAAAATTTATAAAAAGTTATTTTCCTCTTTCATAAGTAAATTTTTAAAGATTAAATAAAGTTATTTTATAAATTCTATTCCCTTATGTGCAAGTGATTCTTACCAAACTAATACCTTGGGACTATTCTATACACGATAAAAATGTACTAGCTGGTACTAATTCATATTAAGTAGAAGCATATATCTGAGCACACAATTAAATCTATGAGAAACAATTTATATGGTACAGTCGATGGATACTGTTAGTTAGTATAAAGTTAAGAGACAGCCGGGTGCAGTGGCTCATGCCTGTAATCCCAACACTTTGAGAGGCCAAGGCAGGTGGATTACTTGAGCTCAGGAGTTCAACACCAGCCTGGGCAACATGGCTGGTACAAAAAAAATACAAAAATTAGCTGGGCGTGGTGGTGCAGGACTGTAGTCCCAGATACTTGGTGGGCTGAGGCAGGAGGATTGCTTGAGCCCAGGAGGTGGAGGTTGCAGTGAGCCAAGATCGTGCCACTGCACAAAGTGAGGCCCTGTCTAAAAAAAAAAAAAGAATTAAAAGAATTAAAAAGTCAAATTTTAAAAAAGTATTAAAAAACAATTATGATAGTTGAGAACCTTAACTTTTCAAATATTTTAAACTATAAAATTGATCATAGAATGCCCTGAAGTTAAGAGAAAGCCGTAGAAACTTGAACCAAAAGCATACCTGCTAAAATAAATAAATAACCTTTTTTCACTTTCTAGGGCAAAATGTTCCTCTATGTATTCAACAATCATTTAATAAGCATCTATTATGTGCTGGGATATGAGGTTTGATGGATGAAATGAGTTTCCTATACTCACTTAGGAAACTCACAAAGCCAATCTTTAATTTTTTCTGAAATATGTAAAATATTATCAGGTAATTGAGAAGAAATTCTATCTCCTCAGGAAGGGGCAAAATAAGAAAATGTATGGGGCATTGCCAAAAAGTTAAAAAGGAAAAAAGTGGCTGGATCAGAGTTTTTTTCTCCCTATTTTGGCAAGTCTGTTTCCCGTCAACTAACTTTCACTGACATCCTTCCCCTAACTTCTCAACTTTTTACTTTTGCTTTTTTCTCCATATTCTCCTATTTCTTAGGTTCAGTTTATTCTTGTTTTTGTTTTTATCTAAAATATTACTCAAAATAGAAATAGTTATTTTTAGATCTCTAAGAATTAAACAGAGGGAAGCCAGATATTATCAAGTTACACTGAAGAGAGAAAAAAATGAACAAACAAAATTGATTTGTATAAAAATACTAGAATGAAAAGTAGCTGAAAGTGGCCATTTTTGCTAAAGCAGGCAATTTAAGGGTGGTTCTTGAAGACAAACAGAAGCATCCACTGCATAACCTCTAAAGAAGCTCTAGGGTCATAACTTTCTGACCAGGTATAAGATGTTATATTTTCTTAATATGAAAGAACATCGTTTCTAAAATTCCAAATGTGCTATTACAGTTTATATTATCACTGCTGACATTTCAGTGATTTTTTAGATTTAAACTGTTAAAACCTTTACAAATTGTTTTGTGTTCAAGGCATTAGATGATGCCAATGTTTGTCTAAATAGATGCTCTAAAAATTCTTCTTTACAGATTAGTTTAGAATGGTTGCCATTCTTGAGAACGCAGACTCTATTTTCAACCTTTCAAAAAGTCTAAGATATATGAGATGCTTTTTCTGAGATAAGGCTCCATAGGCTAGGTAAAGAAGAAAAAATCCAGTATCTTTGCTCTAACTAGCATGACATTAAGTCATATACCTCAGTTACCGTGGTTCTCAGTTACACTGAAACCGTTAAGTAGGCTTCACTGTTTAAGAAAAATGTTTATTTTTATTTGCATTAATAATAAATTCATATGGTTACAAATCAAAACAAGATAAAAGATACACAGTGAGAGATCTTGCTCCCAAACCTATTCTCATCTACTGTAGTTCACACCTCTTCTCTTGTTCCCTATAGATATCCACTTATATTATTTTTTGTATATCCTTTTAATGTAAATTTATGAAATATATTCTTATTTCTCCCCTTTGTATACAAAAGGTAGCATGCCATAAACACTATTCCACATTTTGTTTATTTCAGTTTACAAAACATCCTGCAATCTCGTTGTTTTCTGTTGTGTAGATGTTTATTTAACCAATGCCCTAATGGTGAACACTTCCTGGTTTTCAGTCTTCTGCTGCTGTGACTCCTCTAGCATATGTAATTTTGTTTAGGTATAGGTAATTCAAGACAGTGATTTTGATGTCTTTGCCACACTGCCCTCTATAGGAATATACCATTAAGCATTCCAACCAGCAGTGTATGAAAAGCCCAGTTACCCCACAGTCTTACAACCAATATACTTGATTTTTATAAATTAAAAGTAAATTTTAATTTACTTTTTTTTAGTTGGCTTGTTAGATAAATATTCAAAATATTGGGCTAATGATATAGATGGGCAGGTACGAGGAAAGATGATAAAGCAATCCTTAAATTAAAAAGGGTTGGAATGTTTGGTGTAGAGGAACACAGACTTGAATATATTTTACTCACCCGTTCCTTAATTTTTTCAGTCAGGAATGGTTTGATCATGGAAAAGACAGCATGGAAAATTACTGGTTCATTTATCAAATGGATGCCACGAACTTTCAATGGAAATGAATCCTTTTGAAAATAAAAAAATCTTAATAACAAAACATAAATATTACAATCTGATACCTAATGTCAAGTTTCTTCTTTGAACACTTGCTAAGCTTATGGAAATATCTAAAGTGTGTGATTTTATCTTCAAAATTATTTATTCCATCAGCACAAAAGCCTGGCTTACAGTTCACTGTCACTAGATTAAGTAAAGATCTCTAAAAAGGTTTCTCCTTATAGATTTGGCAAAGTATTTTACAAAATATCTGCACACTTTCACCAGAAAATTCCTTTCCCATCACATATAGATGTTCTTTTAACGAACCAATGAGTCATTTGGAAATTTATATTTAACTTTTTCCCAAAAAATGTTTATTTTGAGAAAAAAAATCACAAATATTGAAAGACTAGCACAATAAACACACACTTTTAAACTTTGACATTGGTATATGTCTTTAGCATCAAAGTAATATAGGCTTATTTAGAAAGTTTAAGAAGTTAAGAGTTGAAGGAAAAAGATGGTTTTCCTACCTACAAGTTGTATTATTAATACAGAGACCTTTCATTCCAAGGTTCTTTTATGTGAAGTTCTTTTATTTTTTCCATGCATCACTTTCAGAGATGTATTATTAATTTGGGGATTGTCCTTCCAAATCCCTTCTATGCATAATTTTCTTTTAAACATAATTGCTAATATACTTTCTAAATAATTTTCATCCCGTTGTGTTCCACTGATACAATACAGCTTTTGCAAATATCATGTTTTATTATTGTTGCAAGAATCCATCAAATGAATGTACATTTTTTAAGTAACCATGTTTCTATTTTCTGGACTAATAAACTATTTATTTTACTTCTTTACTGAAATTGATGCTGCAGTAACTGTCTTTGTGTATAGGAGAAGTGGTGGTTATAAGCACGACTTTTACATTCAGGTGACCTGGGCTGGAATTCTCACTTCACTACTGGCAAACTGTGTGTGCCTGGGCATCGCTATGTCACTTCTCGGATATAGTTTATTAATTGTAAAGTGGGAAAATACAATAGTCATATGTCATAGGCTCAGTGTGGACATTAAAAGATAATGCATTTGAAACACTTAGCAAAGTACCTGGCACATAGTAAGCTATTATTATTATACGCAATCTTTAATATATTAAAGATTATTCCTTAGCTAGTTTCCCAGAAATAGAATTACTGAGTCAAAGATGATGACCACTTTAAAAACCTTTTGGAAAAAAAAGATATCAATATACACCTACCAAGACTTATGTGACATTTTATTGTTCCATTGATATATTATATTTTTTAATCAATTTTTAATTTAGGAAAAAAAGTTAATGACAAAAAGATAAAGTCACCACATATTAAGATGCATAAATCCTCTCGTTACTAATTTGAACATATTTTTGCAGTTTGTTGCAACATTTTTTCTTTTATAAACTAATAACATTTTACTTCCTCTTAGCATTGTTGAATTCTACACATCATTTCCAAAATTGTATTTAAATTTCTAACAAATGTACTTTTGCTTCTCTTTGTCTAACATATAACAAAATTTAAAACTATAATTTGGAAGTATTATGCCTGACAGTTAAAATATACATTTACCGTAAGTACAGCAGCAATCTTCTTGGCTACGGATGGAGTGATTTGAAAAGCATGAGAAAACTGCCAACCTTCCAGATCAAAGATAGCCTTGATTCCATTCCGCTGAGTTTCTACCTCCTGTACAATAAGCTCGGATGTGATTAGACTTACTCGAAATACGTCATAAGCTGTAAAAACTTTGGGGTCCCAGTGTGCTAAAAAAAATAAAGCATATCATATCTTAGCATTGTGTAAAAAATCAGAAAGATTTCCAAAGGGAGACTAATTCATTTTATTCTTAAAAGATCAGTTGAAATAAAAACATCTACAAAGATCAAGAATTGATTAATAAATCCAACTGGCGTCCAAGAACATGTGCCTGCTTCTCCCTTCCTCCTCAAATTCTAGCAAAGAATGGCTTTTAAAGAGTATTGCGGAAAAAGGAATGGACACAGGCTGAATTTGACTGCAAGATGAAGTCACAACCTCACATAAAGATGGGAATGCCATTGTGTATGCTCCAAGCTCAGAGATGTTGGAAATGGAAAAGCAAGGGCCTGGATTATAAAGAGTAATTAGGGCCCCATAGTAACTAAAGAGGTTGCTAAGAGAAATGCATGAGGAACAGGCAGGCAAGTTGATCCTCTGACAGCCTTCCAGTAGTAAGCAGCACATAGCAGAGTCATGTCCCTGTAGGCTAGAGCAGGAATTGAGGGCTTGGGAAAGAAGAGCCACGGAAGCACTTAGGTAGCTGCTCACACCAAAGAGAAACAGGGAGTACCTGTGCTAAGACAGGAGTTACTGAGATTCTTGTTCACTCATCTCATCCCTTCCCACCACCCCAGGACAGGCCACGCCATGCAGAAATGACAGTAATGGATGGACAAGCAGATAATCTTTTTTAAAAGACATCTATTCCTTAAAAATTAGAATATTAAACACATCCATACACACACAAAGAGAGGGAAACCAAACTCAATAGACAAAGGCATCAACTCGAGAAAGTAAGAAAGCAGGAGACACTAAAAAACATAATAGAAGCCAGGTGCAGGTGCAGTGGTAGGTGCCTGTATTTCCAGCTACTCGGGTGGCTGAGGTGGGGGGAGGGGGAACACTGAAGCCCAGGAGTTCAAGTCTAATCGGGGCAACATAGCAAGAACCGGTCTGTAAAAAAATTCAAAGAATTTTTTTAAAGAAGCGTAATAGTTTCAGCAGGGGGTGGGGAGAATACTATAAGCTATTATTATAAAAACAGGCTATTATTAAAAAGACTCCATTGAGATATTAGAAATAAAAAGATAAGTTTTTTAAAAAACATTCATTGATAAGATAAATGCTGGAAAAGACAGAGCCAATCGAGGAAAAATGGTTTGGAAGATCAAGTTGAAGAATTCTCTCAAATTTGGCACAAAAGAGCCAAGAGTTGACATGTATGAATAGAAAGGTAAGAAATACATGCAGCTGGATCCAGGAGTTTCAACATCCAACTAATAAAAGTTCTAGAAGGCAGTAACAGAAAACAGAGGAGAGAGGAATCATAGCAATAGAGAAAAGTTCTCCAAAGCTGAAAAAAAAAACATGTAAGTCTTCAGACTGAAGTGCCTAACAGGATGAACGAAAAAGAAAAAAAAATCATAACTAAGCAATAGTAAATTTTCAAAAAAAAAAAAAAACAACAAAAGTTCTGGCATGGGAAACTGGATAGAATTGTGGCACCATTTATTTATTTATTTTCAACTTTTATTTTAGATTCAGGGGGTGCATGTGCAGATTTGTTACCTTGGTATACTGCATGATGCTGAGGTTTCAGGTATAAATGATCTTGTCACCCAGGTATGTGAGCACAGTACCCAATAGGAAGTTTTTCAACGCTTGCTCCCCTCCCTCCCTCTCCTCTCTTGTCATCTCCAGTGTCTACTGTTCCCATCTTTATGTCATAAACACCCAGTGTTTAGCTCCTACTTATAAGTGAGAACATGTGGTATTTCGTTTTCTGTTCCTGTTTTAATTCACTTAAGATAATGGCCTCCAGCTGCATCCCTGTTGCTGCAAAGGACATAATGTCATTCGTTTTATGGCTGTGTAGTACTCCATGGTGTACACGCAGTACCATTTATTGAGATAAGAGACCTGTTTGGGTGGAAAAGATTATAAGTATGGACATGTTAAAATGGTGACCATGAGACATCCAACTGGGTGCAGCTGGAATAGCAGCTAGTTGTGTGGGTCTGGATCCTCAAGGAAAAGATGGGAGTGAAGATACAAATCTGGGGGCTGTTTGTGCCTACATGATGATCCACAACAGGGATTGTCTCAGAGCTATGTTTTTCTCTATCAAAGCAGAGAGATGAAGTAACATAAAAAGAAAAGGCTGAGGCCAATGTCCTAAAAAAATTCAGAGTTTAAAGGATGAGTAGAAGAGGAAATGCCAGAAAAAGAGATTAAGGAGGAGCAGCCAGTGATGTCAGAGAAAAACACCAAGAGAACATGGCATCAGAGAAGCCAAGGGAAGAGGATTTTTCAAGAAAGCAGAAGTGATTCACTTTGTTGAGAGGTTAAGTGAAATAGGACTAAATATGTCCATTAAATGTGGTAAAAAGAAAGTCAATAATGGTTGGTTACATTCATTTCAGCAGGGATGGGAGTGAAATCAAACTAGGGTGGGCTGAGGAGGAACTGTGAGAAAATGTGGATGGTGGACATCACTAACAAAGAGAGGGGAGATAGATGTAATGAAGGAGGGAGAGTTTTGTGGAACGAATGAGGAGTTTTTGTTTTGTTTTTAGTGGCTGGCCCTTAACTGATTTAAATGTTAACTGGTAGCATGTAGTAGCAAGAGAAAAGTTGAAGATCTAGAAAAAGAAAGAATAAACAGAAATATTCCTAAGAAGCCACAATGGGATTGCTATTTTTTAAAAATTTTTATTTTCTGTCATATTAATGGATCCTTCAGGAGGTGTGTTAGTGTTTTTTAAAAGCCTCAGATTTCTGGCCGGGCATGGTGGCTCACACCTGTGATCCCAGCACTTTGGGAGGCCAAGGTGGACAGATCACTTGAGGCCAGGAGTTCAAGACCAGCCTGGCCAGCATGGTGAAACTTCATCTCTACTAACAATACAAAAATTAGCTGGGCATAGTGACACACACCTGTAGTCCCAGCTACTTGGGAAGCTGAGGCAGGAGAATCGCTTGAACTCGGGAGGCAGAGGTTGTAGTGAGTCGAGATGGCCCACTGCTCTCCAGCCTGGGCAACAGAACAAGACTCTGTCTCAAAAAAACAAAACAAAACAAAACAAAACAAAAAAACAAGCCTCAGATTTCTCATAAGAATTTGAACAATCAACCCATGGATAACCCAGATCAAAAATACTATACTAACTTCAGACATTGGCTGAATGCTATAATGATTAAAAAAAAAAAAAAGAACATATGAAGTTTGCCAATCAAAAAAATAGTTTATGTCCTAAGTTCTGAGCCAACCAACATAATTGTTTGGCCTACACTGGCTAATATGGTAGCCATTAGCCATGTGTGGTCATTCAAATTTAAATTAAAGATTTAGTTTCACCAGGTGCAGTGGTTCATGCCTAGAATCCCAGCACTTTGTGGGTCTGATGGGGGAGGATTGCTTGAGGCCAGGAGTGAGACCATCCTGGGCAACATAGTGAGAATGCATCTCTAAAAAATAAAAATAATAAAAAAACTGGCTGAGTGTGGTAGCACATGCCTCTAGTCCCAGCTACTCCAAAAGCCGAAGTGGGAGGATCACTTGAGCCCAGGAGTTCAAGACTGCAGTGAGCTATGATTGTGCCACTGCACTCTAGCCCAGATGGCAGAGTAAGACCCTAGCTTAGAAAAAAAAAAAAAAAATCTGTTTCTTAGTTGCAGTAGTCACATTTCAAGTGCTCAATAGCCACATGAGAATAGTGTCTATTGTAGAACAGTTTCATCATCATAGAAAGTTCTATGGTACAGTGCTGGCTAGAATTTAAGCTCCATTGAGGCAAAAGAAAAATATACCTTATATTTTGAATTCCTTCTCCAGTATCTACTTAATATGTATTGAGTGCTTTTATGTACCAGGTAATGCTCTTGTTATATTTTAGATAGACAGACTGATAGATTGATTTAATGCTTACAGCAACCCTATGTGACAGCTTTTCAATGTGCCCATTTTACAGATGAGAAAATGCAGTTACAGCTACATAGTGTTTCACACAGCTAGAATGTAGCAGAGCTGAGATTCCAATCCAGGTCACATGCTCCAGAACCTGTATTCACAAGAACTAAGCCACAGTCAAAACTTCACACTCACTGTTAAATTTTACTTTTGCTGCTAGTAGTATACTATGGGATCTCAAAAAACATAAAATTATATCCTACAGCATGTTGGCTGATAAAGGTCAAAACTTAGCTTCACCTTGGGTTGCCCGGCCCGCATGGAGGAAAGGGCTGTGTGCATTTTCTCATTGCTTTTACTGCACAGAGATGGTATCTAGAGAAGGTGGTTATGCTAAAGTTCTACCGAAAAGTTCCACCACAGATTTCCTTCTTTAGCTCCTCCCATTAATTCAATCAAATTTAGAAAAGTTTTCATTTTACTCATAAAACTTTCTGAGTTTCTCCCTTTCATCCTAGAATAACAGAACATACAGGAGATTTGCAACATACCTTCCTGTTCTGACCATCACTAAGTTACATGTTTTCTTGATTTTCAAATCTCTTGAGTTAAACAATATACTTCTAAATTAATGTGCTACATGAGGCCCAGAAAAATACCCCTACTGGTTCAGTGTTAAGGTATTTATGATCAAAACTGCACATCTGCTTTCTCACTATCAAGGTGTCACTTTTACTTCTTCACCTGCCTCAGTCACTTTATGAACAAACTAGACACAATAAAATCTAGCCAGACAATGCAGAGCCAAGACATTTACAAAAATAATTAGCTGCAGGTTTCAGTTTTATGTTTCTTGGATCCCTGAGTAGAGTTGCCAGGTAAAAATATACAACACTCAATTAAAGTTGAATTTCAGATAACCAGTATATAATTTTTAACATAAGAATGCTCCATACATACTTTAAAAAAACTGTTGTTTATCTGAAATTCAAATAACTGGGCATCCTTTATTTTTATAACATATAGGTTTATTTCCTAAATAAAACATAGGTACTTTGTTAAATCTGGCAAGACTACCCCTAAGAAGCTCAAGGAACTTCATTGCTATGAGCTCATTCAATTTCCTCTGACACTGGTGCAGCAATGAAAGAACAGGAAGATCATGATGTCTGTTTTATAGATGGGATTTCATGATTAACTCAATTTTATTTGACACTTAAGCTAGGGCAAAAAAAATTAAAAAACAGCCCCAAATCATTTTACTCGATCTTCCAATATCCTTTCAAAAATTAAATACAGTAACTTCTTGCAGTATGGCAAGCAGTTGAGTTACAGGCAGGTATCTTATCTATAAGCAGGCAAGAAATGCAAATATTTAAATATTTTAAATCTTTAAAGATATAGTTGTTTCTGTAAAATTATAATTAAAAAATTCTGGTCATGAAATGTTGGTTTATCTTTGTCCTTCAACTGGGCCATGAGAAATTCTGGGAATAGTGTGAGTCGTTCTCCTGTGCCGGCCATTTTTAATCATATGCAGGTCTGAGGGAGGACAGAAGTTATAGGTCACCAACTGCTATGATCTGAATGTTTGCATCCCCTCAACAGTCATATGCTGAAATTCTAACTCCCAAAGTGATGGTAGTAAGAGGTGGGCCCTTTGCAAGATGATGAGGTCATGAGGATGGAACCCTCATGAATGGGATTAGTGCCCTTATGAGTTCCAAGAGAGATGCCTTTTCACTTCCAACATGTGAGGTTAAAGTGAGAGATGTCACCTAGGAACCAGGTAGCAGGCCCTCACCAAACACCAAATCTGCCAGTGCCTTGATCTTGGATTTCCCAGCCTCCAGAACTGTGAGAAATAAAATTCTGTTTTTATAAGTCACCCAGTCTACGTCATTTTGTTATAGTGGCCTGAATACACTAAGACACCAACCTACAAGAAACACTAGCTACACCTAATAGAAAAAAAGGGGATGCAATGAGAATAAACAGGAGTTAATGGAATACCGTGTCTGCAACAGCTCCCAGAGGAGTTGCCTTTCCTCTGCACCCTCCTCCACCCAAGAGAATGAGCCTCTTGCTCCTCGGCCTGGGGCATTTTCGAACTAGTCATTCACTCACTCATTCCACAAATATTTAGTGACTACCTACCAAGTACCAGACCATGTTTTCAGTGCTTGGGATACACCAGCAAACAGAGTAGATGAAATCCACAATCTCATGGAGTTTACATTATAGCCCAGAATTCTGGTTGTTTTTTGTTTGTTTGTTTGAGACGGACTCTTGTTCTTTTGCCCAGGCTGGAGTGCAATGGCGCAATCTTGACTCACTGCAACCTCTGCCTCCCAGGTTCATGCAATCCTCCTGCCTCGGCCTCCCGAGTAGCTGGGATTACAGGTATGCACCACCACACCCAGCTAATTTTTGTACTTTTAGTAGAGACGGGGTTTCACCATGTTGGCCAGGTTGGTCTCGAACTCCTGACCTCAGCTGGGATTACAGGTGTGAGCCACCATGCCCAGCCAATAGTTCAGAATTCTTATTTGCACTTCCTACTAAGCATTTTTGAAACACTTTTCCATGATTTTTTAAAATATTCTCACACTATTCATCTTCACTATTTTCCTTTCTTCTTATTTTGTACAGTTGACTGTGTGGAAGAATGGAACTAGGATTTTCACTTGTATCTGTTAATTTTCTCACAATTACCAAAGTGTTATTATATTTGGGGGACATTAAGACCTAAATTAAATCTAAGTTAAAACCTAAAATTTTAAATTAAAGCCCAAATTCCTAAAGATGAATGCATTGAAGCTTTCTATATGGTATTCAAGGAAGAAATGGAAGAAAGAGAGAAGAGGAGAGGGGAGGGAACACAACTGAACTGGAGGAGAGGAGAAAAAAAAAAGAGTTGTGTATGACTTACCGATTCTGTAAATAAGAACTTTGCTGCCAGTGGGATCCCTGGATCTCAGGACTCCATGGTAGCCAGCCTTTAGGAGGCCAATAATACTTCTAGGGTGTAGATCTGCACTTATTTCTGGACATTCTGCTCTCCACTTATAATAGTTTTTTAGTAACTGAAAAATAAAATTAAAATTGTCTACAAATGGCATACATGGTAATGATTTTGTAAAAATGGAAGAAAAGCTTTGGCATTGTGTATAAACTTTGCCATCCATTATGTCAAGAGTTTAATCTAGGGTATCTTTTCAGCTGTGAAAACTGAAAGTTCTTTTATCAAGGATCTGAGGTGACAGGGGTTAATCACAAATTCAGAGCTGAGCAACTTTCATTCACCACCCATGGTAGATATCCTCCAAAGACAGCCACCAATTCCTCCCCTCCTGATACCCATGCACCATTCTTCCCATTAAGAGATGGCATCTATTTGCTTCACTCCCCTTGAATCTAGGCTGGCCTTCCACCTTGCTTTGATCTAATATCAACTGGCAGAAGTGATACTGTGTGGGCCAAGCTTTAAGAAGCCTGGTACCTTCTGAATGTACTATTTGGGATCCAGACACTATGTGAGATTACTGAATGATAGCAATTCATGTGGAGAGAGGCATGGAGGTTGAGAGGACATCCTGGATAGTGTGACCTCAGCCAAGTTCCCATCTAATGCCATGTGGAACAGAGATGAACCACTCCCACTGAGCCCTGCCCAAACTGGTGATATCAAAAACAAATAAATCATTGTGTTTTCAGCCACTAATTCTTGGAGTGACTTGTTGCTCAGCAATAGAAAGCTGAAACACCACTTTTAGTATTTTTTGAAATAAGGAAGTATAGAAATCAATCAAATGAGTTAGAAGAGCCCAGGAGCAGTATACTTGGATACTGGATCTTGTCAAAATATGGTCTGAAGAAATCCCATTTTCTTTCTTTCCAAAAGAACCACCGGAAATAGCTAATCATATACGCAAACATACAAACACTACCAGCATATTGTGGAAAATACTAAAGCAAATTATGTATTTAAAAATTATTATATTTATATTTTAATTTTATTCTCATGATTTTTGGCACTCTCAATTTTTCACAAGTTACAATACATTTGTTTTGAGTTTAAAGAGACTTATTAATGTGAGACTGCAGTGCAGAGAAAATGACAGATTTTATATTTGAGAGTAATTGGAATAAACAAGGTAACTATAACCACAAAAATCACAATGATCTGGAGGAGAAACTACAAACGACAAAAACTAGAGAGGGAAATGCTGAGCCTTGGGAAATGTTAATGGCTGGGAATGGCTGGAGGAAGACAGAAACTGAGTGGACCTGAAGAGAACCAGCACTGGTACACGAGAGGGAGGACAGTGCCATCTGCATTGCTCTGCTCCCCCTCACCCCCATCTCTGATTTATCTCCCTCTCTTTCTCTCTCTGTCTGTCTCCCTCTATTTCATTTCTGTATTTAATAAACCTTTCTTAACTTTGAAAAAAGAGAGAATGTTGCTAAGAGTTAAATGCAAGAGAGGAGTAAGAAAGAAAAAAGTCAATTTGCCAACAAAGAAATAATTGGTGACCTAAATAGCAGTTTCCAAAAGCATGAGAACAACAGGCACATTGTAGGTCCTAATATCTTCATTCTACTCTACACGGTGCATTTCTCTTCCTCCTCCAGTCTTAGGGGGTACCAGAATAACTGTTAACAGTATTTTACAATGCTTTTTACTTTTCTGATAGTTTCCTCAGACATAAAAATCTTTTTCATTCCAATTCAAGTAAAATGCTGGAAGCTGCACATTAGTAACTATATAGAAATAATGTGTTTTTTTTTCCTGTGGAATGATAAAAGTTGTGGCTTCATTAGAAGGGATCATTTAGGTTTAATACTGGCAGGGGCCTCAGCTTATTCATCTCTGCAGAGTGCTGCACACCCAGGAGATAACAACACGTGTTGAATGAAAGAATAAATTAAGTCATGAGTAAACCAACTGGAACCACACACTTGAAAAACTGACTTCTGTAAAGAGGCACAAATCACTATCTCGCACAATTTTTGCAAACTGAAAGATCTAAACCTGGAACTTTGGTCTTTACTTATCCACTGATACATAAATTCACAGTATAGCTGTCATAAATAAATTATGTAAATAAACTGCTACTGAGCAATTCTCAAACAAACCACCCTATGTCCACAACAACAACAAAGAAGTGGCTAAAAATAAATATTCATCATTGGAAGGTGTCTGTTTTGCAAACATTAGAAGTAAATAAACATTTAAAATGTTATGGGTTAACTATGTTTTGTAACAGAGTAGGTTTCTTCTTACATGTTTCATGTACTTTGAAACAAAATAAGAACCACCATATTTGGAGCACTTTTATAGGGTCTAATGCCATCTTTTGAATTCCTCCTCACCATCACCCTGAGAAGTAGCTACTGTTGTGGCATTATAAGAATAAGAAAAGTAAAGCTCCAGCCAGGCACAGTGGCTCATGCCTGTAATCCCAGCACTTTGGGAGGCCAAAACGGATGGATCACGAGGTCAAGAGATCAAGACCATCCTGGCCAATATGGTGAAACCCCATCTCTAAAAATACAAAAATTAGCTGGGTGTGGTGGTGCGTGCTCAGGAGGCTGAGGCAGGAGAATCGCTTGAACCTGGGAGGCGAAGGTTGCAGTGAGCCGAGATTGCGCCACTGCACTCCAGCCTGGGCGACAGAGCCAGACTCCGTCTCAAAAAAAAAAAAAAAAAAAAAAAGTAAAGTAAAGCTATGAGAAATTACACATTTGTTCAAAGGCAATAACTATCAGGAGCAGAGTGGAAACTGAAATGGACACATGATATGAAAAATTTTATAAAAGAAGCTGCATTTAGAGAGAAATTAGCAGGGAGAATCTATGGAATTTGGAAAGCTTTGGGAAAACCATAAAGATAATTATAGCATAAAAAGCTTATCACATGGAACAAAAGTATAAGGAACTAGGCTATCACTTGATATAAGGAATTCATGAGACTATGTAGAACAGGCAGAGAAGTGAATGGTTAGCTGTTTTATATGTTTGTTGTTTTAAATATAAGAGGCAAGTGCAGTGTATTTGACAGCGCAGGCTCTCTCCTGAGCCCAACCCAAATTCAAATCCCTGCTTCAACACTTAATGGCTACATAATTTCAGACAAGTTACTTACTCTTTATATCTGTTTCTTCTAAAATGAGAAAATAATAAAAGATAATCCATGAAAACCCTACTTACCAAAGTATGTTGCATTCTATAAGCACATTAGCTATTAGGATTATATAATAAAACCTTATTAATTCATCATAACTTCAAATACAAACACTAGAATAATGAGAAATTTCATTGTGACTGAGGCACTTATCAAGCTTTCTTTATACAAAAACTATAGGGCTTCTATATTATGAATGAAGAAGTTAGAGTTGAATTAAGTGCTATTGCAGAGGAAAATGAAAAAAAGTTTTGCACTCTTACCCTTTCCTTTTCCTTTCCAGTTGGCAGAAAAGCAAGACAAAGAGTTCACAGACAGAAACTTGATTTCTATGCGGTGGATTTAGACACAGTCCTGCTAGCCAATTCCTCAAGGGCATGGTACAATGAAAACAATTCCTTATTTAAGGAATACAGAAAAAAATATATTATGTCCCAGAGGCTGATGGTCAATTTTATTTTTCTATTTAAACATTACTTTTTTTAAAGCAGCTAAAATGAAATTAGTAAATGAAACATGTTTTATTGTTAGTTATCTCTATACATATATATGTTTAATGCCTCATTTAAGCTTCATTCTTCATAGGACCTGAGATTGTGTTTTCATATTCAGTAGTTACTAAGTACATATTAGTTTATTACTCATGATATTGGGATACTTATATAGCCATCTAAAAAATGAAAATAAATAAAGTTGGATTCCTATTTTACTCCTAACATAAAAACAAATCTCAATAGATCAAAGACCCCAACATAAAAAAGAGAAGACACAAATAACTAGAAAAAATTTTGGACAAGAGAAGAGATTATAAAACCCAGAGGCAATCAAAGACTAATAAAATCAATTCATTTGATTACATTAAAATTTAAAATTCTGCACAGAAAAAAATAGTATAAGTAATGTAACAGATAAAAATCAAGGACAAAGGCCTAAAATATATAAAAAGGCCTAAAATACATAAAAATATTTTATAAATCAGTAAAACATAAAAATGGGATCCATTCCAAGATGGCCGAATAGGAACAGCTCCAGTCTGCAACTCCCAGTGTGATCGATGCAGAAGATGGGTGATTTCTGCGTTTCCAACTGAGGTACCTGGTTCATCTCACTGGGACTGGTTGGACAGTGGGTGCAGCCCATGGAGGGTGGGCTGAAGCAAGGCGGGGCATTGCCTCACCCAGGAAGTGCAAAGGGTTGGGGGATTTCCCTTTCCTAGCCAAGGGAAGCCATGACGGATGTACCGGGAAAAACAGGACACTTCCACCCAAATACTGCACTTTTCCCAAGGTCTTAGCAACTGGCACACAAGGAGATTCTCTCCTGTGCATGGCTTGGCGGGTCCAACACCCATGGAGCCTTGCTCACTGCTAGCGTGGCAGTCTGAGATCTAACTTCAAGGCGGCAGCCTGGCTGGGGGAGGGGCATCTGCCATTGCTGAGGCTTGAGTAGGTAAACAAAGTGGGCCAAAAGCTCGAACTGGGTGGAGCCCACTGCAGCACAGCAAGGCCTACAGCCTCCATAGACTCCACCTCTGTGGGCAGGGCATAGCTGAACAAAAGGCAGCAGACAGCTTCTGCAGACTTAAACGTCCCTGTCTGACAGTTCTGAAGAGCACAGTGGTTCTCCCAGCATGGCATTTCTGCTCTGAGAATGGACAGACTGCCTCCTCAAGTGGGTCCTTGACCCCCATATAGCCTAACTGGGAGACACCTCCCAGTAGGGGCCGACAGACACCTCATATAGGCAGGTGACACTCTGGGACGAAGCTTCCAGAGGAAGGATCAGGCAGCAATATTTGCCGTTCTGCAATATTCACTGTTCTGCAGCCTTCGCTGGTGACACCCAGGCAAACAGGGTCTGGAATGGACCTCCAGCAAACTCCAACAGACCTGCAGCTGAGAGACCTGACTGTTAGAAGGAAAACTAACAAACAGACAGGAATAGCGCCAACATCAACAAAAAGAACATCCACACCAAAACCCCATGTGTAGGTCATGAACGTCAAAGACCAAAGGTGGATAAAACCACAAAGATGGGGAGAAACCAGAGCAGAAAAGCTGAAAATTCTAAAAACCAGAGCGCCTCTTCTCCTCCAAAGGATCACAGCTCCTCACCAGCAATAGAACAAAGCTGGATGGAGAATGACTTTGATGAGTTGACAGAAGTAGGCTTCACAAGGTCAGTAATAACAAACTTGTCTGAGCTAAAGGAGCATGTTCAAACCCAACACAAGGAAGCTAAAATCCTTGAAAAAAGGTTAAACGAATGGCAAACTAGAATAAACAGTGTAGAGAAGACCTTAAATGACCGGATGGAACTGAAAAGCCTGGCACAAGAACTTTGTGATGCACGCACAAGCTTCAGTAGCTGATTCCATCAAGTGGAAAGAAGGGTATCAGTGATTAAAGATCAAATTAATAAAATAAAGCGAGAAGACAAGGTTAGAGAAAAAAGAGTAAAAAGAAATGAACAAAGCCTCCAAGAAATATGGGCCTATGTGAAAAGACCAAATCTACTTTTGATAGGTGTACCTGAAAGTGATGGGGAGAGTGGAACCAGTTGGAAAACACTCTTCAGGATATTATCCAGGAGAACTTCCCCAACCTAGCAAGTCAGGCCAACAATCAAATTCAGGAAATACAGAGAACACCACAAAGATACTCCTCGAGAAGAGCAACCCCAAGACACATAATTGTCAGATTCACCAAGGTTGAAATGAAGGAAGAAATGTTAAGGGCAGCCAGAGAGAAAAGTCGGGTTACCCACAAAGGGAAGCCCATCAGACTAACAGCAGATCTCTCAGTAGAAACCCTACAAACCAGAAGAGAGTAGGGGGCCAACATTCAACATTCTTAAAGAAAAGAATTTTCAACACAGAATTTCATATCCAGCCAAACTAAGCTTCATAAGTGAAGGAGAAATAAAATTCTTTACAGACAAGCTGAGAGATTTTGTCACCACCAGGCCTGCCTTACAAGAGCTCCTGAAAGAAGCATTAAACATGGAAAGGAACAACTGGTACCAGCCACTGCAAAAACATGCCAAATTGTAAAGACCATCAATGCTATGAAGCAACTGCATCAATTAATGGGCAAAATAACCAGCTAACATCATAATGACTGGATCAAATTCACACATAACAATATTAACCTTAAATGTAAATGGGCTAAATGTCCCAATTAAAAGATACAGAGTGGCAAATTGAATAAAGAGTCAAGACCCATCAGATGTCTATAGCACATCTCACATGCAGAGACACATATAGGCTCAAAATAAAGGAATGGAGGAATATCTACCAAGCAAATGGAAAGCAAAAAAAAAGCAGGGGTTGCAATCCTAGTCTCTGATAAAACAGACTTTAAACCAACAAAGATCAAAAGAGACAAAGAAGGTCATTATATAATGGTAAAGGGATCAATTCAACAAGAAGAGCTAACTATCCTAAATACACCCAATACAGGAGCACCCAGATTCTTAAAGCAAGTCCTTAGAGACCTACAAAGAGACTTAGACTCCCACACAATAATAATGGGAGACTTTAACACCCCACTGTCAATATTAGACAGATCAATGAGACAGAAGGTTAACGAGGATATCCAGGACTTGAACTCAGCTCTGCACCAAGCAGACCTAACAGACATCTACAGCGCTCTCCACCCCAAATCAACAGAATATACATTCTTCTCAGCACCACATCACACTCATTCTAAAATTGACCACATAATTGGAAGTAAAGCACTCCTTAGCAAATGTAAAAGAAAAGAAATCACAACAAACTGTCTCTCAGACCACAGCGCAATCAAATTAGAACTCAGGATTAAGAAACTCACTCAAAACCGCACAACTACATGGAAACTGAACCACCTGCTCCTGAATGACTACTGGGTAAATAATGAAATGAAGGCAGAAATAAAGATGTTCTTTGAAACCAATGAGAACAAAGACACAACATACCAGAATCTCTGGGACACATTTAAAGTAGTGTGTAGAGGGAAATTTATAGCACTAAATGCCCACAAGAGAAAGCAGGAAGGATCTCAAATCGACACCCTAACACCACAATTAAAAGAAATAGAGAAGCAAGAGCAAACAAATTCAAAAGCTAGCAGAAGATAAGAAACAACTAAGATCACAGCAGAACTGAAAGAGATAGAGATACAAAAAACCCTTTGAAAAATCAATGAATCTAGAAGCTGGTTTTTTGAAACGATCAACAAAATTGATAGACTGCTAGCAAGACTAATAAAGAAGGCCGGGCATGGTGGCTCACGCCTGTAATCCCAGCACTTTGGGAGGCCAAGGCAGGCGGATCACGACGTCGGGAGATCAAGACCATCCTAGCTAACACGGTGAAACCCCGTCTCTACTAAAAATACAGAAAAATTAGCTGGGCGTGGTGGCGGGCGTCTGTAGTCCCAGCTACTGGGAGGCTGAGGTGGGAGAATGGCGTGAACCCAGGAGGCAGAGCTTGCAGTGAGCCGAATCATGCCACTGCACTCCAGCCTGGGTGACAGAGCGAGACTCCGTATCAAAAAAAAAAAAAAAATAAATAATAATAATAATAAAGAAGAAAAGAGAGAAGAATCAAGTAATCAAATAGACACAAAAAAATGATAAAGGGGATATCACCACCGATCCCACAAAATACAAACTGCCATCAGAGAATACTATAAACACCTCTATGCAAATAAACTGGAAAATCTAGAAGAAATGGATAAATTCCTGGACACATACACCCTCCCAAGACTAAACCAGGAAGAAGTTGAATCTCTGAATAGACCAATAACAGGCTCTGAAATTGAGGCAATAATTAATAGCCTACCAACCAAAAAAAAAAAACAGACCGATTAACAGACAAATTCTAACAGAGGTACAAAAAGGAGCTGGTACCATTCCTTCTGAAACTATTCCAATCAATAGAAAAAGAGGGGATCCTCACAAACTCATTTTATGAGGCCAGCATCATCCTGATATCAAAGCCTGGCAGAGACACAACAAAAAAAGAGAATTTTAGATGAATATCCCTGATGAACATCGATGCAAAAATCCTCAATAAAATACTGGCAAACCGAATCCAGCAGCACATCAAAAAGCTTATCCACCAAGATCAAGTTGGCTTCATCCCTGGAATGCAAGCCTGGTTCAACATACACAAATCAATAAATGTAATCCATCAGATAAACAGAATCAATGACAAAAACCACATGATTATCTCAATAGATGCAGAAAAGGCCTTTGACAAAATTCAACAGCCCTTCATGCTAAAGACTGTCAAAAAACTAGATATTTATGGAACGTATCTCAAAATAATAAGAGGTATTTATGACAGACCCACAGTCAGTATCATACTGAATGGGCCAAAACTGGAAGCATTCCCTTTGAAAACCGGCACAGGACAAGGATGCCCTCTCTCACCATTCCCATTCAACATAGTGTTGGAAATCCTGGCCACGGCAATCAGGCAAGAGAAAGAAATAAAGGGTATTCAATTAGGAAATGGGAAGTCAAATTGTCCCTGTTTGCAGAAGACATGACTGTAAATTTAGAAAACCCCATCGTCTCAACCCAAAATCTCCTTAAGCTGATAAGCAACTTCAGCAAAGTCTCAGGATACAAAATCAATGTGCAAAAATCGCAAGCATTCCTATACACCAATAACGGACAAACAGAGAACTAAATCATGAGTGAACTCCCATTCACAATTGCTACAAACAGAATAAAATACCTAGGAATCCAACTTACAAGGAATGTGAAGGACCTCTTCAAGGAGAACTACAAACCACTGCTCAACAAAATAAAAGAGGACACAAACAAATGGAAGAACATTCCATGCTCATGGGTAGGAAGAATCAATATCATGAAAATGGCCATACTGCCCAAGGTAATTTATAGATTCAATGCCATCCCCATCAAGCTACCAATGACTTTCTTCACAGAACTGGAAAAAACTACTTTAAAGTTCATATTGAACCAAAAAAGAGCCCACATTGCCAAGACAATCCTAAGCAGAAAGAACAAAGCTGGAGGCATCATGCTACCTGACTTCAAACTACGCTACAAGGCTACAGTAACCAAAACAGCATGGTACTGGTACCAAAAGAGATATATAGACCAATGGAACAGAACAGAGGCCTCAGAAATAACACCACACATCTACAACCATCTCATCTTTGACAAATCTGACAAAAACAAAAAATGGGGAAAGGATTCCCTATTTAATAAATGGCGCTGGGAAAACTGGCTAGCCATATGTAGAAAGCTGAAACTGGATCCCTTCCTTACATCTTATACAAAAATTAATTCAAGATGGATTAAAGACTTAAATGTTAGACCTAAAACCATAAAAACCCTAGAAGAAAACCTATGCAATACCATTCAGGCCATAGGTGTGGGCAAGGACTTCATGACTAAAACACCAAAAGCAATGGCAACAAAAGCCAAAACTGAGAAACGGGATCTAATTAAACTAAAGAGCTTCTGCATGGCAAAAGAAACTAGCATCAGAATGAAGAGGCAACCTACAGAATGGGAGAAAATTTTTGCAATCTACCCATCTGACAAAGGGCTAATATCCAGAATGTGCAAGGAACTTAAACAAATTTACAAGAAAAACAACCCCATCAAAAAGTGGGTGAAGGATATGAACAGACACTTCTCAAAAGAAGACATTTATGCAGCCAACGGATACATGTAAAAATGCTCATCATCACTGGTCATCAGAGAAATGCAAATCAAAACCACAATGAGATACTATCTCACGCCAGTTAGAATGGTGATCATTGAAAAGTCAGGAAACGACAGGTGCTGGAGAAGATGTGGAGAAATAAGAATGCTTTTACACTGTTAGTGGGAGTGTAAATTAGTTCAACCACTGTGGAAGACAGTGTGGTGATTCCTCAAGGATCTAGAACTAGAAATACCATTTGACCCAGCAATCCCATTACTGGGTATATACCCAAAGGATTATAAATCATGCTGCTATAAAGACACATGCACACGTATGTTTACTGCGGCACTATTCACAATAGCAAAGACTTGGAACCAACCCAAATGTCCATCAATGATAGACTGGATTAAGAAAATGTGGCACATATACACCATGTAATACTATGCAGCCATAAAGAAGGATGAGTTCATGTCCTTTGCAGGGACGTGGACGAAGCTGGAAACCATCATTCTCAGCAACTATCACAAAGACAGAAAACCAAACACTGCATGTTCTCACTCAGAGGTGGGAATTGAACAATGAGAACACTTGGACACACAGTGGGGAACATCGCACACTGGGGCCTGTTGGAGGGTGGTGAGCTGGGGGAGGGATAGCATTAGGAGAAATACCTAATGTAAATGACGAGTTGATGGGTGCAGCAAACCAACATGGCACATGTATATCTATGTATCAAACCTGCACATTGTGCACATGTACCCTAAAACTTAAAGTATAATAAAAAAAAAAAAGAACAAAAGCAAAAACAGGCCATTTTCAGTTAACTGGAAAGAAATTTTGAAATTTTACATGTATATAAAAGATTATTAATCACACTTAAATAAATGCATATTATAATAACAATGAAAAAGTATATCTCTTTTAGCAGGTTTATACACAAATTGTGTTTGATAATACAGTGTGGGTTATGGAGGAAAAGGCAAAATCATGTAATATCAGAGTGATGAGTTATAGAGTTTTTTTTCTTTTTTTTCTTTTTTTTTTTTGAGACAGGGCCTCACTCTGTTGTCCAGGCTGTGGTGCAGTAGCACAATCTCGGCTCTCTGCAACCTCCACCTCCTGGGCTCAAGCGATTCTCCCACTTCAGCCTCCCAAGTAGCTGGGATTACATGCACGTGCCACCACACCTGGCTAATTTTTGTTATTTTTTGTAGAGATGAGGTTTCACCATGTTGCACAGGCTGTTCGTGAGCTCCTGAGCTCAATTGATCCACCATCCTCAGCCTCCCAAAGTGCTGGGATTGCAGGCCTGAGCTACTGCGACCTTTGGAAGGCACTGAAAACTCTTTGGAAGACAGTTTGTTATATTACTCAACACTGAAAAATACACATCTAATTTCATCCAGCAATTTCACCGGTTGAATTTATCCTGTAAATTTATATTCCTATTTATGCACAAAGTATGAGGACATGAGGAATGCCCAGTCAGTGATGGAAGAAACCACAGCCGCCTTGTTGACTGCATCTTGTGTACTACTAGGCAAATTGTAGAGTCCAAAAAATAATTGTTGAATGAAGGAATGAACAGCAATAAGCCCTAAGTCCAATAACAGGTTAGATACATTTTAATATAGTCTAATATATCCATCCAGTAGAATAACAGCAGCCCAATAAAGAGTAAGATGGATGTATACCAGTTGATATGGGATGCTCCTAGTTCAAAGACAGGTAAGAAAGGCAAAATAGAAATCACACACAAACATGCTTGTGCAACCTCTGGCTGTTTAAAAAGATAAATGAGTAACACTAACCAGCCTCTGGGTATGTGACTGACAAACTAAGGTTTGAGGTAGGGAGCTTTTTTCCTTTAGAAAGTTACTGTTAGAAACTTACTTTTCACGTTTTAGGATTTTGTGTTACCTAGATTATTTTTACCATAATTTTACTTAAGTTAAAAACAACCTCAGGCTGCTCTGTCTCTATGGAGTAGCCATTCTTTTGTTTCTTTACATTCTTAATAAAGTTGCTTTCACTCTAAAACAAACAAGAGAAACCCTCAAAAACCTCATACTGAGACACACTGGAATTTTGTACTATAATATCTTTCCTGCTAGGCAGCTGTGTGACACTGAACAAGCCACTTAGAGAAAGGGCTAGATCTGGTCGAACTGCTGAATGCTTACTGTGTGCCAGGCACTGTGCTGGGCACAGCTTGTTTTGTTAAACTGGTTAATGTTCAATCTTCACAAAAAATCAATGAGACAGGCATTTCCATCATTATTTAACAGATAAGGACACCAAACCTAAAGTGACAGAACTCAAGGTCGCATCCCTCTTTCTGATTCCTATCTTTCCATCACCTTTTCTTTCAGTGAGCTGTAACATACCAGAAACCAAAAGAACTGCCCGACTACAACCCAGACTCGAACTATACTGGGTTGCTTTACTGTCTTGACACTTAAGTGTTACTAGTAATAATACTATGTTGCTACTATATGGCTTCAGAACTTCAGTTTTACCAGCAATTTCATTTTCCCCGCTATACGTAGTTAATCTGGTCACGTGTGATAAGTCTGAGCTTCCAACTTGTAAGCTGTTACTTTGTTTGTACCACAGGCTTTCCTGCAGGGAGAGGAAGGCATGTCCCCCAAACTTTGTAGGTTCAGGAGACTCATCTAGCGCAGGAGTTCTCCATGCTTGAGATCAAATGGGCCATTATCCCATGACTCCAACACTTTCTAGCTTTGTCGTTTCCATGACCCAGAGAAACTGGAGGACCAGCTCTGGATTCTCGGAACATCTACAGCCTCAGCGCCCACGCCGGGTGGTTAGGGGCGCGTTACCCGCCAGGGTCCTGCCTGCACCCTGGGCTTCGGCAGGGGTCAGATATCCGGGGTCGTGGGGCGGGGGACGGGGCGGGTGAGGTGCGCACTGCCGAGCGCCCTGGGCACGCACGCTTACCCGCCAGGCCAGGTCCAGATCGAAATCCCGGGCGCGCAGGAACCGCAGCAGGAAGGAGTCGGTGAGCGGCAGCGGCGCGAGCGGGACGCCAGCTTCCCGGGCCCGGCGCCGCAGCGCCGCCAGGCCCGGCTGCAGCAACGGAGAGTGGTCCGGTAGCGCGTTGAGCTGCGGCCCCGCCGAGGGCTGGGATCGCGCCTCTGCCATGCCCGCCGCCGCTGCTGCGGCCGCAGCTACCCGGGCACCCGGGAAAAGCGCGCGCCCCGCGCCACCCTCGGCCCCGCCTCTGCGGCCGCTGCCCGTCGCACAACCACTCTCCAGCCTGGCAGGGCGGTCTCCGGCCTCGCACGCCGGACCCGCGGCGAGCAGAGCTGCCTCTTAAAGGAAACCGCACAGTGTCCCCACGGGTGCTAGCCACCTGTTTAGCAGCTTTAGTTAGGGACCCCAGCTTTTTCCCAGCGAGGGAAGCCACTGATGTTCAAACACCGAGGAAACGATGTCAAAGTTAGTTGGGATGATTTTTACGATCTACTAGAGAATCTTTTTTTTTTTCTTTTTCCTTCCTCCCTCTCTCTTCCTTCCATTCTTCCTTCCTTCTTGCAATCTTGGAGCTGAAAGGAGCCTTAGAACGAGCCTTTAATGGCCAGTGGCCGACGCGCTACTGAGCCCTCTCCCTTCTCCTTCCATCAGATTCCAGACTGATGACCCCTCGCCTCGCACTGGATTACAGCATGCATTCTAAAACACGCATTCCATAATGCCTCCTTGGCAGCCTCACCGCTTTTCTCCCTTCCTCCCGATTCGGGAAAACTTCTCTAATCCTGGCACCGGCCCCTGTTACTGACACAAATAAATGACTAGCGCGTACCCTGACCCCCTTCCGCACCAATATTTATATATTTATATTTTTTATTAATTTATTATTTACTTATTTAGAGACAGGGTCTCACTGTCGCCCAGGCTGGAGTGCAGCAGTCTGATCAAGGCTCACAGCAGCCTCCAACTCCTGGGCTCAAGTGATCCTCCCGCCTGGGCCTCCCAAAGTTTTGGGATTACAGGCCTGAGCCACCATGACTGGCCTCCATATATTTTTAGCACCATAAACTTACTCTGTTACACTCCACCATCACTAAACTTTAAGCATGTCTACTCGCTAAAATGGACAGTCCAAAGCTGTTATATGATTGAGTCTATGAAAGCCTGGGGAATGAAGATGAAGTAGGGAAATAATGTGGAAACTTGAAAGGCTGTTCCGTTGTCCTTTTCTTGATTTCTCCATATTGGAACTAGCCTAGAATTGTTTTGTCTTCCCAAGAGAGAATCCATGAAACCGTTTCTTATTAAATGCATACTATGCTCCAGGTAAATGCTGGACTTGGAGAAAAACAAATTAAACCAAATCTTTGCTTTTAAGGAGCTCAGAGGGTGGAGAAAGAGACTGCCATTTCATTCATTAAAGAAAGAGTGATTGGGTGGTTACTGTGTCCAGACCCTATTCTAGGTACTGAGGGCACTCCTGTGAACAAAATAGACACAACTCTTGCTTTCAAGGAGTTTTCATTCTTTTGGGGGAGGGAATGGATGATTAACAAGATAAATCAGTAAATAATGTGATATAAGAAATGGCAGTCAATGCTATGGGGAAACGAAGCCAAAAAGTGGGCAGCACCTACAGTGACGTTGGAATAAACACCTGAGTGAGGTGAGCGAGCTTGGCCCAGGGGTATCTGGGACTGGAAGGCTGTGGGCTTTGGCTTCTGTTCTGAGGGAGATGGGAAGCATTAGAGTAAATAATCCCAATCCAACCAGAAAGCAACTATACCTGGGGACAAAAGATTCCTAGCTTTGGCTTATACTCAGAGTGAGACGGAAGCTATTTGAGTAAAGGTTTACAAGTCAATGTGACAAGTGTACAAAACAGGTTTGGAGACCATGGTGTGAGAACACAGAGGAACACTACCGACACTGCCTAAGAGATTTGGAAAGGCCTCACAAAGGGGCTGTTTGCACGGCCTTAGTGAATGCACTGGGAATGTTTGCCAACCAAAGGAGAGAGGGGGAAGGAAGAAAGTACTAGTCAAGAGGGGCTGACTGTGCAAGGCCTTTCTGGAAGCTCCGAAGAATTAAAAGACAATGGTAGCCTTTCTTCTCTAGAAGTTTTAAGTGTCTAAAAATAATAAGAGAGGGCCTATAGAGCATGTTTTCCTCCCTTCCAAAAGATTTTTTTCAATGCTCTCTCCTACTTGTTTTTAGTAATTAGCATCCACTTTTTTGAAATTGGGCAGAAAGTTCAGTGAGAGATCGGGGACATTATCTAGCTATAGCCATTGAAGGTGCAAAGAGAATGTCTCTTCCCCTCTGTAAGTTCCATGATTTTAGTCTATAAAACAAACTGACAGTAGACAGACGAATGGGAAAAAGGCACATGCGTATATTAACGTGTGTAAACAAGGGAGTCATACACAAAGTATGAGACTTAAAGAAGGGGCCAGATAATGAAGTTTTATACCATCCTGAGGTTACAGAAAGAATAGGGGCTTGGGGCTTCTCGAGGAGAGATGGAGACACGGGTTATGGGAAAGTGAGGGGGAAAGCATGGCATAGAGCCTACCTAGTTTTGCAGATAAAATCCTCCAGGGAGGAGCTCTCAGAAAGAATAAGACAGGAGCCTGTAGTAACAGTTTCCCTAGTGGACCTTTAAGGTGTCCAACTTTTAGTCCCTTTTTCCCAAAAGTTAATCTTTCCTAGATCCAGAGAAGGGGAGCCTCAGAGAAAGCTTGGATGTTTATTTCACCTATATGGATTTTCTCTACAGATACAAATCTCCCCTATAAAAGACAGCTTTTCAGGGCTATTCTTGTGCTGGCAGTCCCTCTGAATAGCCATCTCAAAATAGACCAAAGGAGTATATTGTGAATGGCATATTTTTGGTTTCCTTCATTGTAGTATCCCTTTTTTTTTTTTGAGACGGAGTCTTGCTCTATTGCCAGGCTGGAGTGAAGTGATGCAATCTCAGTTCACTGCAACCTCCGCCTCCAGGGTTCAATAGATTCTCCTACTTCAGCCTCCTGAGTAGCTGGGACCACAGTCGCACACTGCCATGCCTAGCTAATTTTTGTATTTTTAGTAGAGATGGGGTTTTACCATGTTGGCCAGGATGGTCTCTATCTCTTGACTTCGTGATCAGCCCGCCTCAGCCTCCCAAAGTGCTGGGATTTCAGGTGTCAGCCACTGTGCCTGGCCTAGTGTCCCTTTTTAGAACTGATAAATCTGTTATTTCTGCATCTGTGAAACTCTTCTAAGAAATCAATAAGATTGACTGATTGATTGCCATTAAACTCAGTGAAAATGAAGCCAACATGGAGCCCAGATGGTGGTGAGAGGTGGCTCCTAAATACCTAAGAGGTGGCAGAGGGAGCGGTGGATATCTATAACTCAAGTGGGAAGCAATGCCAATGTCAGCAGTTAGCCCAGTGGTAGAAAAGATTGCACGACTATGGGAAAGAGAGAAAAAAGTTGAAGAATTGATGGGGCAGACATAAAAGGTGAGAATTTTACACTACAACTTGATTACTTTGGGGTTAAATTATACAGATCGTGCTTCTGTCTTTCAACAATGTTATCTTGGATTTATATAAAAATTTTAGAATTCTTGGCACAAGCTTTCAAGAGCTGTTACTCAATTTTTGTTTTGAAATGTTTTCAAATTTTCTATGCTCATATTTTACTCTGGTGAGCTCTTGTGTTTACCGAAAATGCATCCAGGCCTCTGGCTGAAAGAGTCCAAAGGGATTTCTGGAACTAATGGTATGAGGAAATAAAAGCAAAACTGGAATGAAAAGTTAGTTGACTTTTGTAGCTACCTTACAATTTACTCTGAAATTATTTAACATTTAGTTATTTATTAGCATAATAATTCATAAGTATACCAATTTATTTTACTTTCAGCTTCACAGAAAAGACAAATATTTTTCACTGTTAAAAGATAACATTTTCAAAAAGAGATAAAATTATGACACTTATACATATATAAAACTGAACAAGTGTTAAAGATTTTATTCAACTGGTAAGGAGGAAAGTAGACACATGTTATTGCAAGTTCAAATAAGTTAAAAAAAAAAGCACACATTTACATGGAGTAAAGGATGTTGAAAGGGATGTGCAAATGGAGGCAAAACTAACTTCTTTCACAGTGAGGGAGAGAGGTCAATCAAAACTCCTCCAGGCAGTTCAGAATTAGCATGTTATTAGACAAGAATTATTTGCCATTGCTATCAGTTATCTACAGTTCACAGAATTGTAAAATAGCTTCGATAGAATGAGAATCAAATAATGCAGGAGGTGCCATCTAGAGTCTATGTAATGCATAATTTTCCATTGAAGCAGAAATATTACCCCACATCACTTGGGAAACTCTATGTAAAATTTATAAAATAATATTTACCACAGAACATTTCAACCATATGTAAAAATAATAGTAATGAATACCAATATACAGTCTGCTTCAGCAATCAATGATATTTTGCCAATCTTGTTTTATCCACCTCCCCTACTTTTTTAATAAGCTGAAATATTTTAAAGACATACCCACATATCATACTATTTTAAATATCATACTCTTGTAAATACTACAAAATAAATTTTTTACATCACCACGATACCATTTTTCACACTTAAAAAATTAGCAACAATTCCCCAGTATTATCTAGTACCCACTCTGTATTCAAAATTCCCTGATTATCTCAAAAATATCTCGTTTAAGTTCTTCAAATTAGGATCCACATACAGTTCATACAGTGCATTTGGTTGCTGTGCATAAGTGTCAAGAATAGCCTCTCTCTTTTTTAAATGCTATTAATTTGTCGGTATAACCGGGTCAATTTTGTTCAGCATTTACCATCTTCTGGATTTTTCTGATTGCTTCTTACTGGCATCATTACATTGTTTTTCTTTTCCCTGCGTTTCTGGTAAAGAATAGTTAGATCTAGAGGATTGGTTAGATTTAGATTAAATCTTACTTTGGCAAGAATGTTTCATGAGGTGCATCACATGAAAAGGTATATAATATATATTTTATTCTCAGTGTAGATCCTCACAAAAGAGGAAAATGCTTTCAGAATGGACCATGCAATGCTTCCATGGTACGTCTCAAAAGATATTCCCCTGATGCTAGTGGACGACCCAACATCAATCAGCTCACTCTCTGATCTGCCTATCTCCAATGGGAATCTTATTGCCCTAGAAGGCAAATGTTTCCACAGCCTCAAAGTGTTTGAATTGTTCTTTCTCCCCCTCTAAATGCACAAAGAAATGAACAGCGCCCTGCAGTAATAACTATTTACTGCAACTGCTCTCAGATGTCTCCAAAATTGCTGCCCTTACCAGTGACCTGGTAGCTATTGCACACACAGTGGCTAAGTGCTTTCTCACAAAACACAGTAATCCCTGGTACCCCCTAAAGCCAAAAAGATCACGGAACTCAAGATGTATTAAAGACTTAAATGTAAAACCCAAAACCATAAAAATCCTAGAAGAAAGCCTAGGCAATAGCATTCAGGACACAGGCATGGGCAAAGACTTCATGACTAAAACACAAAAAGCAATTGCAACAAAAGCCAAAACTGACAAATGGGATCTAATTAAACTAAAAAGCTTCTGCACAGCAAAAGAAACTGTCATCAGAATGAAGAGGCAACCTACAGAATGGGAGAAAATTTTTGCAATCTACCCATTTGACAAAGGTCTAATATCCAGAATCTGCAAGGAACTTAAATAAATTTACAAGAAAAACAAACAAACAACCCCATCAAAAAGTGGGCAAAGGATATGAACAGACGCTTCTCAAAAGAAAACATTTATGCGCCAACAAGCATATTTTAAAAAGCTCATCATCACTGATCAGTAGAGAAATGCAAATCAAACCCACAATAAAATACCATCTCACACCAGTCAGAATGGCGATTATTAAAAAGTCAGGAAACAATAGATGCTGGTGAGGCTGTGGAGAAATAGGAATGCTTTTACACTGTTAGTGAGATTGCAGATTAGTTCATCCATTGTGGAAGACAGTGTAGTGATTCCTCAAGGATCTAGAACCAGAAATACCATTTGACCCAGCAATCTCATTACTGGGTGTATACCCAAATGAATATAAATCATTCCACTCTAAAGACACATGCACACATATGTCTATTGCAGCACTATTTACAATAGCAAAGACTTGGAACCAACCCAAATACCCAGGATGTGTGTGGCACCTTTTTCTGGATTCCTCAAGGGGTCTAAGGGTGCGAGAAATCTCTAGATTTCTTCATGTGGCAAAAGGAAGGAGGAGCCAAAGTGGAAATAAATAGAAGAACAAGTCTTAGAGGAGTCAATTGGGAGAGATTTTAAGCTTTCCAAAGGCGAATGAAGTTTTGCATTTTTCTCATTAAAAAAACATGCCAACAAGAGAGGATGCAAACAGAGGGACCAGTCCCTCTGAGATTAACACCTTATTAAAAACGATTTCAGTCGACTGAAGAAACTTTCCAGGAACAGGGCCCAAAAGAGAAAAAGTAGAAAGATCTTTAAAAAAAAAAATCATAACTTGTTATCAGCTTTCAGTTAAGCTGGCTTCTGACCTTAGAGTTCTTTAAAAAAAAAAAAAAAAAAGTTTTCAAATCTCTTATCAGATTTCCACCAGCACAACCAGCCAATATTCCTGGCTTTTGAACTTTTTTTTTCTGTTAAACCAAAGGTATCTTTCCAAGTGACTCACTAAAATCAATAAGCCTTAACTAAGGTTATTACTGAAACTAAGGACACCCTAGACAGCTCCAAAGAGTCGCAAAGCAGTTCTCACAAGATGCAGGACCACAACAAAGATGGCTCAAAGAAAGGAAAGTTTTACTAGCCTCAAACAGGGAATAACCCACGTTTCTGTACAGCCATATTCTCTAGGCTCTCAGCTTCTCAACTGACCATCTACCTACAAAGACCCAAAAGCCTCATGTGCTCTCGGAGATGGAAGAAGACAGGCAATCAAAACCTGTCGTTGAAAGGGAAAAGGATCAGTAACAAAAGAGTACCTCCAAAAGTATCTTTTTAGAAGTATAACTTTCCAATGGTGTACTTATTCTTGTAGCGACTTAATCCAATAACTCTCTTCATGAAAAGCCCAGGAGGTAATTTTCCAGATTTAGAATAAATTTTCACCATATAAGCACGAGAGTTTTCTTGGAGAGAGCATAGAAAAGGCAATCTCAATGATTATCCAAGACAGACAGACAGACAGACAGAAAGAAAGAAAGAAAGAAAGAAAGAAAGAAAGAAAGAAAGAAAGAAAGAAAATTCACTCCTAAGAATAGGCTGAGATAGTAAAATACTTGTTGCCACAGATGGCTATGAATAGTGTTTGTTCTGCTGAAGTCTCAGAGAAGAAAAAAAAACATAGCATTTGTGCATACAGGGCCGCCAATATCCCACAAATCTGTGGATATTGTTAACAGACCTGTTAATCCATGACACTGGGTAGCTTCTCCTGGGATTGCACATTGCCAGGACTAACCAGACAACAACGTTGAGATGACAAAAGCCTCTTATGGATGGGACTTTTTATTAAGACAAACTGTCCTGAGAGCTTGACACATTTGGAACAAAAAGTGTGCTGCTTAAAATTGTGTGTGTCTTGGGTTCCAGACTTTTCAGACAGGGCTACCGGACAAGACGTGAAAATCACACCCCGAATGACAGTGCACCCGCTTGGTCACAAGTCAAGCTCTCAAAAACATTACAACAAGACAAGAGGAGAATCTCATTCAGTTTCTATTCATGGTTCTCACATTCTCTACCAGTGGGACAGAATCTATCTGATGGTATAACCCAAACCTTTCTTTCCTAAGCTCTGAGTCCTTGGTGGCCCTAACTTTGTTGGGTTAATGTAGTTTTTCTTAATTATTACCACATAACATAGAACTCTTGGGTGAATTCCTTAGGGTGCAAACATGGTCTTTCTTACCCCTATTCTGCAGCTGAAACCCAATTTCTCCTTAGTAATTCAGATCATGAAAAGTCTCTTCATGAAAAGCCCAGGAGGGGCTAGAATTTGGCTAGTACCATGACTCCCCTTTTCTGAAGGTCAATTCAATAGTAAGAGAAGCTGTAAATGGCTATGTGACAGTTTCAGTTTCTAATTTATTACAACCGTAACTGTATTCTCTAATCAAATAATTCTCTCGGGCACTAGGACCTCTAAATTTTCTGAATCAACGCTTTTTGATACAGTAAACAAAACTTAGTGAGTAGGTTATTAGATGTAATAATAAGAGACACATGGTCACTTTTATCTATTGTTTCCTGACCCTTGTCTTATGCAATAGTGTTTCTGCACCAAATATTGACCATGTGTTTAAGGTATATCGATATCCTCTAAAGCAAATTATAAATCTTGCAGGACGTTTTATCTCAGGTGGCACCATAACTGAGTCTTAGCTTGGTTCTTTGTCAATCTTTAGTTGATTCTAAGTCAATCAACTGTATCTAGGTGGTAAGAAGCTGGCAAGCCCAGTGAATTCTGTTGGAATGAGCTCTTCGCTATGCCTACTATGCCATAAAATAAATTCTGCAGTCTGAGGCAATGATGTGTGGGATACTACAGTGATGACAACACATCAGTGATGACAAAACAGCATCTACCCACAATGGTGTTTCTGAAGCTACTTTGGTGAGGAAAGCGAATTTATATGTGAAATGTGTAACTTTTCTATGAGAACATATTACTGCCTCTCCCTGATGTAAGTGGTTCAGTGTAATCAACAGGTCAGCAGCTGAATTGTCTCCCCAGAGAACAGTGCTATATTGGGGCTCAGTTGGCTTACATTGATGTCAAATTGGGGAAGAACCGGTTCAGACTTAGTGAAGGGAAGTCAGGTTTTTGAGTCATGTATACAGCCCACATTTCTGCCATCATGTAATTGCCACTTTGTAATGGAACCCATTAAATTGGCAATAGGACGCCTGGCGATAAAAAGGATCACACACAGAATGGGTTGTCTTATCCTCTTGATTACTGAGAGACTCCTCTGCAGTGGAAACCTTTAGTAACCTTTTGTCATCACCTTTCCATCAGAAATCCTTGTCTCCAAAAGGTATTTATATTTGAAGCCTTTGCCCATCTCAGGAGATACATCCACATGTTTCCACCCATCTGCCTGATGGCCAGATCTTTAATACTGTTGTTTCCAAGCCCGTTATCCCAACAACCCATTAGCCACTGTACATAAAACAGAGTAGATATGTATTTCAGGCTTTTCTCCTACAACATGAAGCAGACAACCAGATGTACCTGAAGTTCTGCCCACTGGAAAGGTTTCCATTTACCATCATCTTTCAGGGATAACCTGAATGAATGCATCATGAAGTAGTTGTTTACATCCAGTTTGTGCCTTTTTGATGTAGGCCCATTCATGAACTGGGCCATACTTTTCCTCCTCTATTAACTAATTACAGGAATTCTCCATAAGACAATAGCCGGGAGTCACGGGAGAGAAGGCAAAACAGCAGGGTCAGGTACTATGAAGATTTGGGCTGCATACTTATGAAATTTTTCTATGCTTCCTTACCTGATAGAGCCCCGCTTTGTATATATTCTTTCCATTTTACAACAAAATGCTGCGGCAAACATTCAGTTTTATGATTCATTAGATCAGGTAACAAACAATTGATACAATTGATGATGAACAATTCAGATTAGATATGCACTTGGTGTTCCACGGTCAGACCTCCAGTCTCTACCAGAGCCCTATAGCAAGCCAGGAGCTCTATTTGAATGAAGAAATGTTGTGAGCAGAACAGGGCGTGACCTTACTAAAAAATCCTAGAAGTATGCACTGTGATTCTCCTAATGAGGCACCTCTGTCTGCCATAGTCATTTCCAACACCATTGGGTGGGTCATAAGACTCAAATGGAAGGGCAGTTGGTGCTACAGCTTGGACCTGCTGCAAAGCCTTTTCTTATTTCATGCCCCATTCAACACTGACAGTCTGACAGCTAGATGCCAAGTAGTTTGGAGCAGCAGGCTCCAATGTGGTAATATGTTGCTTCTAAAATCCAAGGGGCCAATCAGATGTGCCTCTTTCCTCACTGACATGGCAGCACCTGAACTAATATGAGGTTCGTTTCTGTCCTCTGGCATGTGCCAACTTACTAAAACACCTCATTTGTTGGCTATATCCTGCTCACCAGACCCAACTAACATATAGTAGTGTAACAGACCGGTGTGCTGAATAGTTTCTGTTTTCACTCCAGGTGCACCCACTATTCTTTCCCACAATTCTCTGTGTGCCATAAAACTGACCTTCATTGATTTCCTCAATGAGCTCCCTTGACCTCTGGCTTCAAATTGTGACATGGAAGCAAAACCAGAGATAAAATAATGACACAAATTTTTTTGGTGGTAAAATATACGTAACATGATATTTATCATTTTAATCTCTTGTAAGTATACAATTAAGTTCAGTTTAACATATTCATTCCCAAATTATTCACTACTATCTGTACATACAACGTTTTCATCATTCTCAACAAAAACTCTGTACCCATTAACCAATAATTCCCCTCCTCCTACTCCCTCAGTTTCTGGTAACCTCTATTATACTTTCTGTCTCTATGAATTTGCCTATTATAGGTATCTCATGTAATAGAAGGCTAAAGTTTTCTAATAGAAAACTGAAGTAATATTTTTTACTTTTGCCTGGAACATTACTGATCCTTGTTTCATTTCTCAGAATCAAAGAAACTGATTTTGAGCTATTTATGGCCTTTAATAATTGAGTAAGGTATAATATACCTGTGAACAAAATTTGGAGCATATTTGTTTCTCTGTCTCTGCCTGGCTTCTCCAGAATTTGGAAACTAGTTGTGAGTATTCTTAATTTATGGCAATATAGTTGTTTGCATCAGTGCAATAAAAATCCATGGAATGGTTCCATATTTGTTTTTCTCTGCCTGACCTATTTTACTTAACATAATGTTTTCAAGGGCCATCCATGTTGTAGTATGTATCAAATTACATCCCTTTTATGGCTGAATAATAGTTCATTTTATGTGTACAACACATTTTCTTGATCCATTCATCTGTCCATGGATCCGTGGGTTGCTTCCTCTTTTGGTTATTGTGAATAGGGCTGTTATGAGCATTTGTATACAAATATGTTTTAGTCTTTATGTTCAGTTTCTCTGGATATATACACAGGAGTAGACTTTCTGGATACTATAGTAGTTCTCTACTTAACTTTTTTGAGGAAATGACACATTGTTTTCCATAGAGGCTTTAATTGGTACAATCTTTTAATCCTTGCCACCCAGCAGGTCATGGGTATAAACCAAAGGTCATGGGGAAGAGGTGGGGGAGTTGGTAAATCGGATGTAGTGCTTGACATTCCCAAAGTCAAAATATGGTAGTTTTACTTAATTGCAAAGCTGGCTTAGAGTTCACAACCAATGGGGCTTAGTGCTTTCATGGATTCTTTTAATAAATTCTGAATTTTGATGCCATAGGGGATGATAATTGCATGGAGAAACATGTGATAGAGACAGGAGACAGCCAAATGCCACCCAGGTCATTGTGCACAGGGGGCTTCCCCAAACCTGCCCATGGTGAAAAATTCTGTCCCTTAACACATTATTTTCTTAATGTGCATTAAGGAAAATAAGTAAATGTGGAGTGGCTCAGACCAGGAGTCTACTTGCACACTAGGAGAATGGGGTGGAGCACCAGGAATTCACACCTTATGCAGGGGAGAGGAGCCTGGCCTCTCCAGCTCATGTGTGGTGTCCTGGTATTCAATCTGTGAGATGGGAGCCTGTTAGCAGGATGTCCTTTTTTCACTGGGAGCTTTATTTTAATAAATTCCACTCTCCCTGGGGACAGTGGCTCACACCTGTAATCCCAACAATTTGGGAGGCCAAGGTGAGCAAATCACCTGAGGTCAGGAGTTCAAGACCACCTTGACCAACGTGGAGAAACCCTGTCTCTACTAAAAATACAAAATTAGCTGGGCGTGGTGGTACATGCCTGTAATCCCAACAACTCGGGAGGCTGGGGCAAGAGAATTGCTTGAACCTGGGAGGCGGAGGTTGCAGTGAGCTGAGATTGCGCCATTGCACTCCAGCTTGGGCAACAAGAGTGAAACTCCATTTCAAAAAATATAAATAAATAAATAAATACCACCCTCCTCACCTTTCAATGTGTCCACGTGCCTAATTTTTCCTGGTCGTGACACAAGAACCCAGATTTTAGCTTAACTAAAAAGCAAAAAATCTTGCATTATGTTCATGGCCCATATGGGCACATGAGAAAAGCTGATTATATGCTATTAATCACAATGAAGTTGTTATGTTAAGTTATTGCAAACCATGGAGATAACCAAATTTCTTTGTCAACCATGTTTCCAACTGCAACTACCCTGGACAGTTATTCACAGACAATTGTTGTCTTGTTTTGATTCTTTTCAAAAGTTGGTTTATAATCAGCTATAGGACTTTGACAGGTGCTCTCAAATGCAGGTTTCTGATAACTTTGGAGATTATGACATTGAAATAAAGGAAAAACGTACAGGATTCATGAAGAGCTGAAATGTTCATGAATATCAAACAGAACAAGAGTTAACAGAATGGACTGAACTAATAGAAAACTGAAGTAATGTTTTCTGACTTTTGCTTGGAACATTGCTGATCCTTATTTTGTTATTCAGAGTCAAAGAAACTGATTTTGAGCTATTTATGGCCCTTAATAATTGAGTAAGGTATATTCCTGAGAACAAAATTTGGAGCATATTTGTTTCTCTCTGCCTGGCTTCTCCAGAATTTGGAAACTAGTTGTGAGTGTTCTTAACTTATGGCAATATAGTTGTTTGCATCAGTATAATAAAAATTCATTTTCTTTTGCAACAAGACACAAATGGAGAAACTGATTTTTTTACCAAGGCTTTGACTGGAAGGGTGTGCTTCCTTTTAAGGAGTCAAGCTCGACTTGCAGAGCCAATAAAAGCCCCTTGGGAAAACTGGACTTGTCTACACAGTCCCTGTACAGGGTTCCTAACCTGCAAATAAAGAATGAGTGAGAAAAGAATGTCACTTTCTGGCTGGGCACGGTGGCTTATGCCTGTAATCCCACCACTTTGGGAGGCCGAGGCGAGCAGATCACTTGAGACCAGGAGTTTGAGACTAGCCTGGCCAACATAGAGAAACTGTCTCTTCTAAAAAACACAAAAACTAGCTAGGCATGGTAGCACACACCTGCAGTCCCAGCTACTCAGGAGGCTGAGGCACGAGAATTGCTTGAACCCAGGAGGCAGAGGTTGCAGTGAGCCAGGATCATGCCACAGCACTCCAGAGCAAGAGTCTGTCTCAATTAAAAAAAAAAAAAAAAAAAAAAAAGAATGTCACTTTCTAACAGGCCCAGGAACTCCATATTCTTGGGACCTCAAGAAGAGAGAAGTTTACCCAACTCACAGGTACTTGAGGGTACAAACTCGTGGCTGGGTTTGGCTTTAGAAAGTCCTATCTGAGATTCTTTGTGGAATAGAGTTCCATGAAAGCCAATTTTAAAAGCCTATGTAGAAATAATTATTCTTGCTGCACTTTATGCAAATAATCAGGCCAAGTATAAGATTAAAGTTTATTTTACAAACAACTCAGTCCCATTATGATTTGTTTTTAACAAAAATGAGGGCCGGGCGTGGTGGCTCATGCCTGTAATCCCAGCACTTTGGGAGGCTGAGGCGGGCGGATCATGAGGTCAGGAGATCGAGACCACGGTGAAACCCCCTCTCTACTAAAAACACAAAAAATTAGCTGGGTGCGGTGGCGGACGCCTGTAGTCCCAGCTACTTGGGAGGCTGAGGCAGGAGAACTTCATGAACCCGGGAGGTGGAGCTTGCAATGAGCAGAGATCGTGCCACTGCACTCCAGCCTGGGTGACAGAGTGAGACTCTGTCTCAAAAAAAAAAAAAAAAAAAAAAAAAGAGGACTGGAGAGAAAGAAATTGTGTTTCAGGACTTATCATACATTTGTCATTGAATTCTGTACTCATTAGTTGTTATTAACTTTTTGCCTACATTTTAAACTAACTCTGCTTATTCCTGTGAACAAACCAGCAATCTACAACTGCAGCTCAGAAGGAACAAAAGGAATGGGTAATGTAAAAATCTGGATCGATATTCTAGTTCTGAGCAATTATCCTGCAAATCCTGCCAAGTGACGGGAATAAATAGGGTGCCCATAGTCCAGAGGTTTCTTTTTGGGACAGTAAGACCAAGGGAACTAACCAAAGCCAAGCCCCATGCACCCGAATCTTAGCAAGCATAATTCTAGCTACCAGTTATCTGGGTGTGTCACAAGACATCCTTTTCTCTCCCTTGTTGGAGGAGGACTCAATTCCACAGCTTTGCCTTAGCATTCGGCTTATGATAAAAAGTCCATGCAATCCCCTGAGACACATTTTTGTCCAAATTCAGTTCCAAGTTTAGAGTCAAAGCCTTAGGAAAGAAAACTGGATCATAGGAATCCAGAGGCAAACAGTAAAGGAAGTTAAAAGGCATAGCACACGCGAGCTTGACTAATTCCTCCTGTTTCACGGATAAATGTCATGCTAGTATTCATGGCATAAATGAGGTCTAGGGAAATTGAAGGCCACTGACAGCATGGGAAATAGGAAATACGTGGGTAAGAGCTTTCTGTGTTGTAGACACTGCAAGATCATCTGAAACTTTATTTTGGAATCACCAAGCTAAAACAGCTTGTTTCAAAACTGAAGTGACAGAAAATCATTCAATCTGTTTTCCTTATCTAAAAAGAGAGGAATTGGACCAGACACTTTCTTAGGTATAAACGTTATAGTTCTAAAATATTCAAAAATATTCAACCTGAAATTTGCTTTTTCTCCTGTAATATCTTAAATGGCAGTATTAATATGACTAATGTTATCTAGAAAGTATAAAAATCTTCTTTGTCATGAAAGAGCTTCTGTATAGTATAAAAGTAAAACAAACCTAAATAGCCATATCTACTTGGCATGTAGCATCTAGAATTCACACTAAGAAAAGCCCTCTTCCCAAGTGATGCCCCACTCCCAGCAAGGATGACAGCAGCAGAGTGATAATTGAGAAAGGAATTTTATATGCTGGAAACTATTGTCTGTGTTACAGTTATAATTTAACATCAGATTAAGAATATGAAAAATGCCAGTTTGTCTGGTTTCAGAGAATAATGTTAACACATAATTATTCTGCTACATGAAAGTCATTTGTATAGATCGTCATAGTCTGGGAATAGGAATAAGTATCTGAACGCAGAGTTTTTAAGAAGAATGAGGCACCCAGGCATCTGTAGTCTGTTTACTTAGTGGTAATCTACTTTTTTTAGGGTAGTGTACTAAACTAGTTGGCTACCCAGTGTTGTAAATATCCAAAGGCCAATGCCAGCATGTGCTTACTTAACCTTGCCCTTTGAGTTAGTTCTGGACATCAGCTATACAAATTAACTTTCATCCTATTAGCCAAGTTCAAATAATACTTCAAAACAGTATTTGCTTTTTTGTACTACACAAAAATTTGGTATTTTCCTGATTTAAATGTTTCCAAAATGTATTTTTATACAGCTTGCATAAACTATAATCAAAGAAATAAAACAAGGAAATATTTTTTTTTTTTGGTAGAGACGGGATTTTGCCATGTTGCCCAGGCTGGTCTCGAACTCCTGAGCTCAGGTGATCTACCCGCCTCGGCCTCCCAAAGTGCTGGGATTATACGCATGAGCCACCATGCCTGGCCAGAAATACTATTTTTAATACATCAGATTAGAATTGGTTAAATGAAGATTAAAGATCAGCATGATTGTTAAGAAGAACATTAGGAAACCAATACTTACACAGAACAATACACCACAGAGAGTGGGAGTATAGTTCGGCACACCTGTCCAAATTGTTTGGCAATTCATATTCAAATGCTCTGGGGAAAAAGTGCATGCAATTTAATCCAAAGATTTATTTCGAGGAAATAATTGGACAAGAATATAAAGGACGACATACAAACATGCTCATTGCATAAGTGGTAAACTCAGAGATTTCTCGCTAAATATTTAAAAGTTAAGGCCTAAAGTCTCTGTTGTGAAATCCCCCTAACTGAATGTAACAATCAGGAGAGGGGGCATCCTCTTGCTACAGCTCCAGGAGAGCTGACCAAGCTGTGTTATTCACAAGAGGAGTAAGAGGATCATGGCCTGAGCCCAGGAGGACCATGGCTTGAGCCCAGGAGGTTGAGGCTGCAGTGAGCCAAGATCGCACCACTGCACTCCAGCCTGGGCAACAGAGTGAGACCCTGTCAAAAACAAAAAGAAAAAAGAAAACAAATCGACTCATTTCAGGTCTTTGGATAAAATATGCCTAGATTTGGGCTGGGCAGTGGCTCATGGCTATAATCCTAGCACTTTGGGAGGCCGAGGCAGGTGAATCACCTGAGGTCGGGAGTTCAAGACCAGCCTGACCAACATGGAGAAATCCTGTCTCTACTAAAAATGCAAAATTAGCCAGGCGTGGTGGCACATGCCTGTAATCCCAGCTACCCTGGAGGCTGAGGCAGGAGAATTGCTTGAACCCGGGAGGCAGATGTTGTGGTGAGTCAAGATCATGCCATTGCACTCCAGCCTGGGCAACAAGAGCGAAACTCCATCTCAAAAAAAAAAAAAAAAAAAAAAAAAATATATATATATATATACACACACACACACATATATGTATATATACATATATATATATATATACCTAGATTTTCTTTAGACAATTATATTCTTTTTAAAAAAAAATCTCCTAATCGTCTACATTTGCATTATGGTCAACTTACTATGTGCCTTGTTAGGCAGTGTGGAAGAAACTACTGGTACCACCTGTATCTGTGATTCCCTTGCTGGACAGGCAGCTAGACCACATTTCCCAATGCACCCTCCTCTTGCAGTTGGGTGGGACTTGTGCCTGAATTCTGGCCAGTGAAATTTAAGCAGATATGATATGTGATGTCAAGAGCCAATTAGGAAAACAGATATAAAGCATTTCTAGTAACAGAAAGTTAATGCAGATTATTGCTTGCACAGGTATTGGAAGGGCTCAGAAAGTAAAAAGAAGAGTAAAGTGATGAAATACACAGATTAGTAATGTCAGAAAGCACCTACCATGTACATGATTGGAAGAATAATGGGAAGAGTTGGTGTCACCAGAGACCAGAAATGTAGAGGAGATGCCACCTGGGTGGTGCTTGGGACCACAGAGAAAGAGCCCTTGAGCTGTTGCTGGATCCACTGAAAGATGGAGGGACCACCACAGAGCACTGCTGGGATCATGAGGAAGAGGCCCCTAGCAGGTTCTGGGACCACGAGCAGGATCTGAGTGCTGATGCTGAGACTGAGGAAGTCAGCACCGGGAATGGGCTGTGCCCATTGGATAATGAGACAGTTAAAAGACACTTTTCCATAGCTGGCTGCTTCTGAAAGAATATTGACACAATGAAGGATGTGTTCCTTTTCTTTCCCCCCATCTTCTAATCTCCCACTATCTTCTCATTGGTAGAAAGAAGTTGACCAGAAGCCAGCTAGCAAAAGAGTCTGAGAAATAAAGTTTCCAAGGCTCTCAGCCCAAAAATACGTATCCAGGCACAGAAGAGAGAGGTGGGCATAGGGACTGAGAGCAAAGAGGCAGATGACAGGTGAAAGGCCAACTGCTGAGAGCCTGGAATGCCATGCCAAGAGGTTTGGATTGTTCCTGAGGCAACAAGAGGCTTTCCGAAGAAGAAATAAATTAGATTTCCTGGAAGTCTAACTGTACCTGAGTTTTAACAATATTTAAATTGAAGAGGAAGAGAATGTAATTATGACCAAACTTCATTTTATTATCATACAACACATTTTTCTTCTGTTTAAAAATACATACTTACAGTGAAAAATTTGAGAACAACATAAATTATTAAAAAGAAAATAATCCTGCCATCTAGAGATTGTCACAATTACTATTTCAATATAGTTCCTTCTTTTTGTCTAAAAATACATGTTTTTAAATATTAAAATGATAAAGTAGGGCAGGTGCAGTGGCTCACACCTGTAATGCCAGCACTTTGAGAGGCTGAGGCAGGAGGATTGTTTGAGCCCAGCAGTTCGAGACCAGCCTGGGCAACATTGTGAGATCCCATCTCTAAAAAAACAATTAAAAATAAAAAAATTAGCTGGGCATGGTGGTGTATGCCTGTAGCCCTAGCTACTCAGGAGGCTGAGGTGAGAGGATCGCTTGAGCTCAGAGTTCAAGTCTGCAGGGAACCATGATCACGCCACTGCCCTCCAACCTGGCTGACAGAATAAGACCCTATGTCAAAAATAAAAATAAAATGACAAGGTAAAAATATTTTATAGCTTTTTCTTTAACCAACATATTGTATTTCTTTATAGGGTAACTTTAATAATTGCATAATATTTTATCGAATAACATACACTATAAATTACTTAACCATTCACAACATTGTTAAACTTGGAACAGGATGATAAAATGGAAGTTTTCTAGACCCTGAGGTGTTTAGATATCAGATACCAATGTGATTTGTAAGACAAACTACTCTGTAAAAATATCAAAATAATTGTCTGAAAACTTGCTCATAACTTTTGAATACCTTATCCTCATCTAGGATATAAAGGGGTCAAAAGTGGAGACAAAAGGAAGATTTATAAAAAGGAGTTCCCCAGAGAGATTCAAGCTGAGTCCCAGTGGGAAAGGGAAAAGGAAGACTTTCTCTTTTTGTTCTTTTTTTTTTTTTTTTTTTGAGACGGAGTCTCGCTCTGTCGCCCAGGCTGGAGTGCAGTGGCGGGATCTCGGCTCACTGCAAGCTCCGCCTCCCGGGTTCACGCCATTCTCCTACCTCAGTCTCCCAAGCAGCTGGGACTACAGGCGCCCGCCACTACGCCCGGCTAATTTTTTGTATTTTTAGTAGAGACGGGGTTTCACCGTTTTTAGCCGGGATGGTCTCGATCTCCTGACCTCGTGATCCGCCCGCCTCGGCCTCCCAAAGTGCTGGGATTACAGGCGTGAGCCACCGCGCCCGGCCTCTCTTTTTGTTCTTACATCAAGAAAGTTGGCCCTCAGTGGAGTCACTCTGAGGGCTAATATGATTCCGCTGTAATTAGGGGGATGTAGTAGACTAGCATCTAATTCTTGGTTGGAAAACATACCAGGCAGAGACCTGTTGATGAGCTGCTTTATGGCAAGAGGAGAGGAGGGAAGCTGAGTGTCTCCACTCTCAGAGCTTGTTAGGGTAAAAAAAATGCTGGGTGTTTCCCGTGAATGAGATTCGGAGCACATTTGTAAAAAGAGCTAGCCTGGAGCTGCCTTAAATTCGGTCCAAGGGAAGCTGTCTGGAGGGATCCGGTTCCAAAAAAAGTCTGTATGAAGCAGACCATGTTGTGGGCAGAAGTATGTCTTCTACAGACCACAAATAGAAAACAGGAGTTGAGGGGGCAGAGTTCAGCTGTTGGAAAATACATCATCTATAACCGTGCTTTCTCAACTGGGGATTATTTTGCACCCTTGGGGACATTTGATAATGTCCAAAGATATTTTTGGTTGTCACAACTGATACGAGCGTTACACTCACGGGTAGAGGCCAGATATGGTGATTAACATCCTATACGAGACAACAATTATCTAGCCCAAATGGCAAGAGTGCTGTGGTTGAGAAACCCGGATCTATATCATGGAGAAGGAGAGAAAGAGTCAGTACAGTATTAAACATCTGTCAAAAAATGGATTGTGGGATGATTGCATAACTCTATTAACATATTAAAATTCTAAAAACCATTGAGACGTACACTTTAAATGGATGAATTATTACATATGTGAATCATATCTCATATAATAATTTATAATTTTCTACTATAACTTTATTTCTATAATATGGCAATGCCCATTGTTTTATAAAAACATCATTTTATAAAAATAAATTTATAATAAAAAAAGTTAATATGTAACCAATACATTGAATAACCAGGACCCATGGAAGTTAATCAGAAGGAAACTTTATTTTTATATCCTAGTATGGCTTTACAATCTGTCTATTGGAAGAAATTCTTTCCCAACCACTGGAAAAATTTTTTAAAATCATTCCCATGATCCCTTATTTTCAGCAAAACAGTCTTGATTTAGAAATTACAATGTTTAGTCCTATGTAATAACCACAACTATGAATTTAATTTAAATTGTCACCTGAAAGACTTTCAGGGATCATTTCTATCGTTTGTTACCAGAGAAGTTTCTCTGAATGTATAGAGCACAAATAATAACATTAAAAAATAACAAAAAAAAAATTGCACTTGACTCCCAGCTTGGGCTTTCTGTAGTTAGAAAAAGGAAAATTAACTGAAAATTTCACTCATTTCACACCATCTTCTTTATGGCCCTTTCAGGCTTTAAAAGGATAAGGAGAAGAGGTTGAAGGATGAAAGATAAGGAAGAGCCAAAAAAAAAAAAAAAAAAAAAAAAAAAGCCCGGCCCTGGTGGCTCACGCCTGTAATCCCAGCGCTTTGGGAGGCCTAGGTGGGCGGATCACGAGGTCAGGAGATAAGAGATCGAGACCATCCTGGCTAACATGGTGAAACCCCGTCTCTACTAAAAATACAAAAAATTAGCCGGGTGTGGTGTCAGGTGCCTGTAGTCCCAGCTACCCGGGAGGCTGAGGCAGGAGAATGGCGTGAACCTGGGAGGTGGAGCTTGCAGTGAGCAGAGATCGCGCCACTGCACTCCAGCCTGGGCGACAGAGCGAGATTCCGTTTCAAAAAAAAAAAAAAGAGCAAAAAAAGATTCCCAGCTAACTGCTACTGATGTAACTTCATGCTTACATCTTATGATAACTTTACGTGTAACCTTTTCAGGAACTGTCAGGATGTTTTCCAAGGTAGGTGAAACGTTTCATATTCTTACCAGCAATGTATGAGGATTCTGACTTCTCAACATCCTCATCAACGCTTGTTATTATCTGACTTTTTTATTATAGCCATACTAACAGGTGTGAAATGGTATCTAATTATGATTTTGATTTTCATTTCCCTGACGTCTAATGATGATGAATATATTTTCATGTACTTATTTGCCATTTGTATCTCTTCTTTGAAGAAATATTTGTTTATATCCTCTGCTCATTTTTAAATTGAATTATCTGTCTTTTTATTACTGAGTTGTAAGAGTTCTTTATATATTCTAGATGTAAATTCCTTATCAGACACATGACTTGTAAATATTTTCTCCCATTCTCTGGGTTGTCTTTTGACTTTCTTGCTTGTGTCATTTGAAATGCAAAGATTTCTAATTTTGATGAAATTCAATTTACTTTTTTGTTCTGTCACTTGTGCTGTAGGTGTCACATCTAAGAAGGTTTTGCTGGTACCAAAATCACGAAAATTTACTCTTACATTTTCTTCTATATGTTTTATAAGTTTAGCTTTTACATTTAGGTTTAGGTCTTTTACGTTTAGCTTTAACATTTGACTTAATTTTGTGTTTTAAGTGTGAGGGAGGGATCAAACTTGATTCTTTTGCATGTGAATATTCATTTGCCTCAACATCATTTGTTGAAAATATTATTTTTCCCCATTGAACAGTCTTGGTACCCTTGTTGAAAATCAACTGACCATCAATGAAAAGTGTTTATTTCTAGGCTCTCAATTCTAGTCCATTGATCTATATATGTCTATCCTCATGCCAGTACCACATTGTATTAATTACTGTAGTTTTGTAGTATGTTTTAAAATTCAGGTTATTTCCTTAGGTATCTAGAATCACTGAGTCAAAGAGTATAAATGTTTTTAAAGATTTTGATACATGTTGATAAACCTTCTTCCAGTAAAATCAAATTAGTTAATAAATCTACCAAAAGTAGACCATATATTTCCAATGAATCACAATTTTTATATTTCAACAAAATTGGCAAGTTATGAATCTGAAATAGATGCAGCAGTGTTACATTAATGGATATAAGGATCTAGTATGCAACTATATTAATTTCCTGTTGCTATTGTAACAAATTGCCACAAATTTAGTAACTTAAAATAACACAAATTTAGCCAGGTGCAGTGGCATGTGCCTGTAGTCCCACCTACTCAGGAAGCTGAGGTAGGAGGATTGTTTGGGCCCAAGTGTTTGAGGATGTAGTGTGCTATGATCAGGCCTGTAAATAGCCACTGCACTCCAGGCTGGGCAACACAGTGAGACCCTGTTTCTAAAAGACAACACAAATATATTATCTTACAATTTTGGAGGCTGGAAGTTCAAAATCAGTTTTACATAGTTATAGTTGAGATGTTTACAAGGTGTGGGTTTTTTCTGGAGGATCTTAAAGGAGAATTCATCTTCTTGCATTTTTCTGCTTCTAGCCTGTATTCTTTTTTTGAGACTGAGTCTTGCTCTATCACTCAGGCTGGTGTGCAGTGGCACAATCTTGGCTCCCTGCAACCTTCACGTCTCGGGTCCAAGTGATTCTCATGCCTCAGTCTCCCGAGTAACTGGGATTACAGGCACCCACAACAACACCCGGCTAATTTTTGTATTTTTAGTAGAGACGGGGTTTCACCATGTTAGCCAGGCTGGTCTTGAACTCCTGACCTCAAGTGATCCACCTACCTCGGCCTCCCAAAGTGCTGGGATTATAGGCATGAGCCACTGCACCCAGCCTAGCCTGTATTCTTTAGCTTGTGGCTTCTTCCTCCATCTTCAAAGTATGTCATCACTACTCATCTACTTCTTCATCACATCACCTTCTTCTCTAACTTTTGATTCCTCATGTATCTCTCTTATAATGAGTTCTGTAATTACATCAGGCACACCTAGATAATCAGGATAGTCTCTCCATCTCAAGATCCCTGATTTAATCATATCTGTAAAGTGTCTTTTGCCTTATAAGGTAACATTTACAAGTTCCAGGGCATAAGACATAAATAGGAGAGGTCTTCAAAAAACTCACAGAAAATACATATTATGAAAAAACTATGCATGGACTTTAAGTTTTTTTGCACCAAAATAAGCTCGTACTAACTTATTACAACATGTCTAAACAGAATCTAGTTTAAGGCACTAAAAAGGATAAGACATCAGTTTGAGAAAAGCCCCTATCACAGCAACACGAATTCTGCTAAAATTAACACAAGAACAAACATAAAATTTGTGGTGAAGCTTAGGTGAGAGAAGACGAAATCATTAATGCTTTACAAAAAGCTTACAGGGACAGTGCCTCAAAGGAATCAGAGGTTACAATTGGATATTTGTTTTAAGAAGGGACAAGACAATGTTGAAGATGAAGCCCTGAATGGCAGACCATCCACATCAATTTGTCGGGAAAAAAATGTATCTTGTTCATGCCTTAATTCAAGAGAAGTGACAACAGCACAAACAATAGCCAACACTATAGACATCTCAATTGATTTCATTCACACAATTCTGACTGAAGAAACAAATTTGAACAAACTTTCCAGTCAATGGAAGCCAAAACCATTGCATGCAGATCAGCTGCAGACAAGAACAAGCTTCAATGGAAATTTTAACCAAGTGGGATCAAGATCCTGAAGGATTTCTTCAAAGAATTGTAACAGGAGGTGAAACATGGCTTTACCAGTATGACCCTGAAGACAAAGCACAATCAAAGCAATGGCTACCAAGAGGTGGAAGGGTCTATCTAGTCAAGAGTAAAAGTCATGGTAACAGTGTATCAGGATGCTCAAAGCATTTTACCTGTTGATTTTCTGGAGGGCTGAAGAGCAATAACATCTGCTTATAATGAGAGCGTTTTTGAGAAATTTAGCCAAAACTTTAGCAGAAAAACATGGAAGAAAACTTTATCAGAGTGTTCTTCACCACCACGACAATGCTCCTGCTCATTGCTCTCATCAAACAAGGGGAACTTTGTGAGAGTTTTGATGGGAAATCATTAGGTATTTACCTTACAGTGCTGATTTCACTCCTTTCAACTTCTTTTTGTTTCCTAATCTTAAAAAATCTTTAAAGAGAGCTCATGTCTGTTAGTAATATAAAAAAGACTACATTCACATGGTTAAATTCCCAGGATTTTCAGTTCTTTAGGAAGGGACTAAACAGCTGGTATCATTGCTTACAAAAAAGTATCTTGACCTTGATGGAAGTTATGTTGAGAAATAAAGTTTATCATTTTATTTTTATCTTTTAACTCCATTTTTCCATAAACTTTTTGAAATTCCTTCATATGTTTGGGAACCATTATTCAGTCAGCCACAAAAACCTTTTATAGATACTCTATAAATTTATTCACAAGTAATAAACTTTCACATTCTTTAGTTGTTAAATCAGTGTAATGACATAAAATTACAACTAATTCCATTAAAATTAACCTGCATTTATTGATGGTACAACCAGGAAAAAAGCTGAAGACCATATATTACAATGAGGTAATTTTGTGATATCTGCAGTCATGAGCCAGAGAGGTCACTGGGGAACAAACATACAGTAAAGGGGGAAACTTACTGAGCCTCACTGATAAAGGACCTCTGGGCCACAGCACGAGGGAGAAGATTGTAAGTTACAGTTTTTGCAGACTGCTCTAAATACCATAGGTAATGCCACATAAGTGCATGTGATCAGAAGTGTGCCATAATTTTTTATTACTTCAGCTGAATACCTGAAAGTTGAGAACTACTGGTAATTGGAAAATTACTTATCCAAATTTCTTAAAGTTCTATATTGTAAATTAATGGCTCACAAAGTACGGTCCAGGTACCACCTGTTATTTCCAAGGACCTCACAGTTATAAGGATCAGAATTATGTCTTTTAATTTTTTTTTTTTTTTTTTTTGAAACGGAGTCTCCCTCTGTCGCCCAGGCTGGAGTGCAGTGGTGCTATCTCGGCTCACTGCAAGCTCCGCCTCCTGGATTCATGCCATTCTCCAGCCTCAGCCTCCAGAGTAGCTGGGACTACAGGCGCCCGCCACCACGCCCGGCTAATTTTTTTGTATTTTTAGTAGAGACGGGGTTTCACCGTGTTAGCCACTATGGTTTCGATCTCCTGACCGCTTGATCTGCCCGCCTCGGCCTCCCAAAGTGCTGGGATTACAGGCGTGAGCCACCGCGCCCGGCCTTAAGTGTTTTTAATAGATCATTGCTTGTTTTGTCATGTAGCATAAGTCAATTAATTTTCCATAATAATTGATAGATGTCACCTTATAGGTGTTGCATTAAATCAGCTCTAGACTTGCAACAAGTTGATCTGCTTTTGTTTATCAGCAGTAACACAATGAAGAGATTGAGAGGGGAAATCAAAGACACCTTGAACACCAAACTAAGATCTAAAGTTTGAGAACTAGTGGATTTTTTAAAAGGCAATTTAATTAATTTCACTTTAGCACCACCTAGTGGAAAGTTTGAAGAAATAAATTGGATTTTTTTCTGTCTTTCAAACAAGGAAAAATGTAAAGTGTCCTGAGTTCATTTTAAAGTCAGCTCAAAGTAAATTGCACTTCCTAAAGTGATCGAGGAAACGAATATGCTCCATTTAAAAACAAGAAGCCCTGTAGTCTCAACTATTTATGAAGCTGAGGAGGGGGATCACTTGAGCCCAAGAGTTAGAGTCCAGCTTGGGCAACATTGTAAAATCCCATCTCAAAAAAAAAAACTGGAAGCAACTTTATATTTGTAAAACTCCTTTTTTTCTAGTTATAAGTTGAAACTTACCCATCTTATGTATTTTACAAAGTAAAAAAGTCTACTAGGTTAAAACTCATTCATAATTCCCCCATTCAAGTATGTATGTAATTTCAGACATTTTTTTCTATGTCCATGGGTGTACATTTACATTTCAAAATGGAGTTTATGTTGTAGTACTGTTTTCATTTAACACTTCGTTGGTTACATCAAGCTATTAAATATCTATTACAATGTTTCATGGATGGATTCAGTTAAAATATATGTAATTTGAACATATATCTTGGCAAATAAGCAAAAGAGAAAACTTTGAAAAAGATAGGCTGGAAGTTGAGTCTGAAAATTCTATGAACTAGATAAGCAACCTCAGGCTAAATCTGTTGAAGGTCAGTTTGTTATCAATAAAACTTGAATAAAGTCAATTTCATAAGGTTAATAGGAATAAATGGCACATTGTGCAAATAAAAAACTAGTATACAGAGATAATTAATAAATAGTAACTATAGCTATAAGTTGGTTGATGCAAATTTAATAGATATAAAAATCATTTAGCTGGCCGGGTGTGGTGGCTCACACCTGTAATCCGAGCACTTTGGGAGGCTGAGGTGGGCAGATTACTTGAGGCTGGGAGACCAGCCTGGCCAACATGATGAAACCACTAAAAACAAACAAACAAACAAACAAAAATTAGCCGGGCATGGTGACGGGGGCCTATAATCTCAACTACTCCAGAAGCTCAGACAGGAGAATTGCTTGAACCCGGAGGTGGAGGTTGCAGTGAGCCGAGATTGCACCACTGCACTCCAGGCTGGGCTACAAAGCAAGACTCCATTTCTAAATAAATAAATAATTTAGTTATGCTGGAAAGTCATTCCATGGTTATTAAAATTAATCTGTCACAACTAAGCCTTAAAACTTCTTTATTTTGAAGAACATTCATAGAATTTGCTTAAAAATTAAATTGATTTAATAAAATGTTAAATTTTTATAGCACGCATGTTTTATTAATATAATATCTGTCTGAAATTAAATAAAAATGAGAGCTGGGTGCAGTGGCATGGGCCTGTAATCCCAGCTACTCAGCAGGCTGAGGTGGGAAGATTGCTTCAGCCCAGAATTTCCAGGCTACAGTGAGCTACGATAATGCCACTGCACTCCAGCCTGGGTGACAGAGTGAGACCTTGTCTCTAAAAAATAAGTAAAATGAGTCAAATGCATACCATTTTATGAAGTTGTAAGAATAATGTGGTTTCAGCTTTTACTTCTATGTATTTAATTACTATACATCTAATGTCATGATCTGTCATGACATACTTCATATGTCTTCACTCTTGGACATATTTAGGGCATTTAAAAAATGAGATTAAACAAGTAAACAATATGAATATATTGTTACATGTGTTTTTAAATTTTAACTAATGTATGTGTGGTGAATGTTCATAGTTTCCATTATTTTCTTATTTCTAAACTGTTATGATCATTATCTGTATTTATACATCTTTGCATGCAGCCAATGCAGAAATGAAATTGTAAAAATAGTGACCAATTTTTTTTAATTTTTAAAAAAGAAATGAAATTGTGGGAATAATGGCAAGTTTAGAGTAGCGATTATAACTTTTTTTTTTTCTTAGAGATAGAGTATCATTCTGTCACTGAGTCTGGAGTGCAATGGTACAATCATAGCTCACTATACCCTCACACTTCTGGGGTCAAAAGATCCTTGCAACTCAGCCTCCTGAGTACCTGGGACCACACGCATGCACCATTATCAGCCGGCTAATTTTTGGTATTTTACATAGTGAGGGGGAGGTGGGGGATGCCTCAATATGTTGCCCAGGTTGGTCTTGAACTCCTGTCCTCAAGCACTTCTCCCACTTTGGCCCCCCGAAGTGCTAGGATTACAAGCATAAGCTGCTGTAACTTGCCATTATTCCCACAATTCCCCAGCCTGTGCCAGACAGGTTGTTCTTTAAGGAATCATCCCACAAAGGCAGAGGTAACTCCTTAAAACAAATTAAAAGTAAGCAATTTTATGGTGACCACTAGTAATCTCTCTTATGATCCAGCTAGATCCAGGTGTTGAGTTTACAATACCTAAAAGAATATTCGGAGTACATCCTAGTTCAGGCTCTGTGGAAATAACGTCTGAGATGGTGATCTGCACACAGGGAGTTTATTGGGGCGTGCGCTCAGGAGGAACACCTATAGGGGTGCCAGGGAAGTAAACTGGGCAGAACTTAAACTGTGATGCAGCAGCTGGAGAGGCTTCAGTCAATCCCAGAGAGAGACCTGGAGCTGGATCGCCCTTCAGAGATGAAGGAAAGAAGGTCACCTGTGCCCTCACCCCAACCAATAGCTGGATGGAAGCTGTCTCCAGGGAGAGGACGTAACCTTGGATAAGTCAGCCTCCTTCTGCTAAGGGTGATTTCTGAAGAGGAACTGTGAGACATCAGTAGCCAACAGTGTGAGCAGCTGGGGAAATGAGTGTGTCAGTCCTGAAGGGCCAGATCTGGAAAATACACCACAGCAGCCAGCACAAAGTATAAATTCTCTGTCAGTCTTCCCAGAACATGACTTCTCTCACTCAGCTGAGATATTGATAACATCTCAGCAATTGATACATAATGCTTGACCGTTACTGAAACTGCAGATTTTCTCTGCTGTCACTTAAATAGACTCATGTGTGTTATCAGGCAAGTCAGAGGTCTGACATTCTCTGTGAAAACTGAGAAAACTAACCAAAAATTGCATCTGAATGAAGGCCACTACTTCTCCAAGGAGATAGATGATCCAAAGAAGTATGTATGCTGAAGGTCAGATCCAGAATCTACTTATAATTTTTTTAAATTTCTTTCCAAAAGGTAGATAAACAAGGGCTTGAGGTCCTGAAAGTCCATTCTACATAGCATGGCAGCTTGGCCTCAAAAATTTCAGCCTGCAAAATGAGGAGGCACTCTGAGGTTTCTAAGCTTCATTCAGTTAGAATAGAAGGTAGTCGCTAAAGACATTCAAAGAATCAGCAGTATGTTGAGAAGGAAACTAGCTAACTGCATTAATCTTGATCAAGATGAAGACTTGCCATAAAATGCACCACAAGTCCTGAAGCTGGTGAAAGGAAGTTTCTTCATAATTATAGTGTTCCTTAATGTTTTCTGTAGACTCCAAATGGAGTTGGAGGAATTCTATTTCCCCCGATGATTATGCTTTAACAGGATCTATTTTTCTCTTTTGAATTCCTAGGGCATCCTCTTAGATATTCAAACAACATTTCTCCATTTCTTGGATACTGGAGTGTACATGACAAACTTTATGTTCTGTATTGATGTGCCTAAGATTCTGCAACTTTTGGCAGAAAAGTATTTGCAAAATACTTTTCTATTTGTCTGGTGCTTTCTTTTTTCTTTTCTTTTTTTTTTCTTTTCTTTTTTTTTTTTTTTTTTTTTTTTTGAGACAGAGTCTTGCTCTGTTGCCCAGGCTAGAGTGCAGTGGCACGATCTCGGCTCACTGCCAGCTCCACCTCCCGAGTTCACGCCATTCTCCTGCCTCAGCCTCCCAAGTAGCTGGGACTACAGGCACCCGCCACCACACCTTGCTAATTTTTTGTATTTTTAGTAGAGACAGGGTTTCACCGTGTTAGCCAGGATGGTCTCGATCTCCTGACCTTGTGATCCACCCACCTCAACCTCCCAAAGTTCTGGGATTACAGGGGTGAGCCACCGCGCCCAGCCGGTGCTTTCTTAACTTCTCCAGGTATGTTGGGAAAGATTGCCTTCTCCACTTGGTGTAGTCACTATTAATTCCTCCAACTGTCAGCCCCTCTCAGTCCATTCCTGGCCCATCTGTCCTGTGGCATCGCCCTACTGTGCTCCCTCTCAGATTCTCATTTCCATCAGTCAGCGATTCTGAGTATATTCTAAGTGCATTCAAGTCTAATTATGTAAAAGAATCATTTCTCCAAAGAAGCAACATAATTCTGCTAAAGCCTATTCTGATCATCTTTATAAGTTATTATTTTTTTGATTTCACGTTTCATAAATTATTTATGAGGTTGAACATTTCTCACATGTTTATTGGTCATTTGGGTATTTTCTCTGATGAATTCCTGGCTATTGTCTTTGCCCATTTTTCATTGAAAATGTGTTTTTATTTCTATTGATTTGTACGTGACCTTTATCCATTAAGGATATCAATCCATTTTTCCTCAATCTGTTTTTTTTTTAGTAAAATGTAGAGAAAAATAATGACTTACCAAAACGACTTCAAATTTAACCTTTGCAATTGAGTTCAACATTCTCCCATCATAAACTGACATCTTTTTAAATATGTTCATAAATCTGTCTATGATATCACCGTTCTTCTCATCTCTAAGCTTGGAATTTTCTTTTTCCTTTTTGTTTTTAAGAGACAGAGTCTCACTCTGCTGCCCAGGCTGGAGTGCAGTGTTATGATCATAGCTCTCTGTAGCCTCAAACTCCTGGGCTCAAGTAATCTTCCCATTTCAGCCTCTGGAGTAGCTGAGACAACAGATGTGCACCACCATGCCTGGCTATTTTAATTTAAAATTTTTTGTACAGATGGGGTCTGGCTACGATGCCCAGGCTGGTCTCAAACTCCTGACCTCAAGCAATCCTCCTGACTCGGCTTCCCAAAGTTGTAGGGCTAAGGATATATCTATTTGTTATGTACTAAATGCTTATAAATTATTTATATTATAAAATATAGACAAGCATTTTACAGTATGATATAAAGAAGAAATAATTTAAAATCGTTTAGTTTTACTAATGGTATAAAGATACTTTTTGCTCTTACTATTAATATTTTTGCTGAGTACTGAGTGAATATGCATAATCATTTTTATTTTGAGTAATCATTTTTCAATACAACAATCAAAAGTTAAATTGTAAGTTCAGCTTATTTTGATAATCAGCTGTATTTTTAAAAGATACCTCTCGGTGCGGTGGCTCACGCCTGTAATCCCAGCACTTTGGGAGGCTGAGGTGGGCAGATCACGAGGTCAGGAGATCAAGACCATCCTGGCTAACATGGTGAAACCCCGCCTCTACTAAAAATAAAAAAAATCAGCCAGGTGTGGTGGCACGTGCCTGCAGTCCCAGCTACTCGGGAGGGCGAGACAGGAGAATCACTTGAACCCAGGAGGCAGAGGTTGCAGTGAGCCAAGATCGCACCACTGCCCTCCAGCTTGGGCGACAGAGCAAGACTCGGTCTCAAAAAAAAAAAAAAAATTAAAAATAAAAAGATACCTCACAAAAATATGTAGATCCAATACTTGCTATTCAATTTCATACACTTATTCAAAAGTTTTCATTGAAAATCAATGAAAACTTAATACTTCCACTTTTCCTAATGTCAATTAGCTGTTTCCTAATGTCAATTAACTAGAAGGTGCTGTATTTTCAAATTTTTAAAAGCACTGGAATCTCACTGAAGTGCTTCATTTTAAAGTGAAGGACTTTAGAATATGTTTAAAAATTCTGTTTCTAAGTAAGTTTCCTAAGCATGTGGAGATATGAGAATTTGTATAGGTGATATATTTGTTCCAAAAATACAATTATATCATAATTTTAAAAACATTTGGTGTCAAAATACTTCTGTTTATTTTATGGAAAAAAACAACTTTTGTATTTTTAATTAAAATGCCATATGAACTGACAGATAAAATGTGTGTTTTTAGGTATCCACTAGGTGGAGTAACACTAATCTAACAATACTTACCAACAAAGGTCAACAAAGTTAGAAACTCTTCCTTTTTAAGGTTTTTATTGGAAATTAACATGTACACACTACGTAAGAATAATTAAATTCAAATAAATAACAGCTCTAAATGTTAGAACTAAAACTATAAACTTCTATAAGAAAACATACAAGAAAATATTTGTGACCTTGCTTAAGGCAAACATTTACTAGATAGGATACAATAAGTATGAACCATAAAAAATAAAATTGATAAATTGGACTTAATAAAAATTGAACACTCTGGTCTTTAGAAGAACTACTATGAAAAAGGAAAAAAAAAAAAAGCCCCAGACTGGGAGAAAATGTCTCCATGAAATGTCTTGATGAAGGACATTTATATGGGATATGGAAAGAACCCTCACAAGTCAATAAGAAGACAATCAAGAGAAATCAAAATACCATAAAGAGCTATAGGTGAATGTTTATTCAAAATAGCCAAAATCTGGGAAAAAAATACATATCCATCTATTGTTAAGTAGATAAACCGATTGCGGATAAATGTGGAAAAACAATGGATAAACCTCTTTATAATGAAATACTGTTCAACAAGAAAAAGGAATGAGTGCTGGTACATGCAATAACATGGATGAATCTCAATAGTATTACAAATGATGCTAGAATGAATAACCTATATCACGCATGTAATTTTGCAAGTGTGCAAATATATATGTGTATATGTATATATGATAAATTATTTGAAGGGGGATTACTGGGTCAGAAGACATGTGTGTTTGTCATTTTGATAGATATTTCAAAATTGCCTTCCTTAGGGGCTGTATTAATTTGCATTCCTACTAGCAGTGTAGAGGGTGCTCAAAAGAGTGTATAGAAGCCGAGCAATATAGTGAGACTCCGTCTGTATAAAAAATACAAACATTAGGTGACCATGGTGGCACATGCTTGTAGTCTCATCTAGTTGAAAAGCTAAAGTGGGAGGATTGCTTGAGCCCAGGATTTCAAGGTTATAGTGAGCTATGATCATACCATTGCACTCCAGCCTGGGCAGCAGAGTGAGATGCTAGCTCAAAACAAAAAGAAAAAAAAAAAGAGTGTGTAGAATTTATGGATTTTTGCTAATCTGACAGGGAAATTATTTCTAAGCATATATTTAATTGGTATTTCTGTTTAAATAGAAGCTCTAATATGTTACCTAGTACTCTAATTGATCATCTCACAGATCTCCTCAAATACATTACTTACTATACTACCCCAAAACTGCCACACTATTTTACACTTTTGGGCTTGGTGAACCCCTACTTATCCTTCAAAACTTTTACCATCTTTATGAAGTTTTCCTTGGCTCTTTTAGACTGTGATAAGATTACTTTCCTATGAACTATTGTTATACTTTGTGTCTGCTGCCCTACATGTCATAGTGAATTAAAATTCCTGGTCCTCCCCAATTCCCTGTGAACACTTAGGCATATTGGAGGGTTTATCTAAGTTCCGTGAGACACGGCTGCAATTCATGCAACTCTCCATGCTCAGGAGCTAGCATGGTGTCTGGCACAAATTAAGGCTACGATAAATGGGTACTGAACTGAAAGGAATGGTCTGTGCAGAAACAAACATGTTTCTGTAAATATGTGTGCATGAATGAATGCACATTTATAAAGGAAATTTTCTGATGAATAAATCTGCCTAACAATATAATTCTGTATCTAATAGTGATTTGTCTCAACCCTCCCACTCTTATAACTCACATTTTAAAAACGAAAATTTATGTCATTTGTTAAGTAGTTCAGTATGGTCCAGAAGTAGCTAGTAGAATGAGAGAGCCAGGCTTCTTCATTTTATGTTGAGTTCCACCTGTTCATAATGGGCATAAATAACAAAATCATCTAAAATGCTGGTGTGGAAGGAATCTGTTACCTTTTCAGCCTCCTAGAGGCAGGGGGAAAATCCTGGTAGCACTATAAAACAAGATCTGGGGCAAGAGATAATGTGCGGCAGATATTCCAAAGTGAATGCAGGTGTCCTGAAATGTGTCACTCAGAGAAGCATGTCTGCTCTCCTTGTATTCTAAGGACATTATAGAAAGCCCTTTTGGAGAAGAGCAAGCTGGTCAACACGTCATTTGGGTCATGCAGATAGTGTAACACTTTCTGTAATGCCCTTAGAATGCTGTCTGTATTCTAAGGGCATTATAGAAAGCATTACACTACAAATCCTTCACCTGTACCAAGCACATATCCATAAACCGCCCCAGATCTAAAGGACCAAGAGAACTTCTCATTATCCATTCATCAAAGAGTAGACATTTGGGCATGATGCCTGGAAATAAACCTTATATACTAATACCTCACAAACTCAATAGGGAGGATGAATATCTTATCATCATTCACAGTCGGCGAAGATTTCTACAGAATTTGTGAATAATAGCTTAGGAGAAACAAGAAGCATTTCTTTCAGATCCATGACCACTCCTAAAGAGTCAGTGAGTCAGTGCCAGGGAAGGCGGAAGAGAACTACTATATGCTATTTAGCAAATTTTTTTTTTTTGAGACAGAGTCTCGCTCTGTTGCCCAGGCTGGAGTGCAGTGGTGCGATCTCGGCTCACTGCAAGCTCCGCCTCCCGGGTTCACACCATTCTCCTGCCTCAGCCTCCTGAGTAGCTGGGACTACAGGCGCCCACCACCACACCCGGTTAATTTTTTTTGTTGTTGTATTTTTAGTAGAGACGGGGTTTCACCGTGTTAGCCAGGATGGTCTCGATCTCCTGACCTCGTGATCCGCCCGCCTCGGCCTCCCAAAGTGCTGAGATTACAGGCGTAAGCCACCGCGCCCAGCCTATTTAGCAAATATTTTTAAAATAACTATGTGTTGGACATTACATTAGGTAATCTGGACAAAAAGTTGAATAAGGTATCATGTCTGCCCTAAAGAAGCATAGAATGTAATTCTGAGGATGAGACAGTGGTAACATCACATATTTCTACAATGCTTTTCAGTTTACAAAGAACTTTACATTGTAAATTCACACATTGTGAATTCACCTCTTTGCCCCCCTTTCTATGCTACCGGAATGTAAAGGCCATCAGCAAAATACAAAGTACTATGGAGGATCAAAAGAAAGAGATTCCTTGTGGTTGAGTAGTAGGAGTGGGGTAAGAAGTGAATACTTCATGGGGAAGGAAGCATTTTAGGTGAGCTTTGAAAGGTGAACATGTTTCAGTACACAATGATTGGTGGCAATGGTTCTATGAAACAACTTGTGCATAGACACAAAGTCAAGAGAAGATATGTATGTGAACTGGGGATTAGTGACTAGATTAAGAAAGGGAAGAATTTAGCAGAAGCATGAGGAAAATTATTTGGCTGGAAAAGTAGAAGAAGATAAGTCTAGAAATTTAGATTCAGGAATGTTCAGCTTAACTCATCCAGACTCGGGGTAGGTGAACAAATTGTGCTTTAATCTTAGGTAGGAAGATCAGGTTAGCTACAACTGAGCACCATCACAACAGGTACCCTGAGCAAAGTTGTGCCATAGGCATTTTTACCATCCTTCAAAAGAGTTCCTTATTTATTTCAAGCTACCCCTCCTAGATTAGCACCAAATTCACTTGATATTCTATATCCTCCTCCAAAAATCTTATCAAGAGTAACCTTTTCTTAATATAGTCACTAATCCTCAATTCATATACATATCTTCTTTTTCACCATTATTTCCCATGTAGCAATTGTCTCTAAATCACCAAAATTTGACTGTTCTTTTATTCATTTGCTAGTTTGTAGTTTCTGATTTTCCGTAAGGAGCAGAAAGTTTTAATAATGCAAATCTATTTTTGTAATAAAATATGATTACCTATACCTTAGATTATATCCTTCAATATTCTATTATATAAAGAATATGTGTCCTTTTTCTACAACCTAATGTCACACATACTTTTTTGCAATTTACCATTTATTGGACATGTAGGGTACCCCAAATTTTTGAAATGACACTGAAGAGCAGTTAAAAGTAGATGAAAATAAGTTAGTATTAAAAAGTACAATCCCTTTGTACACTAAATCTAGTTTGTTTGTGTTTTGTTTTTTCTTTTTTAAGTACAACCCGCCACAGTTAGGGGATGAGGGAGAAAAATTGGCAAAAAAATGCTTAAAGATGCATAAAACATTACAAAACCATCCCCATGACCCAAATGACATGTTGACCAGTTTGCTTTCCTCCAAATTATTTTCAAATAGTAATGTTTCACTATGAGTACTATACTAGCCAATGATGATATTAAAGATAAAATACCTTATAATTTGTTTTTATTTTAGGTTTGGGAGTACATGTGAATGTTTGTTACATAGGTAAACACATGTCACAGGGGTTTGTTTTACAAATTATTTCATCACCCAGATATTAAGCCCATTACCCAATAGTTATCTTTTCTACACCTCTCCCTCCTCCCACCCTCCTCCCTCAAGGAGGCCCCAATGTCTGTTGTTTCCTTCTTTGTGTTCATAAGTTCTTATCATTTAGCTCCCAAAGATGAAATACCTTATCCTTATCTTCAAGGAGCTTTAAGGGACACAGGCAACATAAAGGATTCCCAGAATGCTCCTGATATACACAGAAAGGTATCCAATCTTGGATAAAGGATCCAGAAAGATATCCTTAGGCCCAGGCAGGGGGATCACGAGGTCAGGAGATCAAGACCATGCTGGCTAACATGGTGAAACCCCGTCTCTACTAAAACTACAAAAAAAATTAGCCTGGCGTGGTGGCGGGCGCCTGTAATCCCAGCTACTCGGGAGGCTGTGGCAGGAGAGTGGTGTGAACCTGGGAGGTGGAGCTTGCAGTGAGCCGAGATAGCACCACTGCACTTCAGCCTGGGTGACAGAGCGAGACTCCGTCTCAAAAAAAAAAAAGAAAGAAAGAAAGAAAGATATCCTTGAGGATAGTAGTAGAAATGAGCCCTGAAGGATGAGTATGCATTAGGCAAAGAAGTGGCTGGGGACAATGAGAGTGTAAAAGAATTTCCAGGTAGAGAGAACAATCTGTGCAAAGCGAGAATAACAGTACACTGAAAATTTAAATACTTTATTGCAGCTAGGAACTGTTATTAAAAGAAATGACAAAAGCCGCCATTTTGCACCAACCTAATAGGAATATAGGCCCAGCACGGTGCATCATGACTGTAATCCCAGCACTTTGGGAGGCCAAGGGGGGCAGATCACGTCAGCTCAGGAATTCGAGACCAGCCTGGGCAACATGGTGAAACCCTGGCTCTACAGTAAATAAATAAATAAATAAATAAATAAATAAATAAATAAATAAATAAAAATAAATTAGTTGGGTGTGGTAGTGCATGCTTGTAGTCCCAGCTCCTCGAGAGGCCAAGGTGGGAGGATCCCTTGAGCCTGGGAGGCCGAGGTTACAGTGAGCCAACCAAGACCATGCCATGGCACTCCAGCCTGAGTGACAAAGTGAGATCCAGTCTTAAAAAGAAAAAAGAAAATTTTAATTTGAAGAAAAAAAGTAGGAATATATATGTATGTGAGTTGATAGTAGCTAGGAGGAAGAACATGAGAAGACAAGTTTACAGAGTGGGTGTGCTCAACACAGGTACTATAGAGCAAGGAAAAATTATAATTTTCATTTATTTTTAGTTCCTATTTTTAGGAACTAAATGTCTTCTTATGATATAATCTATATTACACCTAACATTAGTACAATAATACAAATATGTAAATTACAAAAACTAAATTAGGCTACATTGAATCCTCAAAATTGTTTTTCTGGTTATGGATATGGGTTCAATGAAATTTGAAGACAACTACTCTAAGAGGAACCATAAAGGGTTTTAAATGGGAAAGTATGTGAACAAGATCTGAAACCTCAGCAACAGGGTGGAGAAATGCTGATGGCTGAAAAGCAGTCCGGAGATACGAGTCAAAGTGAGAAATAATGAAAAGTGGAACTCAAGAAATAGCAATGGGAGTGGTGAGAAAGCGACATATTGGAGTGATACTTAGAAGTAAAATAGAGCAGGCTTAGTAAATTAGTACTTTGTGGAATGCAGAAAAAAAAGAACAGAAAGAAGAGGATGGATCTCGAGGATGGATCTCACATGAACAATGACAATCAAATGTCAAGAATAAATAAATTCAAGCAGAATAAATCATTTCAGCAACATTACAGGATGCATACCCTTGTAAAGGCCACCATTTATATTAGTTTAGTGGAAGAAAGCATTTTAAGTTCTAAATTGCCAACCTACACAGATATAACGCAATAAATATATTGTTGGCGGGTGCCTGTAGTCCCAGCTACTCTGGAGGCTGAGGCAGGGGAATCGCTTGAACCCAGGAGGTGGAGATTGCAGTGAGCCGACATCGCACCAATCCACTACAGCCTGGGCGACAGAGCGAGACTCCATCTAAAAAATATATATTATATATATTTTATATTTTATAAATATATATTATATATATTGTATATTTTATAAATATATATTATATATATTTTATAAATATATATATTTTATAAATATATATAATATATATTTTATAAATATATATTATATATATTTTATAAATACATATTATATATATTTTATAAATACATATTATATATATTTTATAAATACATATTATATATATTTTATAAATACATATTATATATATTTTATAAATACATATTATATATATTTTATAAATACATATTATATATATTTTATAAATACATATTATATATATTTTATAAATACATATTATATATATTATATTTTATAAATACATATTATATATTTTATATTTTATAAATACATATTATATATATTTTATATTTTATAAATATATTTTATATTTTATAAATATATATTATATATATTTTATATTTTATAAATATATATTATATATATTTTATATTTTATAAATATATATTATATATATTTTATATTTTATAAATATATATTATATATATTTTATAAAGATGTATATGTTATATATATTTTATAAATATATATATTATATATATGTTGGATACCGTTAACCCAGAAGTAGAACAAATTATCATATTCTGATTGAAAGAAACATTTGAAATGTAATGACTTCCAGTGGAAGTGGTTTAAAAAGCTCTAAATTCATTTCTACTTGTAAACACCATCCATTGTTGTAAAAGATAGTGACATAATTACAAGAGTACCCAGTCTTTCTAAAAGCTCAGCGAACCCCATCTGGAAACCGTGTAAAGCTACAGATAATGTCTAGTGATAGGCACAGGGTGTAGGAGTGCAAATATTTTTACTCTGAAACTGCAAGGCTTTTGTGTCGGTTCGAACCTGAGAGCAAGCCAACAAACAACACAAGGCAGTGTGGAGCAACACGCTGTTTTTTTTTTTGTTTGGTTGGTTGGTTTTTTGAGACGGAGTCTCGCTCTGTCACCAGGCTGGAGTGCAGTGGCCCGATCTAGACTCATTGCAACCTCCGTCTCCCGGGTTCAAGCGATTCTCCTGCCTCAGCCTGCTGAGCAACTGAGACTATATGCGCGCGCCACCACGCCCAGCTAATTTTTTTTTTTCTGTATTTTTAGTAGAGACGGGGTTTCACCATGTTGGCCAGGATGGTCTTGATCTCTTGACCTTTTGATCTGCCCGCCTCGGCTTCCAAAGTGCTGGGATTACAGGCGTGAGCCACCGCGCCTGGCCAGCACGCTGTTTTAATGAGTGCCTGGGTGCGGGAGGGCTGAGACCTAAAATCACATCAGTATCCAATGAGGACGGGGCTGGGGTTTCACAGTTTCCTGTAAACAGGAAGTGTCTCAGTCTGATGTAAATGCTACGCGGTACCCGGAAGGCCTCTCTTCAGGGGGTATGTGTCTTCCGCCAGCTCTCTTCTATCTGCTTCCGCTATCTTGCTGAGACACGCTGCTGGCGCCAAGTGGTCTTGCGCCTTGGGACTGGGCCTGAGAAGGGAGGAGTTATTCATTCCCTTAAGCTTTCAGGCCCCGGAGGGGGGAATCTTTCAGAAACTTTCATTGCAAGTTAATTTGGAACATTTTGATAGAATGCTATTTTAAATAATTACTACACTTTTCTCCCTGTTTTATACCTAAATATGGAATTTACCTTATTTTGCAGCCAACTTGCCTAGAAAAGAAATAATATAATAAAAATCTAAAAACTTTTTTGAGCCCTACCCACTAATATTCTTCCCTTTGCCCTCTGTGCTCTACCCCTACTGATTCTATCCTCTCAATTCTGAAACGTGTTCTTCCCTCCCTTCCCTCTACTACTCTTCTCCCCCTGCATTTTGCCTTGGGTATTCTTATTTTTCATGTTTCAGCTTAAAATTACTAATTTTCTCAAGAAGGCACTTACCATACCATTATAAGGTTTAAACGCTTTTGCCACATGCTCCCATGTACTTCCTTTTGCTAACATTTATTTGACTTGTAATTATTTTTTACTACCTGCCTCCCACTGGACTATAATCATAACTTGGGCAAGGACACTGCCTGGCACATAAGGGGCATGTAGTAAATATTAAATAAATTAAATTGAGCTTTATATGTTGAACATATAAAACAGGCATATTAGGCCAGAATCTCCATCTACAAACTCAGACGCAAGAAATATAACTTGATTTCTACAATTCCACTTTATTTCTATTTCACGGCATCCTTTTACAAGGCTGGTAGAAATGAGAGGTGACAGCCTGCTGGCAGTCCTCACAGCCCCCGCTCGCTCTGGGCACCTGCTCTGCCTGGGCTCCCACTTTGGCGGCACTTGAGGAGCCCTTCAGTCCACGGCTGCACTGTGGGAGCCCCTTTCTGGGCTGGCCAAGGCCAGAGCCGGCTCCCTCAGCTTGCAGGGAGGTGTGGAGGGAGAGGCGCCAGCGGGAACCGGGGCTGAGCGAGGCGCTTGCGGGCCAGCTGGAGTTCCGGGTGGGCGGGGGCTTGGCGGACCCCGCACTCGGAGCAGCTGGCCTGCCCTGCCAGCCCTGGGCAATGAGGGGATTAGCACCCGGGCCAGCGGCCCACCAGCGCTGCACTCGATTTCTCACCGGGCCTTAGCTGCCTTCCCTCAGGGCAGGCCTCGGGACCTGCAGCCCGCCATGCCTGAGCCTCCCACCCCCTCCATGGGCTCCTGTGCTGCCCGAGCCTCCCCAACGAGCGCCACCCCCTGCTCCACGGCACCCAGTCCCATCCACCACTCAAGGGCTGAGGAGTGCGGGCACACAGCACTGGGACTGGCAGGCAGCTCCACCTGCAGCCCCGGTGCGGGATCCACTGGGTGAAGCCAGCTGGGCTCCTGAGTCTGGTGGGGACGTGGAGAACCTTTATGTCTAGCTCAGGGATCGTAAATACACCAATCAGCACCCTGTGTCTAGCTCAGGGTTTGTGAATGCACCAATGGACGCTCTGTATCTAGCTACTCTGGTGGGGTCTTGGAAAACCTTTGTGTCCACACTCTGTATCTAGTTAATCTAGTGGGGACGTGGAGAACCTTTGTGTCTAGCTCATGGATTGTAAATGCACCAATCAGCACCCTGTCAAAACAGACCACTGCGCTCTACCAATCAGCAGGATGTGGGTGGGTCCAGATAAGAGAATAAAAGCAGGCTGCCCCAGCCAGCAGTGGCAACCCGCTCGGGTCCCCTTCCACACTGTGGAAGCTTTGTTCTTTTGCTCTTTGCAATAAATCCTGCCACTGCTCACTCTTTGGGTTCACACTGCTTTTATGAGCTGTAACACTCGCTGCGAAGGTCCAAAGCTTCACTCCTGAAGCCAGCGAGACCACGAGCCCACCGGGAGGAATGAATAACTCCAGACCCGCCCTCTTAAGAGCTGTAACACTCACTCCGAAGGTCTGCAGCTTCACTCCTGAGTCAGCTAGACTACGAACTCACCAGAGGGAAGAAACTCTGAACACATCCGAACATCAGAAGGAACAAACTCCAGACGTGCCACCTTAAGAGCTGTAACACTCACCGCGAGGGTCCGCGGCTTCATTCTTGAAGTCAGTGAGACCAAGAACCCACCAATTCCGGGCACAAATTTTGTGTTGGTCAATTCCATGTCTTTCCCTCTTTTTTCTCTCGTGATTGTATGGAGCCAAAGTCTTACTAAAATGAAGCTCTTTTATCCTCACTGTCATCTGTCCCTTCGGTCACTGAGATATCCATTTCTCATTTGGCCATTTTGAATTAGTCCAAGATTTCTCTGGAGTCATCCTTGTTCCTATTCCAGACCCCTCTGAGCCAGGGTCTCTCTCCTCTACTCTCCATTATTGGATCCACGGGACCCGCTCGGTTACCCAGGTCCTGAAACCTGGCTCAGGGGAACTCCCCTGAGGCTAGGAGCGCACCTGCACAGACACACTTCACAGCTGCTTCCAGTGAGTCTGGGCGCATTGCTGGAGTCCACCTGGGAAGTAAGGAAGTGGTATGGACCTCTCGCCCCCACATGGGGTAGTTCTTTCTGGAGCTCAGCAGGGGCAATTTGTTTCTCTCGGGCCCTCCCACGACCCTCCTCTCAGACTTTCCAAACTCCTCTCAACCTTGGGGATTCTTGTTTGCAAAGGGTGTATAGGGACATGGAAGAGGAAGAGCTGTATTCTTTCTGATATCCTCCAACTCTTCTGTCTATTCTTCAGTTTCTTTTTATCTGTAGGTCTCTGCTTTTAAAACTCAAAAGCCAAGAAGAGACTCCCCCTAACCTTTTTATTTTTTCTGTAGCCACATCCTTTCCATGAGTGTAAACCTAAGAGTCCAGCTGCTGCTTAAATATGGAAAAAGGATCAAGAAGCAAAAGGAAAAGGGAGAAAAGAGAAGAGGGGGTTTGGATAGAGACCGATAAATATTGCAAAATCAGTCTCCTGCTTCATAAGTATAATTGTAACTCCTGAATGAAATATTCGTGATGGGTTTCTAAAGATGAATTTAAGACTATTTGCTAATTTTAAGTGTGTGAATGTGGTAAAGTGCAATTACTCTGCTGTTTTATAGCACATCCCCAGGCATCAGAGAGAACTAGCATTGGGTGAGTCCCCGCTGGGCCTCAGGCACTGGGCGCAAGATTCAGAGCAACCCTGTGAGATGGGCACCATGATTCCATTTTTTAAATTAAGAAACTGGCCTGTTGCTGCGGCTCAGGACTGTAATCCCAGCACTTTGGGAGGCTGAGGCAGGAGGATCTCTTAAGGCCAGGGGTTTGAGGTTATAGTGAGCTGTGGTTGCACCCCTGAATTCCAGCCTGGGCAACAGAGAGAGACCCTTTCTCTTAAAAACAAATAAATAAATAATTTAAAAGTAAAACATTGAAGTAAGGAAACCAAGGAAGCATTAACTAACTTACTTAAAGCCATACAGCTATTGTGTACCTTGGCCAGGATTCAAAGTAAGATATACAAGTGAAAAATCCATGCATTCTCAGTATTTTTCACTGCCTCTTATAGAATTCTGGACTCATGGTTTGTCCAATACAGCATTTGGTTATTATTTCTGTTTATTTTGTTACTTTATTTATTTATTTGAGATAGGGTCTCACTCTGTCACCCAGGCTGGAGTGCAGTGGCTTGATCTCGGCTCACTGCACCCTCCACCTCCTGGCTTCAAGCGATTCTCCAGCCTCAGCCTCCCAAGTAGCTGGGATTACAGGCGTGTACCACCATGTCCGGCCAAAAAACTTTAATTTTAAAACATTCATGTTAAAGCTGATTTTCTCATAGGCTAGATTATGACCCAACCACCACTTTTAATCAGCTACAAATGACATATCTGTTTAATCTATACATTGCTTTCTAATATATTTAACTTAGAGAACTACAATACTCCTGTAAAATTTTGTTTAATAATTCAGTATCATAGTCTATATCAACAAGAAGGAACACTTAGTTATCACAATGTGTCAATCACTATGCTTGTTACTTTAAATACAGTCAATCTTCATTATTTTCAGATTCTGTATTTGCAAATATGTCCACTCATTAAAATTTATTTGTATGCCAGGCATGCTCCCTCACACCTGTAATCCCAGCACCTTGGGAAGCCGAGGCGGGCAGATCACTTGATGCCAGGAGTTCGAGACCAGCGTGACCAACATGGCGAACCCCCCAACCCCCCATCTGTAAAAAAAAAAAATTTGTAACCCCCAAATCAACACTCCAGTGCTTTCATAGTCACAGACATACACGTGCACAGAACAGAAAAAAAAAAAATTGCATTGCTGGAGGAGGCCCATTTTCCCAGCTGAACTCAAACCAGGTGATACTCCGCCGCCTTCTTTTAGTTCTTACACAGTAAACAAGTTTCTTTTTTGTGATCTTCATAGTGCCACATTTTTTACATTTGTGTACTTTTTCTTGGTGATTTTGTTGTCTGAAATGGCTCCCAAGTGTAGTTCTGAAGTGCTGTCCAGTGTTCCTAATTGAAGAAGCTGTAATGTGTCTTATGAAGAAAATTAAGTATGTTAAAGAAACTTCCTTCAGGCAGCAGTTATAGCGCTTTGGCCATGAGTTCAGTGTTAATGAATCAATAGTTTATATTAAATAAGGTGTCTTTAAACAGAAACAGGAATAAAACAAGGTTACCTGGTTATCCCCTGATGAGAATGTTGTGACCAGGGGCTTGAGGGAACCTAACCCTATGTTATGCCCAGGAGCAATGGCTCTGTAATGTCTAATTCAATGTTTGAGATGACTTTATAGAACTACTGTGGATAAGAAAAAATTGACTGTACGTTTGCTTGTATAAGCTAATTCTTTAAAAAATTTTTATTATGAAAAATTTCAAATAGATAAGTAAAGAGAATAGAAAGGAAACCCTGGGGACCTATCATCACCCAGCCTCAAAAATTACCAACTCACCCAAACTTGTTTTTCTCTTTAACCATCTAATTCCTTCTCTCCTCCTTGCATTTGACACAAATCCCAGACATTGTATCATTTCAACCTTATCTACTTTATACGTTAAATTCCTGTTAAATTTTTTAAATTATAAGAATAGAAAATCTGAAATCTGGAAAAGTTACAAGGAGGAGAAAATAACCATGTAAATTAATACCGAATTAACATTTTATTTTTTCTCAGTCTTTTTATGTATAAATTAAAAGATTGGAATCATTCTGATTAGATTTCTTTTCATATAAAGTTAAATTGTTTTAAATAACATTAAACATTCTTCAAAAATATAGTGAAATAGGCTCTGCATGGTGGTTCACAACTGTAATCTCAGCACTTTGGAAAGCCAAGGCGGGTAGATCACTTGAGTCCAGTAGTTCAAGACCAGCCTGGGCAACATGGTGAAACCCCGTCTCTACCAAAAAATACAAAAATTAACTGGGCATGGTGGTGCAAGCCTATAATCCCAACTACTTGAGACGCTGAGATGGGAGGATCACCTGAGCCCTGGAAGGTAGAGGCTACGGTGAGCTATGATCACATCATTGCAGTCCAGCAAGGGTGACAGAGGGAGATCCTGTCTCAAAAATGTGTGTGTGTGTGTGTGTGTCTGTATGTGTAAAATAAAATATAACATTTTACACATTCTCATTTAATGTCATATTTTTTTCATATCTGCCCTACTTTTTAAGAGAGATGTGACTACTTATTTATTTAAAATTAATGTCATTTGAGATAATTGTAGATTCATATAAGCTGTAAGAAAGAATACAGACAATAAAGTATATAGTTTGTCAACTTAAAAGGAAGAAGCTGAGGCAAAATTAACGTAGAGAGTTTATCTGGGCCAAGTTTGAGGACTGCAGACCAGGACGTACTTCCACCTTACCTTGAGGAGTGCTCTGGGAACAAAGGAGAGGATCACATTTTTAAAGAAAAAGGGATGAATCAGCAGAGGGAGTGATTACAAAAGTTTTGTCAGGAATTCTCATTGGTTTACAGAAATAACATTGGTTAGTGATTGGTGATACATTGTTGAACTCTAGGGTGTGTGGCATTTTATGGCTGCTTGGCATTATTAGTCTAAAGCCCACATAACAAGTGACTTTAACAGTTGTTTTTTTTTTTTGGATTTGGTTTTTTTCTTTTTGAGACAGGCTGTCGCCCTGTTGCCCAGGCTGGATTTCAGTAATGCAATCTTAGGTCACTATAACCTCCGCCTTTCAGGCTCAAGGCATCCTCCCACCTCAGCCGCCATAGCAGCTGGGACTACAGGCGCATGCCTCCATGCCCAGCTAATTTTTTGGATATTTTGCAGAGACGAGGTTTCACCATATTGCCCAGGCTGGTCTTGAACTCCTAAGCTTAAGAGATCTGCCCTCCTTGGCCTCTCAAAGTGCTGAGATTACCGACCTGAGCCACTGTGCCAGGCCTCAAGAGGTAATTATTGGCTCAAGGTGAAGTAATATAACTGCTGTTTTATTCCAATGCTTCTCCGGGCCTGAAAATTTAAAAGGAACTCATATTCCTCAGATAAAATGTCTCTTCTTTTATTTTTTTTCCACATTTCTCCTTTTGATTAAAAAAAAAAAAATCTTTCCTCTTGGCTAGATGTGGGGGCTCATGCTTGTAATCCCAGCACTTTTTGAGTTGTCGAGGTGGGAGAATCGCATGAGCTCAGGAGTTTGAGACTAGCTTAAGCAACGGGGGAAATCCTGTCTCTACGAAAAATACAAAAATTAGCCGGGTTTGAGGGCATGTGCCTGTAGTCCCAGCTCCTCAGGAGGCTGAGGTGGGAGGAACACTTGAGCCCAGGAGATGGAGGTTGCCCTGAGGCTGAGATCACGCCATTGCACTCCAGCCTGGGCAACAGAGTGATACCCTGTCTCAAAAAAAGAAATAAAAAATAAATATTAAATATTAAAAATTTAAAAACTGTCTTCTTGAAACCATTAATTACCAAAATATGAGTGTTAGGGTGTTTTGTCACCCGGAAGGCTCATTCTTGGATAGTCCTGTCCCACATCAAGAGGGAAAGAAAGAGACATTTCAATGAGGAATTTTGTTTTAGTATACATGGGGTCTCACTATATTGCCCAGGCTGGTCTCCCTCTCCTGGACTTAAGTGAATCTCCACTTCAGCCTCCCAGATAGCAGGAATTACAGGCACAAGCCAGCATGCTGTTAGTGAAGAATTTTTAAAGAGCACTCAAAAGTTGATTTGGTATGGCATCACAGAACGACAAAAATGAAACCTCAGTCAATCATTGGTTTATAGAGCTGCTATGGCCTATTGAATCATCTTTAGTCCTTGGAATTCATGACTTTAGTTTTCTGGTAACACATAAGATTTATAAGCAAAAACAAAAACAAAACAAAAAAACACAAAAACAAAAAAAAAAAAAAGAATTTGTATGCCAGAATGAGAAAAAAAAAATTCCATTAAGGAGTCAACTGAAAACATCATGAAGAAAATGACAACCCAGCGGGTTTTTTTTGTTTTGTTTTGTTTTTTTGAGATAAGGTCTCACTCTGTCGACCCGACTGGGGCAGTCAGGGCTCATTGCAGCTTTGGCTCAGATGAGCCAGGGCTCAGATGATCCTCTCACCTCAGCCTCCTGAGTAACTAGGACTACAGGGACACACCATCATGGCTAATTTTTGAATTTTTGCAGAGATGGGGTTTCACCATGTTGCCCAGGCTGATCATGAACTCCTGGAGTCAATTGACCCTCCCACGCTGACCTCCCAAAGTGCTAGGATTAAAGCATTAGCCACCACGCCTGGCAGAGACTTCTTGTAGCCAGGAAATAATTCAGAATTTGGTCCAAATTGTGGGAAGATAATATGAGCTCAAATATGATGATCAGGGCTAGAATTGAATAACTAACAGTTGCACTATAGTTTTCTTCTGAAGCATAATTTTTCTCACTATAGTCCCCCTGTCCTACCAATGAGAAATCATGGAAAGACCAATTTATTGGCAAAAAAAAAAAAGTTAGTATTATTATACTTGACCTGATTATTTGCATAATGTGAAGCAAGAATAGTGATTAGCCGTATAGGCTTCTTTATTTATTTATTTATTTTGTTTTGTTTTATTTTACTTTTTTTGAGCCAGAGTCTTGCTTTGTTGCCCAGGTTGGAGTGCAGTGGTGATCTCGGCTCACTGCAACTTCTGCCTCCCTGGTTCAAGTGATTCTCCTGCCTCAGCCTCCCAAGTAGCTGGGACTACAGGCATGAGCCACTGTGGCCAGCCATAGGCTCCTTTTAAATTGGCTTTGCTGGAACTTTTTTTTTTTTTTTTGAGATGGAGTCTCGTTCTGTTGCCCAGGCTGGAGAGTAGTGGCGTGATCTTGGCTCACTGCAACTTCTGCCTCCTGGAGCAATTATCCTGCCTCAGCCTCCTGAGTAGCTTGGATTACAAGTGCCCACCACCATGTCCAGCTAATTTGTGTGTGTGTGTGTATTTTGTGTGTGTGTATTTTTAGTAGAGATGGGGTTTCACGATGTTGGCCAGGCTGGTCTTGAACTCCTGACCTCAAGTGATCCGCCCACCTCAGCCTCCCAAAGTGCTAGGATTACAGGCGTGAACCACCACGCCAGGACTTATTTATTTATTTTTATTTTTATTTTTTGAGACAGAATCTCTGTCACCTAGAGTGCAGTGGTATGATCTCGGTTCACTGCAACCTCTGCCTCCCAGGTTCAAGCAATTCTCCTGCCTCAGCCTTCCAAGTAGCTGAGATTACAGGCATGCACCACAACACCCAGCTAACTTTTGTATTTTTAGTAGAAATAGGTTTCACCATGTTAGCCAGGCTCCTCTTGAACTCCTGGCCTCGAGCGATCTGCCTGCCTCAGCCTCCCAAAATGCTGGAATTAAAGGCATGAGTCACCGCAACCAGCTTATTTATTTTTCAGTAGAGATGCGGTCTTGCTGTGTTGGCCAGGTGGTCTCGAACTCCTGGCCTCAAGCAACCCTCCTGCCTCAGCCTCCCAAAGTGCTGGGATTACAGGTATGAACCACATGCCCCATCTGGATTGATTTTTTAAAACCTCTCAAGGCTAGGAAGCCAAGCCAAGGATTCACCATCAGACTGTGCCTATAATACATGTACAAATTGGGTGAATTTCTCTCTTCTTGAAGTTCGAAAATATCTTGAGTTTCCTAGGCCTGTCAGAAAGTAACATTCTTCACTTACCATAGGTCAAGAATCTTGTGAAAGAACAGCATAGACAATGTACCAGGCCAGTTTTTCCAAGAGGCTTTTTTTTTAAATTAAATCAGTTTTCTTTAAGAATTTCCAACATTGACAACTCTTATAAAAAGCATCCAAGCACAGGACACAGAACTGCAGCAAACAGCACTCTTATGGGTAGCTAACAGACATTAGAACTTCCACTCTTCTTTGAGACACCTAAGCTAACTGGCGAACTCTGCTTCCAAGTACTCTTGCAAAGCACACTGCAAGTTCAGTCCATGTTCTCAACCCATCAGCTTCAGTTCACATTACCACACTTACTTATCAGTAACAGAAGAGAACACACACCATACAGCATTCACAGCAGTTGACAAAGGGGTTGGGAGAATACAAGTATAATTTCACTTAACGCATTCAACTAATGTAGGTTATCCAAGAACAAAAACTCACTTAAAGTCTTCCAACAGATGTGGATGTCCTTTGAATGCAAAAAAAATTCATACATTATTTGCTATCATTGCCTTCTGCACACTGTCTCATCAAAGCCACAGGATTGAGAGGCACATCTCACTAAGTTAAAAAATATCCATTGGCCGGGAGCAGTGGCTCACCCCTATAATCAAAACACTCTGAGAGGCCGAGGCGGGCAGATCACCTGAGGTTGGGAGTTCGAGACCACCCTGACCAACATGGAGAAACCCTGTCTCTACTGAAAATACAAAATTAGCCAGGCATGGTGGGGCATGCCTGTAATCCCAGTTATTTGGAAGGCTGAGGCAGGAGAATCGCTTGAACCTGGGAGGCGGAGGCTGCAGTGAGCTGAGATTGCACCATTGCACTCCAGCCTGAACAACAAGAGCGAAACTCTATCTCAAAAAAATATATATATGTATATATGTATATATATACACACACATATATATATATCCATTATGCACTACCAAGTCTCTGCACGCGCTCTCTCCTTTTCTCACTCATACTAACCTTTCATGCCTCCGCACCACCATCAGTCCCACACAAGGTTTCAAAAGTTGTAACAGCCTTCTGGTTCCATATCACAGCCTTGCATTCATAGCGTTGATACTACTCCATGAAATAAAGAATACTAGATAAAAATGGGCCTGTGATGCGTGATGACGAATTCTTTTTTTTTTTTTTTTGACAGGGTCTGACTGCGTCACCCAGGCTGGAGTGCGGTAGCGCAGTCTCGGCTCGCTGCAACCTCCGTTCCCCTGGATTCAAGCGATTCTCCTGCCTCAGCCTTCTGAGTAGCTGGGATTACAGGCGCCTGCCACCACACCCGGGTAATTTTTGTATTTTTAGTAGAGACAGGGTTTCACCATGTTAGCCAGGATGGTCTCGATTTCCTGACCTTGTGATCCGCCCGCCTTGGCCTCCCAAAGTGCTGGGATTACAGGCGTGAGCCACCGCGTCCAGCCAATGATGAATTCTTAAATGAGAAAGCTTGTAGACAGGAAGTATTCCTATGGCAGAATATTTACAGCATTACTTTCAATGAAGTGCTTCTTCCATAAACATTTGAAATGAGATGAACTGCAGAGATTAAATGAAGGCTATTGTGCTTTTGTATATGAGAGAAGAAAAGTGTTAAGAAACAAAAGAACTAAATGCTGTGACACCATGATCTCCCAAAAGGAGATTTTCTTAAGGAAAAAAATCCATATGGTGGGGTTCAAATTAAAACAAGGAGTAAAGAATGTAGTTCTAATCAATGGTTTCCATTTTGAACATGCAAAGAATTCACTTGACAAGTCCAGGGATAAAATATTACAGAAGCCTTTTGATATCAACTGTAGTGTGTTGGTTTACCAATCAGGCAAACAGCAGTTCACTTTCAACCACAATATTTCAATCCTTTACGTAACAAAACGTAAAATTCCTTTAGCTCTTCTTTTTTCTAAAGAAAAATGTCAAAAATACTACTGAATATACTACACACTGAACAAACCAATTTTGAAAATTCTTAGTACATATGTATTTTACAATATACTTACCATGAGTTTAGAAAAATTTGAATTCCCACCATTCTGTACCAAGCAACCACAACCCCACCATCTACATTCCCCAGCCAGAAGACTTAGAATCCATGCTTGAGCCAAAGCCTTCTTTAAAACCACTGCCCCACCCTGCTTTTGATGCTGATCCCCAACCAATTGCTGCCCCAGAATTAGAACCACTATGAGTTATTTCCAGAATCGAAGGCCTGGTTTGGCTCCCTCTGCATGTTGCCTTGGCTTTGGTTATTACACAATGGGCCTGACTGGCTCTGCTGGCTGGCTAACATGCCCATGATACCCCAACTGCTCTGTAGCACTGCCTGGGCTGCAGCCATCATGGCTGGATTAATGCTGAACTCACCAAAGTTTATCCCACCACCCATAATACTACCTTGGTTGTTTCCCAAACCAGCTCCATCCCCTCTACTATTACCAAATCCACCCTGATTCCCAAAGCCACCTGGATTACCACCAAATCTTCCACTTCTTTCTATTGCTATTGTGCTTAGGTTGGCATTGGGTATTTTAACACTGATTCCTTTAATGATCAAGTCCTCTCCACAAAAAGATTGTGCAACCCACATATGTTTATTGCAGCACATTCACAATAGCAAAGACTTGGAACCAACCTAAACGTCCAACAATGATAGACTGGATTAAGAAAATGTGGCACATATACACCATGGAATACTATGCAGCCATAAAAAAGGATGAGTTCATGTCCTTTGTAGGAACATGGATGAAGCTAGAAACCATCATTCTGAGCAAACTACCGCGAGGACAGAAAACCGAACACCGGATGTTCTCACTCAGAGGTGGGAATTGAACAATGAGAACACCTGGACACAGGGAGGAGAGCATCACACACCCAGGCCTGTCAGGTGGTGCGGGGCTGGGGGAGCGGTAGCATTAGGAGAAATACGTAATGTAAATGATGAGCTGACGGGTGCAGCAAAACAACATGGCACATGTATACCTATGTAATAAACCTGCATGTTGTGCACATGTACCCTAGAACATAAAGTATAATAAAAATTAAAAAAAGAGAGAGATTGAGCAACCTGATCATCTGCAAATGTAACAAAGGCAAAGGCCCTGAACGGCTTGGGGATGAAGACATCCACCACTTCCCCGTACTGACAGAAGAACTGCGACAGCTCATCCACAGTTATGTTCTCTGTACTGCCCCAAAAACACTTTTCTGCTTCTCAATGTTCATCTGGGCTTTGCTTAGAATTAGCAAGTTTACAGTCACACCATTGTCCATCCATCATATGTCAATGTGACATTACTTTCACCTGTGTTTCATATTCTATAAAATGAATAAAGCCAAACCCCTTTGAATGACCAGTCTTAATATCTTTCTTGACCTGCACCGTAAGAACTTCTCCAAAGGTACTAAAATATTCTTTCAGATCCTGTTCAGTTGTTTTCCACGGGACACCCAAAACTTTTCACTTTCACTGCTGATGAAGCATCTGTCTCATCCATTTTGCTTTTGTTGTCTTTGGGATAGTTGAAAACATACACCAGATTTCCCCAGCCAGCATCGGGGGCATGTAGAATTCCTTCTACCAGCCGGAAACCTCTCATACATTGAGACACTGGATTCCTGTAGCAAAGCCCATGTGCCCCTGGGCTGTAACAGTGGACAGCAGCACCGTCCCTTCGTCCTCTGAAGGTATTTAAATGGGCTCATTGTTCTCATCTTTGGTTACCCGAATATATTCAGACATCTTTTACTTTTCTGCTAGGCTGCTGCTGGGAATCCCAACAGGGACACTGAGGCAGCAACAGATCCAAGCACAGCCCAACAACCACTTCACTCCCACAAAATGCTAGGGGCTTTTTATCAACTCTATAAAGACAACATCAATTCCTCAAGCAGTCTATTCATATCTGAAAATATGGCATTCCAATCAAAGCCTTGGTAAAATAACCAGTGTCTCCAGTGTCCTGTTACAAAAGAAAACATATTCTTATTGAACTTATGCAAATAACTACAGTGTCATAAAATAATACTCATGAATAGTTTTTATTTTTTATTTGTTTATTTATTTATTTTGGAGACAGAGTTTCGTTTTTGTTGCCCAGGCTGGAGTGCAGTGGCACGATCTCAGCTCACCGCAACCTCCACCTCCCGGGTTCAAGCAATTCTCCTGCCTCAGCCACCCAAGTAGCTGGGATTACAGGCATGCACCACCACGCCCAGCTAATTTTGTATTTTTAGTACAGACGGAGTTTCTCCATGTTGGTCAGGCTGGTCTTGAACTCACCTCAGGTGATCCGCCCGCCTCAGCCTCCCAAAGTGCTGGGATTACAGGCGTGAGCCACCGCGTCCGGCCCGAATAGTTTTTAAATTCTGGAGAAATCAGGTAGAGAGAAAGGTAAATGTTTCAATTTTGCTCACAAAAGTATATTTTACCCAATTATTGTAAGCTATAAATGACTCAAAAGAAAAATATAAAATGATTTATTGACTCTCGAAAACAAAATGTAAAAAGAAGGCGTGGTGTGGTGGCACACGTCTGTAGTCCCGGCTACTCTGGAGGCTGAGGTGTGAGGATCTCTTGAACTAGCAGTTTGAGTCCAGCCTGGACAACATAATTAGACACAATTTCTAAGGATAAAATTTTAAAGTTAAAAGGAAAAAGAAAAGGAAAATTAGAACAGTAGAGAAAATCAGAGGCCGTTTTTGTCTCTTAAAAAAATTTTTTTTAAAGGAATCATAAGAGTTTCAGAAAAAAAAAGTCATAAACAATTATATCAGTCTTTTATCAGTTTAGCCCCATGTAATGAATTCTTGTTTTGTTTGATGTTGGCCTATCAGTCTTCATGAATACATCAGCTTTTAATTAGAGATCCGGAAGTTTTTAACCTCATCCAATGGTATGATCTCCAAAGTTATCAGAAATCTATATTCAACAGTACTTGTCAGTGTTCTTTCCATAAATTTCTTTGAAAAGGCAAAGTTTAGACTTTAACCAATAGTAAATGGCTTTTTAAGAGAATCAAATTAAAACAATTTGGCAGGGCACATTAGCTGATGCCGGTAATTCCCAGCACTTTGAGAGGCCGAGGCAGGTGTATTACCTGAGGTCAGGAGTTGGAGACCAGCCTGACCAGTATGGTGAAACCCCATCTCTACTAAAAATACAAAATTAGCCGGGCACGGTGAAACATGCCTGTAATCCTAGCTGCTCAGGAGGCTGAGGCAGGAGAATCACTTGAATCTGGGAGGCAGAGGTTGCAGAGAGCCAAGATCATGCCATTGCACTCCAGCCTGGGCAACAAGAGCTAAACTCCGTCTCAGAAACAACAACAAAAACAATTCTCTGTGGATAACAAGACTTAGAATAGCTATGATTAAAGATGCAACTGGGGCCCGGCGCGATGGCTCACGCCTGTAATCCCAGCACTTTGGGAGGCCGGGGCGGGAGGATCACCTGAGGTCAGGAGTTCAAGACCAGCCTGACTAATGTGGAGAAACCCTGTCTCTACTAGAAATGCAAAATTTGCCGGGTGTGGTGGCATATGCCTGTAATCCCAGCTACTCAGGAGGCTGAGGCAGGAGGAGAATCGCTTAAACCAGGGAGGCAGAGGTTGTGGTGAGCCGAGATTGCGCCACTGCACTCCAGCCTGGGCACCAGAGTGAGATTCAGTCTCCAAAAAAAAAAAATGCAAGTGACAAAGAAATTTGATTATTTCTCTGGCATACAAGTTAACATAAAATCATAATTATGACTGATAACATATACCAAGACATATCAGAATTTAGAAATATCATAGAATATTGGAACACATGTAACCAACCCATGTATATGTACAAAAATATAACTTAAACACCGTTTCTTATTTGACAATGCTTTCTGTATGATTTTAACATACCAAACAAGCCTAATATGTCTCTTTTGGACTTCCAGGGGTTCCTATTATTCCATCCAAGTTAGTCAGGTGAAATAGACTTGATTTTAGAATTTGAAGTTTGATTTTGGGAAGTATTTCAAATATCAAAATTTTAAATACTTCTCGTTTCTCAGCCTTTTGACTAAGATCAAGTATGAAATGATTGATGTCAAAATAGGGCCACAAGTCACCATAAAATAAGTCAGTCATTTAGCCAAAGTGACAATTAAGACATTTCAAAAAACAAACACCTTTACTTTTTGAGAGAGAGGAGACTCAGTTTCCCAGTCAAAAGACCCAATACAGACAGCATAAGGCCAACGGAATCTATCTTTCCCTCTCTCCCTTCTCTTTCTTTTTTTTTTTTTTTTTGGCAGTTTACACAAAAGGTGAACAAAACCTCTTAATATCCCTTATTAATACTACACCAAAATCTTGTTCATACAAGAAAACCAAATTAGACCTTTGCATTAGTATATTATTAATGTGAAAGCTAATTTTAATAAAAACATAAATAAATCTATCCAATCTCAATCTGCTTTGACCACCTAAGTTTTTTATAAAACTTTTATAACTTTTTATCAATTTTAAAAAATTCTTTTATTTTCCCAACGTTTTATATTCATTTAGTTTTTCTACATAATTTTTAAAATGTGAAATGTGTCCAGCCTCTAAACTAGACAAAAGTACTTTGCATTTAACAAAAACTACATCTTCTGGGAGCTAAGTGATGAGAACACATGGACACATAGAGAGGAGCACAAACACCGGGTCCTTTGGGAGGGTGGAGGGTGGAAGGAAGGAGAGAATCAGGAAAAATAACTAATAGATACTAGGCTTAATATATTTAATAACTAAAAATAACTAATGGGTGCTAAGCTTAATACCTTAGTACCTTTCATCAACTGGGTAATAACATAATCTGCACAACAAACCCCATTACACAAATTTACCTATGTAATAAAAGTATACTTGCAGCCCTCAACTTAAAATAAAAGTTAAAAAAATATATCGTCATATTTTTTTTATTATTATTATACTTTAAGTTCTAGGGTACATGTGCACAACGTGCAGGTTTGTTACATATGTATACATGTGCCATGTTGATGTGCTGCACCCATTAACTTGTCATTTACGTTAGGTATATCTCCCATTGCTATCCCTCCCCCCTCCCCCCACCCCACGACAGGCCGCAGTGTGTGATGTTCCACACCCTGTGTCCAAGTGTTCTCATTGTTCAATTCCCATCTATGAGTGAGAACATGCGGTGTTTGGTTTTCTGTCCTTGTGATAATTTGCTCAGAATGATGGTTTCTAGCTTCATCCATGTTCCCACAAAGGACATGAACTCATCCTTTTTATGGTTACATAGTATTCCATGGTATATATATACCACATTTTCTTAATCCAGTCTGTCATTGATGGACATTTGGGTTGGTTCCAAGTCTTTGCTATTGTGAATAGTGCCGCTGTAAACATACATGTGCATGTGTCTTTATAGTAGCACGATTTATACTCCTTTGGGTATATACCCAGTAATGGGATGGCTGGGTTAAATGGTATTTCTAGTTCTAGATCCTTGAGGAATTGCCACACTGACTTCCACAAAGGTTGAAATAGTTTACAGTCCCACCAACAGTGTAAAAGTGTTCCTATTTCTCCACATCCTCTCCAGCACCTGTTGTTTCCTGACTTTTTAATGATCGCCATTCTAACTGGTGTGAGATGGTATCTCATTGTGGTTTTGATTTGCATTTCTCTGATGGCCAGTGATGACGAGCATTTTTTCATGTGTCTGTTGGCTGCATAAATGTCTTCTTTTGAGAAGTGTCTATTCATATCCTTTGCCCAATTTTTGATGGGGTTGTTTCATTTTTTCTTGTAAATTTGTTTAAGTTCTTTGTAGATTCTGGATATTAGCCCTTTGTCAGATGAGTAGGTTGCGAAAATTTTCTCCCATTCTGTAGGTTGCCTGTTCACTCTGATGGTAGTTTGTTTTGCTGTGCAGAAGCTCTTTAGTTTAATTAGATCCCATTTGTGAATTTTGGCTTTTGTTGCCATTGCTTTTTGTGTTTTAGTCATTAAGTCCTTGCCCATGCCTATGTCCTGAATGGTATTGCCCAAGTTTTCTTCTAGGGTTTTTATGGTTTTAGGTCTAACATTTAAGTCTTTAATCCATCTTGAATTAATTTTTGTATAAGGTGTAAGGAAGGGATCCAGTTTCAGCTTTCTACATATGGCTAGCCAGTTTTCCCAGCACCATTTATTAAATAGGGAATCCTTTCCCTATTTCTTGTTTTTGTCAGGTTTGTCAAAGATCAGGTGGTTGTAGATGTGTGGTATTATTTCCGAGGGCTCTCTTCTGTTCCATTGGTCTATATCTCTGTTTTGGTACCAGTACCATGCTGTTTTGATTACTGTAGCCTTGTAGTATAGTTTGAAGTCAGGTAGTGTGATGCCTCCAGCTTTGTTCTTTTTGCTTAGGATTGACTTGGCAATGCGGGCTGTATTTTGGTTCCATATGAACTTTAAAGTAGTTTTTTCCAATTCTGTGAAGAAAGTCATTGGTAGTTTGATGGAGATGGCATTGAATCTATAAATTACCTTGGGCAATATGGCCATTTTCACAATATTGATTCTTCCTATCTGTGAGCATGGAATGTTCTTCCATTTGTTTGTGTCCTCTTTTATTTTGTTGAGCAGTGGTTTGTAGTTCTTCTTGAAGAGGTCCTTCACATCCCTTGTAAGTTGGATTCCTAGGTGTTTTATTCTCTTTGAAGCAATTGTGAATGGGAGTTCACTCATCCTCATGTATTTCTTATAATGCTCTTCACACAAAATGCATCCTGTTTTTTGTTGTTTTTGTTGTTTTGTTTTTTTGAGACAGAGTCTCACTCTGTCAGCCAGGCTGGAGTGCAGTGGCATGATCTCGGCTCACTGCAACCTCCGAGTCCCGGGCTCAAGCAATTCTCCTGCCTCAGTCTCCTGAATAGCTGGGATTATAGGCGTGTGCCACCACTCCCGGCTAATTTTTGTATTTTTGGTAGAGACAGGGTTTCACCATGTTGGCCAGGCTGGTCTCGAACTCTTGACCTCAGGTAATCCGCCCACCTCAGGCTCCCAAAGTGCTGGGATTACAGGTGTGAGCCACCACGCCCAGCCCACATCCTGTTTTTTTAATACTTTCCATAAAGAGTTTTCCTCTTGTATCTAGCAGCTTTAATTACATATATTAATTACAATGTTAAATCTTAGTAAGCACTATTTCCAGTGAGAAAACTGGAAGTGATTTGAACTGTTTTATGTCAGTATCAATAGATTAAAACCATTTCATAATTTTGAGAAAAATGTCTGCTCATTTTTTATTAGCAGATCTAAGTATATTGAGTTTTTAAATATTAAACATAAGATGCCAAAGTATATAAACTTTACCTTATGTTTAATAATTAGTGTTTTAATATTTTAACTTATCTAGAAATGACTCAGACTCTTTATGCTTACCATTACTTAATTTAACATAACTTTTTAATATTTTAAATTACTAATAAAAAGTTTCTGTGCTTCTTGTTTCCACAGTTTTACCTAGTTTCCTGCCAATGTTAACGTTTTGCAAAACTGGAGTTCAATATTACTGAAAGGTTCTTGTATCAGTTCGAACCCTGAGAGCATGCCAGCAGACAACACGAGGCGGTGTGGAGCAACACACTGTTTTATTGAGCGCTTGGGTGCAGGTGGGCTGAGGCCTAAAATGGCGTCAGCGCCAGATGAGGCCAGGGCAGGGGTTTTATAGTCTCCTGCAAACACAAAGTGTGTCAGTCGGATGTAACTGCTATGCACGGTACCCGGACGGCCTCTCTCTCAGTCTTCAGGGGGTACGTGTCTTCCAGCCAGCTCTCTTTCTGCTTCTGCTATCTTGCTGATGCATGCTGCTGGCACAAGTTGCCTTGCGCCTTGGGACTGGGCCTGAGAAGGGAGGAGTTATTCATTCCCTTAAGTGTTCAGGCCCTGGGAAGAATCTTTCATTCCTGTGTATTTGGTTATAGAAAAAGGGAAAAGGGACGACTTTCTCAATAACTACTCTAAGTGTGACATGGGGGGTGGTGTGGGCACCTTGGAAACAAAGAAGAACTTAATTTTGGGGGTATTCTTTTTTTTTTTTTTTTTTTTGAGACGGAGTCTCGCTCTGTTGCCCAGGTTGGAGTGCAATAGCGTGATATCGGCTCACTGCAAGCTCCGCCTCCCGGGTTCACGCCATTCTCCTGCCTCAGCCTCCGGAGTGGCTGGCACTACAGGCGCCCGCCACCATGCCGGCTAATTTTTTGTATTTTTAGTAGAGATGGGGTTTCACCGTGTTAGCCAGGATGATCTCAATCTCCTGACCTCGTGATCCACCCACCTCGGCCTCCCAAAGTGCTGGGATTACAGGCGTGAGCCACCGCACCTGGCTGGGGGTATTCTTGAGAGACGGGTTGGTATCCATCATGTCATTGTAGCAGGAGGATCGTCTGGATTATCTGGCGGCTAACTGTAGTTTCAACAAGAGTTTTAATGGCTTTTATTATCCGTGGGATAACACAGGGGAGAAATAGGAGGAACCCAATGATGAAGATGACTGTCCCTACCAGAGTTTTAAATCCTCCTAAATTAGAGAACCACCCTCCTAAAAGGTTTGTTGGGTCCCATCCCTTCCAGGTTTGTACTGGTACATGGGCTGATTTTCTGATGTTTGAAGGAATTTCTAGAACCGCTTTTCCGTTATCGTCTATGTTAAGACAGCAATTAGAGATATTAACTTACCACAGACCCCACCTTCTTCTGCTAATAAGTAGTCTAGTGCTAGCCTGTTTTGATAAATTGCTGTGCACATTTGGTTTTGTAGTTGCACAAGCATTTCCAGGGCTGAGGCGGTTTGGTTAGTGATTCTCTCTAGAACCGCCTGTAGTCCAATTATTCTATTTAGGATATATACGGGAATGCAATAACCCTATGAACCAGCCTCAGACCAAGTGGCAGGACCGTTATATTCCATGATCTGTTGTGGAGGCCATTCGCCCTCTTGCCATCTTTGGCTTCCTCCTACCTTTAAGGATCGTTTTTCTCTGTTTAAGTTATCATACACAGGGACTCTGAGGTGTCACCTGCCTGCTTTGGAAGTAAAAAGAATCCAGGTTTTATTATGCCTAGGAAGCAAGTACCTTGCCAGTGATAAGGTAGCCATGAGTAAGCCTGGGTTCCACATATCCGAAAGAATCCATCGGGGCAATCCATTGTAGGCTGGTGTTCATAGGATTGTCCCATAGTGCACTTAGGCGGGGGTATGTGGCATAAGGGTTAGTGATGTTTGTACAGTTCCAGGCCCTTTTTGACGGAACACAATTGAGGTAGCTTAAGTTAGTTCATAAGACTGGGTGAGGTACTGAAACTCAAATATAAGAGGTAGAGTCTTCTGGAAATGAACCGAGTCTTTTGTTAATTTGAGAGAGATCAGTGAGGGAGAAGGGAACATGAACTCTAACAATACCTTCAGTTCCTGCTACTTCCCGAAGGGGGCACTGTAGCACAGGCGCTAAAGTAAGGGTGGGGGCATGGGCCAAAGATGGCACCTGAGCGAGTATGGGCAGGAGAGAAGGAAGAACCTGAAAGTGGTTCCTATTGAGGGTTTGAAGGGGGAAAGGAGGTTGAGTTAACAGGCAGTGGAGGATAGATAGGGGTGTAAGGTGGCGAGAAGGGTTTACAAGCCTCAGGAGAGGGCAATGAGGGAGGAGAATGGGTACAGGCAATACTAGAATTGTCCTGAGGAGGGGATGGTGTAGGAAAAGAAGTGGATACTGCTGACTGGGAAGATGGTCACTGGGAAGATGGCGATGGAGAAGATGGCGACTGGGAAGATGGCAGCTGAAAAGATCGCAGCTGAGAAAATAAAGAGGTGGCTTGGGGTTTAAAGAAGACGGTTGAGAGGGAGAGGTAGGGGCTGGGAGAGATGCACAGCAGTCTGCTGGATCCAGTGAGGAAAAAGAGGTGGAATCAGGAGGAGGAGGGCGATCTGGACGGCAAGAATGGAGGAGAAGAATTTGAACAAGTGAGCAAGAATTGCAGAGGTCGGGTTGTGATCTGAGTGCAAATAGGCCTGAACATAAGGAATTTCTCCCCATTTCTCCAGTCTTCGGCAATAATTGCTTAAATCAGTTGAAATTGCAAAGTTGAATGTTCCATTTGCAGGCCATCTAATTCGTACTGTGTCCAGACTGAAATGCAAAAAAAGACAAGGTGCTTAGGGTGGATATCTTGCCTGAGGCCTAAGGTTTGCAGGGTTTTTTATATAAGACGCAGCCTAGAGGGCTGGCACACATTGGAACCTTCTTGGACCGACATTGGATTTTCGGACTGGAGAAACCAAGAGAGGCCATGTGGATTTTTCCCTGTTAACTGGGCTCCCGGGGAACTTACCTGTAGGTGAGATCAGTGACCTACATGCATGCACATAGAGGTGACTGGAGGCTGAGCAGCTCCCTTTGTCCAGCTGCTGTGGTCTGCTGTCCGGGGTGGAGGGGTAGGTCCACAGGGAACATGGACTGGAGCCCCTCTTGGGTTTCAGCACCAGATGAAATGTTCTTGTATAAATTCAAACCCCGAGAGCATGCCAACAGACAACACGAGGCAGTGTGGAGCAACACGCTGTTTTAATGAGCGCCTGGGTGCAGGCGGGCTGAGGCTTAAAACGGCGTCAGCACCAAATGAGAATTGGGCAGGGGTTTTATAGTCTCCTGTAAACAGGAAGTGCCTCAGTCTGATGTAACTGCTATGCATGGTATCCAGATGGCCTCTTTCTCAGTCTTCAGCGGGTGTGTGTCTTCTGGCCAGCTCTCTTCCTGCTTCTGCTATCTTGCTGACTCAGGCTGCTGGCACAAGTGGTCTTGTGCCTTGGGACTGGGCCTGAGAAGGGAGAAGTTATTCATTCCCTTAAGCTTTCAGGCCCTGGGGAGAATCTTTCAATTACGATCAGGATATTGACATCAATATACTAAGATGCAAAATTTTCCCTCAAAACAAGGGTCATTTGCGTTGTTCTTTTATAGCTAATGTCTCACGTGTGTCTGTGTGAAGAGACCACCAAACAGGCTTTGTGTGAGCAACAAGGCTGTTTATTTCACCTGGGTGCAGGTGGGCTGAGTCTAAAAAGAGAGTCAGCAAAGGGTGGTGGATTATCATTGGTTCTTATAGGTTTTGGGATAGGCGGTGGAGTTAAGAGCAACGTTTTGGGGACAGGGAATGGATCTCACAAAATACATTCTCAAGGGTGGGGAGAATTACAAAGAAACTTCTTAAGGGTGGGGGAGATTATAAAGAACCTTCTTAAGGGTGGGGGAGATTACAAAGTACATTGATCAGTTAGGGTGGGACAGAAACAAATCACAATGGTGGAATGTCATCAGTTAAGGCTATTTTCACTTCTGTGGCTCTTCAGTTGCTTCAGACCATCTGGATGTACACGTGCAAGTCACTGGGGATATGATGGCTTAGCTTGGGCTCAGAGGCCTGACATTCCTGTCTTCTCATATTAATAAGAAAAATAAAACAAAATAGTGGTAAAGTGTTGGGGTGGCGAAAATTTTTTGGGGGGTGGCATGGGGAGATAATGGGCGATGTTTCTCAGGACTGCTTTGAGTGGGATTAAGGGCGGAGTGGGAACATACAGTGGGAGAGATTCAACTGAAGAAAGATTTTGGGGTAAGGGGTGATATTGTGGGGTTGTTAGAAGGAGCATTTGTTGTATAGAATTATGAGTGATGGCCTGGATGCGGTTTTGTGTGAATTGAGAAACTAAATGAAAGACACAAGGTCCGAATAAAAGAAGGAGAAAAACAGGTATTAAAGGACTAAGAATTGGGAGTACCCAGGATGTCCAATTAGAGAGTGTCCAAGGGGGTCTAACGTTATTGTTAGAGATTAAGCTGAAGGAAGATTTTGTGGTAAGGGGTGATATTGTGGGGTTGTTAGAAGAAACATTTGTCGTATAGAACGATTGGTGATGGCCTGGATACAGTTTTGGATGAATTGAGAAACTAAATGGAAGACACAAGGTAAGAGAAGGAGAAAAAGAGGTATTAAAGGACTAAGAATTGGGAGGACCCAGGACTTCTAATTAGAGTGTCCAAGGGGGTGCAAGGGGGTTAGCATAATTACTTGCTTGGTTTGCAAGCTTTTAGGCTCTATCTTTGAGTTTTTTTTAATGCTGTCATATACCAGGCCAGATCGATTTAGGTAAAAACAGCACTCTTCATTTAAAAATATAGAGCCCCCCCCCCCTTTTTTTTTTAGCAGTGAGTAAGTCGAGACCTCAGCAATTTTGGAGGAAAGAGAAATGCAAAGCCAGCAATTGTTTGTTAAAGAAGGATTAGAAACGGCTAGGAGAGAGTGACTGAGATTGATAGTGTGGTGGAGATAGCTGGGGAGAGGTAGAGGGTGGCATAAGAATGGGAACGAGAATAAAAGTATAAAAGTAAAGAATAGGACTTCATCAGGGTGAAAGTATTGGAGTATACTTTGCCACTGAAGATCTTCTATCCATTTTAAGAGAGACTTAAGGGTGGCAGTTTGAGGTAAAACCAGGCGCCACTGAATACCAAGAGCCTGAGAAACTGCTTGGGTGATTTGACTAGTAAAGGACGGTCTGTTATTGGACTGTATAGAGGTGAGAAGGCCAAACTGAGGAATTATATCTGACAGAAGGGAAGAAATGACTGCGGTGGCCTTCTTAAACCCTGTGGGAAAGGCCTCTACCCATCCCGTGAAAGTGTCTACCCAGACCAAGAGGTATTTTAGTTTCCTGACTTGAGGCATATGAGTAAAGTCAATTTGCCAGTCCTAGGCAGGGGCAAATCCCCGAGCTTGATGTGTAGGGAAGGGAGGGAGCCTGCAGATGGAACACTGAGAAGTGATTTCCTTAAGGATAGATTTCCATGATGGAAAGGAAATGAGAGGTTCTAAGAGGCGGGTTAGCATCTTGTAACCTACATGGAAGAGGTTATGAAATGACGACAGAATAGAATGGGCCTGTGAGGCTGGAAGGAGATATTTTCGTTGGTCCAAGAACCATTTGCCTTGTGTGGGAAGAGATTGATAGGTGGAAGTTTCAGTGGGGGCAGTAGGTGGGAGTGACCAGATGAGAAGGAGAAAAACTGCAGTGGGGGTTAGAAGTTGGAACGCTAGCTGCTTTTTTAGCTACCTTATCAGCATAAGCATTGCCCTGAGTGATGGGATCTGATGCCTTTTGATGGCCCTTGCAGTGAATGACTTCAGCTTCTTTTGGAAGTAAAGCGGCCTGAAGAAGAGTTTTAATTAAAGAGGCATTAATGATGGAGGACCCTTGCATAGTGAGGAAACCTTTCAGCCCATAAAACAGCATGGTGGTGCAGGATATGGGGTCAGTATAAATATTGATGCGTAGTCCTTTTGCAAGAGTGAGGGCCTGAGTTAAGGCAATGAGTTCGGCTTGCCGAGAGGTAGTGGAGGGGGGCAGAGCAGTAGCCTCAATGATAGATGTGGAAGATACTATAGCATAGCCTGCCTTTGCTGGTGTGTGGCAATTAGGCCTGGTGGAACTGCCATCAATAAACCAAGTGTGATCAGGGTGAGGAACAGGAAAGAAGGAAATATAGGGAAATGGAGTGAATGCCAAGTGTATCAGAGAGATACAGTCATGGGGGTCAGGTGTGGTATCAGGAATAATGTTGGAGGCTGGATTGAAGTCCGGGCCAGGAACAATGGTAACTGTGGGAGACTCAACAAAGCGTGAGTATAGCCGAAGGAGCCGGGGAGCAGAAAGTATATGCATCAGGTGTGAGGAAGAAAATAGATTTTGGAAGTTATGAGAGCTGTAGAAAGTGAGTTGAGCATAGTGTGTGATTTTGAGGGCCTCTAAAAGTATTAGGGCGGCGGCAGCCACTGCACGCAGACATGAGGACTAGGCTCAAAGAGTAAGGTCAAGTTTGGACAGAAAGGCTACAGGGCGTGGTCCTGGCTTTTGTGTAAGAACTCCAACTGCACAGCCCTGCACTTTGGCTGTGTGTAATGAAAAGTGTTGGGATGAGTTAGGGAGAGCTAGTGTGGGGGCAGCTTCTAGGGCTGTTTTTAAGGAAAGGAAAGAGGAGTGGCAAAAGGATTTAGGATCTATGGGGTCAGCTAGGTTTGGTTTTGTGAGTCTACATAATGGTTTAGTCAGGATGGTAAAACTAGGTATCCAAAGGCGGAAGTACCCAACTATGCCTAGGAAGGAAAGGAGTTGTTTTGTAGAAGGGGTTGGGGTTTGGGAGATTAGCCAGATACGATCAGCAGGGAAAGCACGTGTGTTTTCATGAAGAATTAGCTGCTGAGATAGGTAACAGATGGGGAAGAAATTTGGGCTTGACTGAAGTAATGGGGGCTGTCTGTGAAGCCTTGCGGCAGAACTGCCCAGGTAGTTTGCTGAGCCTGATGGGTGTCGGGGTCAGTCCAAGCGAAAGCAAAGAGAGGCTGGGATGAAGGGGGCAAGGAATAGTAAAGAAAGCATGTTTGAGATCCAGAACAGAATAATGGGTTATGGAGGGGTTGTGCAGAGAGGTACTGAGGATAGGAGAGTATGTGGGTTTGGCGTCACGGAGTGGACAGGCAAGACAATTTGGTTGATAAGGCGCAGATCCTGAACTAACCTGTAAGGCTTGTCCGGTTTTTGGATAGGTAAAATGGGGGAATTGTAAGGAGAGTTTATAGGCTTTAAAAGGCCATGCTGTAACAGGCAAGTGATAACAGGCTTTAATCCTTTTAAAGCATGCTGTGGGATGGGATATTGGCATTGAGTGGGGTAAGGGTGATTAGGTGTTAATGGGATGGTAAGGGGTGCATCATTTGTCGCCAAGGAGGGAGTAGAGGTATCCTATACTTGTGTATTAAGGTGGGGAGATACAAGGAGAGGATGTGAAGGAGGCTTGAACTGGGGCAGAAGGCAACAATGAGGTGTGGCTGTAGCCCAGGAATAATCAGGGAAGCAGATAATTTAGTTAAAATGTCTCAGCCTAATAAGGGAGCTGGGCAGGTGGGTATAACTAAAAAGGAGTGCATAAAAGAATATTGTCCAAGTTAGCACCAGAGTTGGGGAGTTTTAAGAGGTTTAGAAGCCTGGCCGTCAATGCCCACAACAGTTGTGGAGGCAAGGGAAACAGGCCCTTGAAAATAAGGTAATGCGGAGTGAGTAGCCTCCATATTGATTAAGAAGGGGACGGACTTACCCTCCACTGTAAGAGTTACCCAAAGCTCGGCATCTATGATGGTCCAGGGGGCTTCCGAGGCGATCGGGCTGTGTCAGTCTTCAGTCGCTAAGCTGAGAAGATCTGGGAAGGAGTCGATCAGAGCCTTGGGCCAGTTAGACAGTCCAATTTCCAATGGGGTCTGCACAGATGGGACACGGCTTAGGAGGAATCCCGGGCTGTGGGCATTCCTTGGCCCAGTGGCCAAATTTCCTGCACTTGAAGCAAGATCCTGGGGGAGGAAGTTCTGGAGGAACCCCTGGCAGCTGTGGTTCAGGTGTTTGGAGTTCTTGTGTGCTGGAGATCTGGCTGGGGTTTATCTCACAGTGGAGGCAAGGAATTGCAACTCAGAAATACATTGCTACTTGGCTGCCTCTACTCTATTACTGTACACCTTGAAGGCGAGGTTAATTAAGTCCTGTTGTGGGGTTTGAGGGCCGGAATCTAATTTTTGGAGCTTTTTCTAATGTCGGGAGAAGATTGGGTAATAAAATAAAATGCATATTGAGAACAAGATGGCCTTCTGACCTTTCAGGGTCTAGGGCTGTAAAGTGTCTAAGGGTTGTTGCCAAATGGGCCATGAACTGGGCTGGGTTTTTATATTTGATGAAAAAGAGCCTAAATGCCAACTGATCTGGGAGAGGTCGGATAAAGAAAAAGGAGCATTAACCTTGACTATGCCTTTAGCTCCAGCCACCTTTTTAAGAGGAAATTGCTGGGCAGGTGGGGGAGGGCTAGTCTCGGAACAAAACTGTAAGCCAGACTGGGTGTGAGGATGGGAGGTGATAGGAGGATTATAGGGTTGGGGAGCAGAGGCTGAGGAAGAATTGGGACCTGGCTTGGCCTGGGGAGGAGCAGCCTGGGGAGAAGGGGAGAGGTCAGATGAGTCCATAGAAAAGAAGGATTCAAAGGACTCAGAGCTTGGGTTGGAGACTGAAGGAACAGACAGGAGAGAAAGAAGAAAGATTTGGGATGAGTCGCATTGGGAACAGAGGCTAGGGAGGGACCAATGTGTAAAAGAATGCCTGGATGTCACGCATCTCAGACCATTTGCCTATTTTTCAACAAAATTTATCTAGATCTTGTAGGATAGACAAATCGAAAGTGCCATTCTCTGGCCACTTGGAACTACTGTTGAGTTTGTATTGGGATGAAGCAGTACTGCAGAAGAAAATAAGATGCTTAGATTTTAGGTCAGGCGAGAGTTGAAGAGGTTTTAAGTTCTTGAGAACACAGGCTAATGGAGAAGAAGGAGGAATGGAGGGTGGAAGGTTGCCTATAGTGAAGGAGGCAAGTTTAAAGAGAAGGGTAGAGACATGGAGAAGGGGGGTGGGGAGCAGCCAAAGCAGACATCCCCGCAATTGACTTGCCACCAAGGGAATGTGGGTGAATGACCAAGGCAGGCGTCCCGAAGGAGATCAGACACCAATGGAACGTGGGTGAATAATCAGAGAGGCATCCCCATAATGATTAAACACCAAGGGAAGGCTGCCTTCCCAAGTCCATGACCGGCGCCAGAGTTTTGGGTCCACGGATGAAATGTGTCTCCTTTGTCTGTACCAGAAAATGAAAGGAATTGAAATTAAGAGAAAGGAAAGATTGAAGGGTGGTGCCAAGATTGAAAGGAGAAAGAGATTGAGGGATAGTGAGAGAGGTTGGAGAAGAGAGTAAAAAGAGGCCACTTACCCGATTTAAAATTGGTGAGATGTTCCTTGGGCTGGTTGGTCTGTTCATAAATTTGGAAAGGAGAGCTTTATTTCTCATAAAGAGTTGCAGCCTATAGGGTGGCCATTCTCACAGGCTGGGAAATGTAGCCTCTGGTCAGAAGCTGAAAACAGACACTTGAGGGTAGAAAGAATAAGACATGGATTTATGCTAAATGAAGTAGCAAAATATACTTATTCAATAAGCGATAGGAGGAGTCATGAATATTTATGAAAGGAGAAACATACACATGTGCAGTTGAGCTTCATGCCTCTCCAGGGACCCATGTTCAAAAACTGGTGGCCAAAACAATCTGAGGGGAGAGTTTTTGGCCCTCCAACATCAAAAGGTGAAGCAGAGGACACAGCCTCACTGAGCTAGACACAGTGACTCATGCCTGTAATCCCAGCACTTTTGGAGGCTAAGACAGGTGGATCAATTGAGCCCAGGAGATCAAGACCAGCCTGGGCAACATGGCAAAACCCTGTCTCTACAAAAAATACAAAAAATTAGCTGGGTGTGGTAGGGCATTCTTGTGATGCCAGCTACTTGAGAGGCTGAGGTGGAAGGATTGCCTGAGCTGGGGAGGTGGAGGCTGCAGTGAGCCATTATCATGCCACCGTACTCCAGCCTGGGTGACAGGGTGAGATCCTGTCTTAATAAAAATAGTAAAAACAAAACCCCTCACTGTGCATCCTCTGTAGACTGGCCAGAATGATTCCATTGTCAATGGTCTCTATCAGTAAGGAATGCTGGTTGGTTATTTTGTTGAAACTTCAAAAGGGAGGGGCAGCATCAGGCAGTTGGTTGATATCAGGGTGGAGTGAGTCTTTCCAAAGATCTGGTTTCTGTTTAACTCTTAGGAAAGAAAGCCTAACGGTGGTTAGTAAGGGAAGGAGTATAAGGAGGGAGTATAAGGAGGGGCACAAGGAGGTGTTTCCAACCCCAGGTTTCTCTGGGGTTCCCTTGGCCAAGAGGGAGTCTGTCCAGTTGGTTGAGGGTCTTAGGATTTCATTTTGATTTCTCACCAATAAAGTGACTATAAACATTTGTGTACAGGTTTTTCCATGAACATGAAAGTACATTAGATTTATATTCCTGCTGTAACAAATCACCACAAATTTAGTGGCTTAAAACAATATAAACTTATTATCTTACACTTATGGAGGTCAGAGGTCTGCCTTTCTTCTGGAGTCTCTAGGGAAAAAAATCCATTCTTTGTCTTTTCCTTCCAGAGGCTGCTGGCATTTCTTGCTTTTGGCTTCATTAATCCACCTAATTTAATCACCTCTGCAAAAAGCCTCTGCCATGTGAAGTAATGTGTTCCCAAATTCTGTGGATTAGGATGTGTACATCATTATGGGGCTATTATTTAGGGGGGCACAGTGAATTTTCACTTCTCTGAGATAAGTGTAACTGCCTAGTGGTTTCACCTTGCCTGCTGCCTAGATAGAGCTGATTTACCAAGACAGGGGAATTGCAATACAGAAAGAGTAATTCACGCAGAGCCGGCTGTGCAGGAGACTGGAGCTTTATTATTTCCCAAATCAGTCTCCCCAAGCATTCAGGGATCAGAGTTTTTAAGGATAATTTGGTGGGTTGGGGACAGCCAGTGAGTCAGAAGTGCTGACTGATTGAGTCGGAGATGAAATCATAAGGAGTCAAAACTGTCTTGCATGGAGTCAGTTCCTGAGTGGGGGTCACAAGATCAGATGAGCCAGTTTATCAGTCTGGGTGGTGCTGTTACTGGAGGAGGGTCCTGATCCAGACCCCAAGAAAGGGTTCTTAGATCTTGCACAAAAAACGACTCGAGGCAAATCCATAAAGTGAAAGCAAGTTTATTAAGAAAGTAAAAGAATAAGGAATGGCTACTCCATAGGCAGAGTAGCCCCAAGGGCTGCTGTTTGTCTGTTTTAATGGTTATTTCTTGATTATATGCTAAACAAGGCATGGATTATTCAGGAGTTTTCTGGAAAAAGGGTGAGCAATTCCCAAAACTGAGGGTTCCCCTTTTTCGACTATATAGGGTAACTTCCTGGCATTGCCGTGACATTTGTAAACTGTCATGGCACTGGTGGGAGTGTGTTTCAGCAAGTGAATGCATCATAATTAGTGTATAATGAGCAGTGAGGATGACCAGAGGTCACTTTTGTCACCATCTTGGTTTTGGTGGGTTTTGACCGCTTCTTTATCTCATCCTTTTATCAACAAGGTCTTTATGACCTGTACCTTGTGCTGACCTCCTATCTCATCCTGTGACTTAGACTGCCTGACCTCCTGGGAGTGCAGCCCAGTAGGTCTCAGCCTTATTTTACCCAGCCCCTATTTAAGATGGAGTCATTCTGGTTCATGTACCTCGGACAGTGCCAGCTGATTCATGAAGTGCAGGGTCTGCAAAATATCTCAAGCACTCATCTTAGGTTTTACAATAATAATGTTATCCTCCAGGTGCATGACTCCAAAATCATAATTTCTAATCTTATGGCTAATTTGTTAGTCCTACAAAGGCAGTCCTGTCCCCAGACAAGAAGGAGGTCTATTTTGGGAAAGGGCTTTTATCATCTTTGTTTTAAACTATAAACTAAGTTCCCCCCAAATTTAGTTCAACCTATGCCCAGGGATGAGCAAGCATAATTTGGAGGTTAGAAGCAAAATGGACTTGGTTAGTTAAGATCTCTTTCACTGTCTCAGTTATAATTTTACAATGACAGTTTCATAAGTACCTAAAAGTGCAACAATTTGTTCATATGGTAGTTGTATGTATAGTTTTATATGAAATTGTCAGTTTTCCATAGTGACTGCCTCAGTTTATAATCCCATCAGCAACATGGGAATGACATAGTTTCTCTACAACTTCACAAGCATTTGGTGCTCTTACTCTTTTTTATTTTAGCCATTCTAATAGGTGGTTAATGATATCTTACCATGGCTTTAATTTGCATTTCTCTAATAGCTAAAGATGTTGGATATACTCATGGTTTTTACATGTCATCTGTATATTCTCTTTGGTAAAATATCTGTCCATATCTCTTTGTCTGCATTATTTTTAATGTAAATAACCAGCAGTTCTTTAGAAATATTTTCACCAGGGGTAATAACAGAATTAAGTCGTTCTTTGGATAGATTTTTCACCTGCATCTCTGAGGAAATTTTAGTGTAGTGCTTCTAAAACTTTAGTGTGCATCAGAATCATGAGTAGAGCTTATTAAACTAATTGTTGCGATCCAACCCAAATTTCTGATTTAGTAACCATGGGGTGGGGCCCTAGATTTAATCTGCATTTCCAATGAACTCCCTTGTGTTGCTAATGCTCTTATTCCAGGAAATAATTTCCTGCTGCCTTTTTTTCTCTTCTTTGAGACAGGGTCGCACTTTGTTGCCCAGGCTGGAGTGTAGTGGTGCAAACACAGCTCACTGCAGCTTCAACTTCCTGGGCTCAAGTGATCATCCCACCTTAGCCTCTCAAGTATCTGGGACTACAGGTGCATGCCACTACACCCAGCTAATTTTTGTATTTTTTGTAGAGATGGGGTTTCACCACATTGCCAAGGCTGGTCCTGAGCTCAAGGGATCTCCCTGCCTCAGCCTCTCAAAGTGCTGGGATTACAGGTGTGAGCCACTGCACCACACCCACCATTTTTTGTCATTGTAAATTTTCCTGTAGTAAACTGACCATGAATGAGAAAGTTGTGCTCAAAAGTGAAGTGCTACCAAAAAACAAAAATGGTTGGGGACATGTCAAAAAGATGCAAGAACCAACCTGATCTTCAAAAGGCCAAAACGAGAGTAATTTGAACAACAAAATTAGTAATAACTGTACTGGATTATAACCTAAAGAATAAAACAAATATCTCTAAGTCCTGTGAAGGAAAATATATCTTCAGACCCCAGATTCACTAAGCCAAAGGGAAAAGTCAAGCTGTCAGGTAAAACTGCCTCCCATTGTATTCCTAAATAAAATAGCTACAAAGATAAAAAGGCTGTATACCTCCCTCACAACTTTCCCACAAGGAAATTTCTTGTAGACAAAGGACAGAAAGAATTCAGAGCCATCCCTCTGCTCCTGTGAGACAAATGCATATGTGGGTGCTTCTTTTGCCCTATTGTTTCACTAAGCTAGATGAAGGCATAAGCGACTATTCCTATAAATTGTGTATTCAGTCAAAGGCTAATCAGAAACTCAAAAGAATGCAATCGTTTGTCTCTTATCTACCTATCTAGATGGGATAATTCCCTTGACCCCCTTCATGGGCAGGAACTGGAATGGTTTGTTTCACTTAGCCCTCCACTGGCCACTCCTCATGAGAGGGAGCATGCAAGCAAGCAAGTATGGGAACCGGAGCAAATGAACCAAATGAACTCTGGAACCCACCTGTTGTTCCCCTCTGATGGAGCAGGCTCTGTGCAGCCCTGCAGCAGCATCAAAGCATATTACAACTCTTTCGTCTCTGCCATCTGGGGATGGCCAAGTGCCAACCAGTTGAAAGGGTCAGGTTGGCAGCCCCTGCCCTCTCAGTACCTGGGTTCTTGTTTGGCATCCAGGAAGAATCATGTCACATGAATGGATTGAAGGGTAGTGTATGTGGAGGATTTTACTGGGCAGTGGAAGTGGCTCTCAGTGGGATGGGGAGTCAGAAAGGGGATGGATGGTATGGGAAGAAAGTGATCTTTCCCTGAAAACTGGCCATCTCTGGCCGGGCCCCTCTCTGAAGCCGCACCGTCTGAAGTTAGCCATGTCTATACATAGTCTCCAATGCTCAGTTGCTTCTCTGCTCACCACTCAACCACTTGTATCCCCAATGCTCAGCTGCTTGTATCCCCAACGGCCACTTACATTGCTCTGCCAGCTGAAGTCTTTTTATGGGCACATGATATGGGCATGGCAGATCAAAGAGGCAACATTTGGGTGGAAAAAATGGGGTCGGCTGTTTTCACTTAGGGCCTCAGTTTCAGGCTTAAGGGTGGGGTTTAGCAGGGAGCCCAGCCCTTCTGTATCACTATGACTTGGATGCCCATCCCCACTTCAAGTTGTCCCACCTTTCTGGACAGAACAAATGTGCATCTTACATATATTGATTAATGTCTCATGTCTCCCTAAAATGTATAAAACCAAGCTGTGCCCTGACCCCTTTGGGCACATGTCAACAGGACTTCCTGAGGCTGTGTCATAGATGTGTCCTTAACCTTGGCGAAATAAACTTTCTAAGTTGAGTACGACCTGTCTTACATATTTTGGGTTCCTAGTCCATTGCTATATAAATAAATGGGGGAGGCTGGGTGTGGTGCCTCACACCCGTAATCCCAGCACTTTGGGACACCAAGGTGGGTGGACCGCTTAAGGCCAGGAGTTCGAGATCAGCCTAGCCAACATAGTGAAACCCTGTCTCTACTAAAAATACAAAAATTAGCCAGGCGTGGTGGCAGGCACCTGTACTCCCAGCTACTCAGGAGGTTGAGGCGGGAGAATTGCTTGCAACTGGCAGGCGGAGGTTGCAGTGAGCTCACTTCACTGCACTCCAGCCTGGGTGACAGAGTGAGACCCTATCTCAAAAAAAAAAAAAAAAAAAAAAGAATAAATGGGGGAGAAGGGGCAAGACTTACCTACATATGAATTCTAAATAACATATCTAAGTACTCTCCCACCAAAGAGGTGAAGTTTTAATTCTCTTCCTCTTGAGTATGGGCTGGATTTAATGACTCATCTTAAGGAGAAAACACTAACTTTGCCATGGAAAAATCTGACAGACATCATCTTAACCAAATGATCAAGAGGGATATCACCAATATATACATACTGAAGTCATGTATGACATATGATGTGATGAGAAAGGCACCTCTCCTTGTGGTACTGTCCTCCCGTGGCAGGGTGAACTCACAAATTGGGGCTCAGCCTGGAAGGACAAGTGGGTTCTTGGCTTCATGCAGGAAAGAGTTCAAAAGCAAGCTGACAGGGTAAAGTGAAAGCAAGTTTATTACGAAAGTAAAGGAATATCAAAGTAATAAAAGCCATTTATGACAAACCCACAGCCAGTACCATGCTGAATGGGGAAAAGTTAAAAGCATTCCTGTTACCGGTAGAAGGTATTCAAGTTTGCTAGGGGTGAATCCATACGGGTCTGCAACAACCTCAGTTCTTGCCCCCTCAGAAGGAAGAATTCAACTGAGGGACACAAGGCAGAAAAGGAGACTGAGGCAAGTATACAGAGCAGGAGTGAAGGTTTATTTAAAAAGGCTTAGAACGGGGCTAGGTACAGTGGCTCATGCCTGCAATCCCAGCACTCTGGGAGGCCAACGCGGGTGGATCAGCTGAAATCACAAGCTCAAGACCAGCCTGGCAAACAGGGCAAAACCATGTATCTACTAAAAATACCAAAAAAAAAAAAAAAATAGCGGGGCTTGGTGGCGGTCACCTGTAGTCCCAGCTCCTCAGGAGGCTAAGGCAAGACAATCACTTGAGCCTGGGAGGCGGAGGTTGCAGTGAGTGGAAATTGCGCCACTGCACTCCAGCCTGAAAGACAGAGCGAGACTTCGTCTCAAGAAAAAAAAAAAAAAAAGAACAGGAAAGAAAGGAAGGTACACTTGGAAGAGTCCCAAGTGGGCACCGAGGTCAAGTGAGATGTTTCACCTTGATCCTAGGACTTTATAGGCTCACCCCTTTCTCATGATTCTTTCCTTAGGATGGGCCGCCCACATGCACGCGCCCTACCTAGCCTTGGGAAGTGAGCATGTGCAGTGTGTTTAGGAAGTTGTACGTATGCCCATCTTTTTTTTTTTCTCTTTTTTTTTTTTGAGACGGAGTCTCACTGTCACCCAGGCTGGAGTGCAGTGGCATGATCTTGGCTCACTGCAACCTCTGCCTCCCAGGTTCAAGTGATTCTCCTACCTCAGCCTCCCGAGTAGCTGGGGCATGAACCACCACATCTGGCTGATTTTTGTTTTTGTTTTTTGAGACAGAGTCTGGTTCTGTTGCCTAGGCTGGAGTGCAATGGCGTGATCTCAGCTCACTGCAACCTCTGCCTCCCAGGTTCAAGCAATTCTCCTGCCTCAGCTTCCCATGTAGCTGGGACTACAGGTGCCAGCCACCACCCACGGGTAGTTTTTGTATTTTTAGTAGAGATGGGGTTTCACCATGTTGATCAGGCTGGTCTCAAACTCCCAACCTCAGGTGATCCGCCCGCCTCAGCCTCCCAAAGTGTTGGGATTACAGGCGTGAGGCACTGTGCCCGGCTTAATTTTTGTATTTTTAGTAGAGATGGGGTTTCGCCATGTTGACCAGGTTGGTCTTCAACTCCTTACCTCAAGTGATTCACCCGCCTTGGCCTCTCAACGTGCTGGGATTACAGGTGTGAGCCACAGCACCCAGCCTGTATGCATGCCAATCAGGCTTTTTTCCCTTTTCCAGTGGAGTGCCCCGAGACATCATACTCCACCATTTTGTCTCTTAATGCACATGCCTGGGAAGTTGCTTCTCCCTAGTGTCTGCTTTCAATTAACATTTTAGTGCAATAGGTGTAGACTATCAGGAAATGGCCTCTTCCTGGCACCACCTGCCAATTTATCACTTTTAGAGAGGCAATGTGATAACTGCTGAACCATCACCCGACATTCCTAGTGGGTAGGGGAAGAACCCTCTCCTGCCCTACTCATGCCAGTCTAACTACATGTAACAATGAAAGACCAAGAAACTGAGAAATTGGAGGGGATTAAATAGACGTGACACTGAAATGTTATGTGGTATTCTAGAATAGAAAAATATATATATTCGTGGGAAAACTGAGGAACCCTATAGTTAACAATATTGTACGCACGTTAAAAGTATTGTACCCATGTCAATTACAATTTTTTAAAGCCCATATCTTGGTATAATTACAATGTTGTGTAAGATGTGAAAATTAAGGAAAGGCGAGTGAAGAATACACAGGAACTCTCTTTGCAATACTTCCATAAATTTAAAATTATTTCAAAATAAAGGTGCTTTTTTCTTTTTTCTTTTTTTTTTTTTTGCTTGTTGCCCAGGCTGGAGTGAAATGGCCCAATCTCGGCTAACCGCAACCTCCTGGGTTCAAGCAATTCTCCTGCTTCAGCCTCCCGAGTAGCTGGGATTACAGGCATGCACCATCATGCCAGGCTAATTTTATATTTTCAGTAGAGACGGGGTTTCTCCATGTTGGTCAGGCTGGTCTTGAACTCCTGACCTCAGGTGATCCTCCCACCTCGACCTCCCAAAGTGCTGGGATTACAGGCGTGAGCCACCACGCCCAGCCAAAGATGCCTTTTTTTTTTTTTTTTTTTTTGAGATGCAGTTTTACTCTGTCGCCCAGGCTGGAGTGCAGTGACACAATCTTGGCTCACTGCAACTTCCACTTCGTGGGATCAAGTGATTCTCATGCCTCAGCCTCCCAAGTAGCTGGGCTTACAGGCACCCACCACCATGCCTGGCTAATTTTTGTATTTTTAGTAGAGATGGGGTTTCACCATGTTGGTCAGGCTGGTCTTGAACTCCTGACCCCAGGCGATCCACCTGCTTCAGCCTCCCAAAAGTGCTGGGATTATAGGCGTGAGCCACTGAGAGGTGACAGCATGCTGGCAGTCCTCAAAGCCCTCGCTTGCTCTCGGCACCTCCCCTGCCTGGGCTCCCACTTTGGTGGCATTTGAGGAGCCCTTCAGCCCCCCCACTGCACTGTGGGAGCCCCTTGCTGGGCTGGCCAAGGCTGGAGCCCACTCCCTCAGCTTGCAGGGAGGTGTGGAGGGAGAGGCACGAGCGGGAACCGGGGCTGCGTGCCACGCTTGCAGGCCAGCTGGAGTTCCGGGTGGGCGTGGGCTTGGTAGGCCCCGCACTTGGAGCAGCCAGCCAGCCCTGCTGGCCCCGGGCAATGGGGGACTTAGCAGCCAGGCCAGTGGCTGCGGAGGGTGTACTGAGTCCCCCAGCAGTGCCAGCCCACCGGCGCTGTGCTCGATTTTTCGCCAGGCCTTAGCTGCCTTCCCGCGGGGCAGGGCTCAGGACCTGCAGCCCGCCATGTCTGAGCCTCCCACCCACTCCATGGACTCCCGTGCGGCCCGAGCCTCCCCAACGAGCACCACCCCCTACTCCACGGCGCCCAGTCCCATCGACCACCCAAGGGCTGAGGAATGCAAGCGCACGACGCGGGACTGGCAGGCAGCTCCACCTGCAGCCCTGGTGCGGGATCCACTAGGTGAAGCCAGCTGGGCTCCTGAGTCTGGTGGGGCCTTGGAGAATCTTTATGTCTAGCTCAGGGATTGTAAATACACCAATCAGCACCCTGTGTCTAGCTCAGGGTTTGTGAGTGCACCAATCAACACTGTATCTAGCTTCTCTGGTGGGGCCTTGGAGAGTCTTTATGTCTAGCTCAGGGATTGTAAATACACCAATCAGCACCCTGTGTTTAGCTCAAGCTTTGTGAGTGCACCAATGGACACTCTGTATCTAGCTGCTCTGGTGGGGCCTTGGAGAACCTGTGTGTTGAAACTCTGTATCTAACTAATCTGATGGGGACGTGGAGAACCTTTGTATCTAGCTCAGGGATTGTAAACACACCAATCAGCGCCCTGACAAAACAGGCCACTCGGTTCTACCAATCAGCAGGATGTGGGTGGGGCCAGATAAGAGAATAAAAGCAGGCTGCCCGAGCCAGCATTGGCAACCCGCTCGAGTCCCCTTCCACGCTGTGGAAGCTTTGTTCTTTTGCTCTTTGCAATAAATCTTGCTACTGCTCACTGTTTGGGTCCACACTGCTTTTATGAGCTGTAACACTCACCGCGAAGATCTGCAGCTTCACTCCTGAGCCCAGTGAGACCACGAGCCCACTGGGAGGAACGAATAACTCCAGACGCGCTGCCTTAAGAGCTGTAACACTCATCGCGAAGGTCTGCCGCTTCGCTCCTGAGCCAGTGAGACCACGAACCCACCAGAAGGAAGAAACTCCGAACACATCTGAACATCAGAAGGGACAGACTCCAGACGCGCCACCTTAAGAGCTGTAACACTCGCTGCGAGGGTCCGCGGCTTCATTTTTGAAGACAGTGAGACCAAGAACCCACCAATTCCAGACACACCACCACCACTGTCGGCTTTTTTTTTTTTTTTTTTTTAATACATGGACTTTTGGTCCAACCCTAGAGCTTCTGATTCTGTAAATAAGGGCTGAGTCCTGAGAATCTGCATTTGAATAAGTTCCTAGGAGATGTTGCTGCTAGTCCCAAGGAAACAGTTTGAAGAAATTGCTTTAAGCAAATCTTAAGGTTATTTGATGTTTTCTGCTGCCTTTTTCTTACCATTGTAAATTTCTCTGCAGTAAACTTAAGAATAAATGGAAAAGTTTTGGCTTTTCTGTTTCAAAGCAGATTGATTGACTGATTTTTTACTTTATTCAGTGTCCTTCTTAGCTATTAGTGGTTTTACCTTATGCATGATATTTAAGAATACCTCCTTTTAAAAGTGCATCGATCAATCCTCAAGCTGAATTCTCTACACTTCGTTCATGTACTATATATGTTACTTAAAGATAACAGAAAGCCTTATAAATTTTGGCTTAAACACTGGTAAAATTCAAAGATAAGTTTAAGTGCTGCTAGTTAACAAAGCAAATCCAGGAAATTACTAGGCACAGAGTTTATTACTAAGTATCCCCCCACCCATTCTCCCCCTCTTCCTTAGTAATAAACATCCTCATTTTTAACTGAACACATGGCCACTCAGAATATATTTTCCAGCTTTCACTTAACTTTAAATACTTGTAGGAAACTATGTTTTAGTTAGTAGAAAGTAGCCAGAAATGTTAATATAGTTTGGATGTTTGTCCCCTCCAAATTTCACAATTAAATGTAATCCCCAGCCGGGTGCGGTGGCTCAAGCCTGTAATCCCAGCACTTTGGGAGGCCGAGGCGGGCGGATCACAAGGTCAGGAGATCGAGACCATCCTGGCTAACACGGTGAAACCCCGTCTCTACTAAAAATATGAAAAATTAGCTGGGCGTGGTGGCAGGATCCTGTAGTCCCAGCTACTTGGGAGGCTGAGGCAGGAGAATGGTGTGAACCTGGGAGGCGGAGCTTACAGTGAGCCGAGATCGTGCCACTGCACTCCAGCCTGGGCGACAGAGCAAGACTCCATCTCAAAAAAAAAAAAAAAAAAAGTAATCCCCAATGTTGAGGGTGGAGAGGCATTTGGATCACTGGGGCAGATCCTTCATGAATGGTTTAGCACCATCCCCTTGGTGATGATTGAGTTCTTTCTCTGAGTTCACAGAAGATCTGGTTGTTTAAAAGTGTGTGTCACCTCCCCCATCTCACTCTTGCATCCATTCTCGTCATGTGTAAGCTAGCTCCCCCTTTGCCTTCTGCCATGATTGCAAGCTTTCTGAGGCCTCATCAGAAGCCAAGCAGATGCTGGACCATGCTTCCTGAATAGCCTGCAGAACAGTAAGTCAATGAAACCTCTTTTCTTTATAAATTTCCCAGTCTCGGGTATTCCTCTGTAGCGATGCAAAAACAGACTAATACAAATGGGAAAAATGCAATTTCTACAAAATGTCCTTAAAGGAGAACAATGTGCTTTCTTAACCTTGTTTTTCTGCTGGTGGGAATGTGATTAGGATGGCTGGAAGTTGAGCAGCCATCATGGGCCACAGGTAGAGGTATCATAATGAGGATTGTTAGATATGAGTTCTAAATTTCTTTTCAAAGAATCAATATGTCAGTATGTTCAATTCTTTGCCTTTTACTTTTAAACTTAACTTCCTCATAAAGCAACCTTTTTCGATTACCTGCTCCATCCTGACTCATTCTGATTACCTACTCCACCCTGACTCATTCCAATTACCTGCTCTGTCATAACCATTTTTCCCGCCAAACCACTCACCCTGTCAGTCTCTTTAAGTTAGCCAGTCAGAATTAGTTTAGCCTGTGCGGTCTAACCCTAGCCAATAGGGGAACAACACAGCAGAAGGGGCCACATGCGTCAGGGATAGAACCCCTTCCCTTCCCTTGTCTAAGTCTGTGCTCACCGTTGTTCCATCTGTAAGGGTGCACCCTTCTGTAGAAGTAACTTGCCTTGCTGAGAATTAAAAAGTAAATTCTATATTCGAGTGCTACTTCTTTTGTGGCAACAAAACTTTATTTATAACAGGATGGTGGAACAACAGACTAGAAGAAGCCTGGATTATCTGATACAATGGCAACCCAAGTCCTGGAGTATATCCAGACTGCTGTTGTATGAGAAAAACAGATTTCTATCTTCGGCTCCTGTTATTTTGAACTTGATACCACTTGTAGCTGAACCTAATTTGAACTGATACAAGTAATCATACAGAAGTTACAGTTGTGCAGACTGGAACTTCACTGTCTGTAATTTCAGCACTTTGGGAGGCCAAGGTGGGAGGATCCCTTGAGCCCAGGAGTTGGAGACCAGCCTGGGCAACATAGCAAGAACATGTTGCTATAATTAAACAACAAAACAACAAATAACAACAACACACGCACACACAAACACCAAAGTTGGCTGAGGGAAAAATGGGGCCTTAAATCCAGCCTGCCCTCTCCTTTCCAAGCTTTGCACTGTGCTGTGTGCTCCAGGAGACTGACACACCCTAGTGGCTCTTTAGAAGAGTGCATTTTTACCTAGAAACTAGGCTCTGTGGCAACATTTTTCAAAATATCCTCTCCATTCTCCTTGCCCAAGACCATGGGAACCCATCTCTTGCATCATCATGACATGGATGTGAGACCTGGAGTCAAAGGGGATCATTTTGGAGCTTTAAAATTTGAGTGCCCTTTGCATGGGCCCTGTAACCCCTTTGTTTTGGCCAATTTCTCCCATTTGGAATGGCTGTATTTACCCAATATCTGTACCCCCTTTGTATCTACGAAGTAGCTGGCTTGCTTTTTATTTTACAGGCTCATAGGCGAAAGGGACTTGCCTTGTCTCAGATGAGACTTTGGACTGTAGACTTTTGGGTTAATGCTGAAATGAGTTAAGACTTTGGGGTACTGTTGGGAAGGCATGATTGGTTTTGAAATGTAAGAAATGAGATTTGGAGGGGCCAGGGCAGAATGATATAGTTTGGCTATGTCCTCACCCAAATCTCAACTTGAATTTATCTCCCAGAATTCCCACGTGTTGTGGGAGGGACCCAGGGGGAGGTAATTGAATCATGGGGACCGGTATTTCCCATGCTAATCTCATTATAGTGAATTAAGTCTCATGAGATCTGATAGGTTTATCGGGGTTTCCCACTTTTGCTTCTTCCTCATTTTCTCCTGCTGCCCTCCATGTAAGAAGTGGCTTTTGCCTCCTGCCGTGATTCTGAGGCCTCCCCAGCCATGTGGAACTTTAAACACAATTTAACCCCTCTTTCTCTTCTCAGTCTCGGGTATGTCTTTATCAGCAGCATGAAAACGGACTAATACACTCCTGGAGGCATTGGAGATGGTTTCAGGTAGTCCCCAGATGTACTTCAAAAGTCTGTTAATATTAAATTAAGTAGGTTTATATCTGAGGGTAGGTATTATTGCTAGGAAGAAAAGCCATAAAGAAAGAAGTTTGTTGAGCAAAAATGAAAGAGAATAGAAGCTCATAATATTATGTCATTAGGCAGTATTATATGGTAGTTATTAGAGTGGGAACTTGGGAGTCACACTGCTTGAGTTCAAATCCTGGCTCTCATAGTGACTAGCTGTGTTGTTTGTGGCGTGTTTCCTAACCTCACTGTGTCAGTTTTTATAATGGCACTTCTGCAAGGATGCTGTGGGAATTAACATGACATATAATGTGTTCTCAATAAATGTAAGCGATTACTATTTCCGGGAATCTTTTAGCGAAGGAACAATTCATTACCTGTATATAGCCACAATTTGCTGAAAGCTTACTTTTGTGTCAGGAACTGTACACGAAGGACCTAATTTTACTCATGAGGAAGCTAAAGCTTAGAAAGTTTCAGTGCCTTTACCAAGATTATAACACTAATTCTTGCTCCACTAGAATTTAAATTCGAATTGATTGGGTTCCAAAGCCATGATACTAAGGATCAAAGACAAGGCTTGCAAGATTTAAGCCTCCTCTTGTATATTCTCTCTCAAGTTCCTGGCTCATAGCATGTACCAGCAAACTCATTAAAACTAAAACGGTCTGTTTGGGAGTGAAGGATGGGAGACATTGAGAGCAACAGCAGAAAGGGTTGGGGGAGTCTTGGGAAATGCAAGGGTGCTTAGGTTGGGACCCGTGGCAATGAATGGAAGGGCAAGGGAAACTGTCTAACCAGAACTTAAAAATGCCTCTTGGTGATTTACATGAAAAGTGGCCTCTCAAGTTTTTCTATTATTCAGTGCTTCTAAGATACTGTTGCACTGTAAACCACAAAATTAATCTTATGATTCTACAATTTTACTTTCTAAATGATCACTTATTTGATGGTTTTTGAAGTACAGAAAGTATTTGGTCATTTAAATTATTTCCTTCCATGGACTCTGTATCACTGAGACAAGGAATCTTTGCCTTTATTGTAGATATTTCAATGAAAATGTCAACACGTTGCAAATTGGCATACTTTGGGTTTGCCAATATGTGATAAAGAACTTTTTCAATGGAAACTTTCCCTCTTTTCAGGGCCGAAAAGACGCTCTGCAACTATACTTAAGTATCCTAGGCAACTTTATTCATTCAAAAACATCAGAGCGGAGTCAAAAGCACAAATCCATGAATTGGGCGGCGAAGTCTGACTCCAGAGATTACGGCTGAACTGGGTTTGGAAAGACTGAACCCGCGCCGGTGCTCCTCCTGTTTGCTTGGACTTAAGTTTGAGTACCACAACTCTAACCTGCCACTTCAGCTGCACGGGCAGGCTTGTGGGGACCCAGCAACTCCGTCCAGAGAGCGGCTGAGTCAGCCAGCCGTCCCCACGGCTTTGGGCAGCCGCCGAAGGCTCCTGCTAGGCCCGGCTGGCTCACCGGGAAGTTCCCTGCCTCCGTCCCGTCAGCCTCCAGGAGGGCGCCGCCGGCCGCCGTGACTTCAGCAAGGCACTACTATCTCCGTCAGCCGCCGCCTCGGCCATCTTCCTGCCCGGAGTGCAACAAAATCCGGCTCTGGCCAGCCTTCCAGCTGACGCCACTCTGCCAGGGCCCTGCAGCCTCGGAGCGGGATAGAAGGAAGCCGCAGAAAAGACGCTGAAAGTTGGCGCTCGCTGACGCCCCGACGCGCTCCCTCCATGACGCATGCGCCCACCGGCCGTGAGCGCGGGTCCGGTCTCCGGTGACGTGGCGGTGAGGAGGCGGAGCCAAGATCAGCGGCGGGAGGGTGGGGGAGGAAGAGCGAGGTGAGCGCGGACGTCAGAGTGGAGAGCGGAAGGTCAGGGAGGCTCGGAGCGGAAGTGAGACTAGGGAGTCTGTCCGCCATTGTGGACCCGAGAAGCAGAGAGCGAGAGGGGGAAGAGGAGCGTGCAAGCGGAAAAGACGGGCCTCTTCCTCCGACTCCCGAGCGCGAGGCCCTCATTTTGGGTTCTCAGCGAACGGCGGCAGCGGCGGCGGCTGGAACAATCACTCGGCCAAGGGCGACAGCCAACTGCTGTGAGTGCACGGGGAGAGGCCCAGGCAGCGGCGGCGGCGGCGGCTCTCGGGTTGCGGTGAAGAATGTCAGCCACTAGCGTGGATCAGGTGAGGGAGCAGAGGCCCCAGGCTTGGCGAAGGCCCGAGCCCCGGAGCTCCACCCTCGCGCGGGGCTTCGGCTCCTCCCCGTCGCCGCCGCTGCCGGCCCCATAACGGTGCCCCGGGCGCAAGTTGCTGCGGTGTAGCTACCCGGGCCGGGGCGTGCGCCCTGGCCCCGTAGCTTGCGGGCGGGCGGGCGCGGTGCCGCGGCGGGTGGGGGCAAGGACCGGTCTTAGGGGCCTTAGGACAGATCCTGAGGGCGGCAGACATGGGGCGGAGACCGGGCGAGCTCTGGGAGACGGATTCCGAGTGGCGGGTGGGAGGTTTAAAGGCTGGGGGTGGTTGGGAAATTGGTGGCTGTGGAGGATATGGTGGGTTTTTACTCCTACGCGGATAGTCTAAAATAACTTGTCTTTGATAATGCCTTTGATTAACACACTTTTTCTTTTCTTCCTTTTTCTCCTCTTTACCGCATCTTTCGTCTTGCAACACAGAGACCTAAAGGGCAAGGAAATAAAGGTGAGTTTGGATTTTTTTTTTTCTTATTGCTCAATGTTGCCTTAATGTTACTTTTAAACTCTGTGAGGGTATTTTGTTTGTTTTTGCTCCCTCTTGGGAAAAAATGTAGGATTAGGGAAAATATTCATCATGGCTAAGGTAGCCAAGTTCTATCCAGAACTTCGGTAGTTCGTTGCTTTGAAGCCACTTTATAGAAACCAAAGTAGTACGAGAAACAGTTTCCTTGTCAGTTAAGCAGGTATTGGTGTGAACCTGGTGGTATTTCTTTGGTTTTCCAGTTTTTCTGTGTTATGTAACTTATGCCACAAAAAATTTCTACATGTGTATATAGACAAGTATATTCTTAAAGTGGACATTTTGTTTGACATGTCTGGATTACACTGGAAAATGGAAGTCTACATAGTATTCCATCACATTAATGAAAATTGTACTGTTAATCACTGATTCTATTGAAGTCAGTTGTAATGAGGCAACAACATGAGAGAGGTTAGAACTGAGTAGGCATGCCATCTTGCTCTATTGTTCTGATTGCAAGGTGTGACTCTATCTGGTATTTTATAAAGGGCTGAGAAGAAAATAGTTTGTGACATTTTTTCCAGGATTTTATAATTTTCTCTTTAGTAAAAGTACCATTGAAAGTAAAGTGTTTTTTTAAAAAGTGTGTTTTGTATTAATATGGAACAGTGCAGTCAGCTGACTGAAACATTATGACATTAGTCATGTGACATTTAGTTAAGTATAGAACAATAACTGCTTTCTTGGGATAGTGCCAATTAAATAACATCAGAGCAAATTATATATAACATTTTGTAGTGCTTGAAATTACACTAAAATTATGCTTTCTGTTGATTTCAGTAACACAGTGTTAGAAATTAAGATCTATAATAGCCTTTTAGATATAGATTGTCTTTGGTGCCCTTTAAATTCTTGTTAGGGTATTTATTTGCTATTGCAAATTTGGTGAATTTAATAGGTTTTGGATATGTAGATTAGTTTCCTCTGAATTATGGAATTTGTACATACCAGTTACATGGCACCATATTAGGTAACATTTTGTTTGTTTTCATTAAAGATGTTTTCTTGCAGTATGTAAATATTTAGACATTTTAATTTTTAAAATTTCATTTCTAGAATTTTTTTTGTTGTAAGCATAAACCTGAAATAAAAATTGGATATTGATTTATTTTAAATGAGTTTTTAAAAATTTGTGAATTTTAAAAAGAATGATCCATTAATTTCTTCTTTTGCTAGTCTACCCATTAGGAACTATGTAGACTTGGAGATTGTGAAATTGTGGTCATTATTGCCTAGCATAAATTATTTTATCCTAGATCTGTGGGGAGGTGGCACTTTGCAAAGCTATTTGAAATGCTAAGTGTTTTATGTTACCCGCTTTAAGGTAAGTACACAAGTTCTATGAGGTACTTGTTTGTTAAAACAAAATAGAGCCTCTACAGCACTGTAAGTCAGTAAAATAAGTTTGATTTATGAGTGGTCATTTCACTTAGGTAGGCACTGGTGGCATCTTTGATATTAGATATGAGTTGAGTTATCTATAAACTGCATAATACATCCACTGTTTGCAAATAAGTATTTTTTGGTTATTTCAAAAATTTTTATCCATCAGTATCGCTTCTGTTAGTTGTATTCAGACACATACACAAAGTGTTTATTTTGATAGTTCTTTATTCTCAAGAAATTTTCTTTCTTTCCCCCTTGTTGTTCAGTTTAATAATTTCATCTAAGGTTAGAATAATGGATTGGGATTCCTTGGAGTCCTGAGTTCTAATACTGCCTTTGGCTACTGACTTGCCAAGTGAGCTTGAAAACATTTTACCTGTCTGTCAGAATCTCCCCTCTATAAAATAAAAATAACTCTAGTCATAATTCCCATAATTCCTATAGTATGTTGTTAGGATTCTTGTAATTACAGTAGTTCACTGCTCTAGTAGCAATTATATTTGCTGGATTTCTTTTCACTTTCCTCACTTAATCTATTTTTAAGGTGCAGGAAGACTCCTTTGCATGGAGCCTTGGCAGGAGGGGAAAAATGCTACTGGCCTGAAAGTATTGCTAATTATTTAAGTTTCTTAAAAATGGCAGATGCTACAAGTGCACAAATAACAAATATACGTTACTTGTATTTTTATGACTGCAGGGAGAATTACAAGGCAAAGGCAACACTACCAGTGAACCTGATATAAGTAGCTATGTGTGTATTTGAGAAAAGCTTTTCTGCCTTAGCTTGTTCCCAGCTCGTAAAATTGTTTTACAATTCTGTTTACTTTCATGAAGTTATTTTTCTTGAACTGCAACCTCAGTATTCTAAATATGAGTAATCTTGAATTCTGAACTTAGCAAGCTTATGAAAAATAGTATGTCCTTGAGAAGTTGGTGTCAGTTAAAGTTTTGAACACGTAATCCTTTTCAGTCAACTTACTATAATTTCAGAGATCCTGTTTCTTTTCTGAATTGTCTTTAGTTGACAGCTTTAGCCTAACACCTAGTTTTAGTGTCTTTGATTTTCTATATATCCTTAATTACTTAATTCATTACAGAAGCCAAAAGGAATTCTAAATAATTGTCTTTGATATGGCAAAAATGTTTTTTGTAGAATAAGTAATAATTCAAGGTTTACTTGTTTTATAAGTTTGAATTCTTTTTTAATTAAGTCTGTCCCTGTGTTAAATATCAGAACTCTTTATTATCCTTGGCAAGAGTAGTACCAAAGGATAGTAGAAATTTAAGGATAATTATTTGCCTATTGGTTCATAATTTAACACTTCGTATTTTATTTTTTTATTAAGTAGAATTTTTGCTTATTGGAATAAAGGTGTGCAGTACTTTTATTTGGGAGTACTATGGTTGGAAGTGTCAGATGCCATACTTACAGTCTTAGGCCTTACTGCCTCCTTTCTCCTCTAAGTTTATAAATAGCAAATTCATGGAACAGGATTTATCTTTTTCCTCCTCTCCGCTCTCTTCCAACGGAGAGACGTATGCATTGTTTTATACAACTGTAATTTAAAATAATTAGGTTAAATTTGGCTAAGTTTTAATTTTCGAAAAGTAGTGGAAAATGCCTTATATTTTGGCAATATTCTGTTGTATTCTCTCCTCGTCCTCCCGAGAAATGATTTCAAAGCACTTTACTATCATTATTTTAGGCTTCATTTTATCAATCCTCACAACATCCTTGTAAGGAGATAGCGGGTATATGGTATTGTCGCTGTTTTTGTAGGTGGGGAAACATGATGCACAGATCTGTTGACTTTCCTAACTTGATGTAGTCAGGACCAGAGCAAAGAATCACCTGGCTCCTAAGGCCCATGTTCTATCTTGATTTGACTCTGTTTCATAGAGCAGAGGAAACAGGCGAAGAATCATGTAAGTCATCTGTTCTTTTTACCCCTGAAGAAATTTTACAGACTATGGAACTAGCTTGGATTTCATTTCTATTTAATGGTTTTCAGACTCCAAGACATTAGCTTGTCATTAAGTAAATATTCAAAAACGAAAGTCTTTAAGATAGTTTTCTTTAAGATACACTTCCAAAACTTAAGGGCTAGTTTAATGCAAATTGCTTCTCGGTATATGTGAAGTACTTTTAATTAAACATTTTTTAAAGTAGATTGACTTTTTGTACTATATTTTAAGACTTTATAGACATTTATGCATCATTTAAAAATGACCGTAGACTGTATTTATAATAGTATATGGGTTGTTCTCAGGCCTAGCCTCTTAGAAGAGAAATAATAGAACAAAAAAAATAAGAATAACAGGATTATATTTATATATATATACAGATAAATTTTAAGTAAGTACTTTTTCCTTTTTTTTTTTTTAAATAGAGGCAGAGTCTCACTCTGTACCCCAGGCTGGAGTGCAGTGGCATAATCATAGCTCAGTGTAACCTGGAATGCCTTGGCTCAAGTGATCCTCCTTAGACTCCTGAGTAACTAGGACTATAGGCACATGCCACCACTCCTGGCTAATTTCTAAACATTTTTCGTAAAGGTGGGATCTTGCTGTGTTGCCCAGGCTGGTCTTGAGCTCCTGGCCTGGCACTTTTTGTATTTGTATGAACTAGATTTTCGAGAACCTAGTGGATATGAGAGATAGTTAGTCATAATTTTTAAGTTGTTAGCTGTTTCAAATACTGACTAACATGTATGAGTGTAATAGTGAAGAATTTTTTTTCAAGAAGTAATAGACCATGCATACTTACCTTTGATTTAGGAGCAGTAAAGCCAGTGTCAGAGGAGAACAGGTATGTCAGAATCTCTTGGACTGAAATGAATAACCCAGCCTTATAATGGCACTAGAAGTAACCTAAGGCACCCTCTTTATTTTGGTTTCTAGTGGCTATTACATATTTAAATTCCATGGAGCATATTTAGCTCAATCCTAGTTCTGATGCAGTCCTTATCAGACATAGTTAAATTATGTTAGTGGAGCCAGGATCAAGTTGACCTTCAGGTTGCTTCTTGTGGCCTCTGAGGGGCAGTGTGGTGTAGTAAGAAGTCTACTTTGAATGCTTTACACAGTAACATCATATCTTTGATCTTTGCCACTCATTGGATGGCAAAGATTTAAGGGATTTTGTATATCTTTGCTCCCAAGCCACTGTTAACTCATAATATTACATTTTAGGTGCTCTACACTCATGGGAAAATTTAAGGATAATAAAAATGTTATATTACAGAGGAATACGCAATTTAAACCCGTCACCCTCCTAACTTCATAAAATTTGGTGATGTTGTACCTTTGAGCAGTAAATCTTTAGATACTGAGTTCTTTTTGTTTCTAATTTGTAGACATCCATCGGAAACTTTCAACTTTATCTTCACTAGTATAGAATAGTATATTTACATAGTGCCACCTCATCAAGTATTAGCTTAGTAACACTTCTGTTTAAATGGTTCTAAAGTCATATTAGTCCTATTTGGATCTTGTAATATTTAATGTGATTACATTTAAGATTATTGAACACTGTCATTTAATAATCAGATGAGATGAGGTAGGTACTATTCATACATAACCTTCTGAAACAGCGAACAGTCAAAGGTTAGAGAGTTTAAATCCCTAACTGGAGATCATCTCCTCAGTGCTGGACTTGAGATTCAAATTCGGGACCTTACTTCTGAGTCTGCTCAAAAGCACTCTGAAACAGCATCCAGAGAATAACAACTTTAGAGTGTTTATGGAGATGACCTTTGAACAAAATTATTCTCTGACTTGTTTCTCATGTATTGCAAGGATAATTATGGCTATCTTTTGTGTCTTAATTTTGTTTGTAGTTTCATGTGAAAGTCTTCATTCTGGGGGGCTTAGAATTAAAGCCCTCTTTATTTAGATATTTCATAATTATAAGTCTATTCATTGTGATATTGTTTCAAGTTAATTTTAGCCTAAACTTTACTGGAGACATTTAAGACATTTACTATAACAAATTAGATCGAAAATAGTTATTTCATTCTTTATTATACTAAATAATTTAGAGATTTAAACAAAGGTAGAGAACATTCAGAAATCTTTTTTATTGCCTACAACGCTACTTGAAATAGTTATTTTACATTCAAATATAGCATTAGGGAACTCTTTCCAACATTCTTATGTAACAATTTACTCACTACAGTGTTGAGATTGGGATATTTACTTAAAGTTTTTGGTAAGGGGAAGTGTATATATGGCTTGTGTTTATGTAATCTTGGGCTTATGTATCAAAAGACTTTTAAGTTTTTGTGGCACATGAATATTTGTATCTAAAATAGTTTATCCTTAAGAGGGTTCTTAAAAATAACTCAGTATTATTTTTTCTGATTACTTTTTTTGGCTTGAAAAATATTAAAAACATTAGGTTGTGCTGCGAGTTTCATAAAGATAACTACAACACTTCTAATACAAACATTTTTTTAGTTTCAGTACAAAACGGTTCGATTCATCAAAAAGATGCTGTAAATGATGATGATTTTGAGCCATACTTAAGTAGCCAGACAAATCAGGTAAGTCTTCTGACAGTTTCAGATTTTAGGAAATTAACCTTTTATTAGTATTAGTTGATTTTTCAAATAGATTATTTAATGAGATTAACCATAACATGGATTCATTCATCTAGTGTACCTATATAGTAAGTGAGTAGTGAGTAGCAGTTGCAGATTTATGGCACAGGAGAGTTCTTCTTCAGAAAGTATAGGCACCAGAAACTAGGTTATGAAATATAGAATAAAGATTTGAAGGTGACCATTATTTGTATATATTATGGTTAGGTTTTTTGTGTGTGTGTATTGAAGGAACTTAATCTTTTAATGTCACTGCTATATCTTCATAGCTTAAGCTAATTATAAAAGGCTTAATTAGCTAGAAATTTGGGTATTTGGAGGAGGGATTAGTTACCTGAAATTGCCTGCAATTTTGGGTCAAATGTAGTGTTTTCTTTTTTTAAGACATTGCAGATTGAATTCATTGATAACTATTGAAAATTTTAACATACCTTGGTAATGTCGGTGATAGAATTAAGGAGTTTATAAACATACTTGCTTTATAAACACAGTTACTTCTGTATTGTAGACATGGACAGTTTTATCAAATCAAGTAATTGGTAACTGGTGGCTTTGAGTATTTGTGTACAAGCGTAATTCCAATTTAAACATTGAAGAACAATGCTATTAGGTATCTGTATGCCATTTCTGCATCCATTTCTGTCTGTTACTAAAAATAAGCCACTGATAGAAATAAATGAAAAAATACATTTTCAGTATTCACCAGTTTTTTTAGAGAGAACATTGTGGAATGAAACTGTTTGTTTTGCTTTAAAAAAGCAAAAAATGCTCAAGAACTTTGGGTCTTAAAATTAGTTCTGTAGTTCTTATTTATTTATTTATTTTTGAGACGGAGTCTCGCTCTGTCGCCCAGGCTGGAGTGCAGTGGTGCGATCTCAGCTCACTGCAAGCTCTGCCTCCCGGGTTCACGCCATTCTCCTGCCTCAGCCCGGAGTAGCTGGGACTACAGGCGCCCGCCACCATGCCCGGGTAATTTTTTTGTATTTTTAGTAGAGACAGGGTTTCACCATGTTAGCCAGGATGGTCTCGATCTCCTGACCTCATGATCCGCCCGCCTCGGCCTCCCAAAGTGCTGGGATTACAGGTGTGAGCCACTGGGCCCAGCCCACCTCTGTAGTTCTTTGGAATAATTTTATGATTAATTTGATTAGAAACTCAGTTCTTTGGAATAATTTTATGATTAATTTGATTAGAAACTCAGTTTTTTTTTTTTCTTTAATTTTTGAGACAGTCTTGTTTTGTTGCCCAGGCTGGAGTGCAGTGGCGCAATCTTGGCTCACTCCAACCTCTGCCTCCCAGGCTCAAGTGATTCTTCTGCCTCAACCTCCTGAATAGCTGGGATTACAGGCACATGCCACCACGCCTGGCTACTTTTTGTATTTTTTAGTAGAGGTAGAGTTTCACCATGTTGGCCAGGCTGGTCTTGAACTCCTGACCTCAAGTAATCTGCCTGCCTCAGCCTCCCAAAGTGCTGGGATTACAAGCATGAGCCACCGTGCCCAGCCTAAAATTCAGATTTTAATTGGCACGTTAAAGATGCCAGTTAGTTTGTGTGTGTAAATTTGAAGAGTAAATTGGAAAACTGAATGAAGTTTGACTTGTCTGCTTGCATATATGGAGAAAATGAAAAACGTACTCTAAAATTTTAACCTAGATTTTTGAAACTCTGAAAGAACAAGGAACCAAATCTTACTACAGAACTGAACAGTTTGTACAGTAGAGTTATAGGGAAAATTTGAACAAAAAGTAGTTCCCAATTTGTGGGATGCAGGATTATTTTTAGGATTATGGAGAGTGGTGGTTGTGTTCAACCTCATCTACCTCTTGGTTACTTCCCCTTAACCACCCCTTCCTATCTACTGAGCAACATTCCTAGCATACATGGGAGGAGAAGAAATAAATGGGAAAGAAAAAAACTTTACGATCTCAGCAAAATTACTTTTCCACGTAAAGATTATGAAAGTAGATCATTTGTTGTGAAATGTAGTGCAAGTTTTAAAATAAGCGTGATTTTACTATATTCTGGCTCACATAGTAATCTCAGTTAACGCTTATGGCAGTATGGCAGTATTTTCCAACTTTGCTGAGAAATCTTAATATTAGGAGGTGTAATAAATATTCCTTCAAAAAGATGTCCATGTTTAGATAGATTTGAGAAATTTTGGAGGCTAAACAGTTGAACTGTTTTTTTTGCTACTTGATTTCATAGTTTATAAATTATAATTGAAAATGAAGTTCTTAAGATGAAGATATAGTATAAAAAATCCTGACTTGTTCAAACTCTTATTTTTTTTTTTTTTTTGAAACGGAGTCTCGCTCTGTTGCCTAGGCTGGAGTGCAGTGGCATAATCTTGGCTCACTGCAACCTCTGTCGCCCAGGTTCAAGAAATTTTCCTGCCTCAGCCTCCCAAGTAGCTGGGATTACAGACACATGCTACCACGCCTGGCTAATTTTTATATTTTTAGGAGAGGTGAGGTTTCACCATATTGGCAAGGCTGGTCTTGAACTCCTGACGTCAAGTGATCCACCTGCCTCGGCCTCCCAAAGTGCTGGGATTACAGGCATGGAACACCGCACTCAGCCATTCAAACTCTTTTTTAAGGAATTTTAGTGGACTGTAAAAGACAGTTTTGGAATTGCTACCTGAGTAATCTTCTTGCATGTTTTGCTTGATAACAGATATTTTACAATTCTTTATTATTTGTCACAAGGACATAGAAGGGTTTCTACTGGAGGAAAAATTTTTGTCAGGAGGATTTCTGGTATTCCATAGAGGCACCTTAGTGTCTTCCTAGGGAAAACCAGCGGAGGGTGCCTGAATCCCACCAGTGTAGCAACTAGCACTGTGGTTTGCGTTTTATCTGTTCTATATATTGGAATTGTGCATAAGACTTTACTTGTAAAAAAAAAAATAGTTTTAAAAAGTGTTTGGGAAACCATTACTTTTTAAAAGATGTAAAGGCATTTACCTTAGTGAACCCAAATGAATTTTTTCAGCTGCATCATTGCAGGTTATGTTGGAGCAAAACATTTGTAAAATAGATTTGTTTTAACTCATGATATTTGGAATCAACATATTTGTATCCTGTTTGAAGAGAAGTTGTAAAGTTTGATTCCAGTAAGGCCTGTTCTACCTCTCCTTTGTGGTACTAAATAGATTTTCAGCAGTCATCTTTCTTTAATATTAAAAATAATTATCTCTAACAAGATACATATTTACATTTTAAAGAGGATTAATACTGTAGAATGTTGAAAACTGGGTTTATTGAAAATTATCTGGAATCTTAAAGGTAAGTCGTATGAGAATTTAAGTACTCTCAATTATCTAGCTAGAAAATTAAATAAAATGTTTGGACCTTTTAAATAGTGCTATTATAACAGATTAGTGAAAACTGGATTTATTGATGAAAGATCTCAAGAAGATACTGGCAAATTTAGAGTTACACAACTATTTAATTAGGTCCTCATACACTGTACACAGTGTGTTTTAAAAATTAAATTCATTTATCTGATTTTAAAATTATAAATAAAAAATATTTTGATGGAAAAGTGTTTAACAAGTCTTTTGCTAATGATTTAAATTGCTTTGTATACTTAGATCTAGTTCATATCAAACCCAAGGGTACTTTAAAACAAGTTGTTGGCCTTTCTACTTATGTGGCAGCATATTTCTTCTATTTTGTAGTGTTCAGTTTCTGAAGGAATAATGTTCATAGTAATTTTGAAAGTAAATGTCAGTCCTTCATTTCTTTTTTTTTTTTTTATTGATCATTCTTGGGTGTTTCTCGCAGAGGGGGATTTGGCAGGGTCACAGGACAATAGTGCAGGGAAGGTCAGCAGATAAACAAGTGAACAAAGGTCTCTGGTTTTCCTAGGCAGAGGACCCTGCGGCCTTCCGCAGTGTTTGTGTCCCTGGGTGCTTGAGATTAGGGAGTGGTGATGACTCTTAAGGAGCATGCTGCCTTCAAGCATCTGTTTAACAAAGCACATCTTGCACCGCTCTTAATCCATTCAACCCTGAGTGGATACAGCACATGTTTCAGAGAGCACAGGGTTGGGGGTAAGGTCACAGATCAACAGGATCCCAAGGCAGAAGAATTTTTCTTAGTACAGAACAAAATGAAAAGTCTCCCATGTCTACCTCTTTCTACACAGACACGGCAACCATCCGATTTCTCAATCTTTTCCCCACCCCTCCCCCCTTTCTATTCCACAAAACCGCCATCGCCATCATGGCCCGTTCTCAATGAGCCGCTGGGTACACCTCCCAGATGGGGTGGTGGCCGGGCAGAGGGGCTCCTCACTTCCCAGTAGGGGCGGCCGGGCAGAGGTGCCCCTCACCTCCCGGACGGGGCGGCTGGCCGGGTGGGGGGCTGACCCTCCCACCTCCCCCCGGATGGGGCGGCCGGCCAGGCAGAGGGGCTCCTCACTTCCCAGTAGGGGCGGCCGGGCAGAGGCACCCCTCACCTCCCGGACGGGGCGGCTGGCCGGGCGGGGGGCTGATCCCCCCACCTCCCTCCCGGATGGGGCGGCTGGCCGGGCGGGGGGCTGATCCCCCCATCTCCCTCCCGGACGGGGCGGCTGGCTGGGCGGGGGGCTGACCCCCCCCACCTCCCTCCCGGACGAGGTGGCTGCTGGGCGGAGATGCTCCTCACTTCTCAAATGGGGTGGCTGCTGGGCGGAGGGGCTCCTCACTTCTCAGACGGGGCGGCTTCCGGGCGGAGGGGCGCCTCACTTCTCAGACGGGGCGGTTGCCAGGCAGAGGGTTTCCTCACTTCTCAGACGGGGCGGCCGGGCAGAGATGCTCCTCACATCCCGGACGGGGCGGCAGGGCAGAGGTGCTCCCCACATCTCAGACGATGGGCGGCTGGGCAGAGACGCTCCCCACATCTCAGACGATGGGCGGCTGGGCAGAGACGCTCCTCACTTCCCAGATGGGATGGCGGCCGGGAAGAGGCGCTCCTCACTTCCTAGATGAGATGGCGGCCGGGCAGAGACGCTCCTCACTTTCCAGACTGGGCAGCCAGGCAGAGGGGCTCCTCACATCCCAGACGATGGGCGGCCGGGCAGAGACGCTCCTCACTTCCCAGACGGGGTGGCGGCTGGGCAGAGGCTGCAATCTCGGCACTTTGGGAGGCCAAGGCAGGCTGCTGGGAGGTGGAGGTTGTAGCGAGCCGAGATCACGCCACTGCACTCCAGCCTGGGCACCATTGAGCACTGAGTGAACCAGACTCCGTCTGCAATCCTGGCACCTCGGGAGGCCGAGGCTGGCGGATCACTCGCGGTTAGGAGCTGGAGACCAGCCCGGCCAACACAGCGAAACCCCGTCTACACCAAAAAAATACGAAAACCAGTCAGGCGTGGCGGCAAGCGCCTGCAATCGCAGGCACTCGGCAGGCTGAGGCAGGAGAATCAGGCAGGGAGGTTGCAGTGAGCCGAGATGGCAGCAGTACCGTCCAGCTTCGGCTCGGCATCAGAGGGAGACCGTGGAAAGAGGGAGAGGGAGAGGGTCCTTCATTTCTTAAAATTAGTTCTTTATAGTTCTTCAGAATAATTTTATGACTAAATAGATTGGAAAATTTAGATTTTAATTGCCACTGTTAAATATGCCATGTAATTTGTGCATATAAATTTGAAGAATAATTTGGAAAAACTGAAGTTGAGTTTGTCTGCTTGTGTGTTTGGGAAAGTAAGTTCTTAGCTATCTTTATCAGAGAAGTACTATAGAGAATTAAATTGTCATTTTCTGCCCTTGTCATCACTGCCCTTAGTTAAGGTATTCATTAGTTTTGTCTATTGAAATGATTTTCTAACTAGTAATTCTATACTGCCACTCAGCAGTCTTAAAATCCCAAGTCTGATTGTGTCACTGTAATGTTAAGTAATTACTATAGCTTCTCAACAGTGGATGCATTTATTATATGAATGCCCTTAAAGTGGTTCCACTTCCTTTTCTAGCTCATCTTCTGCCAACTTTCTCCATCTGATTGGCAAAATAGAACTTACCATTATTTTATGAAAGTATAAATATTTTCTTAATATTTCTTTCACGATCTCAATTTTTGTATGTATGTTTTATACAGACGTGTACACACACCTATGGCATTTCCTACAGAAAGTCTTTTCTGATTTTCCAGTTACTTACTCCCTCTTCTTTGTACTTAAGTGTTTTGTTTTGCTTTCTTTGTAATTCATTTAGAGTAGCTATCACATTATAGGGTAAATAAGTCTTCCTCACGATACCTGTGAAGTGCTCCCAGTTGGAGACCACGTTCTTTATTTTTTGTCTCCAGTAACCAGCACAGTATCTGGCACATATAGCATTCATGTTTATTAAGTGAATGGATGGATTAGGTTATCTAATAGAATTAGAGAATGAAGAATTACGGTTGGTGAAATACTCAGGTTGAATATTATTATGACATTTTTCTTATGACATGATTAGATATGCATAAATTATACTTTTAGAAAATTATAATAGGAGAAAGTACATAGCATAATACAAGCATTAAAATTAGAATGAACATCACTTTTGGTTGTTAAATCGGAAGTCATGTCAGGAGTTTGAAGCACTTCAATTTTTGTGTGTGTGGTTTTTTTTAAATTTTTTTTTTAAGAGGGTTTTATTCTGTAGCCCATGCTGGAGTGCAGTAGTGTGATCATAGTTCACTGCAGCCTCGAACTCCTGGGCCCAAGCGATCCTCCCACCTCACCTCCCAAGTAGCTGAGTCTACAGGCGTGCACCACCATGCCTGGCTAATTTTTTTTTTTTTTTTTTTTTTTTTAATGAGATAGTCTCTTGTGCAGGCTGGTCTTGAACTCCTGGACTCAATTGATCCACCTTTTCCAGCCTCCTGAGTAGCTGGGATTACAAGCACAAGCCACCGTGCCTGGCTTTAAGCTAATAGCTTTTAAAAGAGTTGCTAAAAGAAAAAAACCCAAATAGGTGACAGAGGCTGAATGTGGCTTGATTTACTTGTTGGCCTCTTAGTTTGCTGACCCCTGAATTATACTATGGGTATAGACAAATTAAGAACTTGATGTGTAACTGTTGTGTAGAATTCAGCATTTGTCATAGTGAAATAAGAATATTCAATATAAATTTTGAGTTTAACTTTCTGAATGCTTTCTTATAAAGAATTAACATAAAAACTTCCTACTTTGTGTGCTTTTCCACTCCCACATCCAGATAAAGACTACTGAATCTGGATTTCATTGCCAACAATCAAAATTAAAACTTGGAAACCAGTTACCTTCATATTCAGCCCACCTTTCCTATGCATCTCCATGTGGGATTTATCTACTTCCCTGTATTACTTGTCTTATCCATTTAACTGTAGATTTTCTTTTAGAATGAGTATCTTATATCAATGTTTTTTTACAATGTATGCATTTGATAAGTGGTTGAAATAGTTAAAATTATAAATAAAGGATATGTTTAACTGTTTAAAAAAAGGATGAAGACAGTAGACAGTTTTATCTTTTTTTTTTTTTTTCTTTTTTGAGACAGTCTCGCTTGTCACCCAGGCTGGAGTGCAGTGGTGGCATCGCAGCTCACTGCAACCTCTGCCTCCTGGGTTCAAGCGATTCTCCTGCCTCACTCAGCCTCCCGAGTAGCTGGGATTACAGGTGTATGCTCCCATGGCCAGCTAATTTTTGTAATTTTGGTAGAGATGGGGTTTCACCATTTTGGCCAGGCTGGTCTCGAACTCCAGACCTCAGGTGATATGCCTGCCTTGGCCTCTCAAAGTGCTGGGATTATAGGCATGAACCACGGTGTCCAGCCCAGTTTTATCTTTTAATCAGTTACATATATTCGTTTATACTAGATGAACTTCTCATTTTTATTAAACTTTTGAGAGTTTTTTTAATCACAGTGACTTTTTGTCAGTATGAAGCACTATGAGTACTTTCCATTTTTAGTAGATACTTCAGTGATCAAATTTTACGCATTTGTGTTTGTCTTCGTAGCTTCCAAAGTTTAGTCATTAATTTTGTCAAGATTTTTTTCTTTAAAAACTATTGTTGGTGTATTTGAACTTCCCTCAGTCTTTTCTTTATAGATGTATTTAAATATAGCAGTCAGTACTTCCAGTATTGATTTATGTAAGATGCTACTATTGCAGTTGTAAAAATGCTGTTGATTCCTTTCATGTGAATATTGTGAACATTCTTTGACTATATTTGCAGTTAGAGTTACTAATTATCCATTATAGCTGAAGAATGTGTTCAGTTAGTAAATAGTAACTCCTGAATTTTCCAGTTTTAAATATAGTCAGCCCTCCGTATCTGCAGTGTCTACATTCACGGATTCAGTCAGTTGTGGATCAAAAATACAGTCGTCTCAAGGTATCTGTGGGAGATTGATTCCAGAACCCCCAACGGATACCAAAATCTGTGTATGCTCAAGAACCTTATATAAAATGGTATAATAGTTAGTTGTATGTAACCTATGCACATCCTCCTGTATACTTTAGATGATCTCTGGGTTATTTATAATACCTAATACAGTGTAAATGGTTTGTAAGTGGTTATACTGTATTGTTTAGGGAATAATGACAAAAAAAACTGTGTACATGTTCAATACAGATGCAACTATTCATTTCTTTTTCCCAGCTATTTTCAATCTGTGAATGGTTGAATCCACAGATGTAGAACCCACTGATATGAAGGACTGATTGTGTTGGAAAAACAAATAACAATACAACAATAAAAAATGATACAAATAAAAAACCAACATAGTCTGTCAAGGACTGTACTGTAAAATATACTTTTAACATCCAGTGTATTTGAAAAATGGTTTTGTGATTTTCTTTTAAACAGTAAGTGAGAGTTGAGTTTTTTGGTTTTTAAGTCCAAGCTTTACTGGCAATAGCCAGTAAATCTTTGTCAGAATTATTAATTTAAATGTAACCTCTGTTACATTATATTTAGTTCTTAAGTTATTTTAGTCATATCAGAGAACCATTTCAAAAGACAATATGTTAAGTTAGCTTTCTCATAGACAGTAGACAGTTACAAGAGTTAGATGGGTATACCACAGGTAATTTAATAGTAAAACAAGTAGCTTAGTAATAAAACATCTCAGTTTTCAATGATAAGCCTTTTCAAAAATAATTTAAAATTAGTTCCAGGCAGGATCTATGACGTTATGTCACACATTCATGAGTGGAAAAGCAGCCACGAAATAGTGACAAGAGTGAAATAGTAGAAGAAACGGGTTAAGAACTTTACTCCAAAGAACTTTGACTGTCTCTGTAAATTAGCCTTCAAAATGGTATTGACCCTTGAAAAGTCATACCAGTTGTACTGACAATATTAGTGGATTTTTTTCACTTTGCATAATTCTACAAATTGTGAAGCTCTGTGCGGTGCTTTAAAATCACACCTAAATCACACTTGGGGTGGCTGAGGTGGGCAGATTGCTTGAGCCCAGGAGTTCAAGACCATCCTGGGCAACATGGTGAAATCCTCATCTCTACAAAAAATACAAAAAATTAGCTGGGCATGGTGGCGGACGCCTGTGGTCTCAGCTACTCTGGGAGCTGAAATGGGAGGATTGCTTGAGCCTCAGGAAGTGGATGTTGCAGTGAGCCAAGATAGCGCTGCTGCACTTCTGCCTGAGTGACAGAGTGAGACCCTGTTTCAAAAATAAAATAGAATAAAAGCACACCTAAATCAAAGATCGAAAATCTAGTTTCAGACTTTTTTTTTTTGCGTAAGAAACTTACTTCAAAAGAAATAAGTATTTAAAATACTTTAAAGTATTTTATTTTTATATTGTCTAGTAACAAATTTGAGCTTTTTTTTTCCTTTAATAAAATTTGGTGTCTTGATTTTTGGCAGTTCACTAAATGATAAGTATAGTGAAGGTTGATTTAATTGCAGTAATTCTGGAAAAAATTTACATGAACTCACTATTACTAAATTAAAAAAAACCCAAACCTGTTCTGTAATAGGTTTATTGTGTAAAATTTGGGGAAGAGGAGAGTATAAAGAAAAGTCATGTCTGTTATTCCACCAATAAGAAACTATGATAAGGAATTTGTTTTATGTCTTTTTTTGAAATGAACAAGGCAAAGCAAAACAAAAAGAAATTTGCATCATGCTATAAACGTAATCTTGAATCTTCTCAAGACTGTGAGCATTTCTCCATTTTTTCCTTAATGAAAGTACAAAATCTAATGGTTGAACTGGATTCCATCATATAGATAAGCTGTAATTCCTCTATTATTCGGCAGAGTTGTCTAGTTTATTTAATCCTTGTGTGTAAGTGATTGCATACATCAATTGATTAAAGTACAGCTGGCTGTAAATGGTAATTTTGTGTCCACAAAGTTTATATATTAGCCTTTTGTAGAAATTATGATATTTTTAAATTGTGACAGAGGGCCTGGCTCTTCAAACAAAAATAATACTCATTATACCCCCACTCTCATCCCTGAAAAAAGCCATATAGGTTAGTTTGTAAGAAATATTTTAAGATGTGACTACTCATCAGCAAATTTTTCTGTTGATAAAACTGGATTTGAAATTTTAATTTTGTTTATCTAGAATAGGTACATCTTTTATTTTCATTTACTTAAAACTTCTTGATTTTAATCTTTCAGATTTCTTTTTTTGCTCTTTTAAGAGGACATTTCGCTACTGATTGTGATATTTTGTTTTGCAGAGTAACAGCTATCCACCAATGTCAGATCCATACATGCCTAGTTACTATGCTCCATCCATTGGATTTCCATATTCTCTTGGGGAAGCAGCGTGGTCCACAGCTGGAGACCAGCCTATGCCATATCTGACAACCTATGGACAAATGAGTAATGGAGAACATCACTATATACCAGATGGTGTATTTAGTCAACCTGGGGCATTAGGAAATACCCCTCCATTTCTTGGTCAACATGGATTTAACTTTTTTCCTGGTAATGCTGATTTCTCTACATGGGGGACAAGTGGATCTCAGGGACAATCAACACAAAGTTCTGCTTATAGTAGCAGTTATGGCTATCCACCTAGTTCTCTTGGGAGAGCTATTACTGATGGACAGGCTGGATTTGGCAATGATACTTTGAGTAAGGTGCCTGGCATTAGCAGTATTGAGCAAGGCATGACTGGACTGAAAATTGGTGGTGACCTGACAGCTGCAGTGACAAAAACTGTAGGTACAGCTTTGAGCAGCAGTGGTATGACTAGCATTGCAACCAATAGTGTGCCCCCAGTTAGCAGTGCAGCACCTAAACCAACCTCCTGGGCTGCCATTGCCAGAAAGCCTGCCAAACCTCAACCGAAACTTAAACCCAAGGGCAATGTGGGAATTGGGGGTTCTGCTGTACCACCACCTCCTATAAAACACAACATGAATATTGGAACTTGGGATGAAAAAGGGTCAGTGGTAAAGGCTCCACCAACCCAACCAGTTCTGCCTCCTCAAACTATAATCCAGCAGCCTCAGCCATTAATTCAACCACCACCATTGGTGCAAAGCCAACTGCCTCAACAGCAGCCTCAACCACCACAACCACAGCAGCAACAAGGACCTCAGCCACAGGCCCAGCCTCACCAAGTGCAGCCTCAACAGCAGCAGCTGCAGAATCGCTGGGTAGCTCCTCGTAACAGGGGAGCAGGCTTCAACCAGAACAATGGAGCGGGCAGTGAAAACTTTGGTTTAGGTGTTGTACCTGTCAGTGCTTCACCTTCTAGTGTAGAAGTGCATCCCGTGCTGGAAAAGCTAAAGGCCATAAACAACTATAATCCCAAAGACTTTGATTGGAATCTGAAGAATGGACGTGTGTTTATAATTAAAAGCTACTCTGAGGATGACATACATCGTTCCATTAAATACTCTATCTGGTGTAGTACTGAGCATGGTAATAAGCGTTTGGATGCAGCTTACCGTTCCCTGAATGGGAAAGGCCCACTCTATTTACTCTTCAGTGTGAATGGCAGTGGACATTTTTGTGGAGTGGCTGAAATGAAGTCTGTTGTGGACTATAATGCGTATGCTGGTGTCTGGTCTCAGGATAAGTGGAAGGGCAAATTTGAAGTTAAATGGATCTTTGTCAAAGATGTTCCCAATAACCAATTACGGCATATTCGCTTAGAAAATAATGACAACAAACCGGTTACCAATTCAAGGGACACTCAAGAGGTACCCCTAGAAAAAGCTAAGCAAGTGCTTAAAATAATTGCTACTTTCAAGCATACCACCTCAATCTTTGATGACTTTGCACATTATGAAAAGCGTCAAGAAGAGGAGGAAGCCATGCGTAGGGTAAGAATATAGTAATTTTTTGTTTGGGGTCTTTGTATTGCTGGTGGGGTGCATGGATGGGTATATTCTGAGTTTAAGAACTTTCTGTGAAGGAAACCAACTACTTAAGAAACAACTCTACAAACACCCTTGAAGGTATCTATGTGTGTCCTATATGAACCATTTCTTCTTTCCTTTCCCAGGGTAACTCACGCTGAGTTAGCCTCTTGCTCATTCTTCATACTCCCTAGATGATAAAGGCCATTGGGCCTCAGTGTTTATCATCAAAGCTGAATGAATTTTGGCATTTGTAACTAAACAGACTTCATGAACTAACCAGGGGCTCTAATCATTAATATTATTAATCATACTAACATAGGAGAAAATATATTTAGAGTTTGAAACAACTTTTTTTTTGAGATGACATCTTGCTGTGTTGCCCAGGCTGGAGTGCAGTGGCTATTCACAGGTGCAGTTATGGCGTATAGCCTCAAGTTCCTGGCCCCAAGCAATCCTCCTGCCTTAGACTCCCAAGTAGCTGGGACTACAGACCTGTACCACTGAACCTGGCACTTAAAACAAGTTTTTATTTATTTATATTTTATATATTATTTAATTTTTTTTCAGACAGGGTCTCTCTTGTCCCGGCAGGAGTGTACTGGCGTGAACATGGCTCACTGCAGCCTTGATCTGCTGGGCTCAAGTGATCCTCCTACCTCAGCTTCCCGAGTAGCTGGGACTACGGTCACACACCACCACGCCTGGCTAATTTTTGTATTTATTGTAGATAGAGGGTTTCACCATGTTGCCCGGGCTGGTCTCCTGAGCTCAAAGGATCTGCCCCTACCCCTCTGCCTCCCAAAATGTTGGGATTACAGTCCTGAGTCACTGCACCCAGCTGAAACAACTTTTAAATAAATGTTTTACTCTAATTTTGTGTTTATAAGAAATTACATATATATATATATATATATATATTTTTTTTTTTTTTTTTTTTTTTCTTTTGTGAGATGGAGTCGCTCTCTGTCGCCCAGGCTGGAGTGCAATGGAGTGGTCTTGGCTCACTGCAACGTCCGCCTCCCGGATTCAAGTGATTCTCTTGCCTCAGCCTCCCGAGTAGCTGGGATTACAGGCACACGCCACCATGCCTGCCAAATTTTTGTATTTTTAATAGAGACGAGTTTCACCATGTTGGCCAGGCTGGTCTTGAACTGCTGACCTCGTGATCCGTGCGCCTCGGCCTCCCAAAGTGCTGGGATTACAGGCATGAGCCACTGTGCCTGGCAAAATATGTTTTTAAAACATAAAACTCTTGAAGTATTTTTATAATTTTTATACTTAAAGCACTTGTACAAAATAGAGGCTTTGCAGAATTTGATTCCTAATTCTGTTATATACCCTCTGTAAGATTGAGGGAGACATTCCTGAAATAAAACATGCTGTTTATCCTTGTATTATATTGGCCAGAATATTTTTATTTTTATTTTTTAAAAATATCCTATTGAGTGGCCCATATGGGGATTAGCCCCCCAAATATTGGCTAGACTTTGATCACAGGGCCACAAGAGTCAGTTCAACTAGGGAAAGTTTTCTCTTCCAAACTGTAACGTAAAATTGGGGTCCTATTTTTAGGTGGAAAGAGAAAATGGATGGGCTTTTCTATAGGGGATACATTTAAATTTCTTTTGAAACTTAGTAGGGGTAAAGTTAGAAGCTCCTCCAGTAAATAATGCTTGTTACTATGGAAAGCATGTTCTTATGGAATGCTTGTTCCTATGTAGAAATTAAGATAAAGAGGTAACTTAACTCTATGTAAAATCAGTGATTGTTTCTGTGTGTGAAGCTGAATATCTTGTCTTTGTGGTTGTGTGCAGCACAGGGAAGTGCTTCAACATTCCTCAGAGGGAAGGTGTTGGAATAATGACCCTAGAGCAGTAGTTTCCAAACCTTAAGTCACATAAGTGTTAATTGGGGTGTTTATTGAAATTGCAGATTCTCGAGACCCATCCCTTGGTATATTTGATAAAGGAACTTGCAGTGTACTTTTTAAGTATAAACATTCCAGGTGATTCTGGTGCTAGTTATTGATTGCTGTGTTGGATTGTTGGAAACTTTGCTTTGGAGTAATTAATACAAATGACTTTAAGGCTCTGCTGAACCTTTTAGATGGGTTGCTGAATATAATTGTGTTTTCTCCCACTTAAATATGAGAAATGAGAGAAATGGGATCAAAAGTAGCTACTGAGTCTTTCAGTTTAGCAGTTAAGTAAAGTGGTCATATTGTAACTGCCATTACAAGTAGCGCATCAGGAGAAATGATTTGAGGTATGAAAGGTGGGATGCAAGTTAAGACTTCATTTTTAGATTGTGCTGATTTTAAGATACCTTTGAGAAATATAGGCAGCAAAATCTCTGATTAGGCAGTTAGATGTCCGAGTCACAGATTTGGGGACCTTTTGTTCTTAAACAGTTAATAGCATGGAAGTGGGATGAGATTACTTAGGACAAAGGATACATGGCAAGGAAATACCAACTTTTCTTTCGCCCACCACTGAGGAGATAATCACCCTTCTGTGTCTTTTTTTTTTTCTACCAAACTTGAAAATTTAATCCTGGTTTTGTTATAATGTATTTGGTATGTTAATATTATGTAGTTGTTTCAGGAAATTTTTAATGACAGGTATATATTGTAGCTGTATTATTATATATATTGTAGCCATATACACAACAGTGATTTAAACTTTAATATTACCCTTATATTGTTTCATTGTTTTGTTAAATAAAGTTTATCCTAAAGCCGCCTCCTTACATATTTTAAGTCCAGCCTAAAGGTTTTTCTGTACATGGCGAACTATAACAAGTGGAGGTATAAACAGACCGCAGCCTACTCTTGTGCCAGTGACCAAATTTTGGCTGAATCAAATGTAGCCAACTGTTCAAATAAGGCAAATACCAACCTGTAATCAATCCAGCTGTTTATCTCACTTCCGTTTTCTGTATATCACTTTTCCTTTTTCTGTCTATAAAACTTCCACCACAGGGCTGTGCTTGAATGTCAGAGCCTACTCTGGCTGGCTCTGTGATTCGTGAATCACATTCATTGCTCAGTTAATCTCCTTTAAATTTAATTCAGCTGAAGTTTTTCTTTTGTCACGTTGCTGCCACCCTTTTTAATGCCTAACCCACCTTTGACAGCTCTATTTTGAACCTTGTTTAACTTATTATTTATTAGCAAGCCTTTAGATCCATAAAATGTCTTTGGTCAGAATATGTAAGCAACCATTTAGCTGGGTATAGAATTCTTTCTAGTCAACAGCCTTTTCACTTAAAGTACTATGTATAAGCCTTGCTTTACAGTTATGTGGTTTTATATTATGGAAAATTCTGAGGCCAGCCTACATTTTTTGTTTGTAAATAGCTGTTTTTTTGGTGTGTGCACAAAAGATTTTTCTTTATTTTTACATTATGAATGTAAATGTGAAAACGTGTACAATATGAATATTGTTTTCTGTAATCCTTTGTCTGCAGGCCACTTTTTTCTATTAATGTCAACAAATATGTTGAATCTTTGCCCTTGAGTTCTGTTGGTTCTTTATTCTTTTTCTCTTCATTTGGAGGATTTGAATTTTCCTGCTCACATATTTTTCAGTGTATTTTATTTGTGCTGTTTCTGTGATTTGTGAGGTTTTGCATTCTTCACTGATAGTATTTGTTTGCTTCTATTATCACATTCAGCTCCCCCTCTTAACTCTGTTTTCTTAATGGAATCCCTTGATCCTAGAATTCATCTTGATTTTATTGAGCACAAAAGACTGTGTTTAAAACTTATGTCTGCTTTCTGTACTTAATGTTTTTAGAAACTTTATATCTTTTTTCTTCTAAAAAAAATTAAATATAATAAAATTGTAAATTTCCTTGACCAGCCAGTTTATAGTCAAGCCCTCTCTCTCCCTCTCATTACTGAACCACTGATTGGTTGTTTGTCCCTATAAGACATTTTCCATATTGTCATAATTGAAATTATGTACTATATGATCTTTTAAGATGTTTATCTTTCACTCAGCATGGTATCTTTGCAATTCATCTATGTCGTTGTGTAACTCAATTCTTTGTTCCTTTTTATTACTAGGTAGTTTTCTATTACATGGATGGATGACCATTGTGTCTATTCCATTCATCCTTTGAAGGATATTTGGGATGTTTTCCTTTTGGGGGTAATGTAAATAAGGCTCCTATAAGAATTTGTGTATACTTAAAATATGTATATTTTTAAATCATACAATAAAATTCACTTTTGGCGGGGGCGTACAGCTCTATGAATTTTAACATATGTAGATTTGTGTAACCACCCTATCAGTTAGGATACAGAACAGTTTCGTCATCCCCCAAACCCTCCCTTATATACTAGCCTTTTGTTTTTCCATGCTTCCCCCATGCCTAAGCCCTGACAGCCACTCATCTGGACTCATAATTTTGTAATATCCTTTGTGGTTGTGGTGGCTTCAGGACTGTCTTTGGGCTTTTTGTGTTTAGTCATTGAACCAGTAAGAGAATCATTGAGTTCAGTTATTTGTCTCAGAATGGGTACTTTTACCCTCCCCACCCCGTTTCTTTCATTGCTGGATGCTAGTTGCATATACCTTTCTCTTTGCAAATGTGGAGATGGGAGAGTCATGCTGTAAATTGATTTTACCAGTTAAGTGATTGACCAGCCTGTGGAGATTTAAAAGGGAAAGCCAGTATAATGGGTTGTGCTAGGTATTTGACTGTCCCTTAAGTTTGAAACCACTGTGTTAGAAACCAGTTTTCCTTGCTTGTTAGCTGGTTAGCATATAGGGTACCATGTGTTTTTGTCCAGTTTTCTTCCTGGTACTTTTAGCCTTGTGTAGGCAGAATTTGTATTTTCATTTGTTGATTTTCTCTTTGATATGCTTGTGCTTGCATTTGGACTTCCCAGTATAACTGCTTTCAAATACTTTGGTCATTTTAGTGCTGAAGGAAGGATGTGCTGCCTGTCTATTCTAGGTCCTTCACTTCATTGAAAAGAACAAATTAGTGGTATTTTACTAGGATTTTCTTTACTACTTATGCCTTTTTTTTTTTTTTTAAATAAAAGTAGTTGTAAGTCATTATTAGTGTCTGGTTTTAATATGGCCTTATCTGTCATGTATTTAGCTGGAATTTCTCAAAGCTTCTGGTATGTGGATGTACTATATCCCCAAGTGAATATCTTGGAAACCTTGGGTAAAGGTTGGGTTTCTTAAACTCAACCTTGGGGGAGGCAGCACTAATTGCAAAAGACTGCTACATTTGATTAGATTAAAATCTGTCCATCAAAAGATGCTTTAAAGAAAGTTTAAGAGGCCTGGCTGGGCATGGTGGCTCACATGTGTAATCCCAACACTTTGGGAGGGAGGCCCAGGCGCATGGATTGCTTGAGGTCAGGTGTTTGATACCAGCCTGGCCAACATGGTGAAACTCTGTCTCTACTAAAAATACAAAAGTTAGCCAGGCATGGTGGTGCATGCCTGTAGTCCCAGCTACTCGGGAGGCTGAGACAGGAGAATTGGTTGAACCAGGGAGGTGGATTGCAGTAAGCCAGGATTGCACCACTCCACTCCAGCCTGGGTGACAGAGCTAGACTCCGTCCAAAAAAAAAAAAAAAAAAAAAAGCAGCAGCAGCCATGTTTCTTAAAAGACTAAAAGAAATTTGAACTTAACTGACTAAAGATTTTTATCAAGAGTATATAAGCTAGTGTGGTGGTGCATGCCTGTATTCACAGCTACCCAGGAGGCTGAGGCAGAAGGATTGCTTCATCCCAGGAGTTTGAGACCAGCCTGAGTAGCACAATGAGAGCCCATCTCTAAAATAAATGAATATATTTTTAAAAGAATATATATAGAAATTCTGTGAATTAATTTAAGAAAAGATAACCAATAGAAAAATAGTCAAAGATGTGAATAGGCATTTAATGAGAGGAAAAACATGTAGCTAATAAGAATATAAAGGCTTACGAAAAATGAGGGAATACGAGTCAGGACTACAGTGAGAATATTTTATATCCATTCATTTGGCAAAATTAAGAAGTTTGACAGTATCAAGTATTGGAAAGATTGTAGATCAACAAGACCTCTTACACAGTTGTAAATGAGAATCTAAATTGATAAATCTACTTCAAGAAGCAGTTTTGTATTTTCCTGTAAAGTTGAACATAATCTACCTTATAATTCAGCAGTTGTTTTCTGGGATACATACCTAATAGAAACTTTCATGTATAAGAATGTTAGGAGCAATCAATAGTTTTTTTTTTTTTTCCCCAAAAAAATGGCAGCAGTTCAAATGTCCATCATTAGGAAAATGGCCAAATATATTGGTGCCTGAGACAGTATAACAGAATAAACTGTAGTTAGATGCGAAAGTATTGGTAACTATACTTTTGCTTCATCTTTTTGGTCGTAAATAAACTTTTTGGGAGAGGCCGGGCATGGTGGCTCACGCCTGCAATCCCAGCATTTCGGGAGGCCGATGCAGGAGGATCACCTGAGATCAGGAGTTTGAGATCAGCCTGGCTAACATGTTGAAACCCCTTTTCTACTAAAAATACAAAAAATTAGCCGGGCATGGTGGCACATGCCTGTAATCCCATCTACTCGGGAGACTGAGGCAGGAGAATCACTTGAACCCGGTAGGCAGAGGTTGCAGTGAGGCGAGTTCGTGCTATTGCACTCCAGCTTGGGCAACAAGAGCGAAACTCTGTCTCAAAAAACAATAAAAGTAAAAAAAAAATAAATAAATTTTGGGGGGAATAAGAATATGTGAAACATTCATACCTTTTATCCAGATTCGCTTATTATTAACATGCTTCCCCATCTGCTTTATGGTTCTTTTGAACCACTTGAGATAACTTTCCCCCAGAAAACTATAGTGTTTTTTTCCTATAGGAAAGAATAAGGGTATTATCTTGCATAACCACAATATTCTGTCAGATGATCCATGGAATTGCTTATTGCTTTCTTCTAGTAGTGAATCCAGTCTAGGATCAGGTAAAGGATCTAACTTGGTTACAACAATTTTGAATAGTAAGTTTAGAAGGGTTATACTAACCTGCTTTCCCCAAGTTTGGGGAGATTTTAACTAAAATTTACATTGAGGTCTATAGTTACCGTATCTTTCTTTCATTTCCTTCCTATGTTCATGTTTTTCTTTAAATTCTTGAGCCTGATTATGACAACAAACAAGGACTTTAAAAACCTAATTTCATCTCTTGTCATTGCTAGATATTTTTTATTGACTGATTATTTTGGCAACAGGAGTTCCTCGGCTTGCCTTGCCAGCCAACAAGGCTCTTCCTGTGGAGGAGCCAACCTGTCATATCCTGTCTGCTTATATAAAACTTGGAATGTCAGGCCCTCTATTTTAGAGTGAAGGGTATTGGTGAAGCTTCAAATTGTCGGAGAAATCCATGCTAGTTAGTATTTGTATTATATTTGAAAACATAATTTTGATATATTTGAGTAAAATCAAGCTTGATGAATGAATAACCAATACCCCATTAAAAGAAGCTGTAATTCCGGGTGTGGAAGATAACTAAAAATACAAAACAAAATTGTGATTTGTGTTGTTAGGAAGGATTCCTGTGTAAAAAGAACAGAAAACCAGAAAGTGTTATTGGAAATTAGAGACATAATTATCAGAATTTAAAAATCTGAGTAACCAGATTAATAAAATGTCATGTTTTAGATCCAGTTGATGATCTGAAACTTCAGATTAGAGAAAAATTTCAAATGTGCAGCAATAGAGATGAAAATACAGAATGGGAAAGATGTGATGGAAAGAGAGGTGCTCCAGTATTTCTCTGAAAGAGTGTTAAAAGAATACAGGAAACAATAATCAAAAGGAGGAATGATTAACAAAAACAGATAAATATTTTCAGATGGAATGGGAGGAATACATGAGCCCAGGAGTTGAAGACTACCCTGGGCAACATAGTGAGACCATGTATTTACGTGTGTGTGTGTGTGTGTGTGTGTGTGTGTGTGACCCTGGGCAACATAGACCCTGTATTTACGTGTGTGTGTGTGCGTGCATGTGTGTGTCAGGGTCTCACTCCCATTGCCCAGGCTGGAGTGCAGTGGTGTGATCATAAGTTCACTGCAGCCTCGACTTTCCAGGCTCAGGTGATTCTTCCACCTCAGTCTCCCAAGTACCTGTGACTACAGGCATGCGCCACCATGCCCATCTAATTTTTCTTTGTTTAGTAGAGACAGGATTTTGCCATGTCGCCCAGGTTGGTTTAGAACTTAGAGCTCTGCCCGCCTCAGCCTCTCAAAGTTCTGGGATTACAGGCATGAATCACCACACCTGGCCTTTAGAAAAAATTTAAAAATTAGCCAAGTGTGGTGGCAAGTGCCAGTATTCCAGCTACTTGGGAGGCTGAGTTTGGAGTACTGCTTGATCCTGGGAAGTTGAGGCTGCAGTTAGCCGTGATTGTGCCACTGAACTCCAGCTTGGGCGACAGAAGTCTGTCTCTTAAAAAAAAAAAAAAAAATTAAAGGCTGGGCTTGGTGGCTCAATGCCTGTAATCACAGCACTTTCGGAGGCTGAGGCGGGAGGATCACTTGAGGTCAGGAGTTTGAGACCAGCGTGGCCAACATGGTGAAACGCTGTCTCTACTAAAAATACAAAAATTAGCGAGGCGTGCTGACAGGCACTTGTAATCCCAGCTCCTCGGGAGGCTGAGGTAGGAGAATCACTTGAAACCAGGAGGCGGAAGTTGCAGTGAGCCAAGATTGCGCCACTGCACTCCATCCTGGGCGACAGAGCAAGACTCCGTCTTAAAAAAAAAAAAAAAGAATAAAAAAGGACAAAGACAAAATCTTTAAAAGCTTCCTGAGTAAAAGACAAATTACCTACAAAGAAAGGAGAATCAGACTGTCATCAGAATTCTATAACCCTGGATACTCAAATTTAAAATCTTATTTTTGGGTTGAGAGGGGTGGAGAGGAGTGGTTTATGGAATTATACCTGTAAAGATGAGTGTTTAATTATATCAGTGAGGTGGGTTGGAGGGTCGGGGGAGTAAAAGAAGTGTAGACTTAAAAGAGCTTAGCCACGTACTGTTCATGAAACCATACTTAAAATGTTTCAGCAGAATGAAAAAGAATTCAAGAAAGAACAACAACCCGTAGCACCTGGTTATACTAGAACAAATATCTCTCAGCAGGGACCCTATGTGCATTTTATGTCACACAGGTTGGCATTGTTTATAGAGGATCAGAACTTTTGGCCATCTCATCCTGCCTACTTAATTCGCATTATGGTCCTTCACGCCTGACAGTGTGGGCCCTTGGTTGGGAACCACTGACCTTGGAGAATTGAAGGAAGCTAAAAAAAAATAAAATTTCTAGATAGCCTTTGTCATATTGGAAGATAACCGCTGAAAGAGCAGGCTTTGCTCTCTGCTGAATCCCTAGCACCTAGAAAAATGCTTAGCACACAGTAGGTTTTAAGTAGACATTTGTTAAAAGTGGAAATGCTTTGAAGAATCTCTTCCCATTTGCAAAGTATGAATGTGTAGAATTTTTTCTTCTTTATAGGTGTAATCGCTGTTACTTGATCATTGAAGTTATATAAAATGCTGTCTATTGGTTTTTTTCATTTGTAGAAATGGACAGTAGGATATAAAAGATTTAATTATATTTAGAACAAAATGTTATGAGATGGAATGGGAAGAGTTTAAGGAAGATTAAATCACTTATTGTCTAATCTTTTTGACAGTAACATAATTGTTTAAAGATATATCAGGAACGGTACCTTAAGCATATTGTTTCAAATCATAAGCACAGCCACTGGAATAATTAAAAATAGCGTGGCTTGTAGTACGGGAGAGGAGAAGAGAAGTGGGATATACCATATTCAATGTGATATGGTAAATTACTCATGTACAATGGGAATCGATAGCATCTGAATTGATAAGCAATTTTTGTATTAGTATGCTATTTAAATTTATAATGGCAACCCCTCAGAGGAACTGAATAATAGAAGGGAAAAGAAAAAGAACTAATAAAAATCCTGAGTATATTTGTCCAGTATAAATTCAAATAGTCTGCATAGCAGTAGAATCTACTTTTGACTATTGAGGTGATTCTTTCTTTTGAAATTTTTCCATTGTTGTAGTGAATGTGAGTCATTTAAATCCCCCTGTATTCCTTCATTCTTGTAAATCTTCATTAGTCAGGAAACATAATCCAAGACTATTTTTGGTTCAGTTGCTTTTTTAATTCCACATAGGAATAATTAAGAGTTTTCAATTGCCTATAACATTGAGATAAACTTTCAAATCATGGCATTACCTGTTCCTCCAGAAAGAGATGGAGCCCTGCCGTTTATGCAGAAATAAGCAAGGCATAATTATAATAAAATCTCTAGAATTTTGTGTGTATTTTAGTTCTTTATGCTGTTACATAGTTGGCCATTTCTTTGTTTTCTCTTCTTTCTTTTCTTTTCCTTTCCTTTCCTTTTCCCTCCCCACTCCCCCACCTTCCCTTCTCTTTCTTTTCTTTCCAGAGCCTTGCTCTGTTGCCCAGGCTGGAGTGCAGTGGCACAATCTGGGCTCACTGCAGTCTCCACCTTCGGGATTCAAACGATTCTCATGCCTCAGCCTCCCGAGTAGCCAGGACTACAGGTGTGCGCCACCATGGCTGGCTAATTTTTGTATTTTTAGTAGAGATGGGGTTTCACCATGTTGGCCAGGCTGGTCTCAAACTCCTGACCTCAGGTCATCTGCCCACCTCTGCCTTCCAAAGTGCTGGGATTACAGACTTGAGCCACCGTGCCTGGCCAAGTTGGGCATTTCTGAAGATTTAAGTTTTAGTGCCTGATACATTTTTTTTCATATTTGGAATAACTTTAAGATGAGATGATGTTAGGTCTATCTCAGAGTACTCAACTTTGTGTTAACATAGAAGAAATTACTTCAAAAATAGTTATACTTATGACAACAGCAAACATTTCCCTGGCAGTTTTTAGTAACGTGGATTGAAGTGTATTCTATTACCCTTTGGTAAATTTTTCTGTGGTTATAGTTCTCTGTTGATGAAAAAGTTTATTATAATTAACAGAAACAAATTTAATATATAAAATCTACTTTTGTAAAATTTGAAGAATGTTTTTCTAGAATGTAAAGTTGGGCCCAGTATGTAACACATTTGATACAATAAACTTTTATGTAACATATTTAATTAAATAATGTAACATATTTGATTAAATAATTCCTTGATAAAAACATTGGTATTTTGAATAGTCAAGATGATTGAGTTTTTACTGCAGTATTACTCTATTCTGAACTTGGTAAATATTTTTTATGAGTTAGAATTGGAAAGGGGGTGCTTCAATTAACATATTGATTTGTTTTTATTTTTTCTCAGATTATTAATAGTGGTTATGTTCCAATGCTGATAACTTTATCAAGTTAATCATAGATCTTTGGGAGATACTTCTTCCATACTATAATTGTGAGGTGATTAAATTGGACAGAATTTCATTTATAGTCATTTCTTGGTATATACAGGGGATTATTCCAGGACCCCCGCAAATACCAAAATCTGCACATACTCAAGTTCTGCAGTCGCTTCTCCCTCCATATAGGCATGTTTTACATCCCTTGAATACTGCATTTTTTTATCTCTTTCGTTGAAATAATTCGTTGTAAGTGGACTCCTGCAGTTCACACCAGTGTTGTTGAAGGGTCAGCTGTGTTTAATTTATCTTTTTCTTCAGCAAATACATGATAACTTGAGTAGCAATATAATTAACCTTAGGTGGATATGAAATATCTTATGTTTCCAGAAATAAATTATTGAATTATTCCTGTTTAATAGTTTATTTTAAATGTGACATTCAGTTTCTTAATTTAAGGTATGTGTGTCCAAGGAAAGAATATTTTTTCATGAATGAAGAGCTGTAGTTACCGAAGATAAGAGTTATTCTTCCATAAGGGTCATTTGAGGTGCTTAACTGACTTTACCTGTTTCTTGGAATGGCTTAAACATTTTTTTTTTAATTTATAAAAATCTGCTGGGTATTTTACCCTACTCATACATGAATACTGTTGAAGTTAGGGAAAGATATCACAGCTCCATTCTCTGTACTTTGGCCTTTGTTGTATTAAATGAGTAGGGATAGTGTTTGGTCTGTTGTGAATTGCTGTCTCAGTTATTTACGACTGTCTAATAGATTTCTCCAAAACTCATTGGCTTAAAACATACAGTTTACAGTTTTTGCATGTCAGAAATCTGGGCACAGCTTGTCTGGGTCCTCAGCTTTAGGGCCTCTCACAAGGCTACAGTCAAGGCAGGGCTTGAGGTCTCATTGTGAATACTCTGCTGGTGAAAAATCTGCATCCAAACTCACGGTTGTTGGCAGAATTCAGTTTCTCAAGCGTTGTTGGACTAAGAGCCTCAGTTCCTTTTGGCTGTATGCCAGAGGCTGCCTATACTGTGTTCCTTGCCACATGGGACTTTCCCACAGGAGGCTTGCTTCATCAAAGTGAGCAAGCTGAGAGGGCAATAGAGTAAGCTGAGGAGGCAGTAGCTACCAGGACAGAAGTCACAGTCTTTTGTAACTTAATTACAGAAGTGACACTCTGTCGCCTCGGCTGAATTTTTTTTTAAATTTTTAAATTTCTTTTTCTTTTTTTTCTTTTTTTTTTCCTTATTCTTTAATTTGAGATACTGGGGATTGAACATCTGCTGAATTCTGTTGATTAGAAGCAATTCACTCATTGGGTCCAGGCCATACTCAGGGGAGGGGATTTATAAGGGTGTGAATACCTGAATGCAGAGACCATTGTGGTACTCCCTGCCACAACTCTTTTGAACCTTTTTATGGGTGGACCATATGGTTATATCAAATCATGGTACCTGATTTGAATTTATGGTGGTCTGGCAGTGTTTGTTATGATTATCAGGTTTTCAAATTTTTATTTGTAAACTGAAAAATTAGATTAAAGCCTTATTCAATTTAAAACATGTTATCTTTATTTCTAGCAAATACAATTTTGATTGGGAGTTTCAGGGTGTCAAGGTGAATTTTTAAGATGGGCCTTGAATGATAATATGTAGGATTTCATAATAAAGTCAAGACAGGCATTCAGAGCCTAGGGTATTGTGATATGTTGAAGTAATCGAAAATAGCCAAAACTTAGGGAGGGGAGGCAGTACAGAAAAAGAGATAAAGTTGGAAAGATGAATCACAAGTCGAAGGAATTGTTATTCAGCAGGCATTTTTGAACATGCTAGACACTTAAGGGATAGAGCTCATTAAGAAAATTTCTGTCTTCAAGGAGCTAAAGTCTGATAGTATTGAGGAATCATTTTTAAAGTTTTTAAGCAAGGAAGTTACATACAAATTAGATATGTTGAAGTGTCACTTTAGAAATATCTAAGCCTTCAATCAAACAAGGATTGCAAAAAGTAAGAGAAATATCTAAGCCATTGCATGTGTTTATATAGAGATTTACAGCTAGGTGTGGCTCATGCCTGTGATCCCAGGAATTTGGGAAGGTGAGGCGGGAGGATTGCTTGAGGCCAGGAGTTCGAGACCACGCTGGCCAACATAGACCCTGTCTCTATATTTAGAATAAAAAATAAATAAATAAAAATTTACATTGTGTTTTCAATTACATAGGAAATTATGTGAATGCCAGTAAAACCTTTATTTTACTACTATTTCTTCATTTCGTTAACAGTTAACATGCATAAAATTGTACTTACTGTTGGTCTCTAGTTAATAAATATAATTTACCAGATGTTGAGTTAATCATTTTCATTGTAGAGAATCCTCACCAAACTTTACATTGCACTCCAATTTCTGAGTGAAATTGACTTCACTGTTGGTGGCAGAAAGTTCTGAATTTATTGAAAGGTGATTCAACTCTGGTATTGGCTGCATTTGACGCGCTTGATATACTTTGTGCTGAATTAGAAATAACTTGAGGGAATTAAAAAAGCATAGTGAAAATCTACAATTAGAGAACTAGGCTATAAAAGCTATTAGTGAATAATTCTGCATGTGAAAGACAGTCTAGAATATAATAATTATTTTTATTTTCTCAAAAAGAGCCCAAAGTTTGGCATCCCAAATAGAATTGCATATGCATTCCTTTGCTTGACTTTAAGAGCCTCTGTTACCAGGTCTTTTTTCCTGAGATTTCTCCCAGCACACATCTTGTATTCTAATCAACCTATGCCACCATATATTTAGATCCTGCATGTTCTTTTCTTAACTGTGTTCCCTCATTCAACAGATAAATAATAAAGGGTACCGTAAGCCACCAAAGATAAATGACCCTTTTTAGAACTCAGTCTACTTAGGAAGCCAAATGTTTATTTCCTTTCTGGATAATTTTGCAATGCTAGAGCCTCATTAAAATGTAAATGTAAGTTTAAGAAATCTGAAGAGTGGATTTCCAAACAGAACCTCTCCATCCCCAAAACATAATGATTGTCCTTTCCCCTGATAACTATATAGTTTTGAAATTAGTTTTACAGTGCAGAATTGGTTTGTTTCCTTTACAGTTTTGTCTTTTGCTTTTTTAATGCCAAAGGATCCGTCCTTTTCTTGGGACAGTGCATGCTAGAAGCTTATCTAAGTATTATTAGCACTTTAAAGGTGGACATATGTGCAGGCTTTTGAGCAGCTGGGGTTTTATCCATCTGTTACTGCCCTTGTTCTACTCTTTTTTTTTTTTTTTTGAGATGGAGTCTTGCTCTTGTTGCCCAGACTGGAGTGCAATGGCACGATCTTGGCTCACTGCAACCTCCGCCTCCTGGGTTTAAGCGATTCTCCTGTCCCAGCCTCCCAAGTAGCTGGGATTACAGGTGCCCGCCACCACACCCAGCTAATTTTTTGTATTTTTAGTAGAGACGGGGTTTTGACATGTTTGTCAGGCTGGTCTCAAACCTCTGACCTCAGGTGAGCCACCCGCCTGAGCCTCCCAAAGTGCTGGGATTACAGGCATGAGCCACCGCACCTGGCCTTTGTTCTACTCTTTAGCATGAATTTTTTTAGACCTATCAGCCACCTATGCAGATTTCATTCCTGGTAAGTCATTAATTTTCCTAAAGAATTGAATCTATTAGATGTTTTAATTTCATTCTTCGTTTATGAACATCGTCTTTTCTTGAAACACGCACACGGTGTTTTTTATTCTTTTCTTAATTTTAAAATACAGTCTGCTGGGCACGGTGGCTCGTGCCTGTAATCCTATCACTAAGGGAGGCCAAGGCACGCGGATCACCTGAGGTCAGGAGTTTGGGACCAGCGTGGCCATCATGGTGAAAACCCATCTCTGCTAAAAATACAAAAATTAGCTGAGCATGGTGGCAGACGCCTGTGATCCCAGCTACTCGAGAGGCTTGAGGCACGAGAATCGCTTGAACCTGGGAGGCAGAGGTTGCAGTGAGCCGAGATTGTGCCACCGCACTCCAGCCTGGGTGACAAGAGTGAACTCTGTCTCAAAAAAAAAAAAAAATGCAGTCTGATATATTCCCTGGCTTTAAACTTTTGGGTGAAATTTCAGTAACACTTTTATCCTCATAAACAATAAGGATAAGCAGGACAACCATTAAAATAGTAATACCTTATAGAATATATATACACACACACATATATTTCTGCCATATGGTATTTGTTATTTGGTAGTTGTATGCAAGTTATAGTTTACTAAATTTAGTGATTTTTAAAAAACTTTATTTTGAAATAATTTTATATTTACAGAAATGTTTCAGAGATTACAGGGAATTTCTGTATATTCTTTATTCATTTTCCCTAATATTAACACATAATCATAGTACATTTATTTAAACTAAGAAATGAACATTGGTACAATATTATTAACTAAATTACAGAGGTTTTCCACATTTTCCCAGTTTTCTCACTAATGTCTTTTTCAAGATCTAGTCTGGACACTAACGTTGCATTTAGTTGTCATGTCTCCTTACTCTCTAAGCTGTTACAGTTTTTCCGTCTTGCTTTGTTTCCCATTACATTTTTAAAGAGTACTTGTCAGGTATTTTGTAAGATATCCCTCAATTTCGGTTTGGCTGATACTTTCTCATGATTAGACTGGGGGTTATGGATTTTTGAGAAGTATACCACAGAAGTGATGTATCCTCTTCATCTCATCTTATATCTTATTACTAGTGATCTTAACTTCGATTGCTTAAAGTGGTGTCTGCTAGGTTTCTCCACCATAAAATGTTCTGTTATTCCCTTTGTGTACTCTGTTCCTAGAGGCAAGTCATGCACTGTGCAGCCCACACTTGAGGAAATCAAGCCCCACCTACCGCAAAGAGGAATATCAAAGACTTTGTGACATTTTTTGTTGTTTGTCACCCTTCTGTTTGTTCTTTTTTCTTCTACTGGAATATTCATTTTTGTCTTGGATCTATCCTCTCATTTTTTTTTCTTTGTGCTTTCCATTTCTTTATTCTTGCTCTGTGATGTGAGATATTTCTTGGATTTAATATTCTACTCCACAAATGAGGCAGCGACCATTTCTCCCTTAATTAATCTACTGATTTTTTCAATTTGAAAATCAAGATTCTTAGCTACAAATTTTTTTGTGTGTTTGTTGTTTTTTTTTTTTTTTTTGAGACGGAGTTTTGCTCTTGTTGCCCAGGCTGGAGTACAATGGCGTGATCTCGGGTCACCGCACCCTCCACCTCATGGGTTCAAGCGATTTTCCTGCCTCGGCCTTCCCAGTAACTGGGATTACAGGCATGCGCCGCCACACCGAGCTAATTTTGTATTATTTAGTAGAGACGGGGTTTCTCCATGTTGGTCAGGATGGTCTCGAACTCCTCACCTCAGGTGATCCTCCCACCTTGGCCTCCCAAAGTGTTGGGCTTACAGGCATGAGCCACCGCGCACCTGGCTTGTTTGTTGCATTTCATAGCAAGTGTCTGATTGCTTCTTTTTTCAGATGTTCACTGCCTTCTTCGGCAGTTCTGTTTTATTGTTATTTATGTTCTCAGTGTTTATTCTTCTTTTCCTTTTGAATGCTATGGCCTTTTAGATACACAGTGACTTTTTCCTTTGTGGCTCATTTAGGCTCAGATCTGGTTACCGAAATATTGCTAATGGTGATAAATCTACCGAAGATTACAAGGAAAATAAGTCATTTATCTGTCTTGTCTTGTTAAGGGCATGCGGTAGGCTCCTCTTAGGACATTGAAGAAAGTCTTGGTTTTCAGCCTGTTTCATAGTTTGAAGACTAGGGGTCTTAGCTCATTTGTTAACCTCTGTGAAAAAGACAGGAGTTGGCAGTAAACTTCCTTCTGGGCTCATTTCCATATGACAAATTCCAGTCTTTGCTCTAGGATCCTTGCTGGTGTCCATTGTATTTGCTTAGTTCACGGTGGGGAAGAAGCCCTGTACTACTCAGTTTTTCCTCAAGAGATTCAGCCCTCAAATTTCAGAATCTGTCTAAAGCGTCTTTTTCTAAACTATAACTAGGGACTTAGTCCTTCTCCGGGTGTATGGGATCATGGCTATTTTTGTGTAATTCAGGTTTCCTTTATCCTCAAGTTACTTTCCAACAACATACCAGTACATGTAATTATGATGTTAACTATACAGTACCTCATTTTATAATAACATCAAAAGTTAATGATATCACTGATAGCTCATCATTTCTTTCTTTTTCTTTCTTTTTTTTTTTTTTTGAGATGGGGTCTGGCTCTGTTGCCCTGGCTGGAGTGCAGTGGTGCAATCTTGGCTCACTGCAACCTTCACCTTGTGGGTTCAAGCAATTCTCCTGCTTCATCCTCCTGAGTGGCTGGGATTACAGGTGTATGCCACCATGCCTGGCTGATTTTTGTATTTTTAATAAAGACAGGGTTTCCCCATGTTGGCCAGGTGGTTCTTGAATTCCTGACCTCAGGTGATCCACCTGCCTTGGCCTCTCTAAGTGCTGGTATTACAGGCGTGAGCCACTGCACCCGGTAGCTCATCATTTCTTAGTCTCACACTTCTAGTGGTCTGTAGCTGATAGTATGCCCATAGATATTGTGTTAAAATATTTTAATAGTAACACTGTCAGGCACAGTCCACCTTGCTGATATAAATGTGGGGTTTTTTTGGTCTTAAAGCAGAGGTTCTTAAAAAATGGATCATTAACTTTTGGAGGATTTGTGTTCTGTTGATGGACTTTTTACCATGCACTGTGGACTTTCAAATTTGTATTCCATCTGGACCCTTTTCTCCTATCTGCTAACTCATGTATCCAGTTGCCTATTTGACATCTTTATTTAGTTGTCTCATAAGCAGCCTAAATTTAGTGTACCTGTTTTGTTTTGTTTTTTGAGACGGAGTTTCGCTCTTGTTGTCCAGGCTGGAGTGCAATGGCGCGATCTTGGCTCACTGCAACCTCTGCCTCCCGGGTTCAAGTGATTCTCCTGCCTCATCCTCCTGAGTAGCTAGGATTACAGACATGTGCCACCATAGCCAGCTAATTTTGTGTTTTCAGTAGAGACGGGGTTTGTCAGGCTGGTCTTGAACCCCCGACCTCAGGTGATCCGCCTGCCTCAGCCTCCCAAAGTGCTGGGATTACAGGTGTGAGCCACCGTGCCTGGCTGTAACTCCTGTTCTTTTGCCTGCTCCAAACTTCATTCATCTTAGTAGGGGAGAGGGTATGATACCACTCTCCTTTCAGTTGCTTAGGCCAAAAGTTCTGGGCTCATCCTTGATACTTCTTTCTAACCCCTTATCTAATCCATCAGCAGTAAGTCTTGTTGGCTTTGCTTTCAAATATATACTGAATCCAGGCACTTCTTAGTAACTCTACTAAAGTTACTAATTAAAGTTGTCTTTAATTATGATTTAAATTTTTTGTCTTTAACATTCAGATTTATTGGCATATTAGCATGATTAACATTTTCATTTACTAATAATACTAATAAGTGTTCGTGATATCTAGACTTCATTTTTTAAAAATCAGTAATTTCAGAGACTTTTCTATTGTTTTTTTTTCCCTCTAAAACTTCAGCTTTTAAGTTTGTTTCTCTTTTCTAATTTCCATTATGATGTTTTGGAGACTGTTAGAACCGTGTTTTAGAAATTCCAAACATGGGTTTTTTTCCTTGTTATCTGTTTTGTTTCCAAAATTGATGTCAGGAAATGTGATCTGTGTACTAATTCTTTGACATTTACTAAGATTCACTTGATAGTTGCTCATTGTATACCTTGGTAAAATATGTACCTTGTAATTATTTGTCTCAGTTTTCTGTATTCTGTATACTCAATCTGTATTTTTGCTAATGTGTAAATGTGTTAAGTTCTCCTGCTCTCTTAAAAATGTCAGCTTCTCCTTGTACTTGACAACTTACTAATATATTTAAAATTGTAGTTTTAGTTTAGTATTGTTACAGCTTTTCAAAAACTGTTATGTAGCATGTTGTGACCATTGTGTCTCCAACAGTGGTTTTGACTTTAAGTCCACTGTCTGATATTAGTATAGTTGTATGAGTCTTCATTTGCTTTGTGTTATTGTATGTCTCTATTAGTCTTAACTTCCTTTTCCTTAAGTTTTAGGTTTATTTCTTATAAATTATGTATAATGGGATTTTAAAGTTTCCTTTGCCGGTATCTGGTGGTTTCATTGATGGGCCTACATTTATTGTGACTCCTAGTTTAAACGTGTAAATGATACAAATGTTTATTTCTACCCTCTTATTTTGTGCTTTCTAATCTAGATTTTTTTCAAACTCATTCTTTTTCTGTCCTTTTGGGGTATTTTCTTTATTCTCCCCTTGTCCATTGAGTTGGAAGTTATGCATTATATATATAGACGTATTATCTATGTAATCTATATATTTTAGTGATTCATTTAAAGTACATAGTTGATTACAATTCAAACTGAAACAGCATAACATGTGGTCCTCATTGTTACAACCGATCATCTCACTGGCATTAAACTACTCTTTGTCTGACTTACCCTTAAGAAGAGTTGCATTTTTTTCCTGTAGTTTCTAGGGCTCTTCATGGAGTTGAGAAATTTCTCTAAGTTTTGATCACTTATTTTATGGGGAGAATGAGCAGATTGCCCTTACATCTTTTTACTTAATTTCTCTATGTATTTTGTATCTAGCTTATTAGAGTGTGCTTCCAAATTTCTCATCCAAAGCTATTTATTTCCTTTAGCAGTGAATTAAACTTTCTTTATGTTTCAACTGGTTTGTGAAAAGTTGCAGGACCTTTGTAAAATTAAACTACAGCTTCATGGTACAAATCCTTGTTTTATCTTTTCTTCTTTTGCTGATATGGTGGGATTTTTGTTTTTGTTTACTCTCTTGAAATGTACTTAATCTAGCTAGCTCTGTTTTTGTTATTTTAGTCTTCCATTTCAATGTATCTCACCGATACTCGTTAGTCTATGAAATAGTTTCATTTATAGTTATGTAGTAGGACATTTCTTTTGTTAGCTTTATGTATGAAATAATGCTCTTCAAGTTCCAGGAATGTATTAAAATAAAAAAGAAAGGACTTTTAGTAACAAAGAGAACTGAGGTTCTCTTTGAAATTTACAATGCAGTTTTTAGGTGGTGTCACAGAGGATGGAAAACTAAATTGACCACTTGCAAAATACGATTTATATTTGTTACAGAACATGTTTTACTCATGCAAAAATAAAATGAGAGTAGCAAAAGCAAAGTGAGAGTCTTTTAATGTGTTAAACACCAGTGGTTTTCAAAGTGCAGTGTCTGGACCAGCAGTCCAGAACCACCTGTGAACTTGTTAGAAATTCAGATTCTTAGGTTCCACGTCAGACCTCTGGGGCCCAGACATGCCATCCAGGTAGGTGACTCTGATACTTGTTTTAGAACCACTAAGTTACACATTAAAACAAGGTTGTACAAACTACTTGATGTGTTCAGTTGATAGGCATGTACAATGCTAGTCATTTTTTTCATCAGAAGTGTTACAGATAAATACTTGATTTCTAATAAACATTGTTTAACTCAGTTTAACTTTTGTTCAAGTAGTTTTTGCTTTTTAAGATAGGAATTATAATTTTTCTCCCAATTATGTTATAAGCCAGCATTCGACTGAATTTGTCTAACACTCATCTTTTTTGTTGTTGTTGTTGTTGTTGTTGTTGAGATGGAGTTTTGCTCTTGTTGCCCAGCCTGGAGTGCAATGGTGCCATCTTGGCTCATGGCAACCTCCACCTCCTGGGTTCAAGCGATTTTCCTGCTTCAGCCTCCCCAGTAGCTGGGATTACAGGCACCCGCCACCACGCCCAGCTAATTTTTGTATTTTTAGTAGAGACGGGGTTTCATCATGTTGGTCAGGCTGATCTTGAACTCCTGACCTCAGTTGATCCACCTGTCTCGGCCTCCCAGAGTGCTGGGATTACAGGCATGAGCCACTGCGCCCGGCCTCATGTTACTTTTTAATGTGAAAAGTTATCTATCGTGTGCTGAAAGAGAGAGTGTAAGATACTCTCTTTGTGATTTAAAGTTTTTTTTATTAGTCTGAAATCTTCATTGAATGCAATTGTACTGCAATTTAATGTAACTTTTAACCTTTTTCTCCTGCCCCTACCTCAGCCAATAGCTTTTAGTCTGTTTGACACCTCAAGATGAAAAACTCTTTGAAAGGACTGAAAAGATGTTATTATATTCTCATCATAAACAAACAATAGGGATGTGGAGAGGATCTATACTCTCCTGAAATAGGTCTTTGTGTTTGAGAGTTCTTTATGTAAAATGTTTTGTGGTAATAATCTCACTATGGTATATAGAGGTAATTATCAATTGTTTTTAATTACTTGAATTAGTACTTGAACTTTATATGGAGATGATTTACATTATATGTGCATATAGTTTAAATCTTTAAATAATGAGAGTTTTTCATTGTAATTCTTTTTGTGTGTGTGTGTTTTTTTTTTTTCAGGAGAGAAATAGAAACAAACAATAACCGTATGAAGATGTCCTGTTAAATTTACAACACTAACGATGTAGACTCTGGAAATGCCTAATAAGTCAAAGAAGACGTATTAAAGCTCTTTTCTGCTTAAGGTGACATCTTTGAACACTTTAACACAAAGTTGACTCTTCTCGTAATGGTTTTCATCAGCGCATCTGCCCTTATACTCTTCACCAAACACACTTGAGAACTGTAACTTCGTCAAGCACTTTCTGTCCTGAAGCTTTTACCAGTATCTGCTGTCTTTTGTAATTATGCATCCTAGCTAAGGCACAGAAGACTGAATGAATGCAAGGATTCATTAACTCTTTGAATTTGTTAAATACTAACAGTTAACCATTAGAAGTGGTTCAATGATGTAAGAGTCACACTGCTTCAACTTTTTCTTTGTTGTAGTTTTTAAATTGTCGATTTTTAGCTATTTGACAGATTAAAAGCAAAATAATCATGCCATATTTAGTCCTGGAGTTCAAGTCTAAATGTTGATGTGAAAAATTATTGTAGTAAACTTTTAATATGGCAAAGCAACCTTAAGCTCTATTTTAGCCAAATGAAACATAATCTGAAATTATATTAGAACATTTCCCTTGTCTTCAAACTGTTTGGTGTAACAGAATATTGATATGCAGCTTGGTGGATTTCACCAGTTAATGCACATTCTTCTTCCCTCCTCCCCCCATTAATATGTATACTGAAAAATGTGCATTTGTCTGAGGAATTATTTTGTTTGCTACCACTTAATGAATCTCAAAATTTTGAGTAAATGTACCTCAGTCTAATCAGACTTTTTATGACCTTTATAACTACATTTAAAACCCTTAATTCCTATTTCTGGGTGTTTGCGAGCCTGATTGCTATCATGAAGTAAAAATTTATTACTCTAGGTATTCACTAGCTAAATAAACATAGTTCTTGTTTAGCAAGCATATGTTGTTCCTCAGCTCTTTTCTCCAGCTTTTGCAGTGTCCTGGCATCCTTAAAATACTTTGAAAATATGGCCTTGATCCATGGATTAAATCAGTATCTAAGTGAATGTGTTGATGTTTTATTGATCAGATCTATATAAGTGGGAATACAGCATATATCTGGATATTCTTATAGTTATCTTTTTAACATCTTATTTTTTTCATTAATTACATATCAACATTAATTTTGTATCTTGAAGCAAATTGATTTTGTATAATTAAATGTGTCAAGCATCTGTATTAATTGATTTGATGGCATAAGGTTATGAAAATAATGTACTGCCCCATGTATTACTGTTCCAAAAGGAGAAAGCTATGTAGAAAGATACATTAAGGGTGAAAATAGCAATACAGTAGATTTGAATACCTTGATGTTTTGCATTACTTCATTTATGTTTACATCATGTTTAGAAATGTTTTCATTTACTGTGGTCTTTGGTCACTTCAGCTCAAAGACCTAGTGATGGATATTTCTTTGAGGCTTTCATTTATATAATTTTATTTTGTACAATGTTTTTTTTAAATGTGCAAATACTGTATTCAAGTGAAAAAAATACAGTATTTGTAGATAACCATAGCTACTACACAGTTCTTCGGTAGTCCCAGTGTAGTTATATCAGTGTTTACTGAAGGGAACATCAAAATATTAATGGTATATTATAAAATAAAGACTTTCTTAAAGGAAAATTGCACCTATTTTACCTTTTTAAGAGTAAGCCATGAAATCTTGTAACATGTCTCTTAACTATTTATAATGAAAAGTGGCATTTGGGTATAGTCACCACAGCAATGTTCTACATCCCTAAGATTATCTAGGTAGGACATGTCAAAGATGACTGTTGTCATTCTGGAGGTCCTATTAGAGAATATTATAAAAGGGTGACCTTGTAGGAAGGATCTGAGTCCTCCCCCTGAGGTTCTCTTTTTCTTGGTGCTTTATTAGCAACTCTGGATATTTTTATAAAACTAGTTACATTATAAACGGTTTCAAACATGTTTAATTTACATTAGGTTTTTATGTAAGAGTGTCATGGAAGCACTCAGCAAGCAGGCTGATTGCAATAGACTCAGACATGCGAATAAATGTAATTGAGAGTCTATTCATGGTGAGGAGTACATCCCAGTGCCTTTAACCTGGATTTCTAATCTTAAGTGAAATGGGTGCAGCATTCCTTTGGAAAAAAAAATCTTTTTATTTTCAAGTGATAATTTTGTGTTTTTCTCATATAAGTTTTCTCCAGAGCACCCACCTTCTCTTCCTTCTTGGTCTGTCATTATATTGCAAAATATTTTTCCTCTGAATGAAATTATCACAGGTTGTCTCAAGCACAACCAACTGAATGTCTCTTAACTGTGGGGACCAAAAGGGAGAGAGCCTGGGGTCTACAAGAGGAGACACATCATCAAATGTTTGAATGATCACAAATTAAGACATTATCAGCCCAGTAAATTTCTTGCTTAATGTTTTTCCAAGTTCTGGCTTGAATATTTCTTATTAAAGCTATCTTATGTGGGTATTTTATTTTGAAAGGTATTATAGTTTGTATATTTAACAGTAAGGAGGAAACTGTAACCAAAATTAGTATTTCTCTATACGTATTGGTACTTGAAGATTCCTTTCAAAAGAAATCCAGCGTTTTCCTAATTTTAGTACTTAATTTCTCTTTTTAATTTAAGTGATCTTTCTAATTCGAAAGCTGTGTTCTTTTTGAATACCGTGCATGGGGGTTAAGCTGATGTTAAAACAGTTTGCAATAAAAAAAAATGAATCAGCTTAAGTCATTTAATCATTTCAAGTGCATTCTGCATCCTTTAAAAATAAGTTTAAGAAATTTAAGAGAATTGTGTTTTCATTAAGTTTTGCATATCTTTTGTTATGCCATGTAAATTCCCTTTTTCGTATGATTAAAGGAAGGTTATGATAAAATGATTAGTTCATTTACATTCACTTGTAGCAATTACATGAGAATTTGAATTTTGTCGTGTTTGGGTTTGTTCATTCCTGTGAATGATGGTACAGTTAGGTGAGATTTTCTGTTATGGTACCCAAACTCACCATTTGGTCCTCTTTAATCTTTGAGGGTTTCAATAAAAATTGTTCACTCATATCTGTGTTCTTTCCATTTTATCTTCATGAATATGTATTGCTTGCCAGAAAACGTAACATTTTTGCCTACTCTGTTATGGATTTCCTGATTGACATATCTTTCACGTACAAATAGATTATATCACTCCTTCTGGTTGACTTTAAATTAAACAGAGCAGTTAATCAGAGGGAGGGTAACAGTTTACCTTATTTTTTATCCATTCCAAGGAGCTTATTGACTTACATGCTTTTAATACTAAGTTTAGAACAAAAGAGAAAGAGAAGGCCTGTTTGTTTTTTGTAGCAGGAGGAAATAGTGGCAGCAGCTAATAATCCTAATCCCCCACTCTTGGTACCAAGGAATGTTTTTCTGACATTGTCTGCATTACCTCTTGGGATTGATAGTTTATGTGGATAGGATCATGGCAACTCTGGGTGATGCACTGATTATTGCTGGGCTCTCTATCTAAGGTATTTGTTCAGATAGGAAAATTACAGAATTGTTTTGTGTTGTCAAAACCAGCAGGCTACATATAACACTACTGGCCTGTGACGCGGGCACAAGCTTAAAGAATCACTCCAGGTGCCTACACTGCAGCAGCATCAGAATCCTCCCTTTTACTACTGGTCATCTAGAGAGAGCAAGGGTGTATGGCTCATCAGCATATTAAAATTGAGGCTAGTCAGTCATAGTTGGGGCCTAATTTGGCTTGGCTTTATGTTGCTTAGTGATACTGGATTTACTGATTCTAGTCTATGAACCAACATATTCTTGCAGTCAGAAGTTAACTGACCAAAGTTGTTATCTTTACTTTCTAATCACAGTACTTGCCATTGCATAATCTTGATGTATTCTTTCCTCATTTCTCTTGGTGCAATAGTGAGAAAAAGAATTCTCTCTCTCTCTATATATATATATGTAACCCATAAGTAGTGGCAGTTTAAATGTAGTTTATTTGTAAATAGTGCACCAAATTCAGAACTTATCACCTTTATAAGTTTAGTTACCTTTATAACGTTAGGACTAAATGTAAATGAAAAATTGTTTTTGTAAAGCTTAGTGTTTAAGGAAGGTTATGAATGCAGGGTTAATAACACTGGAGGATTCCCCACTTCTTCTGCCACCATACTTTTTCCTTCATAGAACACGCTTAAAGATTTAGATATTAGAATGTTACTTAAAACAGTATTAGATATTTCTAAGAGACCCATCTATTACCAGAATGGAATTACTGTCTGGGGGAAGATTTTAGTATTCAGAGTTGAAAGACCAGACGTAGTTATTTCCAACAGTAGGCTCAACACTGATCAAATCATTTCTTTTATTGTAAGTATCCATATTAATAAAATCAGGAGGTGGGAGTAGAAGGCATCTAAAGTTCCTTGCAGTTCTGATATTTTATAATTTATGATTTAAATAGGTAGCTTTGTAGGCTGTGCTTTATTCTAGCAATGGTGAGTTTTTTTTGAAAGTGATGTTATATATACATATATAACATGTTGGTTTCCAAACATGCTTTTTTTTTCTTTCTTTCTTTCTTTTTTTTTTTTTTTTAAAGAAATAGGGTCTCCCTTTGCTGCCCAGGCTGGTTTTGAACTCCTGCCTCAGCCTTCGAAAGTGCTGGGATTATAGGCGTGAACCACTGTACCCGGCCAGTATGATTTTTAATAATCATCCTTTGTTCAAAGTATGTGTAATAAATAGTCCAGAAAATAAATGTTTGGAACTGATCAAATATGACTACCACTTTCCGTGAATTACGGTCTAGTGGTACAAAATGTCCATCTTTTCTAAGTGTTAGTAAAGAGAAGCAAGATAATGTGTGTCCCAAAGAAATCCAAGTTGTTTTTTACATTCTACCATTTCATATTGTATTTGTATTTTTAAAATAGACCTTAATTTTTAGTACAGCCTTGCAGAAAAATTGCAAAGACCATACAGAAAGTTCCCAGCACCCTGCACTTGGCACTATTAACATCTTACAAATGAATGAACCAGTATACACTATCACTAACTAAAATGTGTACTTTTGCAGAATTTGTAAGTTGTTACATAATACCCATTTTCTGGTTCAGGATCTCATCAAGGATACTGCATTACCTTTAGTTGTCCTGTGTCCTTGGGTTCCTATTGGCTGTGATGGTTTCTCATTCTTGTTTTTAATGACCTTTATAGTATTGAGGCATACTCAGATAATGTTTTAAAACTCCTATCTGCACCAGAACATCAGATTTGCAGAATGCTCCTCCTTTGGAATTTGGCTGGTGTTTTTCTTATGTTTAGACTGGCTTTGGGGAGGAAACACCACATTAGTAAAGTGCCATTTCTATCGCGTCAAATCAAGGATACATACTACCAACTTTATGACTGTTGATGTTGGACCTTGATCACTTGGCTGAAGTAGGAGTTTGTTAGGTTTCTCCACTTTATAACATTACTCTCCCTCCCCCCCCCCCCACCCCCCACATACTTTCTGTACTGTACTCTTTGGAAGGAAGTCACAGCCCACATCTGAGTAGGAAATTATGGTCTCTCTTATCCTGGTTTTTTTTTTTTTGGAGACGGAGTTTCACTCTTGTTGCCCAGGCTGGAGTGCAATGGCTCGATCTCGGCTCACCGCAACCTCCGCCTCCCTGGTTCAAGCGATTCTCCTGCATCAGCCTCCGGAGTAGCTGGCATTACAGGCATGCACCACCACACCCAGCTAATTTTTTTGTATTTTTAGTAGAGACGGGGTTTCTCCACGTTGGTCAGGCTGATCTCGAACTCTTGACCTCAGGTGATCCGCCTGCCTCAGCCTCCCAAAGTACTGGGATTACAAGTGTGAGCCACCACACCTGGCCTTATCCTGGTATTTTTAATGGGGAAGACAGGAATCTGTCTTCATACCATTTGTCCTTCATACCCTTTGTAAACGGAGGGTAACAGTTTACCCTATTTTTTAATCCATTCCAAGGAGCTTATTGACTTAAATGCTTTTGATACTAAGTTTAGAGCAAAAGAGAAAGAGAAGGCCTGTTTGTTTTTTGTAGCAGGAGGAAATAGTGGCAGCAGCTAATAATCCTAATCCCCCACTCTTGGTACCAAGGAATGCTTTTCTGACATTGCATTACCTCTTGGGATTGATAGTTTATGTGGATAGGATCATGGCGACTCTGGGTGATGCACTGATTATTGCTGGGCTCTCTATCTAAGGTATTTGTTCAGATAGGAAAATTACAGAATTGTTTTGTGTTGTCAAAACCAGCAGGCTACATATAACACTACTGGTCTGTGACCCGGGTTCAGCAGGCTTGTGTGCCAATACACTTTTTTTTTTTTTTTTTTTTTTGCCTATATATTTTTAGAACACTCCCTCCCATTTTCCCCTCATTTTCAACAGGGCAGTCGGATATTGGAGGAATTGTAATGAAGACTTACTTATACATATTTCTTGAATTCTAAAGACTTATATGTATTTCTTGAATTCTAATTGTGTGTGTATTAAAGGGATTGAAGTTGTAGTCACAGAGAATACTTAGATAAAAGCAAAATATCTTGATCTTATGGTATAGGTAGAAACAGTCATTCAGATTTAGCTGGGGGAGATAAACCATAATATATTATGGTTAGAATGGTGCATTCCCTTGAAAAAACATTCCAAATCGCTTGGCATCTGCTTTTTGATGTAATTCTTTTGAAATACTTTTGAGCCTGCTGTGTAATATAATGGCCAAGACCTTGAATTTTAGAGACTAATTGATCTATCCTGGAATCCTAGGTTCACTTCTTAACTAACTCTAAGCCTCAATTTTCTGGTCAATTAAAAAATATGAAAGAATGATAACAGAACCTATTTCAGAAAGGTTAAATGAGGTAATTATCAAGTGTTTAGTACAATGCCTGGACCCATTTCAAGCCCTCAAAAGTTAGTTGTTAACTACCTTCTTTTGTTTCTTTGGGAGAATTTAGAATTTATTGATTGCCATTGAAGATTTTTTAGGATTCAGTGACAGCCATGCCTTTTCCAAGTAAAATATAGCAATATAGAGCTTATCCTGCTAGAGCAGATGACAGAACCAAAGGTGGATTGGATTAAAAGGAAAGCAAACATGGGGGAATAATGGTAAGAAAACATATAAACAATAGAATAAAATTAAAGAAACCAAAGGTAAAAATTAGATGAAGATGTATTTTGATTTGCTTATTACAAATGCCCCTTGATATTTAGTGTCATTTAAATATATAAGTAAATTGTAAGTACTTCATTATGTCTGGTATCATTACAGAATGGAAACACTAATGCAGATGTGTTACTTCCATATTTCCTCAGTGAAGTTGTGTAACTTTAAAGGGAAGAGGTATTTGGTATACACAAACTTAGATGGCAATTCTATTGTAGTAAATATTCAAAAGGAAGATTATATAAGTTTACACATGAAATATGAAAGCTCCAACATAATGCTGTTGCATGCTAATATTAAAGCTACTATCCCCAACAAATATATTGTTTGCTATTACTACTTTGCCAGATTAAGTGACTTGGTGTCCGCTGGAAAGCAGCCAGTGCTGAGAGTACAATTGGTACTTGTATCTCAGCTATTTTCTAGTTTGCTCGTGTTTGTATGCCTTCCTAGAGTCATTTGTGCTTCTTTCTGAACTTGTTGATTCCAGTCGTACTTGTTTTGTTATGAAATTTAAATATGTAAGTTGATAAAATGTGACGGAAAAAGAATTGTTTCTAAGAAGACTAAGTTGACTGCTTTGGAAATACCTGGTAAGGGTGAGTTGTCTGATTAGGTAGATGAAAACGATTAAAAGCCATGGGACAATCATAAAAACGTAGAAGTTTTTAATTTGCAAGTGTTTTTTCACTTCTCATTACACTGAGAACACTTAGAGGATACATCACAAGTGTGCTTCAGAGAAGAAAAGTATTAAGGAGTTGAAATAACAGACTTATTTAAAGAAAAAGTCTTGGACCTGTATCAAATAATTGAACTAAAGTGTCTTTTAAATTAAAATCTTTAAGATAGGTTTGTATCACTTAAAATCCAAAAACGTTTTTCCTCTGCGTTAAACAAGTTGACCATCTTCTGCATGTGGCTGCATGTGAACATAATGTAATGATAAGCTGTTATGATATCTTTGTAAATAAATGTAATAAAAAGAAGTATTCATGCTACTTAGAAAATATAATGTGCTAACGCTTACATAATTAAGTGTCTAAACTGTAAGAAATATTTTGTGTATGAAATGTTGGAGAGAAGAAATTAACCCAACATCAAGTCTTGGTATCTTAATTAATTATTTATTTAGAGACAGGGTCTGGCTCTGTCACCCAGGCCGGAGGTCAGTGGCACAATCTTGGCTCACTGCAGCCTCCATCTGCCAGGCTCAAGCGATCCTCCCACCTCAGCCTCCTGAGTAGCTAGGACTACAGGCGCGTGCCACCACATCAAGCTAACTTTTTGTATTTTAGTAGAGATGGGGTTTTACCATGTTGCACGGGCTGGTCTTGAGCTCTTGACCTCAACTGATCCACCTGCCTTACCCTCCCAAGGTGCAGGGATTACAGGCTATCTGCCTCCCCACTTAACCTTGGTGTCTAAATTTAAAGCCACTGAAACCATGTCAGGTCTTGAGATTTGCCATGAGTAAACCATTTCTTTTAGAAGGGCACGTTTTGGTTCTCAGAGGTTGTATAAACTTATTCCTCCATAATACTCCCTTTTAATAAGGAAAAAAAAAATTGCCTGAGGAAGAGGAAGTTAACCATTAAATACCTATCTTGGAATTATGTAGTTTTATTTTAATTTCCTGTTACCTTCCAGGCAAGATTTGAAAGGTCATGCATTAAAAAAAGAAAGTTTGTCAATAACATATATATGTAGAAATAAATCACTTCAATCACTGTTGATTTTCATAGGCAAGCAGATAAAAAAGATGTTACAGAAGTTATTTGAACAGCTTTTCAACAAAGGCTCACATTTGAAAAAAATTAATGTCAAGTTTTATTCACATAGAGACCACAGCCACTCTTTCTCTTTTAGTTCATTCTTATAGTTTGGTGAAGAAACTGCTCCACAAAGAAGTCGCAGCTTTTGCCATTTTCAAGGAAAACCTCAGGTGTTTCATCATTTTTGGTCTATTTTTCAAAACACAATTCAGGAGTGTCACACAGACCCACCATAGACCCATATAAGCATCTACCACCTAAGTGGTTCTTGAGTGGTTTTGATCCTCAGACCCACTTTCCCAGGTGTCTGGTGTTAATGTATGCTCCTGATAATTAAGAGTAAAATTATTAATATCAAATTTGAAATATTTACATGATAGATGATATATAATAATCTTACATTTATTAACAGGTTGGGCAGCAAAACTTCTTACTCTCAGGACTCCTTTAAATACAAATTGTTGAGGAGCCCAGAGAGCTTTTTGTTCATGTGGGTTGTGTCAGTTGATATTTCCCGTATTGGAAATTAAAGCTGAAAAGTTTTAAAGCATTGTTTCACTTAATAGAAAGCAGCTGGATTTTCATCTCTGCTTCTGCATTCAATTGTGATATCTCTTGTCTTGGAAGCCTCTGGAAAACACTATACACATGAAAGAATACGAGTGAAAAAGTCTTAGTATTATGAATATAAATTTGGCGTTGCAGATGTCCTTTGAGAACCACTCTTCGCTGATACATGTCGGTGATGGACTGTTTGCAGTTTGAGCTCCTCTACGTGAATGGGTATTCCCAAGTGGTTCTGTTGCATCACTTGAGCAGCCCTGTCTTGGGGCAACTCTGCCATGTACAGGCCTGCCCACCCTCCTACAGATGCACACCAGTCTCTTTCCTTGATCTCATTAACATAAAATCACATCTCATCTCAAGGAATGTATCTACTACTTGGAATCTATTGAGTCATAGCTTTTAGTTATCAGTGAATTTTTTTTTCTTCAGCTTCATATCATTTTCTTACCTTATCTGGTGATTCATTGCCCATAAAAATAACGAGTAGTTTTACAATCAAAATTGGCTTTGAATTGTGTTTGGATTTTTGTGAAGATTCTTGGTATCTGAAGGGAAATGTTTGTGTTTAACCTTAGTCTTCCTTGTCTATTCTAACCCCAACTCTCCCAGGGGAAAAAAAGCTGCTTTTTTTTTTTTTTTTTCCTCTGCTCTACTTTCAGTACCACTAATCTATTAACTCATCAAACTCCAAGCAAAGGTAGAGGTAACAAAAGCAGAGGAAATTGTCATCATTGATTCCTCTTCTCCACTGTGTTTCCTCTGTCCAACACAGCACTCTTTTAACCAGCCCTGACTTCCTCTCAGGTGTCAACTCACCCCATCTTCTGCCCTGTCGCTGTGCTCCAGCCACACTGGCTTCCTTGTCTTCCCTCAAACTTTCAGGTGCATTTTTACCTCAGGGTTTTTCTGTCCTCTCTGCTTGTGTCAGATGTTTCCTTTCTTCTGCACGGGTCTGCTAAAGTCACACTTTATTAGTGAATATGTCCTTGATCACTGTCTAAAATAGTAACTCTGTCCTCTATTTTCTTATTCTCTATTTACTTCATAGAAATTTTCTAAAGTTAATTTGTGTATGGCTTTATCTTTATAAACTGAGATTCCTGAGGGAAGGGACTTTGTCTTCTTTATTGCTGTAAACACTGCCTGGCACATAGCATCCTTAACAGCTACTGATTGAATGAGTCATTGACTATCCTCCAAGCTCATTCTTAAGTTGTGACGAATGGATCATTGCTGTTGATGCTGCAATGATAGCCTTCATTGCTAGGGAGCCAGAAGTCAGTCTGTGAAACTGGTGATGCTAGTAACTGCTTGAAAGCAAGCCATGCGACTTACATTTTTCTTACCAAAGGGAAAGTTGACTGCTTGATAATATCCCCACTTCCACTTTAATACTCTATTTGGCTGCTCTTGTGAAGCTGCCTTCTCTCCCCCACTCCCTTCGTTCGTTGTTTTCTACTTTCCAAAATTACCTTTGACTCTCATTTAAACCAGACTTTTTCTGGGTCAGATAAGGGGGAGGAATACAGTGTGATTTACTCTGAGATCATAGAGTGCTGGAAAGGACCTATGCAGGCCATTTAATCTCATCTTCCTGTTTATAGATGAAGAAACAGCCTGGAAGGCTATAACTTTCCCAAATGAGTGAGAGAATCAGAACTTCAAAAAAGCCCTGATTTTCTAGTTCCTACTTCAATGTGAAGCTCATCTAAATCTGTACCCTTCAGATTTTGGGTTTTTGGATTAGGGATGTTCACCTGGTAAATATAATGCAGATCTTCCAAAGTCAAAAAAAATTGGATATCTGAAACACTCTGGTGTTTAGAATTTCAAATAAGGAATACTCAACTCGTATTTAGTTGTTGACTGACCCAACAATTAAGTGCCTCTATCATTTTTCTTATTTCTAAAATGAGAAACATCCTTACTCAGAATTGATCAGAGAATTGAACAAAAATGCACAATGCATAACATCTTTTTTTCTTTTTTTTGAGACAGAGTCTTGCTCTGTCACCCTGACTGGACTGCAGTGGTGCTATCTCGGCTCACTGCAACCTCCACCTCCCAGACTCAAGCGATTCTCCTGCCTCAACCTCCCTAGTAGCTGAGCGTGCACCGCCATGCCTGGCTAATTTTTATATTTTTAGTAGAGACAGAGTTTCAGCCTGTAGGCCAGGCTGGTCTTGAACTCATGACCTCAAGTGATAATGCCTGCCTCCCAAAGTGCTGGGATTACAGCCATGAGCCACCATGCCCAGCCCATCATTCTCCCCTCCCCTCCCCTTTCCCCCTCCCCCCTCCCCTCTTCCCCTCCCCCTCCCCCTTCCCCTCCTCTCCCTTTTTTGAGATGCAGTTTCTTTCACTGTTGTTGCCCAGGCTGGAGTGCACGCTTGATCTCTGCTCACTGCAACATCCACCTCCCGGGTTTAAGCGATTCCCCTGCCTCAGCCTTCCAAGTACCTGGGATTACAGGTGTGCACCACCACGCTAGGCCAGTTTTGTATTTTTAGTAGAGACGGGGTTTCACCATGTTGGCCAGGCTTCTCTCGAACTCCTGACCTCAGGCAATCTACCCACCTAGACTTCCCAAAGTGCTGGGACTACGCGTGTGAGCCACTGTGCCTGGCCGGCCCAGTCCATCTTGAAGCCTTCACTGTGTTAGTTTTTGCTCCTGCCCCTCTTTTTCTAGGAGTCCTGGCTGTCCTCATGCAGAAGAACTTGCTTTTTTCCCTAAATTTGCTAGTGCTTTTTCTGCGTTCAACTGTAGATCCTCTAAATCCTTTTCAAAGCCATTGGCTTTTCAGCTTTCACATGTCCAAGATTGTCTAGACAGGTGAAACTTAAAAGTTTTATTTTTAAAAATTAGTCTGGTTTTTAGAGGTTGATGTTTCCTTGTTATTAAAGTATATATAGAACTTTTCAGAAATCTAATCACTCTAAATCCCTCTATACCTACCATATAGGAAAAGAAAGTTTGACCAGAAAATGGTCATTAGTCATAACACAGGAGTGATGCCTCCACTTTTAGATAGAGTGGTAAGCATTTAATCAACTACTCTTCTATACTACCCAGCTTAATGTGGCTCCTAGTTGAATAATTACAAAAAGATAAAACAAAACAAAAAATTACACAAAAGGACAGCAGAGGGAGCTATTGAGATTTGATTACGTTTTGTGTTATGTTGGGTTTTGCTTTTTTTTTTAAAAAAAGAGAAAACTATAATGTTTTGACTTAGTCTTTCTCATCTCACATCAATATGCAGGAAAAGTTTTATCATATTGGATAATGTATATGGAGTGTGGGGGTGGCATAAGAAGAGGCTTTTTTTTTCTATCTGCCTCCACTTAAATTCTGTTAATCACCCCCATCACTCCTATAAATGTAGTTGGCATAAGAAAAATGATAATTTTCCATTGTAATTTTAGAAGTGTGTTTATTTTGTTAGTGTAAATCTGGATCATCCAAGATCAGCTGCTTTACAGGACATTGTCTCTAATTGTGTTTTTATAGGCTCCCTGGAGACCTCTCCTGGGCTTCTAAAGTCTTCTGCCCTGTCCTCCATTATAGGGGGTGGATTATGAGACCTAAAAGGGTTAAAATTCATAGAATTTTGTGAGGAGTACTCATTAGAAGATGAGGATTGTACTTAGGTTAGGGGTGTGTGTGTAGTGTACAGGTGGGTGGTAGTTAGGAAGAGGGAAGTGAAAGGTTTGTTTCAGGTCTTTCTCCACAATCTTGATGCCACATTTCATGTGTACAACCCACTTCTGCTCTTGATATTTTTATCTCTCCTTGTCCTACCCACAATTCCTATGCTTCCTAACTGGTCCTTCAGCCTCAGAATTCTACTCACTCCAAGTCCATCCTCCACACGTTAGCCATAGTTGTCATTTATTAAACACAACTCTGAATTCCTTTTCTTGGAATGTGTCCTTTTGTTTATAAGTGCACGGAAAACGTGTGGGTTCACAGGGATACTACTTGTGGTATTGTTTGTAATTGCAAATTTAAAAAATGGGAATGAATCTGTTCACCTAAAAATTAAATTGTGAAATTCAGTACAATGAAATACTATGTAGCCATTGATGCTAATGTGGGAAGATGTTAATGCATTTTCTTAAAAAAACAAATAATGGTCTGTACCATGAGTTTTAAAATTTAATACACAATTGAAATATGTTTTGCATTTGATTTTAATACATAATTTAAGTTTAAATCAAATTTTGCAAGGATTTAGTAGGTAGAGAAAATGGAAATAGGTACAAAATATTCCTAACAATGGTTACCTCTGAAGTATGTTGCTAGACTTGCTGGCTGTGAGGGAGGACAGAGAAGAGGTTTTACTTTTTGCCTTATATCTTTCTTTAGTTTGAACTGTCTAGCAAGACCTTATAATTTATAAATACATGTAAATTTAAATATACTGATATTCCAAGATTTGGTTCCAGCATTAGTGTCTCCCTGAAGCCTTTCACGGTCCCATTGGTCTGGTTTAGGTAGACTTCCTTTGTGGACACTGACTTATAATCCTCTACTGGAGCCAGCTTAATGTAGTAGAACCAGTAGGGACTTTGATGTCAGATAAAACTGGATTAAAGTATGACTCAGCCTTTATCCACTGTGTGATATTAGACACGAAATTTAATCTCCTTTGGCCTCAGTTTCTTTACTTCAAGAGTGGGAAAATTGATGTTAATCTTGCACAATTGTTTAGGAGCAGAGTGAATTTATGCAAAGTGTCATTGTAAGACAACAGGCATATGTAGGTGTTCAATAAGAGGTAATGTTACTGGAAAGGGGTCCAGATCCAGACCCGAAAAGAGGGTTCTTCGATCTTGCACAAGAAAGAATTCAGGGAAAGGCCATAGAGTAAAGTGAAAGAAAGTTTATTAGGAAAATAAAGGAATAAAAGGATGACTACTCTGTAGACAGAGCAGCTGCTGGTTGCCCATTTTTATGGTTATTTCTTGATTATATGCTAAACAAGGGGTGGATCATTCATGCCTCCCCTTTTTGACCATATAGGGTAACTTCTTGACATTGTCATCGCATTTGTAAACTGTCATGGTGCTGGTGGGAGTGTAGTAGTGAGATGGCCAGAGGTCACTCGTTGACCTGTTAGTTTTGGTGGGTTTTAGCCAGCATCTTTACTACAACCTGTTTTATCAGCAAGGTCTTTATGACCTGTATCCTGTACTGACCTCCTATCTCATCCTGTGACTAAGAATGCCTTAACCTCCTGGGAATGCAGCCCAGTTGGTGTCAGCCTTATTTTACCCAGCCCCTATTCAAGATGGAGTTGCTCTGGTTCAAACACTTCTAACAGTAACGGGTACTATTATTGAGAATGGAGATTGTTTACTCCATTCTTTTTTTTTTTTTTTTTTCTTTTAATTTTTTTGAGACGGAGTCTCGCTCTGTCGCCCAGGCTGGAGTGCAGTGGCGCGATCTCGGCTCACTGCAAGCTCTGCCTCCCGGGTTCAGGCCATTCTCCTGCCTCAGCCTCCCAAGTAGCTGAGACTACAGGTGCCTGCAACCATGCCCAGCTAATTTTTTTAATTTTTAGTAGAGATGGGGTTTCACCATGTTAGCCAGGACGGTCTCAATCTCCTGACCTTGTGATCTGCCCTTCTCAGCCTCCCAAAGTGCTGGGATTACAGGCATGAGCCATCATGCCCGGCCTTGTTTACTCCATTCTTAAAGCCATGGTTCTTTATTGAATAAACACAGTAATGCTTCTTATTCTGAGTTTTTCCTGTGACATGACTTCATTCTCTAGACTTCTGTATCAAATTGTACCTGTACTATGGTCTCATTCACCCCAAGCCAGCTCTCAGCTAGTTGTTTGGATGAACAATCCTGATTATGGCTTAATGCTAAAGCCTGCTGACATGTTTCTAAGAACCCACTAATGGCTTACCTGAAGGTGAATGCAATGGTGGTATCCAGGCATCATATTAGGAAGAGCACAGTTATAGAAAATGCAGAGTGGAGCTTTGGCATTTTTAAGCCAGCTATATGGGTAGTCTCTAATTGTACTATCTGCCCATGGTTTGAATTTTATCTGTCCAGCATGAAGCAGAGAGGAGCAGTCAAATTGTTGGTGCTACTGAGAGTATCACCTGCCTGCATCAGAGATAGTGGATGGTCTTCTAATTTTAAGTGTCACCCTCTCTTATGAATTACCTCTTTTTAAAGGCACTCTACCATACTGCCTTTTATTATGCTTTTATTTTGAAATTGTAAGCAGCAGTTGCCCTGTATCAGAGTTTTCTGAACACAGATTTTTGAATGAATGAATCAATCAAACCATGACTTTTCCTAGAGTTTGATAGTCCTTCCAATCATCTAATTGTATGTCATTTGTTTAGTGAGATATCATCAAGCTGTTTTGCTTCTTGAGAAGCATTCAGATGGTAAGAATCGCCGATTGACTTGATTGTTCCACAGACATATAAACACTGCTGGCAGAGTTCATATGTCTAGAAGATGCTTCTGGCATCTGGTACTGCAACAGTGTGATAAGGTGATGCATCCAGGTGAGTGAAATACACGTCAGAAATAGATCCCATAAAAATTCAGTGCTGCCTGTCTCCTTTAGTTCCTTTAAGCCACAAGTATGCTTGGTTTTAGCTTTTCTGTTTATTTGGACACTGCTTTTTATCAGCAACAGGAGATGTGTTGTTTTATCTTTTGTTTTAAATGTCTGTTTTAAACCTTAACCCCCTTTTCCTTCCTAAGAATGAATTAAAGGTCTATTTTTGTTAATATCTAAAATTGTTATCCCAGGAAATGAGTCAGTGAAAATACTTTTGCATAAAATGACAATAGCAAAATCTTTTCTTAATGAGATGTATTGTTCTAGCAAGAGGTCAGATGATTCTCCCATATTACCCCTACAAAAACCTTTGCCAATCAAGTCAATATGCCAGTTCTAAGCCTGGTTAGCAAGTACTTTCTAAAGTACTTCTAAAGTACATCTTCAGTAAGACTGTTCGGGCTTTCCTTGTGATGCCCTGCATTGGGAAAGTATAGCTTATATTCCCCTTGAATCTGCCTGCCCTGTGACCATTTAACCAACAGAATGGAATGGAATTGACATTTGCCTCAGTGGCTCAAAGCTTTAAGATGTCTGGCAGCTTTTAGTTTTGCAGTTTTGGAAAACCTGAGTGGCCATATAAAAAATCTAGCTTCCTGTTGGAGAGACCACATGACATTACATGGAGGCCAATATCGATCTATCCTGTTGTCCAAGGAAAGGCCCTGAATGACTTCAGTCTCATCCCCTCCTGACTACAACCAAGTGAGAAACCAGCAGAATCTCCCTGCTAAGCTCAAACTATACAAGTATGAGAGATAATAAAATGATTGTTTTCTTAAGTGCCTACAGTTTTGTTGTGGTTTGTTACATCGCAGTAGAAACCAAAACCGAAATTGTTTCTTGGAAGTGGAGTGTGGCTTAATGGTAAACTATTACATGAGAGTTTGACTTTGGGATAGGTAGAAGCTGGAAGGGCCTCGAGGACAATTTTAGGGAAGCCTGTTAGGACAGGAAGGAACTTGTCATTAGGAGAAAAGGTGACTCATGTTACTTATGACAGAAAGCTTGGTAGAAAGTTGGAAACATGGAAAATAGAAAATATAACTAATACACTTATGGTCCTAGCTCTTTGCATATATCCACTATACTCCCCTGAACAGCTTGTTAAGAATGGGAACAATATTCCTATTAGTGAAGTGAGGAAATCCCAACTAAAGGAAGTTAAATGTCTGTCCAGTATCATATCTGGTAAGTTGCGGAGAGATACTTTTAACACAATTTGGCTAAAGGAATTTTTCAGGTGAAAGAAAAAGTACCAATGGATTTCTTTTGGCTGCGCATGAAAAAATAGAGATGAACTAAAGAAGAAACAGTTTAGTTTTTGAGCAGAACTTGAAGGAAATATTTCTAAGCAGGAAGCTGTTAGAGACTTGGTTGGTGTGTCTGTATGACAAGAAAGTGAGGAAAGTTATGTTGTTGGATGTGAAAGGCAGCAACTAGGCCTTCTCATATATGATTCCATGCCTCAAGCCATCACACAGACTATTCAATTGGAGTAGGATCAGGCTTCAAAGAAAGGCTTTGGATCTCTGTTTCCATGGCCCTCTGATTGTACTGATGTACTTATGGCCAACTCATGGAGACTTTTTCAGGGCCATAAAATCCCAGAAAGTGGCCGGGCGCGGTGGCTCACGCCTGTAATCCCAGCACTTTGGGAGGCCGAGACGGGCGGATCACGAGGTCAGGAGATCGAGACCATCCTGGCTAACACGGTGAAACCCCGTCTCTACTAAAAATACAAAAATTAGCCGGGCATGGTGGCGCGCGCCTGTAGTCCCAGCTACACGGGAGGCTGAGGCAGGAGAATGGCGTGAACCCGGGAGGCGGAGCTTGCAGTGAGTCGAGATCGTGCCACTGCACTCCAGCCTGGGCGACAGAGCGAAACTCCGTCTCAAAAAAAAAAAAAAAAAAAAATCCCAGAAAATACTATGGAATATGGTATCACAGCACAAGAACTATAGCTTCTCCAGACTGGCTTGTCATGGCAGTCTGGACAATGGACAAAATGGCAACTCCAAAAACGACCTCTGTACCAAAATCTGCCCCTAAATGTTGGGAACATTAACTTTATTGTCGGTAGCTAGAGTCACTGTGCAAGAATCTGTGAATGATTGATTACCCAGGATAAAGATTGACACACCCTGTAAACAAAGCAATATCTCTGCAAAATGAGACAAAATGAAGGATAGGAATAAAAACAAACCCTCTTCAAAGGAACCTGGTGATAAGGTGATATGGATCCCAAGGAAGAAACTGATGTGGTTGGCACTTGGAGTAATTGGGTCAAGATATTAACGGGGGCAGGTGGGCTTCAGCAGGCAGTTTTCCACCCACTTGAAACAGAAGGTGCTTCTTTAGAATCAGATTCCTCCAAAATGATCAACCTCCAACTACTGGAGAAAAGAAGTCAAGAGGCTGCCTGACCCTTGCTCCTGTATCCCGATTTGACAGCCTATGAGAGGAAGATAGACAAGGTCCCTGATCCTAGAAGTTACTGAAGACCTTGCATTCCATTGAGGATACAGTGGGATAGGATGGAGGGATTTGGCATACAATAGTTTTTTTCTTTTTTTGAGATAGAGTCTCACTCTGTCACCCAGGCTGGAGTACGGTGGCATGATCTTGGCTCACTGCAACCTCCACCTCCCGGGTTCAAGCGATTCTCCTGCCTCAGCCTCCCGAGTAGCTGGGATCCTAGGCACCCACCATGATGCCCAGCTAATTTTTGTGTTTTTAGTAGAGATGGGGTTTCACCATGTTGGCCAGGTTGGTCTCAAACTCCTGACCTCGTGATCCACTGGCCTCGGCTTCCCAAAGTGCTGGGATTACAGGTGTGAGCCATCATGCCTAGCTGGCATACAATTTTTTTTTTTTTTTGAGATGGAGTCTCGCTCTTTCGCCCAGGCTGGAGTGCAGTGGCACGATCTCTGCTCACTGCAAGCTCCGCCTCCTGGGTTCACGCCGTTCTCCTGCCTCAGCCTCCCCAGTAGCTGGGACCACAGGCGTCTGGCTGGTCCCATGCCTGGCTAATTTTTTTGTATTTTTAGTAGAGACGGGGTTTCACCATGTTAGCCAGGATGGTCTCGATCTCCTGACCTTGTGATCCGCCCGCCTCGGCCTCCCAAAGTGCTGGGATTACAGGCGTGAGCCACCGTGCCCGACCTGCATACAAATTTTTATGGCTCTTTTGGGTATCAGTGTTCACATGATTATCTTAGCAGGTTCTTTTGAGGGGTGAGGACCACAGCTTCAACTGGCCAGATTTGAAAGGGGAGTGAAATATGTAAGAGAAGTAACTGTAATCATCTGTGTTGGGCTGCTTAAAGCATTCTTAGGCACTGCCATTATTGCTCTTATTGCTGAATGCACAGTTGGTATTGATACTTTGCATACTTGTAAGTGCTCATAAATTTCAATTGAGAAGAGTTGCTTGTGATAGTGGGATGAACGCACTTACTAGGCCTCCAATTCCATCCACATTATGCAACAAAAACACCATATAATTACAGGAGGAGTAAAGGAACACAAAACCATAATTAAGGACTTCAAGACAGCAGTGGTATTGACAAATGCAATTTATTACAGTAGTTCAGTGTGCCCACTGGACAGGCTGATAGGAGCTAGAGGTTTCCATTATGGTAGATTATTACTATTGAATTCAGTTGTTATATTCCTGCTATTTCAGACATTGTATATCAAAACTGTTGGCACCTGGAATGTCATCTTAGACATTTCAAATGCCTTTTTTTAAAATCCTTTATGCACGAAGAGATTAAGATCAGTAGCATTCACCTGGCTGGGGCTTCAATGCATATTTATGATACTGCAACAGGAGTATGAGAATTCTCATACCCACCAATAGGTGGACGGAAACATGAAACGAATTTCTCTCCCTCTGGGAGTTTAGTTCCACTGCATGATGTAATTATGCAGAGAGGCCCTATATTAGTTATCTATTTCTGAGTAACAAATTAATACAAACTTAAAAGCTTAGAATAGCACATTTACTACCTCACAGTTTCTTTGTGTCAGGAATCAGGCATGGCTTAGGTGGGTCTCTCATGAGACTGCAATCAAGGTGTCCACCAAGGCTGGTGCCTTCAGTAAAAGTCTGGGGAAGGATCTGCTTCTAAGCTTATGTGATTGTTGGTAGGGTTTTGTTCCTCAGGGATTCTTGAACAGAGGACCTCAGTTCCTTGCTGGTTTTTGCTGAAGGCTCCATCCTCAGTTCCTTGCCATGTGGGCCTCTCCACAGAGCAGCTTGCTTCTTGAAGCCAGCAAGGGAGAGAGGTTGCTAGCAAGACAGAAATCACACTCTTATGTAATCTAATTATGAATTGACAACTTCTGGATGTTGAGGTATTCTATTGGTTAGAAGCAAGTTCTAACCAAGGGCAGGATCATATAAGGCTAGGAATACCAGGAGGTGGTGATTATTGGAGACTATCTTAGAGTCTCCCACCTGGGATGGCTAATATTAATTGTCAACTTGATTGGATTGACCAATGCAAAGTATTGTTCTGGGTGTGTCTGTGAGGGTGTTGCCAAAGGGGATTAACATTTGAGTCAGGGGACTGGGAGAGGCAGACCTACCTTCAAGTCTGGGTTGGCACCATCTAATCAGCTGCCAGCATGGCTAGGATAAAGCAGGCCAAGGAACTTGGAAGGGTAGACTTGCTGAGTCTTCCAGCCTTCATCTTTCTCCCATGCAGGATGCTTCCTGCCCTTGAACATCAGACTTCAAGTTCTTCAGCTTTTGGGCTCTTGGACTTACACCAGTGGTTTGCCAGGGGTTCTTGGGCCTTTGGCCACAGACTGAAAGTTGCACTATCAGCCTCTCTATTTTTGAGGTTTGGGGACTGGAACTGATCCACCACTGGCTTCCTTGCTCCTCAACTTGCAGACAGCCTATTGTGGGACTTCACTTTGTGACTGTGAGTCAATTCTCCTTAATAAACTCCCTTGCATATATACATATATCCTATTAGTTCTGTCCCTCTAGAAAACCCTGACTAATACACCCCTACACACCCCAATAAAAAATAAGTGACAATGACTTATTTAGAGTATACCCTAACTCACATGACAGCCCAGGATGTCTTGTTAATTCTGTTAAGATTCAGGGAACAGCCAATTTCTTGGAAACAATGTGTCATGAGGCTCAAAGCCTGGCCACTGGGACAGTAAAGGAAGAGTTACCTTCTGGCCATCACTACCAAAAAGGGAGCTCAGCAATTCATTTGATTATTTGAATATTGGAGACAGTATCATCTTGTCTTAGTTTATTAAGGCTGCTATAACAGAATACCATAAACTGGGTGGCTTGTAAACAACAAATATTTATTTCTCACAGTTCCGGGGGCTGGGAAGTCCCAAAATAAGATACTTGCAGATACAATGTCTGGTGAGGGCTCTTCCTGGTTCATAGATGACTGCCTTCTTGTTGTATCCTCATATGGTGAAAGGGACAAGGGACTTCTCTGGCATCTTTTATAAGGACATTAATCCCACTCATGAGGGAATCTTCCCTCATGACATAATTATCTCCCAAAGGCCCAATCTCTAAATACCATCACGGGGGATTCAATTTAAGCATATAAATTTTGGAGGGATGTAAACATTCAATCTATAACACACCTCATTTAGGCATTTTGTTGATACCAATATATAAAGTGACCAGAAAATATGCTAAATTTAGCTGGGGATCTCAGCAGCAAGCAGAGATAGAGGCAGTGCAACTGGCTGTTTCAGCAGCCCTAATCTGGGGGGCATATAGACTCTAGGATCTCTTTGAACTACAGATCTCTATTGCTAATAACTATGCTCATCAGAGCCTTTGGCAAAGAGTGACAGGTTTCCTGACTGCTGAGCCATATTTAAAGCTAATGTTATCTACTAGATGGAAGCAGCTGTCTAGACCCAAGGAAATTTGGAAAATTGACTATAATAAGGGTAGCAGCACAATGGCCTAAATTCAAAGCCACTGTTGTTACTCTAGACAATACTCCTAAGGGCCATATATGTTTTATTTTTACTCACTCTTGGGCTGTGACTAACAGCATAACTATTTGGTTGAATACCTGGGGGATGACTGACTGGTGTGTTAAAGACACATCTCTGTGAGGCTGTGGGCTCTGGAAAGGCGTTGCTACAGCCAGATGGGGCATTTATATAATCCATGTGAATACTTTTGGGAAGAGTCCATACTGAGATAAGACTAAATAAAACAATGTGGCTGATCAGGCTAGCACAGCCTATACAGGCAGCATCACTACCTGAATTTGTCCTTATACATTAATTTTATTATTACCATCATTTCCTGGGTCTATTTTTGTTGACTGACTTTTCTCCTAATTAGAGATCACATTTCTTGATGCTTAGCATGTCTGGTAATTTTTAGTTGGCATTTAAGTGCTTGACTTCCTGGTTGTTGTCTTCCTTTCTTTTCTTTTTTTTCTTTTTTTTTTTTTTTTTTTGAGACGGAGTCTCGCTCTGTCGCCCAGGCTGGAGTGCAGTGGCGCAATCTCGGCTCACTGCAAGCTCCGCCTCCCGGGTTCACGCCATTCTCCTGCCTCAGCCTCCCAAGTAGCTGGGACTACAGGCGCCCGCCACTACGCCCGGCTAATTTTTTGTATTTTTAGTAGAGACGGGGTTTCACCGTTTTAGCCGGGATGGTCTCGATCGTCTTCCTTTAAAAAATATTTGAATTTTATTTTGACAGGCTACTTGGGGATTAGCTTGATTTTTTTTGAGGCTTGCTATTAAGATATATTAGGGCAGATTAGAGTAGTATTTATTCTAGGGTTAGTTTCTATTATGTAAAGACACAGATAGGTTAAAAAAAGAATGGAAAAATGTAGCATGAAAACATGAAGTGTAGGGATAGCTGGAGTGGCTGTAAAAAACCAGTCAAATTAGACTCAGGACAGGGAATAATAACAGAAAGAAAGAAAGAAATTTCTTAATGATGAAAATGTCAATTTATGAAAACATTGACAGAGACCTGAAATTAAACAAAGCAATAATTGTCACAACTGGAAAAATAAATAGACAGATTCGTGATTACTTTTAGAGTTTCAATACTCTTCTTTCAGTGAGAACAAGAAAACAAAAAAAATTAGTAAGGATATAGAAAACTTTAGGAGCACTATCAATCAACTTAACCTAATTTATATTTATAAAACTCTACTTCTAACAGCAACATAATACACATTTTTTAAAGTACACATGGGACACTCAAGATAGATCACATACTAGATCATAAAAAAAGTCTCAAAAACTTGGGAGAATTTAAACCATATAGAGAACAAAAAAATCTGGAAAATCTCCAAATATTTGGCAATTAAGCTTCATTCTTCTAATGACCCATGGGTCAAAGATGACATCAAAAGGAAAGCTATAAAACAAAAATAAAATCTATTAAAATTTACAAAATGAAACTAGACAAGTGCTTTAGAGGAAAATTTATAGTTTCAAGTGCTTATATTAGAAAAGAAGAATGTTTAAAGTCAGTGATCTCAGCTTCCCCTTTAAGAGGCAAGAAAAATAAAGTGAAAAGAAGGAGGGAAATAATAATGGGAGAAATAGAAATCAATGCAATAGAAACAAACAGCTGAGAAAATCAAAGAACCTAAAAGGCAGTTATTTGTAAATATAAATAAAATTAATAACACATCTAGCTGGACTGGACAAGTAATAAAGAGACAATGCCCAAATAACCAAAACCAGGAATGAAAGAGGAGATGTCACTACAGACCCTATAAATGTTAAATGTATATTATAAGTATATATAATAAAGGAATATTATTATCATCTTTATACCCATAAATTTGATAACTTAGATGGAATGGATAAATTCCTTGAAAGGTATAAATTATGAAAAATGAATAAAGAATATATAGAAAATGTATTAGTCCTTTTTCATGCTGCTGATAAAGACATACCTGAGAATGGGCAATGTACAAAAGAAAGAGGTTTAATTGGACTTACAGTTCCACGTGGCTGGGAAGTCTCACAATCATGGTCAAAGGCAAGGAGGACAAAGTCCTGTCTTACATGGATGGTGGCAGGCAAAGAGAGAACTTGTGCAGGGAGACTCCCAATTTTCAAAACCATCAGATCTCGTGAGAGTTAATTCACTATCACCAGAACAGCATGGGAAAGACCTGCCCCCATGATTCAATTACCTCCCGCTAGGTCCCTCCCACAACATGTGGGAATTCAAGATGTGATTTCGGTGGGGACACTGCCAAACCATATCATTCCGCCCCGGGTCTCTCCCAAATCTCACGTCCTCATATTTCCAAATCAATCATGCCTTCCTTACAGTCCCCCAAAGTCTTATTTCACCATTAACTCAAAAGTCCACAGTCTAACGTCTCATCTGAGACAAGGCAAGTCCCTTCTGCCTATGAGCCTGTAAAATCAAAAGCAAATTAGTTGCTTCCTAGATACATGGAGGTACAGGCATTGGATAAATACAGCCATTCCAAATGGGAGAAATTGGCCAAAACAAAGGGGCTACAGGCCCCAAGCAAGTGTGAAATCCTTTTTTCATAAAGGATAAGTACATGGTAAAGTTTCTGAGCCTTTGCACGTGTGAAAAATGGTTTTCTATCCCACTTGTTGATATTCAAAATTGTTAGATTCAAAACTGTTTTCCTTTCAGAATTTTGAACCATTGCTTTGTTTTCTTCCTAAATCTAGTGTTGTTTTTTGTTTGTTTGCTTGTTTTGGGTTGGTTTGGTTTTGGTTTTTTTAGAGATGGGATTTTGCTGTGTTGCCCAGACTGGAGTGCAGTGGCCATTCACAGGCGCTATCCCACTAGTGATCAGCATGAGAGCTTTGACCCACTTGGTTTCCAAACTGGACCAGTGCCCCACTTCTTAGGCAACGTAGTGGCCCTTTACTCTTTGGAAGTCATCATATTCATACTGAACTTAGTGTGGGCATCTGATTACCATAGCACACACAGCCCAGATCTCCTGGGCTCAAGACATCCTCCCATACAAGCCTCTCAAGTGGCTGGGACTACAGCTAAATCTAGTGTTATTGATAAAAACTCCAGTGCCAATCTGAAACGTCTTCCTTTGTAGCATTTGCTTTGGTACCTAAGTTCCACAATATGTGTACATATGGATCTTTTTAAATTCATGGTGCTGGGTACTTCCAAACAGGATTTGTGGCATTCTTTACTTTTGCAATATTCTATTCTTGTATTTATTTGATTATCTTTCACCCTTATTTTACTTATTCTCTCTTATTGGATTTTATATTAGTTGATTTGAACCTTCTGAAATGAACTTCCATGCCTCTTTTTTCTTTTATCAAATTCTTTTCTTCGTTTTCAAGTTCTCCATTTTGATAGCTTTTTTTTTCACCCAGTACAGTCAGGTGTCTGTATCTGTATCTGTGGATTCTACATCCATGGATTCAACCAACTGGCATGGAAAGTATTTGGGAATAAAAATTTCACAAAGTCCCAAAAAACAAAACTTGATTTGCAACATGCTGAGTATTACATTGAATCCACATAAATGAAGTGACCTGTAGGCATTGTTATTTGTTGTTCTAAGTAATTTAGAGGTGACTTAAAGTATATAAGAGGATGTGTGTGGGTTATATGCAAACACTATGGCATTTTATATTAGGAACTTGAGCATCTGTGAATTTCGGTATCTGGGGGCCGTCCTGGAGCCAAGACCCTATGAATACTGAGGGACAATTGTAGTTCTATGAAGTGTTTTCTCCAAATATCTGGAGACCCTTGGTTGGTAATTTCTGTTTAAGAATGAATGACCAGGTGGATTACCATAGATAGTTGGTGTGACTTTACTCTGCTATTGAGCTTCTTCCATGAACACAAGAAGTGAGAACTCTATGTTTCCTTGCTTTTTTATTAATTCAACAAATATATAGGGTTGGACGTCTTTAATCCCAGGACTTTGGGTGGCTGAGACAGGAGGATGACTTGAGGTCGGGAGTTCTAGACCAGCCTGGCCAACATGGTGAAACCCTGTCTCTGCTAAACATACAAAAATTAGCTGAGCGTGGTGGCAGGTGACTGTAATCCCAGCTACTTGGGAGGCTGAGGCAGGAGAATCTCTTGAACCTAGGAGGTGGAGGTTGCAGTGAGCCGAGATTGCGGCCACTGCACTCCAGCCTGGGCAACAGAGAAAGACTCCATCTCAAAAAAACAAAACAAACAAACAAAACAAACAAAAAACCCCCCAAATATATTATAAGCACCTATTGGTTGTTCTGGGCAATATTGATACTACCATGGTGAGCAAAATATGACATGATTCTTACTTTCATCGATCTTACTTTTAGAAAGAGAGATAGTAATCAAAATACATTTAAATAAATGAATAATTACCCACTAACATGTGATGAAAAGACCACAGTTATATGAAAGCATATAATAAAATAAATTATTGTATTAGGATACTTTTGGCTGCTAGTGACAGAAACCTATGTGAAGCTGAACTGATGAAAAGGAAATTTAATGGCTTAGTGAAGAGTCCAGGTCTACAATAGGGATCTATCTCTTTTCATCATTTGTCTTTTTTTTTTACTTTGTGTTGTTTTCATCCTCTAGTGGGTTCTCTTTAAGTGGTAACAAAGATGGCTACCCGTGGTCTGGGTTTACATCATATAAGCCTAGCAACTCCATTCTAGACAACAAAGCAACTTGCAACACCTAATTTAACTGTCTTCTATTGTTGAAGCAAACCCCATAAATAGATATCTTTCTCAATAATTTTGTAACAGTCCCTGGATTATGTTTCACTTACCTGGCTCTGCCACCTGTCTTCCTTAGAATCTATTACTTTGCCTGAGTATGGACTTTTCTGATTGGTTATTTATAGATTATATGTGTATCCTGAGAGTTACGGGGTGGAGTGAGCCATAGGCCTTAGATAGAAGGAAGGTTGCTTCCACAAAGAAAAATCAGTCAAGACAATGAATGTATCATGGGAAGTGCATAACATTTGATTTTAGACAGAGTTGTATTCAAATTCCACCTCTGCTCTTACATGCCATGTGATCAGGGCAAAATCAGGGCAAATTAATCATCTCTTTGGGCATTTCCTTGTTGTTGTTTTTTTTTTGTTGAGACGGAGTTTTGCTTTGGTTGCCCGGGCTGGAGTACAATGGCGCGATGTCAGCCCACCGCAACCTCTGCCTCCCAGGTTCAAGCAATTCTCCTGTCTCAGCCTCCCGAGTAGCTGGGAATACAGGCATGCGCCACTGTGCCCAGCTAATTTTGTATTTTTAGTAGAGACAGGCTTTCTCCATGTTGGTCAGGCTGGTCTTGAACTCCCAGCCTCAGGTAATTCACCCGCGTCGGCCTCCCAAAGTGCTGGGATTACATGCATGAGCCACCACGACCAGCTGGCATTTCCTTTTTTTGCATATTGGTAAGCTTTATGTAAATAACATTATACTGCATTTTCCTTCTGTAACTTGTTTTTTTTGTTAGGATTGATTTATTTATTTATTATTTGAGACAGAGTGTCCCTCTGTTGCCCAGGCTGGCGTGCAGTGGTGCAATCTTGGCTCACTGCAACCTCCGCCTCCTGGGTTCAAGTGATACTCTTGCCTCAGCCTTCTGAGTAGCTGGGACTACAGATGCGTGCCACCACACTGGGCTAATTTTTGTATTTTTAGTAGAGACAGGTTTTCACCATGTTGGCCAGACTGGTCTCGAACTCCTGACCTCAAGTGATCTGCCTGCCTCAGCCTCCCAAAGTGCTTGGATTACAGGTGTGAGCCACCGTGCCCGGGCTGTTGTTCAAATTTGTTTGTGACATTCATTCATGTTGATTCATGTAGCTGTAATCCATTAATTTCTACTTTAACATAATATCCCAGTATATGAGTACGTTGTAATTTTTAATTCATTTTTTAAATTAATGGACATTTAAGTTCTTTATATTATTTTGTTATTAGAGATGCAATGTTTTGAACATTGTTGTGCATATCTATATGTAAATGTGCAAAGGTTTTCTCTAGGGAACATATCTAGGAATGGAATTACTGAGTCTTAGGGTATGACACTTAACAGCTAGACTAGAATTTGTCAAATTGTTTTCAGAGGTTGTTATAATCATTTACACTCCTGCCAGCAGTGCTTAAGAATTCCCACTGTTCTTCATCATTTGATAACATTTTCACCATCTTAGAGGGCTGACAAATAGAAGATAGGAATATAAAAAAAAAGATAGTACAATGGAATAAGTGTTTCAATTTGTACAAAGGGAATGTAAAAGTAATGGAGATCCTTTATATCTACAAGCATAAAAAAGTGCAAGGGTAGAAGGGACAATGGGAGCTTTTTATCTTCAAGTTAGGGCAAGTGAAATCCCATAGTGTCCAGCTAATAGTTGAGACTGTGGCAAGTCCTTGATGTTTTTTCCATAGTTGATAAAATGCAAAAAAAAGGCACATTTTTTCTCACAGATTTTTTTTATGTGCCTGCTTGCCTGATTAGGAGAGAATTACTTTCAGAACTTTGTTCACAATGCCTAAGTTTTACCAATCACAATGACATAATTCTCTTTGGTGTTCTGGATCTCTGCTACTTATGGAATACTATGTAGTGAGAGGATTTTTAATGATATATGACTTTTAATTTAGCATTACGTAGTGATTTCTCTCTCTTTTAGAAACAAGGTCTTGCTCTGTTACCCAGGCTGGAGTGCAGTGGTGTGATCATAACTCACTGTAGCCTCGAACTCCTGGGCTTAAGTAATCCTCCTGCCTTAGCCTCCTGAGGCTGGGACTGTAGGTACACACCACCACACTTGGCTAATTGTTTTTTTAGTTTTATGTAAAAATGGGATCTGGCTATCCAGTGGTCTCAAGTGATCCTTCTGGCCTTCTAGCCTCAAGAGATTCTCTCATCCTTGACCTCCTAAAGTTCTGGGATTATAGATGTGAGCCACCATCCCAGGCCAATCTCTCTTTAGCAGGCAAATCTTGGAGATATTGTGTTCCAGACCACCTTAATAAAGCAAATATCACAATAAAGTGAGTCACATGAATTTTTTAGTTTCCCAATGTATGTAAATGTTATGTTTATGCTATACTGTAGTCTATTAAGTGTGCAATAGCATTATGTTTAAAAAGCCATATACATACCTTAATTAAAAAACATTTTATTGCTAAAAAATGCTCACATTCAGTTGAATGTTCAGTGAGTACATCTTTTTGCTAATCAAGGGCCTTGACTTGGTGTTGATAGATGCTGACCGATTAGGGTGATGGTTGCTGAAGATTGGGGTGGCTGTGACAGCAATGAATTTTGCTGCATTGGTGGACTCTTACTTTCATGAATGACTTTTCTGTAGTATGAGATGCTGTTTGATACCATCTTACCCACAGTAGAACTTCTTTCAAAAGTGGTCAATTCTCTCAAACCTGGCATCTGCTTTATCAGCTAAGTTTATGTAATACTGTTAATCCTTTGTTGACATTTCAATAATGTTCACAGCATCTTCACTAGGAGTAGACTTCATCTTAAGAAACCAGTTTCTTTGCTCATCCATAAGAAGTAACTTCTCATCTGTTCATGTTTTATCATGAGATTGCAGCAATTCAGTCACATCTTCAGGCTCCACTTCTAATTCTAGTTCTCTCGCTATTTTTACTACATCTGCAGTTACTTCTTCCACTGAAGTCTTGAACCCCTTAACGTCAATCATGAGATCTGGAATCAACTTCTTCCAGACTCCTGTTAATGTGGATATTTTGACCTCCTCCCATAAACCATGCATGTTCTTAGTGGCATGTAGAATGGCAAATTCTTTTTAGAAGGCTTTCAATTAACTTTGCACAGATGCCCAGATCTATCAGAGGAATCACTACCTGTGGCAGCTATAACCTTATGATTTGTATTTCTTAAATTATAGGACTTGAAAGTCAGAATTCCTCCTGGATTCATGGGCTGCAGAATGGATGTTGTGTTAGCAGGGATGAAAACAACATTAATCTCCTTGCACACTTCCATGAGAACTCTTGAGTGACCAGGTGCATTGCCAATGAGCAGTAATATTTTAGAAAGAATATTTTTTCTGAGCAGTAGAAATGCTCAAACATTTTTAGCTTTTGATTTAAAGTAAAAGATATGCAACACTTTCTTTAACCTGAACACTTAGAGGCCATTGCAGGGTTATTACTTGGCCTAACTTCAATACTGTTGTGTCTCAGGGAATAGGGAGGCCTGAGAAGCAGAAGAGAGTTAGGGTAATGGCCGGTCAGTAGAGCAGCCAGAATACACACATTTATCCATTAAGTTCACTGTCTCATATGAGTAGGGTTTGTGGAGTCCCAAAACGATTACAATAGTAACATCAAAGCTTATAGACCACAGATCACCATAAAGGATGTAATAATAATAATAAAGTTAGAAATATTGTGAGGAATGCTAAAATGTGACACAGAGACACAAAGCAAGCACATGCTGTTGGAAAAATGGTGCTGATAAACTTGCTCAATGCAGGATTGCCACAAACCTTAATTTGTGAAAAATGCAATGTCTGCAAAGCACAATAAAGTGAAGTGCAATAAAATGAGGTGTGCCTGTATGTATATATATGTATGTGTGTGTATATTATCCATTAATTAATTAATTATTTATTTTACTTTTAATAGTCAAGTTTCTTCAGCAGTCTGCAATTGTAACAGTGAGCGCAAGAGCTATGTTAATTGAAGGCAATGTGACCAAAACAGAAATTTCTACCTCATTAAAGTTTTAGTGCTGCCCTAAATCCACAGATTTTTTTTTATTTTATTATAAGCAACTGGAAAATAAGTGAATATTAGTTTCACTTAAATGTAACTAAAACTGGATGACAGAAAATGTGACATTAATATGTGTTACTGGAGCAGGCTTAAGTTCCCATATTTGAGGGAAAAGGGTAAATTAGAATAATTTAGATATCAAATTAGCCTTTTAAGCAGTTTCTCCCCACTGGCTTGAGAGTTTAGGAATGATTTCCCAGAGAATCATGGAGAAACGTTTGTGATTGCTCTTATTAGAAATGTCATTAGCAAGTTTCTTGAAGGAGACACACTGAATAACTGATTTTCTTGTTGTGACAGCCCTCTTCGGACCCTGATTTAAAGCGATCTGCTTTCTTACATTAGTACATCATTTTGCAGTTGTGAAGAGTTACACACATTTTCAATAATGGTGACAATAATCTGTTTCATGCCCCCAACTCTGAAAATAAAGTTGAATTTGCATGGAATGGATGAAGCATTTAAGACCAGAGTTTGCAACAAGAGCCTTAGTTTGGGTGCATAAGTAAACTGGATTGAATTCCTCAAGTAGTTCATACTACAATATGTGCAAGTGTGGAATATTCGAAACAAATGACCTTAAAGATGCTCTTTAATATCTCCCAAGACTACACTAAGTAGCTCCAGCTTGTCTGCCCAAGTTGCAAATGGAGGTTGAGGAAATATAAAAAATGTTTAGGTAAGTCATCTGTGGTCAAAATCCTTATCAAGAAAAATCAACGGTGACAGCTGTATAGAAAAATCAATGAAGGGAAGGGCAATGGAGGAGGAGAAGGGAGTATAGGAAATGGGAGACTTGAATCCTCGCATTGTGCAAGTTAGGGAGAGCGACACACAGAGAGAGAGAAGGAGAATTAATTTGCTTTTCCTATTTGAGAGTGAACCTTTGGACAGAGGCCAGGATCAGCTGTGGAGGGCAAATGGAAGAAGGAGCTGCCCTAACCTACTGCAATGCCGAGCCTCACCCCCAGAGGCGGGACAGAGTTTGACTGTGCAGGCCTCACTCAAGTGAGAGTTGGAAAACAACTCCACCTCTAGCCGGGAACTAAACAGTGATCGCTGTGCAGGCACCAAGGTGGTGAACCGACTCTATGCAGACCAGGGTACACAAAGTAAGAGACACCCTCTCAGAGAGCATTTTCTGGATCTGGCAAGACTAGAACTTGAATTCTTCAGGTTTGCCACAGCAGCAGCAATGCCAATGTATAAAGGGAATTAAGAGTGCTCACGCCAGCCCCCTGGGACAGGACAGTCAGGAGGACTGTGTGGACACGTGGTCCTCCTTATCTTTTGTGAGGCTGAGGCAAGAGAACAAATGCAGGCTTACCTGCCATTTACCCAGATATTTAAAAGTTATAAATCAGGAGAAAACATTTTGAAGTCAAATATGTTTTATCCTCTCGCCATGATAAATATACATTCATAATGACCTAAAAGATCCAGGCTAATTTAAAATTCTTAGATGCCTTAGAATTTCCTATTATAATAGAATGTGGCTGACACAGTTCACAACGCTGCTTGTTCTGTCTGCCACCCCCAGCTCCATCCTATGCCAGGAGTGCTGTGTGTGTGTGTGTGTGTGTAAGTGTGTGTGTGTGTGTGTGTAAGTGTGTATGTGGACCCCTCCACCTGCAACCCCAACTCTGTCCACAGCCCTCTCCCTTCAAGCAGCCATCTTGCAGGCACGACTCAGGCTTAGAGAAGAGTACATCCACGGAGTGATCTGCCCCACTATGAATGTGGCAGGGGAAGAGGCAGCTCTGGCCCTGTTCTGGAGGTCTGGGGTGTGAGCTCTGCCCCTGATCCTTGCTTGGTGGGAAGGGGTCTGGCTGCAAGGCCAGAGCAAGGCCCTCAAAAGCCTAGGGCAGGGCCAGGAATGGTACTAGGGATAAGACAGCACTTTGTGAAAAAATCGGAACCCAATGGCAGGAAGGGGCTTGGAGGCTGCTTCCCTTGCTTCTCAGCTGGGGAGTCCAGTGAGCTGATTTGCTGTAGGCAGAAGGGGCATTGGCATTCCCCTGCTCTTGCGATTTGGAGAAAGTCCCCATTACACTAACTTTACAGCTTCTCAGTACAAAGAAATGTATTTGACTAAAATGGAAAATCCTGCTGAGATTTGAATGTCTGATATTTGATTCCACTCTCTTTCCTTTTTCAGTTCAGCCCAGTCTGTCTCCCCAATTCCTAATTCATACACCCTTGTTCGCATTCTCTTGAGACGTGTCCTCCTCCTCCTCTCCAATAGCAGATGATTTTTGTTCCGGTTTCACATAGAATGTAGAAATCCCCCTGCCCCAAGCCCACCACCGTCCCCACCCGTGTGCTACATCTCTATTATTCCTCCTTGCCAAGTGAATTTCTCTGGCCAAAGCTGGTTCCACCAGTAGGGCTCTGAATGGTGTGTCCTCTTGCTTGCTCAGAGGCTCCCATCTGTCAGCAATCTCACCTCTCTCCAGCATTCTGTCTTTCACTCCCTTTTGGCTCTAACAGCACTTAAATGTATTCAACTCTCCCTTGCTATAGATGTCGACAACTTCCCTTTACCTTCTTCCTCTCAGCTACCTCCCCATTTTCCTCTTTCTCTCAATTTATTCAAAGAACTTCAAAGAAGCTCAACGGTGCTTGGCTATTATTAATTTTTTTTTTTTTTTTTTTTTTTTGTAGAGACGAGGTCTCGACCCGGCTGGTCTCGAACTTCTGGCCTCAAGAAATCTACCTGCCTCAGCCTCTCAAACTGCTGGGATTGCAGGCATGAACCCTGGGGCTGGTCTGGGGTGAGTTATTCAAAGAGCTGGAAGACAATGCCTTTCATTCAAGGCTTCCCTTGCCTTCTTAATACTTCTCAGATCAGTAGTCTCCACTTGTCTCCACTCTCTCACTCTGCATTTATTCTTCAGCTTACTCGAATTCAGTCAGTCTCTACCATGCCACTCCAGCTTTCTATGTCAAAGTCATTGCAGGATCCACCCTACTGAATATGAAGGACAGTTTCTCAGTGTTTAGATCAGCAGCATTTGGCACCAGTATCTTTTCTTAAAATGCTCTCCTCTCCTGGGTTCCCTGACACCACATCCTGGTTTTCCACCTACCTGGCTTTCCTCCTGCTTAACCCCCACTGCTGATTCTTCTTCCTCCTCTACCCAATGTCTATTTCCACACTCCTGGGCTTTCCCGTGGGCATTCTTTTTTTCTCCATCTACAATCTCTCCACAGGTATCTCATCTGCTGTCATGGTTTGAAATGCCATGGATTTGCTGATTACATTAGAATTGATATTTCCAGCCCAGTTTTGTCTCTTGAGCAACAAACTTGTAAATCCTACTGCAGACATCTTCAATGCTGCCCCCTGCTCTCTCCAAAACCTTTTCTGCTCAGTCTCTCCAAAAACTCAGCCTTCCAACTTAGGAGGCTCACCTTGATTCCTCCTTTTTCTTCACTATTCACATCTAACTCTTCAGACCTATTTCTTGAAATCCCTCACTTCTTTCCAATTTCACTGCCACTAGTCTAATCCAAGCTGTCATCGCTTGGCACCTGTCCGCCTGGGACAGCTTCCTCACAGTCCCTACCACTTCCTCTTAAGTTTATGTACCCATCCATTCACACACAACAACCAGGGAGATTTCAAAAATTTACATCAGCTTCCACTATCCTGTCTGTTCTTAAAATCACAATCTTTTCTCTGGCCTTCAAGCTTCCTGGATGCTTGGCCTCTGCCTACTTCCCTGAGCTCATTTCATGTTCTCTCCTTCATCGTCATTGTGCACCAGGTGCACCATCTCCTTTTCTTTTTCGTAGTCACTCAAATTCTTTGCCACAAACAGTCTTTGTACTTACCTTTCTCTCTGTCTGCGATACTTTTTCTCTGGGCTTCTGGAAGTCCAGTGCATTTTCATTCTTTAGACCTCAGGTGAAATATCACCTTGTCACAAAGGTCTTTCTCGGCCACCCTACAGAGGTTAACCTCTCTCAGATATTGCATAACCATGTTGATTTCCTTGGTAGCACTTATCACAACCTGTCATTATATTATTTATTTGTTTAAATATTTATTGTCTAGCTCTCCCAGTACAGAGTAAGTCCTATCAGGGAAGAATGTTTCTTGTCTTATTTGCCACTGTTTTCCCAGTGTTTAATGTAGCTTCTGGCACACAACAGGGATTTAACAAGTATTTGTTGAATTAATGTTTATCATGTGTATCATTTTCTGAATATCTATTGACCCTGGAAGGGTGTTATGAGTAGATAAGGAAGCGCAATATAAGCTGTCTGCCTTACTGCTATATCTGTGTTTAGTCATACCATAGTTATATCTTTTAGAATGTGAACTGCTAAAAAGTAAGACTCCTCTATGTGCATAGAGGGGTGGGCATAACTGAAGGCTTAAATAAATACCCTTTAACTATGATAATAGTGCTTTGTAGTCAATTATATTGGGTAGCTATAAATACAGAATGGCAAATCAATCTTTTGAGAAAGAATTTACAAGTGTATATGACTAGTTTAACTTTGATTGGTAGCCAATGGATCAGCTATGAAACTTTTTTTTCTATTGGTTTTCTATTCACATCTCACGTTATCAAAGATTTTTTTTTAGTTCATTTGCTTAATTTTAATTTTACTTTTTTATTTCAATAGATTTTTGGGGAACAGGTGGTATTTGGTTAAATGAATAAGTTCTTTAGTGGTGATTTCTGAGGTTTTGGTGTACCCATCACCTGAGCAGTGTACACTGTACCCCACGTGTAGTCTTTTATCCCTCACCCCTCTCCTACCCTTTCCCCTGAGTCCCCAAAGTCCATTGTATCACTATTATGCTGTGGCGTCCTCATAGCCTAGCTTCTACTTATGAGTGAGAACATATAATGTTTGGTTTTCCATTCCTAAGTTACTTCACTTAGAATAATGGTCTCCAATTCCATCTAGGTTGCTGCAAATGCCATTATTTCATTCCTTTTTATGGCTGGGTAGTATTCCACGGTATATATTACTATATGCCACATTTTATTTACCCATTTGTCGATTCATGGGCATTTGGGCTGGTTCCATATTTTTGCAATTATGAGTTGTGCTGCTACAGACATGTGTGTGCAAGTATCTTTTTCGTTTAATGACTTTTTTTCCTCTGGGTAGATACCCAAGAGTGGGATTGCTGAATCAAATGGTAGAGCTACTTTCAGTTCTTTAAAAAATATGTACACTGTTTTCCATAGTGGTTGTACTAGTTTACATTCCTATCAGCAGTGTAAAAGTGTTTCGTTTTCACTGCATCCCTACCAACATCTATTATTTTTTGATTTTTTGATTATGGCCATTCTTGCAGAAGGGAGGTGGTATTGCATTGTGGTTTTAATTTGCATTTCCTGGATAATAGGTAATGTTGAGAATTTTTTCATTTGTTTGTTGGCCATTTGTATATCTTCTTTTGAGAATTATCTATTCATGTCCTTAGCCCACTTTTTGATAAGACCGTTCTTTTCTTGCTGATTTGTTTGTGTTCCTTTTAGATGCTGAATATTAGCTCTTTGTCAGATGTATAGATTGTGAAAATTTTCTCCCATTTTGTGAGTTGTCTGTTTATTCTGCTGATTATTTCTTTTGCTGTGCAGAAGCTTTTTAGTTTAATTAAGTTCTATCTATTTATCTTTGTTTTTGTTGTATTTGCTTTTTGATTCTTGGTCATGAAGTCTTTGCCTAAGCCAATGTCTAGAAGAGTTTTGCTGATGTTATCTTCTAGAATCTTTATGATTTCAGGTCTTAGATTCAAGTCTTTGATCCATCTTGAGTTGATTTTTGTATAAGGTGAGAGATGAAGATCCAGTTTCATTCTTCTACATGTGGTTGCCAGTTTTCCCAGCATGATATTTTTTTTTTCTTTGAGACAGAGTCTCACTTTGTCACTCAGGCTGGAGTGCAGGGATGTGATCTCGGCTCACTGCAACCTCTGCCTACCAAGTTCAAGCAATTCTCGCCAGCATCATTTGTTGAACGGGGTGTCCTTTCAGTGTTTTATGTTTTCGTTTGCTTTGTCAAAGATCAGTTGACTCCAAGTATTTGGCTTTATTTCTGGGTTCTCTATTCTGTTCCATTGGTCTATAGGCCTATTTTTATACCAGTAACATGCTGTTTTGGTGACTATGGCTTTATAGTATAGTTTAAAGTCGGTAACATAATGCCTCCACTTTTGTTCTTTTTGCTTAAAATTGCTTTGGCTATGCAGGCTGTTTTTGGGTCCATATGAATTTTAGGATTTTTTTTCTAGTTCTGTGAAGAATAATGGTGGGTTTTTTGGTTTGTTTTTGAGACAGAGTCTCCCTCTGTCACCCAGGCTGGAGTGCAGTGGTGCAATCATAGCTCACTGCAACCTCTCTCTCCTGGGCTGAAGCAATTCTCTTGCCTCAGCCTCCAGAGTAACTGGGATTACAGGCAAGTGTTACCACGCCCAGCTAATTTTTGTATTTTTAGTAGAGATGAGGTTCATCATGTTGGCCAGGCTGGTCTCACACTCCTGATCTCAAGTTATCCGCTTGCCTTGGCCTCCCAAAGTGCTAGGATTACAGGCATGAGCCACTGTGCCCAGCTGATGGTGGTATTTTGATGGGAATTGCATTGAATTTGTAGATTGCTTTTGGCAGTATGGTCATTTTCATAAGATTGATTCTAAATATCCATGAGCATGGGATGTGTTTCCATTTGTTTGTGTCATCTATGATTTCTTACAGCAGTCTTTTGTAGTTTTTCTCGTGGAGGTCTTTCACTTCCTTGGTTAAAGATATTCCTAAGTATTTTATTTGTTTTACAGCTATTGTAAAAGGAGTTGAGTTCCCTATTTTCAGCTTGTTCACTATTGGTGTATTGCAGGGCTACTGATTTTGTGTACATTAATTTTGTATCTGTAAAGTTTGCTCAATGTTTTTTATCAGTTCTAGGAGCTTTTTGGATGAGTCTTTAGGGTTTTCCAGGTATACAATTATGTCATCAGCAAACAGTGACAGTTTGGCACCCTCTTTACTAATTTGGATGCCCTTTATTTATTTCTCCTGTCTGATTGCTCTGGCTAGGACTTCCAGTTCTGTGTTGAATAGAAGTGGTGAAAGTGATCATTCTTGTCTTGTTCCAGTTCTCAGGGGCAATACTTTCAGCTTTTCCCCATTCAGTATAATGTTGGCTGTGATTGCTATTTCTCTTATGGATCTAGCCACCCAGTGGAGCTACCAGGCACTGGGCTGGTACTGTGGGGTGTCTGCAAAGAGTTCTGTGATGTGATTCATGTTCAAGTCTCTCAGGCGTGAATACCAGCACCTGTTCCAGTGGAGGTAGCAGGGGAGTGAAGTGGTCTCTGTGAGGGTCCTTAGTTGTATTTTTGTTGTGTTGGTTAGCCTCCAGCCAGCAGGTGGTGCTTTCAAGAATGCACCAGCTGTGGTGATATAGGGAGGATCAGATGGTGGGTGGGGTCATATAGCTCCCAAGGGATTGTTTTTTGTCTTTGGCTACCAAGGTGGATAGAGAAAGACCCATCAGGTAGGGGCAGGATTGGGTATGTCTTCGCTCAGACTCTCCTTGGGTGGAGCTTGCTGTGGCTGCTGTGGGGGATGGGGATGGGTTCCTAGGAAAATAAAGTTATGTTCCCAGGGGGAGTATAGCTGCTACTGCTGTGTCATACAGGTAACCAGGGAAGTTGGGGAAAGCCAGCAGCCACAGGCCTCACGCAGCTCCCGTGCAGCCCACAGCCCAAAAGTCTGGTCTCACTCCCACGGTGTCCCCCACACCCCAGCAGCACCAAGTTTATTTCCAGGCAGCTAATGAGCAGGCTGGGAACTTGACCCAGGCTACAAGCCTCCAAGCTAGGAAAGCAAGCCAGCTCACAGTTCCTTGGCTGTCCCACGGAGCCTGGAGTGGCAATCCACATCCTTCAGAGGGTCTGTGGCTTCTCTTGGATCTCCTGGTATGTTCCTGTGATAGTTCTTGGAGCAAAAGTTCACAGTTTGGGTCTCTACAAGCTGCTCTGTTTATCTGAGTGGGAACTGCAAGTTAATCCTGCCTTCTATCTGCCATTCTTCCCCTGGCTAATTTTTAAATTTTTTGTAGAGATGAGCTCTCGCTATGTTGCCCAGGCTGGTCTCAAATTCCTGGGCTCAAGCGATCTTCCCACCTTGACCTCCCAAAGCAGTGGGATCACAGGCTTGCCACCAGCATTGCCACCTCTAACCTCACCAAAATAACATCTTTAGGTTTCCAATAAGGCTTTTGAAACAGTAAGTTTCATGTATTCATTTTGTCTTCTAAGGGAAAACAGTAACAAGTGAAGAGCAAAAGACAATGTGACAGACAACTTCTGCCAGGGTTTGTAACGATCCCACCTCTTGGTGTACCTGTCCTTGGCGGAACCTCCTCCCCATATGTGTGGGCTGGACTTGGTGGCATGCTTCTGGTGAGTGGAATATGGCAAAGTTGATGAAACTAAGTTTGGAAAGTCAGTGACTTCTGTCTTGTTTGCATTCTCTTTGGCTCCTCTCATGTGCTTGCTCTAATGGAACAAACTGGAGAGGCCCATGTAGCATGGAACCGAAGGTAAACTCCAGCCAACCACCATCAAAGAACTGAGGCCCTCGGTCTAACAGTTCTTGAGAAACTAAATCCTGTCAACAATCACTTCAGTGAGCATGAAAGCAAATCCTTCTCCAATAAAGCCTTAAGATGAGACCATAGCCCTTGATGACACCTTGACTGAAGCCTTTTTAGAGGCTCTGACAGAGAGGACTAAGTTAGGCTAAGCTTCAATTCATGATGCACAGAAACAATGGGAAAATAAATGTACATTGTATTAAGTTAAATTTTGGGGTAATTTGTCACACAGAAATAGATAACTAATACAGCAAACTTTTATAACAATATTAAGGGGGTTGGATAAAAATATTAATTAAAAGTCCATTTTGTGCTACATTTTTATCTGTATTATCTCATTATTCTTCAGATCAACCCTGTTTTTCCACTTAAATTAAATTTTTAAAAAATATATTTGGGGGTACAAGTGTAGATTTCTTACATGCATATATTGCATAGTGGTGAAGCCTTGTTGTTAACTTTTAACTGGCATTTTAACTGACTAACAGAGTCAGCATAAGCAGTTATTGCATCTTTAGAATTCCATTTAGGCTTTGTGCCAGTTATCAATTTATTAGCTGTCAGCTCCAAATTTATATTTTAATACCTGCTCTGCTATAATGGACAGACTGCCTTTACACGTTTCTTCTTGACAGTGAACATGATGTTAAGCTTTCTCATAAAGGGTGGGGAAGGACATTGCAGGAGGAAAGGTCTTTTCCTCTTGTTTCTGCTGGCTGCACTAGGGGAGAGGATTTCAGTGGTGGTCTGCCCCAGCCGTGAACCCAGAATGCACAGTCCCTTTCTGACCCCGCGCCCTGGCCTATCCTGATGGTCACAGACACTGCACTTTAGGCACCCTGCCCACACTGAACCCCAACAACTCCCTCTGCTTTTCTACTCCCTGCATCCCAGGTTTGTTTCCAGAAGCTCTCCTAACACAGTCACTGGGCCCTCTAGCCCTCTTGTCTAAACGGGTGCCCCACAGCTCCCTCTGCAGGCCTGTATGTCTGCCCACCAGCTACAGCTTGCCTGAACCACACAGGGTTGCTTCCTGCCTGCCTTAGGACTGTAGACCAGCAAACTTCTCTGTCATCTAGTAGATTGCAACAATATCTTCTCCAGTGAGGTCTGAACCTGAACCTTGGGAAGGGGACCCCTTCAGTGTTTTTCCTTCCTTGAGGACTCTTCTTTATCTCTAGAGTACTGTATAGAATTTTCTTACTTATTAACGTTACCCTTCAGTGCTTTGTAATTGTTTTGTAATTCTTTATATTAAATTTTTCTGTCTAAATTACTGTATAGTTTCTGTTTCCTGATTGAACCCTGACTGATCTAGGCCTTTTGAGAAACAGAGGAGGCTGCTCTATAATATTTCAGCACTGGCATATTGTGGCCCCTTTCTCCATTGATTCGAAGAAGCAGCAGGATAGAAAGACAAATACCTGGGGCAGAGAATCAGGAAGCTAGAGATCTCTTGTTTTGTGACCAATTTACTGTATAAGCTCAGGCAGGCCATTCCTTTCTTCAGCATACAGATATGGTAATCTATTTTGCCCTTGCTGTTCCACTAAATGCAAAAACTGCTACTATGAATAAGACACAATCCCCATTTGCCTTCAAGGAACTCAGTATTTGGGGAAGAGAGGAAAGACTGATATGAAAGACAGTATTAAAATACAACATAGATATTTCAATAACTGACATAGGTACAAAGATGGCCCAGAGGAGAAGGAATCCAGTAAGTGTTCCTAGAAAAGGGGGGAAGACTTTATAGAGGAGATGATATGGTTTGGCTTTGTGTCCCCACCCAAATCTCATCTCAAATTGTAATCCCTACATGTCAAGGGAGGGACCTGGTGGGAGGTAACTGGATCATGGGGGTGGTTTTCCCCAGGCTGATCTCATAATACTAAGTGAGTTCTCAGAAGAGCTGATGATTTTGAAGTGTGGTACTTCCTCTCTCTCCTGCTGCCATGTAATGTCTTTCTTCCCTTTCACCTTCTGCCATGATTGTAAGTTTCCTGAGGCCTCCCCAACCATTTGGAACTGTGAGTCAATTAAACTTCTTTTCTAAATAAGTTACCCAGTCTCAGGTATTCTTTATAGCAGTGTGAAAATGAACTAATACAGAGATTTGGTACTGGCAGAGTGGGGTATTGCTATAACAATAACCTGAAAATGTGGAAGCAACTTTGGAATTGGTTAACAGGCAGAGGTTGAAACAATTTGGAGGACTCAGAAGACAGAAAGATGTGAAAAAGTTTGGAACTTTCTAGACACTTGTTGGATGGTTTTGACCAGAATGCTGATAGCAATATGGACAATGAAGTTCAGGCTGAGGTGATCTCGGATGGAGATGAGAAACTTACTGGGAACTAGAGTAAAGGTCACTCATGCTATGCTTTAGCAAAGAGACTGGCAGCATTTTGCCCCTGTCCTAGAGATCTGTGGAACTTTAAACTTGAGAGAGATGATGTAGGGCATCTGGTGGAAGATATTTCTGAGCAGCAAAGCATTCAAGACATGACCTGGCTTATTCTGAAAGTGTTCAGTTATATGTATTCACAAAGAGATGGTTTGAAATGGAAACATGTTTAAAAGGGAGGCAGAGCATAAAGGTTTGGGAAATTTGCAGCTTGACCCTGTGGTAGAAAAGAAAAAAAAAAACATTTTCTGGGGAAGAATTCAAGCCTGCTGCAGAAACTTGCATAAGTACCGAGGAGCTGAATGTTAATAGCCAAGACAATGGGGAAAATGTCTTGAGGGCATGTCAGAGACATTCATGGCAGCCCTACCCATCATAGGCCTGGAGGCCTACGAGGGAAAAATGGTTTTGTGGGTGAGGCCCGGGACCCAAGGTACAGATCGGGCCATTGCTTCAGAGAGTGCAGGACACAAGCCTTGGTGGCTTTCACATGATGTTGATCCTGTGGGTTCACAGAAGTCAAGAACTGAGGTGTGGGAACCTCCACCTATATTTCAGAGGATGTATGGAAATGCCTAGATGTCCAGGCAGAAATTTGCTACAGGGGCGGAGCCCTCATAGAGAACCTCTGCTAGGCAGTGCAGAAGGGAAATGTGGGATTGGACCCCCAGTGCAGAGTCCCCACTGGGGCACTGCCTAGTGGAGCTATGAGAAGAGGGCCACCATTCTCCAGATCCCAGAATGGTAGATACACTGACAACTTGCACCATCAGCCTGCAAAAGCCACAGGCACTCAATGCCAGCCTGTGAAAGCAGCTGTGGGGACTGTACCCTGCAGAGCCTCAGGGGCAGAGCTGCTCAAGGCCTTGGGAACCCAGCTCTTGCATCAGTGTGCCCTGGATGTGAGACATTGAGTCAAAGGAGATCTTTTTTTTTTTTTTTTTTGAGATGAGTCTCACTCTGTTGCCCAGGCTAGAATGCAGTGATGTGACCTCAGCTCACTTCAACCTCCACCTCCTGGGTTGAAGAGATTCCCCTGCTTCAGCCTCCTGAGTAGCTGGGATTACAGGTATCCACCACCATGCATGGCTAATTTTTATATTTTTAGTAAAGATGGGTTTTTGCCATGTCGGCCAGGTTGGTCTTGAACTCCTGAGCTCAGGTGATCCACCTGCCTTGGCTTCCCAAAGTTCTAAGATTACAGCCATGAGCCACTGCACCCAGTCTAGGAGATCATTTTACAGCTTTAAGAATTAATGACTGTCCCACTGGGTTTTGGACTTGCATGGGGCCTGTGGCCCCTTTGTATTGACCAATTTCTTCCATTTGAAACAGGAGCATTTTCTTAGTTGCAAAATGAAAGTGCCAAACTACAGACCTCTAGGTAGAGTCTCTGAGAGCCTTAACCCATGATGTTCTCAGAGATAAGATTCTGGAGTCTTATTTTAATGACCCATTAGCCTTTAATATTCTTCTTCTCATGAGATTTTCTAAGTTTAGGAGGACAAAATGTGTATGTTTCCCAAGATAAGAGGATATGAGGATGGGTTATGACTAATTTCTGGAAGTCACTTGCTTATGAGTTTTGGGAGTTTGGGATAGTGACAATGGTGGGTTGAAGAATGTGCACTGATTGGGGGAACTAGGCTGGGTGTCTTCCACTGGAAGAAAGGTGCTTAAGAAAGATGAGGTTCATGGGGGTGGGTAGCTTTTGACTTGTTTTGCTGATGTTGAAGGAATTAACAACAAGGGTCTACTGTGAATATTGCTGAGTCAATGTATTAGTCTGTTCTTACATTGCTGTAAAGAAATGCCTGAGACTGGGTAATTTACAAGAAAAAGAGATTTAATTGGCTCACAATTCTATAGGCTGTACAGGAAGCATAGTGGCATCTGTTTCTAGGGAGGCCTCAGGAAGCTTCCAATCAGGGTGGAAGGTGAAGAGGGAGCGGGTATGTCAAATGGTGAAAGTAGGAGCCAGAAGAGTGAGAGGGGAAGTGTCACACACTTTCTTTTCTTTTTTTTTTTTTTTTTTTGAGATGGGGTCTTGCTGTGTCAACCAGGCTGGAGTGCAGTGGCATGATCTTGACTCACTGCAACCTCTGCCTCCCGAGTTCAAGCAATTCTCCTGCCTCAGCCTTCCAAGTAGCTGGGATTACAGGCACCCACCATCAAGCCCAGCTAATTTTTGTATTTTTAGTAGAGACGAGGTTTCACCATGTTGGCCAGGCTGGTCTCGAACTCCTGACATCAGGTGATCTGCCTGCCTCAGCCTCCGAAAGTGCTAGGATTACAGGCATGAGCCACTGTGCCCAGCCAGAGGCACCACATCTGGCCACATACACTTTTAAATGACCAGATCTCACAAGAACTCATTCATTCACTATCATCAGGACAGTTCCAAGAGGGATGGTGCTAAACCATTCATGAGAAATCTGTCCTTATGATCCAATTACCTCCCACCAGGCCCCACCTCCAACATTGGGGATTACATTTCAATATGAGATTTGGGGAGGGACACACATCCAAATTTTATGAGTTGGTGACTCGAAGCTACATAGCTGTGGATGTGACAGGTTGTTTATATTAAGCCATCCCTATGGCTGATTGACTTAACAAGACTTATGGCAGTGAAATAGAAAAAGCTCAGATTTTGAACTTATCTATGACTGTGAATTCCTGTTCTGCCACCTATTAGCCATTCGACCTTGGCCATATTCATCATACCTCTCCATGCCTCGGTCTTCTCATCTTAAAATGGTGAAATAAATACCTGTTTCATAAAATTGCAACTATACTTAAATGAGATTACATTAAGAGCACTTTTTATAGAGAAGGGACTCAACAAAAAATAAGCTGAGATTATTATTAATCAAGGTATTTCAGGGTCAGTTCTCTGTTTCTAAAGCAGGAAAGGATGAGGGAGGCAGGTTGAATGAATGGCTAGATCAAGGTTGAATGTAAAATTTTAATGGGCATAGATTATTTGGCTGATACCAAACTGAATTCAAGTTTTATATTAATTTTGCCCTACAGACTTGCTGTCCATATTAAAACCTCTTTCCACAGTATTCGTATTTCTTATCCATTGTTCTCTAAATCTATAACATCGTCATCATTCTTAATTCCCCGGTGACATCTTACGCTAACCCATAGCCTCAAAGTATGTCCACTGTAATTACTTTCCTAAGATATTTGGTGACAAGTTTGATTTCATTATAAATTGTTGAATGGTTGCTGAAACCAATTCTATTGACCTTGATCTTTTGAGAAATTGATATCCTTCTTTGTTTTCTGCTTGTCTTCATGGTGTTCTAACAATTACTGAGATTTATTAAGGTGTTTCAGAAATTATTCCTTCTGTGTTGGAAACAGCATCTAGTCTTTGGAACTTAGAAGATATTGAGGCTTTTGTTGTTGTTTTGCAAAAGTAAGCTTTTTTGAAATTGAACAGTTTTACTTTTAGGAGAAGCCTCTCACTTAGTAGATTATCTAAGATTTCATATATGCCATAAAATGCTTAGAAAATCATTTGGTAGACATATCAGCTTAAAAGATTTTCAAGCAGTTAGGAATGTTCTGAGCTATGTGCTTGATATTCAACATTGGGAATGGGTTATTCCTGCTTCTAAAAGGGGGAAGAGAACAAGGAATGGAAAAAGAAAAGAAAAACTACAAAACTAAAAATGTCCTCATATTTTGAACTAAAGTTGTTTAAGTATCTGATATTATTATATACATATAGATGTGTGTGTGTGTGTGTGTGTGTGTGTGTGTGTGCGTGTTGTAGAGACAGAGTCTTACTTTGCCCAGGCTGAATTTAAACTCCTAGGTTCAAGTGACCCTCCCATCTCAGCCTCCCAAGTAGCTGGGACTACAGGCAAATGCCCAGCTCTCTGATATATCAGAGAAAACTATCAATGTTGAGTCTTAAGTGACTAGCAAATGAAGTAGTCAGTTGATGTAATGTGAGTCTAAAAAGGCTGATTGCCAAAGCCACTGTCAATTTCTCTCTGTCTGTCTCTTTCTTTCTGTTTCTCTGTCTCTCCCTGTCACCCTTTCCAGCTCCATCTTTTTATTCCTTTCCTTTCTCTTTTCTAATTTTTAAAAATTTATTTAAAATGTTTCTTTATATACATGCACACATACATACCCACACATACATTTACATAAATGCTTAAATGGAATCATATCATAATTTTTTAGGGCTATAATTTTTTTATCTTTGTTTGCCTCCTTTAGCCACTCTCCTTTCCTCTTCTCCAAATCAGACAGGCCTTACCTCTTATGAATCTGTTTTTCTTCATGCTCTATAATTACAAAGAAGCTACATATATATGCACACTGATATATGCACAACTGTACAGATAGAGGCAATTTTTCAGTTGTTTTAAAAAATGAGATTATATTATTTCTACTCCTCTGCATTTTCTTTTTCTCAAAGGAACTTCAAGAAAATTTCTCTTAAGTATCTAGTGAAATCCAAACTCATTTTAATAGATGCATAATATTTCATTATGTAAATTAATCTTAATATATTCAACCACTCCCTAAGTTGTTGGGCATTCACTTGCTTGCAGTTGTTGACCATTCTCAACAATGCTACGGTAAACGTACTTGTATGTATTTTTAGATACTAATGCCTTTATTTATCCATTTAATTAATTAATGAATTTTTTTGAGACAGGGTCTCACTCTGTCTCCCAGGCTGAAGTGCAGTGGCGTGATCTCGGCTCACTGCAACCTCCACCTCCCAGGTTCAAGTGATTCTTGTGCCTCAGCCTCCTGGGTAGCTGGGATTATAGGTACGCGCCACTGCACCCAGCTAATTTTTGTATTTTTAGTAGAGAAGGAGTTTCACCATGTTGGCCAGGCTAGTCTCCAACTCCTGATCTCAAGTGATCCACCTGCCTTGGCCTCGCCAAGTGCTGGGATTGTAAGTGTGAGCCACCACGCCCGGCCTGATGCTTTTATTTTTATATGATATAAAATGTGATATATTGTTATGTGACCGGTAGAATTGCTAGATGAAAGGATGCAAATATATTAAATTATAACAGATACTGCTCGATTGTCTTTCAGAAAGACTGTAAAACTGACATTTCCCTCAGGTAATGTAGGAGAGTCTCCCTTCCCCTGACATTCTTGATCCTTATTTTGCTTTACTTTTTGTCAGATGTGACATCTCATCGTTACCTCTTTTTTGGCATTTACCCAACTACCAATGAATTTGAACATCTTTTCATGTGTTTGCTGGTCACTTAGACTTGCTCTCCTGTGAACTGTCTATTTATATTCTTTACTTATGTTATTGTACATTATTTTGTAAGAGGTGTTCAGATATTATAGATAACTTTTTGATGTCTTAAGGTGTAAAATGTTTTTTCCCCCAAAGCAGTCTTTATCTATTGATTTTATTTGTGAACTTTTACTCTAATTTAAAAATTATATTGTCAAATATTTTCCCTCCCTCTCTTCCTCCTTCCCTCCCTTTCTTCCATCCTTCTTTCTTCATTGTTTTTTTCTTTAAGCTTTTGGTTTTTCTCATTTGGTGAATATAATTTCCTGTACACCTATATTGTATGTGTAGTCTCTTACATTTTGTTTAAATATTTTAATTTTATTTATTTTTGTTTTGTACATGGTATAAATGGAGGTCCAACTTTATTTCCTCCTACCCCCAGTATTATTCTAGGGGTTAGAAAATTATATTACTATTATACTATTATATTATTTAGAAAATTGAATAATAAATTTATTACTCAAGAAATTAAAATATTTTAAGGGGCTGGGGGATAAAGATAAATTGATTAATAGGTGTAAATATACAGTTTGATAGAATAAATAAGACCCAGTATTCAATAGATTAGTAGGGTGACTACAGTTTCCAACTATCTATTGTATATTTCAAAATAGGTGAGAATAATTTGAATGATTCTAGCATAAAGAAAAAACAAATATTTAGTTGAGATATTCCAAATATACCGATTTAATCTTTACAAATTATATGAATGTATTACATTATCACATGTACCCCAAAACTATGTACATCTCTTATGCATCAATAAAAATGGTTTTAAAGGGAAAATTAATATATCCCTTTGCCACATATGTACTTATGTCTATTTATTTCTGAGTTATTTATTTTATTCCACTGATTTATTATTTTTAATCTATTTTCATGTCAACATAATAACAACTGTATTACAGTGGCTGTATAGTCTATTATTGTCATTAGATATTTTAAAATACTTTTTTTGGGCTATTCTGGATATTTACACTTTCACATGAAACTTATGATAGCTGTATTGAGATAAAAGATTCTTTTGGGATACTAATTAGAATTTCATTGATTTACATATTACTTTTGGGAAAAATGACATTTTTATTATTATATTCCCATCCAACAATGGTACATCTTTGCATTTGTTCCAATTTTGTTTTGTGTCTTCTGATAAGATTTACATTGTTCTTCATATATGTGCTGTGCTTGTATTGTTACTATGTTATAGTTTTTATCATTTTTGGGAAAGGAATAGTCTTCCGTTTGCATTTGTGTTTATTATTACCACAGAGAAAAGCTATTGATTTAATACATTGTATCCAATGGGTAGATAATTTCAGTGAGCATATGACCATATTTACTATTCATCCAACAACTATTTATGAAGCAATTTTCTAAGTACTAGGGATATAGCAGTTGACAAAACATACGAAACCCCTGTCCTAGATCAGAGGCGAAAATAGGGAAAATATGGTTTCAGTCATCGAGAATGAGGGACATGATTAGCTAAAGGAACAAACTCAGAATATTTATTTGACTTCATGGTGTCCTGCAGGATATGACAAAACAGTGATCAACCAAGATGCTGATTCTCCTTTCAACCTAACTTTTCTGAATTCTCTGTGCCACCTTCTGAGGTTTCTGCAATTTTCCCCCTCAATGACCCTCCACTATATCTTTTCTTTGATGCGTCACATGCTCTCAGAGTTTATGTGCTCTGAGACACATCTTTTGATTTACAAAGTGGGGACACATAAAAAAATCCCTGTATTGCCATTTGGAACCCAAGAAGAAATATAACAGACAACAGCACTGTTATTTATCTAAGCTTTCTAGAAACCAATTATTTAATTACTATTTCAACATTAGCTCCTTTATCTACATATCTAAAGACTTTTCATGGATTTTCATCATGAAACAGTGTTGAGTGCTTTGTTAAAATCTAAATAAGTTATCATTAGCCTGGTGTTCCTGTGTACTCATTCAGTTCTGTCAAAAGATGTGATGTGGTCTGATGTGGTTCAGGCTCTTATAAATGTGTACTAATAATTTGACATCATGTCCTTTTTTCCAAGATAGACAAAATTAATTTCTTTGTTGCATTTTCAAATAACTTGGAGATACCAAGATACGAGTCATCTTAGGGATTAACAATTGCCTCTGTCTCTTCTGGAATTTGACTCACATTATTTTCTGTGGCTCCGGAATAGTTCTTTTGATGATGATAATAAATCATAGATATCTTTTTCAATAATTTGCGGCCTCACAATCCTGATAAGATTGTTAATCTTTATTATTGCCTGTCTAGACTCTCGCATCTGGGGGTTGATTATGAGAAACCTGAACTGTACATTAATTTCTCTCTAGTTTGTTTTCAAGCTTATTAACTCAAATTTATAAACCAATTTCTGTTTATATGCCCCTAGAATAAGAATGTAACACTGAATTGTTTCAGAGGCTCCATGTACATAGTAACTGGTGATTAATAAAGGATGCTTTAAGTGATTCAGCTATTCAACTTTTGGGGGGGCCAAATGTAGACCAGGGATGAGCTATGTGGTAGACAGAAGGTACCGAGTACCTGATAATCATGTTTATTGTGAGTAGGACACACTCGAGCATTAAAAACATGCCAGTCGGTGTGGTCTGATCTTATCCTTCTTCATACTGCACAGAAGCATGTACTGTCTCTGCATCATATTACTATAATATGATGTTTCTTCATACTTTTCTTGCTACTGTTGGACTTTCCCAGCCTGACTTATTTTCCTTGAAAATAGACATTGTCTTTATTTATTACTGACCAGTCTTTATTATCTAGCACAGTAGTCAACACAAGCATACATGTGGCACTTAATGAATGTTATTAGATTTGGAGGGTCAAGTCTGGCCAGGCTGTTCTGGGTGGGTTCTGCAGTCACCTGGAGTGTGCCATGTCAGTAAGATCAAACTTCTCATGCTCTTTTCCTGCTGCAAAATACCCTAATACAGAACAATTTAAGGGTAAGCATCTGAGTCAAGTCCTTTGGGAAACCAGAGTGTATGAAACAATTTCTGATGAGTCAATGTTAGTTCCTGGGTGGTAGATTACCTCTTTTAGGGATTAGCAGAGGGTAGCAACCAACTATCCAGAAAACACCTGCTTCTAGTTTGGAATGCCCAGAAAGATAGAGAATTGTCAGAATCAGAAAACCTCTAAATTATGTCACTATCTCTAGTTTGCCCTTGAAATCAGTCATTTGAAGCAGGGGTCCCCAGTCGCCTGGCTGTGGACCAGTACCAGTCTGTGGCCTGTTAGGAACTGGGCTGCACAGTAGGAAGTGAGTGGCAGGCCATTGAACATTACCACCTGAGCTCCGCCTCCTGTCAGATCATCAGCAGCATTAGATTCTCATAGGAGCCTGAACCCTACCTATTGTGAACTGCGCATGTTGGGGATCTAGGTTGTGCGCTCCTTATGAGAATCTAACTAATGCTTGATTATCTGAGGAGAAACAATTTCATCCCGAAACCTCCCCCAATCCCCTGCGGAAAAATTGCCTTCCATGAAATTGTTCTCTGGTGCCAGAACAGGTTGGGGACGGCTGATAGACTGAATTCAGTGAAGATTTCCCATCCTTCCTATGTCTGAGTATAAATTTCTTATATTCTTGGCTATTTTGAAAAGAGCAAGAAATATTACTATGGATCAAATGTGTCCCCTAAAGTTCTTTAATCCCAAATGTGACAGTGTTGATAGGTGGGGCTTAGTAAGAAGCGATGAGGTCATGAGGGCTCATGAACAGATGAATGCCATTATGAGGGTGGCTTTATTATAAAAGTGATTTCAGCCCTGTCTTGCTCTTGCTTTCTTGTGCTCTTATGCCCCCCAACCTTCTGCCACAACAAAAAGGTCCTCACCAGAGGCGGCCCCTCTACCTTGGACTTTCCAGCCTCCAGAACTGTAAAATATTACTTTCTTTTCTTTTTTTTTTTTTTTTTTTGACAGAGTTTTGCTCTTGTTGCCCAGGCTGGAGTACAATGGCATGATCTTGGCTCATCGCAACTTCGGCCTCCTGGGTTCAAGTGATTCTCCTGCCTCAGCCTCCTGAGTAGCTGGGATTACAGGCATGTGCCACCACGCATGGCTAATTTTGTATTTTTAGTAGAGATGGGGTTTCTCCATGTTGGTCAGGCTGGTCTTGAACCCCTGACATCAGGTGATTCGCCTGCCTCAGCCTCCTGAAGTGCTGAGATTACAGGCATGAGCCACTGCGCCCAGCCAATAACTTTCTTTTCTTTATAAATTACTCAGTCTGTGTCATTCTGTTACAGTAATCCGAAATGGACTAAGACAAATATTTTGTCTTTCAAGAGACAATCTCTTCATAAATGTTTACATGGGAAAGGTAGGAAGAAGATGATTGATTTGCACTTTAGGTACAAGTTGACTGAAAATTCAGGGTTAGGGAAAATATACCAACTGTACATTCTCCTTGCATCTAATCTATGTTGCTGTTTAGCTCAGAAATGCTGTTTAGGACAGTAATTGCTATCATTAATTCTATGCTTACTAAGTGTCAGACACTTTATATACATGCACAGTTAAACCTCACAACAAATATGAGAGTTCAGTGTAATTATTCTCATTTTCCAGATGAGAAGAGGAAGTACAGAACAGTTAGGCAATCTGTCAAAAGTCACTTAGCTAATAAGTAGTAGGACCTTATGTGCCTTGGACCCATGGCCATGAAACTCTAAAATCCACAAACTGTTAAACTCTATGGTATACTAACAAAATACATAAAGTGTAATTAGCAAAGATGATTCCTCCTTGTTTTGGGGTTGTATTCACCAGGCAGGGACCTTGTTCTATGTGGTAATTAATAACCCACTATAGAACATATCCAAGTAAAGAATTTCTTTAGGTATAAATACTAATATAAACATATACTTTTGCAGGTAATTATTTTAATTATGTACTTGCATTTTCTTTATGGCAATACATTTAAATTTGCAACAGTATCCACCTATTGGTAGAGTTTACATTGTTATTTATCAAGAAAAATCATTATAATTTTAAAAATAATAGTAGAGAACCACATTTGACCACCAGATGGCAGCAATGTAGGATTTTGAAAGACTTTCAAGTAGAATTACTTTCCAGAGACCAGATACTTAAATTTCATTAATTCAGCTTGTGCTGTACTGAAATATACCTTTACATTACCTTGAAAGAAAAGGTACATTTCATTTTGACAAAGAGAAAATGAGTTTGAGCTCTGTATTATTGGAAACCTGAATTCAAGAGGTTTTAATATATAGACATATTTATAATAATTAAGATAATAAATTTATTTTTAAAGAATCTAGCACAGTTGTCACAGCATGCAAATGTACTGTTTCATATATAAATGTTTCTTATCCTGTAGCAGGACAGACAAAAACCCGTGTTTGGTTATACTTTTTAGCAGTAATGTTGAGTCAGACCATGGACTTAACCATACCAAGAGTACATTTTAATAACATAGAGTATGAGTTAGATTGTTCTCTTTCAGCTAACCTAAATTAGTGTTTATTTTACTATATGTCTCAACACAACACCAAATTCAAATATGGTAATAGTGGAAGTGGTAATAATAATGATAATAATAACAACATATCACATTAAAAGAGTTCTAAATAATCGACCATGCATTTTCCTATACATTGTCTTATTTTACATGAAAAGCTAGTAGACTAATTTACATGTGAATTCAGAAACATCTCAGAGAATTAGTCCAGGAAATATTTTTCTAACTCTTACTTTCCTAGATGATTGTTTGGGGACAATGCCGTTGTGTTCAATTAAGAAGTTGCTGATTTATGAAAGACAGCATTTTATTACCACTAAACTCACAGGACAATCTGAAAGATGAGAGTTGGGGATACTTGTATCGAGAGGACTCCTGAACCCCAGAACTGTCCAGTGATGAGACAGAATGGGTCTTGGATCAAGATCCACAGGGTCTGGTTTTTATCCTATGGTTGTCACTGATGTCGTAGTTGTTGGACTGTAATATGCCCATTTCCTTGCTTTTTAAACTGAGATACTAAACTAGATAACCTCCCTATCTACCTCCAAAACCTCATGACTTTGCAATGTGGCCCTCCTGACAAACATAAGCGGCACAGTTAGAAATACGTACAGGAAAATAGATGCATAATTTCATGGAAGATCACCTTTGTCCCAAACTCTTGAAGGCTGACTCCTAGGGGAGTCCCTTTGGTTGGAGTTAATATGTCCCTCATGTGTAACCATTAGTGAGGTTTTGTAAAGTGGCAGACAGCATTCTTGGATTATATTCAATTTTAAAATTACAATTTAGAAAAATTAAAAATCACTTAACTCCATGTCTAGTGTCAAATCTAGGACTTAACAGGTTTCCAACACATCTGAGAATTCATTAGCATTCTTTTTCTTTTGTTCTTTGACTTCTCTTGACTTCACGCTCTGTGTACTGATTCTTCCTCAGCCATGCGAGAAGATCTAAAAGTATCTGTCTACAATACTTATTTTTTTAATGCTGAACAATTCCTCTCCCCAGGCTAGTGTTAATTATACTGTCAGGATGCACCGGTAGAGCTAGCTCAGTCAAAAAGAAAGAAAGAAAAAAAACTATTGATAACTTGAGGCAAAGTTCTGTGGTTGAGATCACAGCAGAAGCAGCTGGTGGATGGGGAATTAAACTTCTGTATGACCCTCTGTGTGGATGTGTGTAGATGTGTGATGAGCGGTGATTTAGTGAGGTTGAAGATAATCATCTTTTATTTGCTTGGCTCCATCTCTGAGGCTCTTCAAATGATTTATACTTCAGGAGAATGTACCTGTCTATCGTTAGGGAATGAGGCAGACTTTACCCCAACCCTTTTTTTGGGGGTCCTACACTGACCTAGGACCCAACCATTAATTCTATTGTCTCCAAAATCAACTGCTAATGTCCTGCCTCTGCTGTGAGGCAGCCCCGACTATCTCCAGCTATGCCACCTTCCTGCTCAGTGGTTTTGAACAATTTCCTTAACCTCTCTGAAACTCAGTTTCATCATCAGTACCATTGGTAATACCTACATATAATCATGCATGTAAAGAGCCCTCACGTAGTGACTGGCGTGTTACTAAACCCTGTTGTTCCTTTCCTTTTCTTCCCCAGCATCTCCTCAAATTATTATTATTATTATTGTTTTTTGTTGTTGTTTATTTTTTGAGATGGAGTCTGGTTCTGTTGCCCAGACTGGAATGCAAAGGCACAATCTTGGCTCACTGCAACCTCAGCCTCTTGAGTTTAAGCAATTCTCCTGACTCAGCCTCTCAAGTAGCTGGGATTACAAGTGTTCACCACCACACCCAGCTACTTTTTGTATTTTTAGTAGAGACGAGGTTTTGCCATGTTGGCCAGGTTGGTCTTGAACTCCTGGCTTCAAGTGATCCACCGGCCTCGGCCTCCCAAAGTGTGGGATTACAGGTGTGAGCCACTGCGCCTGGCCTCTCCTCAAATTCATCTTCCAAGCGTGATAGCAGTCATGTTGTTGCAGACCAATGGTCCTAAATTCTTCCTCCTTCCTGCTTTGTAGTCTGTCTTTGTATATTGTCCTCCTGTAATGATTCTCAGACTTTTGGACTTGTAAAATTTAAGGAGAGTTTTGAGAGCTGCCATAGGGACGCAAATGTTTTATTTAGCAAAATACATGAAAAAGAAACGCCAAAATATCTACCACTTACTGTTACCATTATTTTGTCAAAGGTATGACATTCCAACACTCAAAGGCAGAGAGGATGTCCTGAAATAAAGGACAGTCTCTAAAAGTAATAAATTTAGTATGACAGGAATGAAAGCAAAGAAGCTGCCCTTGTTCCACAAGAAAGGAGCTCATGTCATGGGCAGTAAAAGGCCAGGACATTGTGTCCTGTGCACGGGGGCAACAGGTAAAGTGTCTCTCCCCCAGCACAGACATGCCCCCACCCCCTGAAGCAGTACGAGAGGGTGTGGGGTGGTACCTCTGAGGTTAGTGAGCCACTGGCAGGAAAAAATGACAGAGAAGGGTGAAGGGGCAGGAAAGACAAAGAATGAGTAGAATCTAAGAAAACCTGAATAGAGGAGAGTCTGTAGGGTGGAAGAATGATGGACAGGAAAGAGGACTTTGAAAAATTTTGGTGTGCTTTTTTTTTCTCAGAGACCGAAGTGAAAAGTAAATTATTTTTCAACAATTTAGGATCATGAACTGATTTTTTTTAAAGGAATCTATGAGTAGAAGCAGGCTGCCTTGGCTTTGTGCAGTTCACATTCCTGTCCCGTAAGTATTACTCTGTGTTGGCGTTGTCCTCATTTGCTGTAGATGGATCTGGGTGCTGGTGTACAGGAAAACTGCTCTAGCATCCGGGCTGTGGGTGGACACAGGTGTTGGCATGCTCCTTCGGCCTCAGACCTCACCTGCTCTCCCCACAACCCTGTTTGACCCCTGGGCAGCTCTCCTGTTCTTGATGACTGTTAAAATGACTCTACTGCCACCACCAGTGCCACTCTTGACACTACAGATTTGGGGCTCCAACCAGGGCCAAGCTGGGGCAAGACTCTCTCCTTCACTTTACAAATTTAGTATCAGGTTCTATAGAGGGTCGCCGGGTTTTTCAGGTTTTAAGTCTTCAGAGAGTGCTCCAGGGAGCACTTGAGAAACACCACTTACAAGTTATCCTTTTTGATGCTGCTGAATATTTGGGGATAGAGTCAGAGCTAACTCACTCCTAATTCCAGTCTGCCTACCTTTCCTTCTCTTTCAGCATCAACTTTTTAAATGTAGGTGTCTTAGTTGGGGTTTCCTAGGGAACAGACTCTGGGATAGAGATTTGTGTGCAGAAGGTTCCCTGGGGCTGGTGTCACAGTGCACAACTGCAGGGGTGTGAATGTAGCAGGACGGGGCCGTGGAGGTGGACTGTGATGCTGGCTCAGCACAATTTCCCTGGATTGAGGGCCTCTGGGTAGGGACAGCCCTTTGGTCTTTGAGCCACACTGGCCAGTCATTTGGCTGCAGCCTGCTCTGGGGCGGGGCGGGGTGTGATCTTGGCCACATGACTCTCTGACTGAGGCTAATTTTGGGTTGAGTTATAGCTAAGTTCTGTCTGCCACCTAAGTCCTCAGCATTGGGCTGTGAGGGCTTCAGTCGTACAGAAGGCGTCTGGGTGGTGCACACCACACTATCCATGACTAGAAGACTTAGGACTTACCCCCTCCTTCCTTTGTTCCCATCCAGGTGTTTATGGCATTTCCAGTGCAGGGTCACACTGAAGTTCTACAAATCCCAAAGTCCACAAATCCCAAAGTCCTCATCATCATTATTATTTTTTTAAGGAAGCCTACTTGGACCTATGCAAAATGAATTCCAGGAGTTTTCAGGGAAATTCCTGAGAGGTCCTTGACTGGGTTTGCTACCCTAGCCAGTTCACATTAATATTTATTCTGACCTTTGTAAAAGGTGTGCTTTACGTGTAGCCTTCAATTATTGTAATTTCAATTCTCGTTTGCAGATTTATGAATAATGAGACCTAGACTCAGTGAAGGCAAACACTTGTCCAAGGCTGTACAACTAGTGTTGGGATCAGAGTGATAACCTCAAAGCCGTGCTCATTCCTACTTCCTTCCCCAGCCACATTCCTTGCCCATCCCTCATGAGATGGTTTTTATGCAAGAGACTGGTGCTTGCTTTCTTTTTTTTTTTTTATGGTTTATCCTTTTATTGTTTCTCCTTTTATCAAAATGTGTCACAGCTGGGAACCAAGAGGAAGTAAAAAAAATACCCACAAATATTCCCGCTGACTTCCCATTAGTCCTCCCCCAACCCCCCACCCAGGGCTTCCAGCCAACCCCGAGCACACATGATCATCTCCCCCCACCCTCAGGCTTCTCCCAGCAATAAATACAGGTGACCATGATTCAGTGAAACCACAACTGATTTCTCCACCTTAAATACCCCTCAAAGGGGACAAGAAGGGGGCAAAAGAAGTTTAATGCCCATCCCCTAAGAGGTGTAGAAACGTCCTTCTGCCAAGGGACAGAGGAGGTAGAACTGCCCCTCTCAGAACTGCAGCAGCTCTACAAGGAATCGAGGAGAGGAAAGGGATAGAATGAGAGGGAAAAGGATGTTCTTTAGCAAACTCACTCCTTTGATCCATTCATCCTGTCCCAGGTAAGGGGTGGTCCCAGTGTATCGGTGGGGCATAAAAAGGGGAGGGCTGACAGAGTAGAGCCTGGAGGAAGAAATGAAAGGAGGGAGAGCAATCTGGTGGGAGGGAAGGGGGTAAAGGGGCCCTAACTCATTGCCCTCATCTTCTTCCAAGAAATGGCATCAACATACAAGAGGCATGAATGGATAGAGTCTGGGGGAGTTCAGGGCTCCTAAATAAGGGAAAGAGAAGGGGCGACAAGGGCCCTGTGGTTTCCTGGTCTTCATAAATGAATGTGCTAGAGACTGGTGGTTTCTTTTTGGCAAATCCAAAGGACAGTTTGGGTCCTCCTTTTATACTTGGCCTCTCTTCAGTAACTGACTGTTGACCAGTTGCCTCTAAAAACATTTTCTTCTTTTGGCTTCTGTTATTAATATTTTATGCTCACTTGGCTTTTCTCCTTCCTTTCTGCTTAGCTTTCCCATCTTGTCTTTAGCGCGCCTGTCTCTGTCTTTGCATTAGATATTTCTGTTCCCTGAAGTTTGGTCTTATCTTCTCATTCTATGCTGTCTCTCTATGTATCTTATTTACTCTCGCAGGTTTGTTACTTTTTATAGGCTAAGGGCTCCTATCCCCATGTTTCTACCCCAGATTCTACTTTTGAATCCATGTAGGCAGCCAGCTGTCTGCTGAACATCTCTACTTCAATGCACCATTGGTCCTACCAGGCAACAGTTATACTATTGAGCACTATTTGGTTCAAATTAATATTGAAACAAAACTGAAATCTGAATTCACTAAGTCCAAAATGGGGAAGCCATTGGATAATGTGACCAAATCATGGGCACCTGGCATGGGGAACTCTAGTACATTGAACCTGGCCGCAATCACATGTCCTGGATTCTTTTGGTGTACTGGCTCCAGGATGATGGCTGGTAGATCATAACTCCTATTGCAGAGCTCCATAGTACGAGAGGAAAAGAGTGCTTCTCTTTAGCTCCATTTCAGAAATACCTGGGAAAGTCCCTCCTGGCCCATACTACATGTGCTTACCCTGAAGACCAATCACTGTCGCCACATAATAATAACAATAACAACAACGATAATTTTAAAGGTAACCACATTGTTGAATACATTTATTTTTGGGGCAGGCACCATGCTCAAGATGTGTGTTTATGATTTCACATAACCCTTACAATAACTTCCTATGCAGGTACTATTATTATTTCCATTTTATAGAAAAAGACTGAGTTAGAAAAATTGAGTAATAGATGTGCAAATTCACACATCTATTAAGAGGAGGAACAATAATTCATATCTAGACAGTTGGACTCCAGAACCTGTGATGATCATTAGAGAGCTCTTACTCCCTTCAAAGGTGGAAACACTATTCTTCAGAGAGGGATTGTATCAGCACTTCAGTGTTTCTGTTTTTCTTTTACAAAATACATATAAGATAAATTTACCTTTTTTTGTTTTGTTTTTATTTGAGACAGAGTCTCGTTCTGTCACTGAGAGTGCAGTGGTGCAATCTCGGCTCACTGCAAGCTCCACCTCCCGGGTTCAAGCAATTCTCCCTGCCTCAGCCTCCCTAGTAGCTGGAATTACAGGACTCCACCACCATGCCCAGATAATTTTTGTATTTTTAGTAGAGACAGGGTTTCGCCATGTTTGCCAGGCTGGTCTTGAATCCCTAACCTCAGGTGATCTGCCTGTCTCAACCTCCCAAAGTGCTGGGATTACAGGTGTGAGCCATTTCACCCGGCCAAATTTGCCATTTTAAAGTGTACAGTTTGGTGGCATTAAGGACCTCTGCAACGCTGTGCAACCACTATACAATTCCGAAATTGTTTCATTACTCCAAAGAGAAACCCTGTATCCATTAAGCAATCACTTCCTGTTTCCTCCCTCCACAGCTCCTGGCAACCACAGAACTGCTTTCCGTTTTTTTTTTTTTGTTTATGTCTTTGTTTTTTTTTTTTTGAGACGGAGTCTTCCTCTGTCGCCCAGGCTGGAGTGCAGGGGCGTGATCTCAGCTCACTGCAAGCTCCGCCTCCCGGGTTCACGCCATTCTCCTGCCTCAGCCTCCTGAGTAGCTGGGACCACAGGTGCCTGCCACCACGCCCGGCTAATTTTTTGTATATTTTTGTAAAGAAGGGGTTTCACAGTGTTAGCTAGGATGGTCTCGATCTCCTGACCTCATGATCTGCCCACCTTGGCCTCCCAAAGTGCTGGGATTACAGGCATGAGCTACTGCGCCCAGCTGTTTTTACGGATTTGCCTATTTTGGATGTTTCACATAAATGGAATCACTCTCAGTAGTTGGCCTTTCGTGTTCGGCTTCTTTCGCTTAGCATTATGTTTTTGAATTTCTTACATGTTGTAGTGTGTATTTTATTCTTTCCCACAGCTGAATAATATTCCATTGTTTGGGTTATATCACATATTGTATGCGGTTACATTCAAATGAACTATCTAGAATAGGCAAACCCATAGACAGAAAGCAGACTAGTGGTTTTCAGGGGGATAGGAGGAGGGGAGGATGGGAGTGAATGCTTAATAGGTATAGGGTTTCTTTTTGGGCTGATGAAAATGTTCTGGAATTAGACAGTGGTGACATTTGAATAGCATCTTGAGTGTACTAAAATCCATTGAACTTTACAGTTTAAATGGTTAAAATGGTGAATTTTTTAAAAAAGAGAGGACTGGAAAAGAGAAGCTGAGAGATATTCATTGCCATAGTGAGCAGAACATGTCCCCAAATAGATTCAACCTCCTCATCTGTGACCCTCCAACCTGTTCCTCTTCCACATCTCCATGGCAGTGACCAGCACAGCCGTGCATTTAGTTGCTTGAGTCAGAAAGCCCATGACATCCTTGACTGCTGCTGCTTTCTCATCACCTTCAGTGAAATAACCATGAGGCACATGCCCTCCTCTTCCTAACGTACCTCATCCATCTTTTTCTGCCTTCACATCATTGTTAGTGTTATTAGTAGTACTTACCCACTTATTCATTCGGCATTTCCTGTGTACCAACCACTGCGCTTTGCTTTAATTCAAACCACCCTTTCACACAGCTTTTCTACTTGTCTCCTAGTTGCAATAGGTCCTCATTTTTACCTCCTTCTATTCTATTCTCACTTGCAGAATGATGTTTTATGAATCTTTGGTCTGCTTGTGTGACTTCCCTTCTTAAAACCTTTTGATAGCTAGCCATCAGCCTCAGACCAAAACAAAATTCCTTAATCAGGCTTTCAAGGTTGTACTTTTTGATTTGCCATTTCTTAGCCCACAGGCCTCACTTCTCCCCATTCTCTCCTGCTCCTCCCTCCAGACATCCTGAGTCACTTACCATTTGTCAAATATGCCAAGCTGTCTCTCTTGCCTTTGTGCTTTGTGCGTGGTGTTCTCTTTGCCCTAAACACTCTTCCTTTGGACCCTTCTGCACCTAGATATCACCTATCCAAACTTCAGGTCCCAGTTTTGATGGCACTTCATTTGGGAAGTCTTCTCTTGACCCTCTGTGACTGGATTAGGAGCCCGTCCTATGTGCTAGCACAGAACCCCATACTTAATTCTATTGTCACACACACTACACTTGATTGCAGAGGCCAGTTCAGCTGACTGTAAGCTCCTTGTGGCTTGCATCCTTCACATGCCTTTAGTAATGCCTGGCATGACATAGGCTCACATAAATACTGGTTGAATGCATTTCTAAGAAGCTGAGCCTGGCACTGTGCATGAAAGTAGGACACCATCAGGGTAAGGGTTCCTTACATGGGCCTTATCACGGTGGCCTGCCTCTGTGTCTCCACGTGGCAATGGGAACAGAGACAAAGATGAATGTTTATGGTGTAAGCCTCTTAATCCATATTGTGACTCATGCCATTAATAGGAATCCTACAGAAATTGGATGAGGATAAATGACAATGTTGCAAGGGTTTATTTAAAAAATGGCTGTAGAATTCTTGCTCACGGATTATGGTCAAGACGTTTTTATAGTCTGTGTTTAGTTCTTTGAAAGAAGAGATTTCAAATAATACTTGAATAATAATAATGTTTCAAATAACATTTAATAATACTGTCTCATCCTCCTCCTCCTCACCACTACTAATATCTCCTCATTGCAAATCTCTATTATTTCCCCTTCACTGAAAGTAAGTCAGTCTAAAGGCATCCATTTCATGGACAATTATTACATATTATACTGATGCAGAGCACATTTAATGACAAGAAATAAAAAGGATTGACTGTCACTGCAGACTTGTCACATTTGATAGTCTAGAGAATTTTATTTCCCTGTTGTGTGGTGAAGACAGTGTAAAGTCTGCAGTGTGAGCCACCACATTCATTATAGACTCAACTCTTCATCCATTTGCTTCCTTAGTTTCTTGAGGGCATATCAAAATATAGAGGAGGTTTTTCCATGAAAAAAAAAAAACAGAAAAAAACCCCACAAGTATTTATTTCTACTTTTGTTTTCAACAGATCCTCAAATTGTAATGCATAACCAGGAAATTCTCTGGCAGGAAAAAGGAAATATAATGTTCACAGGCCATCCAGTTGAAATTCCCTTCAATTGGATTCAGCATTGATGCCTTTCTGCTCATGGCTTCCTGTAGCCCAAGGAGGCTGAGTAGGAGGTGGAATAGAAGAGTTTTTGTCTCATTAGCAAGTAGTTGCCTCTGCTTTGTCCCGAGAAGCTGCTCCTGTGAAGATCATCTCTAATATATATATATATATATATTTTGAGATAGAGTCGGGCTCTGTCACCCAGGCTGGAGTGCAGTGGCATGATCTCGGCTCACTGCAGCGTTAACCTCCAGGGCTCAAGTGATCCTCCCACTTTAGCCTCCCGAGTAGCTGGGATCACACACGCGTACCACCACACCCAGTTAAGTCTTTGTATTTTTTTGTAGGGATACAGTTTTGCCATGTTGCTCAGGCTGATCTTGAACTCCTGGCCTCAAGCAGTCTGCCTGCCTCGGCCACCCAAGGTGCTGGGATTACAGGCATGGCCACCACACCTGGCCCACTGATACTTTAATCACTATAGTCAGAAGTGCTGCCTCGATTACCCCAGCTTCTGGAAACAGAGGAGAGGAAGCTGTAGTTGGAGGTTCTGACCAATGGCCAGGGAGGTGTATCTTCAGCTAGAGAAATGAGAGTTCTTGGGCTGCTTTTAGAGGAGCAGTGTGGTACGGTGGAAAGATTACAGGCTTCAGAGCCAGCCGGATCTAGCCTTATATTATAGCTTTCTCAGTTTCTGTCTGTGCAATTGTTACTGGAAATTCCTGAGTCTGAGTTTCCTCACCTATAAAATGGACTCAATAATTTCTACCTTGAAGTGTTATTGTGAGGGATAAATAATAAAAATAATGAACAAATATTGAGTTTATGTTTTGGGCCAGGCTCTGTGCTATGTCTTTTTTTTTCTTTTTTTTTTGAAACAGGGTCTCGCTCTGTTGCCCAATCTGGAGTGCAGTGGTATGATCTTAGCTCACTGCAAACTCCACCACTGCCCTCGCCCACCCACTGCCTGGGTTCAAGGGATCCTCCTACCTCAGCCTCCTGAGTAGCTGGGACCACAGGGATGTGCCACCACGCCAGGCTTATTATTTTTGTACTTTTAGTAGAGACGGTGGGTGGTGGTGGGGGGGGGGTCTCATCATGTTGCTCAGGCTGGTCTCGAACTTCTGAGCTCAAGCTATTCACCTGCCTCAGCCTCCCAAAGTGTTGAGATTACAGGCGTGAGCTACCACGCCCGGCCTGTGGTACGTCTTTTATAAACACTATCTATTTTATCTTCCTGACAAGCACCAGGTTGTTTTTTCTTATTCCATATTGCCGTGAAGACACAGCTTTAGAGGGTCAGTCAGAAGTGCTGCCCTGATTGCCTGAGCTTCTAGTTCAGTAATTGAATAATTTACCTCATGTCAAACAGCTGGTAAGAGCCAGAGCCTGGGGAAACCCAAGCCAGTAGGTCTCAATGTTGTGGCCTTAACATTGATACTAGTTTTTCTTAAGCTAAACTAATGTACTAATCCTTTTAAGGAAAAAAAATTATTGGGCCCTTATTTGGATGTAAACTATTCTGTTAAATATTGATATTTGCATAAGCTGAAAATGTAAGTTTAAGATGAAAAATGTAAGTATATATCTGATAGTATGTGAGAGAGATGTTGATTTCCTGTTTGTTGCAGCCCAAATATGCTGCCGACTACTAAAGGCAAAAGAACTTTTGAGATCAGCATGACTCTTGTACTCCGGGCCCTGCCATACTCCAATTTTCCTGCCACTTTTCTCCATGGGAACTACTGCAAGGCCTTTTGTCTTGTAGCCTCTGATGTCATTGGGCCTTCGTTTGGCTGAAAAGCAGGATTTCCATATGAAATTCACTTTTGTTAATTTCACATTAGCCTTAGATACAGTGCCACGGGGTGCCAACACATTCATAAAAACAAATGCTGAGGCAGGCAGTTTATACCAATGTTCTCAAATTTAAGTAATAGGCCTCTTTAAAGGAGAAAGAATTTCTTGGTCCTATTAAGTTATAAGGTTGTTATCCATTGATTGAAATTATAGTTTTATTACTTTTTTAAAGGCTATTAGTTTAATGGAGACACCAACTTTATTTTTTCATCTTTATTTTTATTTTTTAGATGGAGTCTCACTCTCACCCAGGCTGGAGGGCAGTAGCACAATCTCGTCTCACTGCAACCTCCACCTCCCGGGTTCAAGTTATTCTCCTGCCTCAGCCTACCGAGTAGCTTGAATTACAGGCACTCGCCACCACACCTGGCTGATTTTTGTATTTTTAGTAGAGACGGGGTTTTGCCATGTTGGCCAGTCTGGTCTCAAACTCCTGACCTCAGGTGATCCTCCAGCCCCAGCTTCCCAAAGTGCTGGGATTACAGGAGTGAGCCACCGCGCCTGGCCAGCGACACCAACTTTAAATATTTTGCTAGGAATCCTCATGCTATCAAGAGTACAATTAAGACTCCCAGTTGTCTGAGGGCCTCAGGGAAGCACCGATCTTCACAGTGTTGGTCTTCATAATGCTGCCTTGACAACAGAAAAGTGGACAGAAAGGGTTTGGTTGCAGCAAGTGTGTGTCAAGTGTGAAATAAATATGTATTTCATTACATTTTTAACTATATTTTTTGAATAGGCAATATATTCACATGGTCCAAAATATTATTTTATTTTTTTAGAGACTGGGCCTTGCCCGGTCACCCAGGCTGGAGGGGTGCAATCATGGCTCACTGTCGCTTCGATTTCCTGGGCTCATGTGATCTTCCCTCCTCAGCCTCCTGAGTCCAAACTTTTAAAAGTATATAAAAAAAAGTTTTGAGGTGTAAATCAATAAGTTTATACACTGTGCAGGAACTGGTTAATATCTGTACTATTTTTCATCTCTTTGCCAGTCAAGAAGGTGGATAATAATAGAAAGGTATGTAGAATATATGGAGGACCATATTTATGTGTTTCTTGTCGCAGTTGATTTCAAATGCCTATGAGGCAATTTTTTAGAAACATGAATAAATAAACTGCAACATTGTATACACCTATGTATACCTATGTAGATTCTCCCTTGTGACAGAAACTGAGTTTTGGATAGAAGATTTCCAATATTGATGAGAAAACACATGATGTGCTGGAATGGATGGATCTTCAGCAAGTCATAGATATGTTGCCTGCTGCATCGCATAGCATTTCAAGATACTGGATCTAGGAATTAGATTTGTGTTACTGGGAAGGCTTTGGAGAGAACAGATGTGAAATGCTAAGCCAAATGAGTGTGTGAGCTTTTCACATCTGTCCCTTTAATTTTCTGTATTTTTGCTTCATTATTTGCATCGTTGGAATGCTGTATCTGTCATATGCCAACAGATGGCAATATTATAAGATCATTTTTTTAAGATGGTTAAAATGAACGACATTCTCTGCTGTTTCCGGATTAGTCAGATGGAAGAAACAAGATCTTTATTGGTTGTCTCTTTGGTATTACAAAATTGTATTTTTATAAATTTTTCGTAAGATATTACCAACATTTTTTCATGTCACTGCTGCCTCTTTTTGACTAGTTTTTTTTTCCTTTTGCTTAACATTTAACTTCAGATTCAACCCATCTTTGCTATATTTTATGGACAAATCTTTATATATCTGCTTTGAAATGCAAATGAAAGCAAACTATTGGTATAACTATATTTATCAAGTAGTACTAAATTAGTATTAGCTATGTGAAATGTTTAATGTCATCAACATTTGAAAATGCTTACACATTTGAAAATTCCTTTGCCTCTTTAGAGTACAAAATACAAGCAAATCACACTCATATTGCCCCTCTTCTTCTTTTTGTTTTTAACCAATTTTTAGACTGGCAGAAATGTTTTTATTTCAGAACCATGTGTTTGTTTGAAATTTGTAAACTCTTCTAGAAAGTGTTGTATTTTGGACTAAGCTTCTCTTCTTAGCAACTTAAGAATCCTGTCATCTGACCTATGATGGAACTTCTAAAGACATTTAAGGAGCTCTGAGTGCTGGCTGTTGATATGAGCATTGAGCAAAATCTTAAGATGGGAAAGAAATATTGTTGAAGGCATCCAGCCTGTATTGTTGCCCCAAGAAGGAGCACTGTTATCCCATAACTTCTGTTTATTTGTCATTTTCCTGGTTCCTTTCCCTGCACCCAGCTACCTCCGGGGCCCTGCGAACATCTCATGCAATGCCTCTTTTTGGGGGATGTAATCCATGTCTATCCACAGATTTTCAGACACCAACCATATGTCAGAGAGTTCAAATATATCCCCAGGCCTGATCGCGTTTGGAAGGGCTTTCCTGCATTTCAGGCTGCTGGAGACTTGGTGCCTGATGTATTTACCCACTGGCACCTCAAATTCAATTTGCCTAAGAAAATTATTTCCCTGGAAGAACATAATCCATTTCCCACAGTGTTCAGGCTAGAAAATTTTTCCACCATGAGTTCCTTAATATTTGAGTCCCAAGAGAGACTGCGAAAGGAAAAGTCTGAGAAACTGGATATTTATCACCCCTTTGGAGATTCCCAATGCTTCCTAATGTAGTGAAAGCTCAGAAAAGACTTGCAGAATGAAGTGGCTTTAACTCAATTTAACCTAGCATCTCCCAAGCTTATTTGAACATGGGACACTTTAAAAAATGTAACCCCATCCTGTGAAACCGGTGCCTGGTGGAAACTTTGAGGGACACAAGGTAGGAGTCATCTTTGATTTTCCCTTTCTTCTCCCCACTTTGAAAATTGGGGTATACTATACCTATGGCAAAGTGCACAAATATTAAACATATGGCTTGATTTCTGTATAGACACACCTGTGTAACTACCACCCAGATTAAAAAAAAATGGTGCATACTCTATGATTCTGTTTATATGAGATTTAAGACAGGCAAAATTAATCTACAGTGAAGAAGGTAGAATAATGGCTCTCTGGTGGTGGGCACAGGAGGGGGATGGGAATGCAAGATACAGACTGTGAAGTGGCCTGAGGAAACGAATGGGTTTCTGGAGCTATTCCATCCCCTCCCCACTTGCACTCACGTTCACCTGGATTTTTGAGATTATGGTTTGAATGCCTTGACTGCCTTCTTGCTTTCTGCTCTCACTGAATGCTCTCTTCTTCCATCGGCCCTTGCTGTCCGTGGATTATGTGTCTCCCTCTTCCTGGGCTACCCTCCTGATTACTGATGCTTCTCATATGCCTCTGGCATCAAGAGTAGATGTCACTTGCAGTGAAATCTCAGCTCAGAACCTCTTTTTTTTTTGAGATGGAGTCTCACTCTGTCACCCAGGCTGGAGTGCAGTGGCGGGATCTCGACTCACTGCAAGCTCCGTCTCCCAGGTTCATGCTATTCTCCTGCCTCAGCCTCCCGAGTAGCTGGGACTACAGGCGCCCAACACCAGGCCCGACTAATTTTTTGTATTTTTAGTAGAGATGGAGTTTCACCGTGTTAACCAGAATGGTCTCGATCTCCTGAGCTCGTGATCCACCTGCCTTGGGCTCCCAAAGTGCTGGAATTACAGGCTTGAGCCACCGTGCCCAGCTCTCAGAACCTCTTTTTTTGCACCACCCACATTCTGTGTTCACTTCATTTATTACACTTACCATGCTGTGCAGCCATGGTCTGTGATGCATCTGTGTCCCCACTGGACTGTCAGTCCCTTGTGAGATCCCATTGAGTGGTCAATATCTTGATTGCTGTTTTAGCTCAAGTATATGGTGGCATCTTTTTTTTTTTTTTAATGAATCCAGAACAAGCCAATGAATCTTCCTGCTTCCTATCTCAGTCTCAGCTTTTCATCCACCCTCAAGTCCAAGTCCTTTCTAAACTCCAGGCCTTGTTATGTGTATTACTCTCCCTATCATTACTCTTCAGTGGCTCCCCTGAGCTTTAAGAATGGAGGCCAGACCTCAAACTTCCTCATCTGTCACTCAAGGACTATGCAGACTCACTCCACTCAACTACACAAATTGTTTTTCCCACCACTCCCTATTGACCATTCTCTGTCCAGGGACCCAAGCCCCTTCATATCTCCTAGTATGGCAGGTCCTCTTATGCTTCCAGGCCTGTGTTTAGGCTTTTCCTTCTGCTTTTCATGCCTCCACTTAAGTTCTTTGAGTCTCAGTTCAAACATTCATTCATCCAACAAACTTATTGTACTTCCTACTGATTCCCAGGAACTATTACATGCCCTGAGATACAGAAGCACGCAAGACCAACAAGATCCATGAGCTTACATTTGAAGGCAAAGAAAGCTGGAAAATCTTATGAAGTAAGTGATTTTACGTGTTAACGATGAGCTTTGTAGATCATTCTTTAAAGTAGTACAGTGACTGGCAGATGTTCTAACTAACAGAATCTTATTTGCTTTATTGAGCTTTGAAATTAAATTCTGGGACCTCTCATATGACTATCTTCTGTATTTTACATGTTGATCCTTTCAGTAGCTTAAAAATTATCCCATAACCTTGCTCTTAATAAGATTTTTACATATTTTTAAATAAGGGAAAGCATACATAAATCAGCTTCAGGTACAAAAGGTGAGCTATACAGTCATGTGTTGTTAATGACAGAAACAAGTTCTGAGAAATGCATTTTTAGGTGATTTAATCATCGTGCACCTCATAGAGAGTACATACACAAATCTAGGTGGTCTAGACTACTACACACCTAGGTTATATGATATAGTCTATTGCTCCTAGGCTACAAACCTGTTACTGTCCTGATACTGCAGGCAACTATAACACAATGCTATTTGCGATCTAAACATATCTAAAATTAGAAAAGGTGCAGTAAAAATATGATATGATAGTCTTATGGGACCACCATTGTATTTGTGGCCCATCACTGACTGAAACATCATTATGTGGTGCATAACTGTATTTAATACTGCTATACAGCTTTTTAAGATTTTTAATTGTTCACCTTGAAGTAGGAAATCAAAGGGGTAGTTTGATGTAGCAGAAAGAGCAGTAGATCAAGAAACTTTAGTCTCATTTCAGTTCCTAACTCTTCTATTAGCTATGTCACCTTGGATAATTCACATAGCACATTGTGTTCATCTATAAAAGATATACTTAAAGTTGAAAATCTAAATCTTTCTCCAGTGTTAAAATTGCTGCAGCAAGTAGAAATAGGTAGAACTCTATCTTCCTTAAAGGAAAACTCATTTATGAAATTTGGGCTATTTTTATAAAAGAAATTAAAGTGTAGATTTTTTTTTTTACTTCGCTGTTCTTAATGTTATTGTATGAATGACCTCAACATTGTTGACTTCAATGACAAATTCTCAGTCCTCATCTATATTTGGCCTATCAAGGGCATTTGACCGATTGATAATTTCCTCCTCCTTCTCCAATCCTTTATTGTACAGTCTTTTCTTTCCCCTTCTTCACTGACTGCTCTCAGTTTTCTGTACATGCTCCTCTATATCTTACTGACTTCTAAACAATGGTGTGACCCAGGGCCAAGCCCCAATTTTGTTTTCTATCTACATAGATTCCAATTACCATGCGTTAGTTATCCATTGCTGCATAACAAATTGGCCCCCAAATTTACAGCTTAAGACAATATACATTTATTATCTTACAGTTTCTGTGGGTCAGAAATCTGGGCATAACATTACTGAGTCCTCTAACTTAGGGTTTTTCACAGGTTACAATAAAGTGTCAGCAGAGACTAAGGTTTCATCAGAAGGCCTGACTGAGGAAGGATGTACATCCAAGCTCACATGATTGCTGGCAGGATTCAGTTCTTTTCGGCTGTTGGAATCAGGGCCTCAGTTCCTGGCTGGCTCCTGCCTGAAGGCCCCCCTCAGTTCCTTGCCATGCAAGCTTCTCCAACATGGAAGCTTGCTTCATTATCCTTCAAGATCTACTTCTACCTATTCCTGCTTGCTGTAATCATAAAATCAATGATGTGTAATAGGCATCTCATAACATGTTCCACACTGAATTCCTGATTTGCAATCCATCTCCCCATCCCAGGTACATTCTTCCTGCAGTTTTGCTGTGTCAGTAAGTGGTGACTACATTTTTATAGTTTCACATGCCAAAAAACCTTACAGTAATCTATGATTGCTCTCTCTCACAACACATCAACTCATCAGCAAATCAAATTGACTTCACTTTCAAAAGACTTTATATCCAGAACTCAACCATTGCTTGCTGCCTCCCCCAGTTACCACCCTGGTCCTGTCCACCAGCATCTCTTGAATAGATTATTGTAATAAGTCCCCAAGTTGCTTCTGTGCTTCTCCATTGCCAATCTTCATTCTATTATCAACATAGTGGCCAGATTTTTCTTGTTGAAAGGTAGATGAAGTCACGTCATTTTTCTCTTCTGAACTTCTCAGTGGTTCTTTGCTTTAGTCAGATTAATAGCCAATCCTTGTAGGTGTCTACATGGGCTGGCCCTTTGTTTCCCTCCCTTGTCTCATCCCCTCACTCTCTGTTCGAGCCACACTGGCATTCTAGCTGCTCCTTGAATGCACCAGGCATGCATTTAAAAATGTATACCCAGTATTTGTTTTAATCAGGTATGGCATGACTTATAGATACAGAAATGATTGTTATGAAGGAAAAAGTATTTACTCATGGTTCCTAGAAGCAGGAGACAATTGTAAGCCATGCTGGGCCACACAGGAAGCACCAGTGTCAGTCAGGAGGCAAAGGGGTGAGAGGAGGTATGGGGAAAAGCTTTTATTGTGATTTCCATGGGGAAAGGCAAGGCAGAGTAACCAGGCTTAGGATGGACCAGTCTGAATGATTTCAGCAGGCTCTGGAGTACAGAGGCTGTCTCTGGTTGTCTGATACATGGCCCTGGGGTGATTAGGACATGGGAATATTGGCCCTCAGTGTAGGAGCTCAATAAAAGAGGTGGCTGGAGGTATTGGCTTTGGGTTGGTTGATTTGCAAGTGAAAGGCATTGCTCTCTCTAGGAACTAGCTCACCCTGGGAGGGGTGGTCTCTCCAGGATCCAGCAAGGCCCCAGAGGCCAGACCATCAAAAATTCTAAAAATAAGAACATACAGCAAGCTGGGTGTGGTGGCTCATGCCTGTAATCCCAACATTTTGCGAGGTTGAGATGGGCGGATCACTTGAGGTCAGGAGTTCCAGACCAGCCTAGCCAACATGGTGAAACCCTGTCTCTACTAAAAACACAAAATAAGCCAGGTGTTATGGCATGCACCTGTAATCCCAGCCACTTGGGAGGCTGAGGCAGGAGAATCATTTGAACCCAGGAGGTGGAGATTGCAATGAGCCAAGATTGCACCATTGCACTCCAGCCTGGGTGACAGAGCAAGACTGTGTCTCAAAAAAAAAAAAAAACAACAAAACAAAAAACCAAAAAGAACCTGTAGGTAATATGACATGCTCCCATATCACACAACTGCACTTCTCATTTCTGTGTGAGTTCTGTCACCTCCACAGATATTTGCATGAATTGCTTTATCACCAAGTCTCTGCTCAGGATTGCTTATCCACCAGGTCTTCCCTGACCACCATCCATTCAATCTGGCCCTCCCTCCCTCAGCCCCATCATCTTCCTCTTATTCTGCTTTTCTGTTCTCTTTAACACTTATCACTTTTGACATGTATTTACTTATTGTCTGTCTCTCTCAATTAGGATGTAAACTGTATTAGTATAGAGACTTTGTGGGATATCTCACACACACACACATGCACACACACACACACACACCTTCCTCAGAAACTGAATAAATGAACAAATGAAATGCTTAGCTTAAGATACTAATTGTGTGGGCTTTTAAAATAAATCAAGCAGAAATAATGCTATACTGGACAGCATGACCTGGACATTAAAATGCTTTAATTCATATGGCACCTCCATCAAGATAAAGCAGTTAATCCTTTTACCTACACACCACACACTAATAAATATGTGTGTGTGTGTGTGTGTGTATATATATATATATATATATACACATTTATGAGGTAAGTCCACCTCCTGATTGAACAGCATTTGGGGAGATGAGCCAATGGGGAGCATGCTCCACTCTGATAGTGAAGAGCAGGTGGGAACCAATGGAGGAGAACCAAGTCTCCTTCGGGGTTCAAGATGTGGCTGGCCCTTGCTTTCTGTTTGGATAATGTCCAAGACACCTTCTGCAATCCCTAGAGTGGACCCTTGGCAGAAATTCAGCTCAATCCATCAAATCATGTTTGGAGGTGGACCAATGACATCATATTTGCCATCACACATATTTGTCCTCAGAGGATGACTGTGTGACAGAGAGTACCCTGCCTTACAGCCAGGAATGGGAAAATAAAGGAGTTGAATAGTTCATGCCTATTTTTTTTTTTTTTTTTTGCTTACTGGACAAGGAATATCCTTTTTCTTTAATAAGAGTTAGAGTTAAGAATGCTCAGTTTGGTTAGTACAAGAGCTGGGTGAGAGGTAATGAAACTAGTGCATTTTAAATTACCCTGGCTCATCCAGATATCATAGTGTAATACAATGCATGCATCTTTAGGCCATAAATATGTCCCTGAAAAGTTGTATGTGAAAATCAAATTCCAAACGCATTAAGAAATAAATATGAGGGGTCATCAAAAAGTTCATGGAAAATGAGTATTATGAAAAAGTTATGCATGGATTTCAAAATTTTTTCACACCAAAATAAGCCCATACTAACTTAATATAATGTGTCTGAATAGGATCTAGTTTGAGGTATTAAGAGGGATATGACATCAGTTTGAAAAGAGCCCCTATCAGAGAAACATGAATTTTGCTAAAATCAAAGCAAAAGCAAATATCAAATTTATGATAAAACTTGGGTGGAAGAATGATGAAATATTTGATGCTTTACAAAAAGTTTATATTGACTTTTTGGAGGGCCAAAGAAAAATAACATCTGCTTAGTATGAGAGTGTTTAGAGAAAGCCAAAGCTTTAGCAGAACAAAAGCCTGGAAGCTTCACCTGAGAGTCCTTACCCACGACAATGCTCCTGCTCATTCTTCTCATCAAAGAAGGGCTATGAGAGTTTCATTGGGAAGTCATTAGATCCACCTTAGAGTCCTGATTTGGCTCCTTCTGGCTTCTCTTTGTTTCCTAATCTTAAAAAATCTTTAAAGCACATCCATTTTCATTCAATAAAGTTTATAGTTTTTATTTTTATCTTTTAATTCCATTTTTTCCATGAACTTTTAATGTCTTCTCAAGGAAGAAACACCTCATATTTTAATAGTGGTTTACATCCTGAAAATATTCCATGCATTTTTATCTGTATGATTTCGCACATTTATTCAACATACTCTGAACACCAGCTGCATGACTGGCTCTAGGCTAGAAATCAAGGACAAATGATCTAGGGAGGAAGATGATAATATGCTACCACTACCAACTAGAAGTCTGATGGCCTAGGAATGCAGAAGCTGAAGGAGAAAGTCATGTGAGTAGACTGGAGAGAAGGCTGGGGCAGAACCTGGAAGGCCAGGGTGGAATTTGAATCCAAGCTTATAGGAGCAATAAAAATGTCATTGAAATGTAAGACAGTGACATGATCCAATTTGTGACTCTTATTTCTTTTTCCAGACAGTCTTTAAAATGTCCTCCACACACGCAGAGGCTCACATCTGTAAACCCAGCAATTTGGGAGGCTGAGGGGGGCAGATTGCCTGAGTTGAGGAGATTAAGACCAGCCTGGGTAACATGGTAAAATCCTGTCTCTACAAAAAATGCAAAAATATTAGCTGGGTGTGGTGGCACACTACTGTAGTCCCAACTACTTTGGGGGCTGAGGTGGGAGGATCACTTGAGCTTGGGAGTTTGAGGCTAAAGTGGGCAAAGATGGTGCCACTGCACTACAGACTGGGTGACAGAGTGAGACCTTGTCTCAAAAAAAAAAAAAAAAAAAGAAACACATCAAAAAATAAAACATCTTCCACCACACAATATGTTTATCTTTATTGTTTCAACTTTGATGTCTTCTTTTCTTTTTATATTTACTTAGCTAGTCATGGCCACCATGATAAAAAACAGTTGCTAAATTTAAGAATCTCTTTCTACTCTCAGCATAATAGCAGAAAACTCCTTAAGTACAAGATAAATCTGAGCTTGAATTGTAACTCTACTACCAATTATTTGTGAACATTTGAAAAAATCATGCACCTTCCCTATCTATTTCCTTATCAGTAAAATAAAGGAGTTGCTTCAGCACATTGACAGAATATCTTTTAGCTGGAACGTTTTGCAGCCTTTCTCCAGGAGGCACTGGGAGCTCCCAGTGATTTCTTTCTTTCATCGATACATAATATTTATACATATTTATGAGGTACATGTGATATTTCGTTATATGCCTAGAATGTGTAATGGTCAAGTCAGAGGTTTTAGGATATCTGTCACCTGGAGATATTTCATGCATCATTTCTATGTGTTGTGAGCATTTCAAGTCCTCTCTTTTAACTATTTCAAAATATACAATATGTTGCCATTATCTGTAGTCACTCTACTATCAAATGTTAGCACTTATTATTTTTTATGATTATAACTTATTCCTGTTATTTAACCATATGTTTGTATCTATTAATCAGCCTGCCTTCACTGCCCCCACTCCCCACCCTTCCCAGCCTTTAGTACAGGGGGGCCCAACTCCCAGGCCATGGACTGGTACTGGTTGGTGTTCTGTTAGGAACTGGGCTGCACAGCAGGAGGTGAGCAGTGGGTGAATGAGCACTACTGCCTGAGCTCCACTTCCTGTCAGATCGGCAGTGGCATTAGATTCTCATAGGAGCGCAAACCCTATTGTGAACTGCGCATGTGAGGGGTCTAAGTTGCACACTCCTTACAAGAATCTAATGCCTGATGATCTGTCACTGCCTCCCATCATCCCCAGATTTCCCCCGAGCAGAAAAACAAGCTCAGGGCTCCCACCGATTCTACATTATGGTGAGTTGTATAACTATTTCATTATGTATTACAATGTAGTAATAATAGAAATAAAGTGCACGATAAATTTAATGCACTTGAATCATCCCCAAACGATCACTGCCCCCACGGTCTGTGGAAAAACTGTCTTCCGTGAAACTGGTCCCTAGTGCCATAAGGGCTGGGGACTGCTGCTCTAGTATATATCATTATACTCTCTATATTCATGAGATCAGCTTTTTTAGTTCCCACATATGAGTAAGAAAACATGAAAATTATCTTTGGGTGCATAGCTTATTTCATGTAACATAATGACCCCCAGTTTCATCCATGTTGCTGCAAATGACATGATTTTATTCTATTTTATGGCCAAATCGTATTACATTGTGTATATATATATACACTGGCCTCCTTTCCTTTCCTTTCCTTTCCTTTCCTTTCCTTTCCTTTTTCCTTTCCTTTCCTTTCCTTTCCTTTCCTTTTTCCTTTCCTTTCCTTTCCTTTCCTTTCCTTTCCTTTCCTTTCCTTTCCTTTCCTTTCCTTTCCTTTCCTTTCCTTCCCTTCCCTTCCCTTGCCTTGCCTTTCCTTCCCTTTCCTTCCCTCCCTCCCTCCTTCCTTTGTTTTTGTAGAGACAGGGTCTTGCTATGTTGCCAAGGCTGGTCTGGAACTCCTGAGCTCAAGTGATCTTCCTGTCTTGGCTTTCCAAAACTCTGGGATTACAAGCATGAGCCATCATGTCCAGCCTGTAATACATGTTCTTTATCCATTCATCTGTTGATGGTCATTGAGGTTGACTCCGTGTCTTTGCTAGTGTGAATAGTTCCCAGCAAGTTATTAACAAATATATAGGCATCTGCTTAAGATGGCACCTGTTTTTGTCTTATAATCTCTATTATTGAGTCAATCTATACTCACCTAGATTTATCTACTGACACACATATCTGGACACTCTTGACCTTCCCCCATAACTCCAAACTTCAAAATATTCCCATGTTCATCTGTGTGATTAAAAGCAGAAAAGACTGAGAAGATTAAAAGGAGCAGTTGCATTTTGTTACATGATTAAGTTTCATGATGCCAATAGGATTGGGCTGTTGGCCAAGCCTTATAATTGATGGGCTTGTTGGCCAATTAGGAGGAACACATAAACTTGTATTATTAAATGGTGTCACATCAGGTTTAACCGCTGTAAGAGCAGACTTGCCTTGGGTCAACCTTTGAGTGTTTGACACTCACAGTCATTACAAGGGTCTGACTGGAGGGAAGCTTAAGCTTTGGTTTTGCATCGGGGATCCCAAGAGAAAGAGTACCTACCACTTCCTCCTTGGCATGGGGTCCTTCAGACAGTTTAGGTTTTGACTTGTTGCCTGCTTTGCCTGCTTCTTTCTCCCCAGATAGATAATGTGGACCAATCCAGTTTGGTCATAAGTCTATTTCCCTTTTTAAATATTTTGCAAAATGTTCTGGTGCATGATTAAAGCTGAAACTTGGCGCTTGGGCACAACAGGGGACACATTTGCTGCTTTGAATTTTATCAAGCAGCACACTTCTCCTCTGTCCTCCAAAGCAGCTTGGAGAATGTTCTCTAGAGTATGTATTTATTGCAAAAATATAGAGCCATGGGCCAGATTTTAATTCTGTTAACTTTTCTATGCAATGGATGTTCAAAAGAGCAATTCTGATTAAGTGTATACATAAAAGTTAGAAATTTGGAGGCCAATGTTTTCTAAGCTATAATTATTTCTCTAGATGTCATTTCTCTGGGGCTTTACCTATTAATTTAGATGGGAGGCCTACTTTGTATTTTCCATTGCCCATGTGGTTTGTTTATAAACAGTTTGTTTATGGAAGCTATATGTGTTGTTTTTAAATAAGATTGTGATATTATTACTGCCCATGGCGATCTCCAACCTAATTTAATAATTCGCATGGTACAGTTTCTTTAATTGAATTGTGTGAGTTGTAGATAATATGAGTGGCTCAAAGGTACCTGTTGTCTCAGAGCTCTGCTCATTCCCTCTGAGCAGGAAGCTGAAGTTTACAAAGGGATTGCTTGGTAAACAAGAGTTTAAAGAAACACCCTGAGAACAACAGGAACTGTTAAAAGCTCAGATAATATAATAATGTCACCCATAACTCTGGGTGTACAAACTGCAGATTTATGCAAGTAATTAATAGTGTCTTGCCAAGAGAGTCGGTAGGCTTTTCAAAAGGAATCTTTCTTTGTGTCTTTTGATATTTAAAGAGCTGTAATTAGAATGGCAGAGCTTTGAATCCTTTTTCCCCCCCATCCTCTTATACACATTAATTTATGGACCAATCCAGTATTACAGACAAGCTAATGAAAGAACCACACACTCCCTTTATAATTTTTTTTTTACAGTTTCACTTGTGTGGATGAATGTAAAGTAGTTAATGCTATAAATAAGTATAATGATGTGTCTCTTCTCTCAATTGCCAGTTGTTGATGCTGTAGTCTCAGACAATAGAAAAAAAGAATTGAATTTAAATCTCTACCCATCATGCTTTCTTCCTCTCTCTTGTGCACCAGTTAGAAAATTCAAATGTTTCTGCCATTATAAGGTGTTAAAAAAAAAGACTTAAGCTGAATTTCTGCCCCTTCTCTTTATTTTTAGAGTCAGAGAAAACAATTAAATAACTTCTGCCATTAGCTTAGGCTAAGGTTTAGCATCTTAGCTCCTCAGCAGGGTTCTCTTTCATGCTTGTAAGGGTTGGGAAGAGCACATGAACCCCTTGTCTTCTCCATGCCCTACAAGTGGGACTACACTAACAGCAAACCTTCAAATGTCCACAAAATTAGTTTGGCTTTTGGCTCCTTATGGGAGTACTTTGACCAGAACATATGGTTGCATTCCCTAATATTTTTGAATGTTTCTTTTAATGTTTTGAAATGGTTTCTGCTTTTTTGGCAAACAGGCTATTTTTTTTTCTTTTTGTATTTGACCTAACTAAAGGTATAAAACTTATTAGAATACTTTACTTAAACAGCCTGCTGAGTACAAGGCTAAGGTCAGGGCTCATGGCCTTCCAATAACTGGGGACCAAAATATGAACCACAGTTATATTACACTTACAGAAGCACTAGAGCCAAGACACTTCAAGTTCTTTCTTCATGCATATGATTTTTTTAAAATATTTATTTATTTATTTATTTATTTTTGAGATGGAGTCTTGCTCTGTCACCCAGGCTGGAGTGAAATGGCGCGATCTTGGCTCACTGCAAGCTCTGCCTCCCGGGTTCACGCCATTCTCCTGCCTCAGCCTCCCTAGTAGCTGGGACTACAGGCACCTGCCACCATGCCCAGCTAATTTTTTTGTATTTTTAGTAGAGACGGGGTTTCACCGTGTTAGCCAGGATGGTTTCGATCTCCTGACTTCGTGATCCGCCCACCTTGGCCTCCCAAAGTGCTGGGCATGCATATGATTTTTAATAAATGAAAGAATATGTTTCTTTTTTTTCAAACAAATTGCACGTGGTGCAGCACTCAGTTCTTGGGACTTAATGACACATTCCATAATACCAACATCATGAATGCCAAGTTTCTTTATCTATTTACTTTACATATTTCTTCCATAAGCTTAGACTTTGAACAGACTGAGCATCGTCTAATCCAAATTTTGTTATTTCGTGGATACAATAGAGATGCAGAAAACGGAAGTGGTGCACGAGGACCCAACAGATAGTTAGTAGCAAAGACAGCATTTGGGTCTCCATTATCCATGAACAGCACATCCTTCTGTGGTCTAATCATTTGTTTTAATGACATCTGTCAGTTCAGCTGGGTCAGAGTCGAAACAGTCATTTTCCTGATTTCTCAGTTTGTTGACTCTTTTAAGCTGTAATTTTCTTGAGAGTAAAGGCCTTGCGTGTTTAATTTGCTCTTTATGGTACCTGGGAGAACTTTATGAAAATATTAGAGTGTACGATGGACACCACACACCAGCAGCAACACAGCATAATTTTTAAAACCCAGCTTTGGGTACCATAATCTTGACACTGCCAAGTGTTTTGGTTATCCACCTGATTCTGTTTAACAGTTCCAGGAGGGAACCACTAAATTTGAACCATTTTAATAGCAATGAGACTTCTTGAGAAAAACAGTGCCCACACAGTAGATGCAATTTAATACGTGTTTAATTTAAGCATAATTTTGTGGACAACGATTACAAATAACATATAGCACTAAGGGCATTAGCTCCATGTTGATTTTATCAAGACCATGTGTTTTGTTGTCTTTTGGGGCATTGTTTCCTGATCCATCATGCTATTTCAAATTTGTTGAGTTTGGAAAGTTTCTTCCTTGTATCAAAACTTGTCTACCAATTGCAAATAATTTTTAGATACTTTGTCTATATTTGCTTAACAGGTTCAAACTAAGTATTGGGTGATTATTAACTATATTTCCATAGTAATAGTTACTGCTATTTCTTTTCTGCTACTTCACAGATCAATACCAGGAGGAAGGAGAAGACCTGTGATCTGTTTCTTTCCCTTTATGAGGAGATGGTGTACATGCCCAAGAAGGAGAGAAGATAGGAGGCCAGGCACAGTATCCTTGTGAACATGTCAGTAACCAGCATAACTAATGATAATTTATAGAAGGGAAGTTCTTATCTGTGGAATGTTTTAGTAAGATGTCTCTGGTTTAAAATGCCTACAGCAAACAAACTCAGAATCTGTGGATTTATGAGACACAACTTCCTAGAAGATGCCTCAGATGTAACTTTCTGGAAATAACTCAGAGATGTTTCGTAACCTAAAATGCCCCCTGCTATGAGAGAAAACTGTACTTCACCTGGAGAGCAGGTGAAGTATCTATTGTCTGGGCCAGAGGTACAACTGAGACAAAAAATAAGCACCTGGAGAGCTGTACTTGAAACATCAAACATCTCTTTGCTGTGTATGTGCATCTTAGTCATTTATATTCTCAAGCTTAAATTAGTAAGCTTAATACTAGGTAAGATCCTTGATTCGTGTGAATGTCTTGATAACCTGATCCTTTGTGTTAGCTCAGCTATGGTGCGAGAGAATGAGGACATTTGCTCTCTTCCAATGTTCTTTTTTGGTGAAATCCACTGAAGTAGTAATACTAGTCTGTTCCCTGGGAGTCATTACTTTCTATGTCTTGTAGTGAAGAAGATGGGTCTATGTGTGTACTTTCTTTTGTTTAGTGGCAGAAGAGGCCAACATATAGATTGGACATTACCTGAAAATTTCTCTTCAGCTGTGAAGAAAGCATCAGCTCTTTTGATTCCTACTTTTGAAATCTCCAGAAATTATCTTACCCTTCCACCCAGATTTTCACTGTTTTATAATTTTTATTACCACTGTGTTTGTGAGCTATGAGTAGATGACAAATAGTGGGAGCAGTGTTGAGTTTTCTTTGGCATAGTTAGCATAGTCTGTTATTTATATTGTTCTTGAAAGAACAATGCTTTCTCTAATTATGAACTAAGCATTAGATTTAAAATCAGAGAAACGTCCCATTCTACTTCTCTAATTATCTTTCTGAATTTAAATGTGTAATTTATTTTCTGGTCTTCACTCTTTGAAAATGGAGTTAAATATTTTCCTTTTGTGGTAAAAAATTTCAGCCTATTTGTGTTTGTGCCGTGTGGACATGCATTTGTGTATGTGAGAGAGACAGACTGTAAAATCTTGTTGATCTTGGTTCCTTAATATCAGGTGGTAGATGTAATAACCAAATACTTTGTAATTGGTTTTTAAATAATAGCACAGCATTCTTTATGAATATTTGATCTCAAATATTCAATAGGATCTCAATAAGGTAAGAGTAATTCCATTAGACTGATTGGCAGACAGATTTCTGGAATACAGTCTACAAATCCATATTAACTTTATTGATCTTTCTGGCTGTATTTTAATCACATTATAGCTTTAGAGCAAGTCGCCCTTTATTTTGATATCTTTTTGTTTAATGGAAAGGTAACTTTTTAAAGCTGGAAAAGGCTTGTGGCTGATATATAAAATTCTGGCCAAGATCAGAAAAAATCAATTCATTGGCTTCTATAAAGATACAAAATCAAACCAAAGTAAGTTACAAAAATATATTCACCATTTTTACTTGTCGTTATCTTATATCTCTTTTTTTCCTAATTTGTAGCTGAAAGAAGATCTTTAGAATATTTAAATGTGCAAAAATTAAGGATTATAATTTTAAAAGCATCTAACTTTAAGAAAACAAAATTTACCCTAGAGTTATTTCGTACTATATTAGCTGTTTAAAGTTTATATTTGAATTTACTTCAACAGTCATTTATTGAGTACTGCTAGGTACTGACCTTGGTATTAGAGAAATACGAGTAAGCAGAGCAGATAATCCCCCTTCTCATGAAGCTTGCATTCTAGTGGGCAAGAAAGAAAATGAATAAACTCAATATGCAATTTACAAAATATATTTAAAACTGATAAATGATAAAGGGAAAAAAGAAAGCAAGAAAGAAGTAGTCTTGGTCAACTTGGCTGCTGTAATAAAATACCAAAGACTGGGCCACTTATAAACAACAGAAATTTATTTCTCACTGTTTGGGAGGCTGGGAAGTCCAAGATCAAGGTGTCAATGGATTGGGTCTAATGAGGGCCTGCCTCCTAGTTCCAAAATGGTGCTTTTTTTTTTGTCCTCACGTGACAGAAGAGGTCAGGGCTGTTCTCTGGGGCCTCCTTTATAAGGGCACAAATCTCATTCATGAGAGAGCTCTGCGGTCATCACCTAATTACCTCCTAAAGACTCCACTTCCTAAAAATATTATGTTGATGATTAGGTTTCAACATATGAACTTTGGGTGGACACCAACATTCAGGCCATAGCTGGAGGCTAGTGAGTTCTGGGAGATGGGGGCTATTGGACTTTAAATAGATTAATCAGGACAGACTTAAGAATGTGATATTTGAGCAAAGGAGGTTCAGGGAGTTTTGCGCCTCTTTGAAGAAGAGCAGAAGGAACAGCTAGTGAAAAGCCCCTGGAAACAGGAGGATATCTTGAGTCTTTGAGACTCAGTCAGGAGGCAATTGTAGAAGAGAGCAGAAAAAGGAGGAGAGCAGTAGGAGATGTTCGTGTGTGTGTGTGTACACAGGTTCATACAAATCATGCCTCATGGACCATTGTAAAGATATGGCTTACTCTGAGTGAACTGGGAAGCCACTGGAGGGGTTTAAGCAGAGGTATAATATAATCTGACTTCAGTAAATTTGAAGTATTTACTATTGGAGTAGGACAGGAAAGTCATAAGTAGATACTTGGGACACAGATTAGCAAGACTAGGTAAGACTAAAAGGATAATTTCGGTTGCAGTATTAAGAATTGGTAGAAGCAGGGCCCTGTGCGGTGGCTCACACCTGTAATCCCAGCACTTTGGGAGGCCGGGGTGGGCAGATCACTTGAGGTCAGGAGCTTGAGACCAGCCTGGCCAACATGGTGACACCCCGCCTCTACTAAAAATACAAAATTTAGCCGGGCGTGGTGGCAGACACCCGTAATCCCAGTTTCTCAGGAGGCTGAGACAGGAGAATTGCTTGAACCTGGGGCAGAGGTTGCAGTGAGCCGAGATCGTGCCACTGCACTCCAGCCTGGGTGACAGAGTGAGACTCTGTCTCAAAAAAAAAGAAAAAGAGTTGGTAGAATCAGAGACACCCTTCTGGCAGATGTTAAAATAGTCCAGGCAGAGTTGATGGTGGATTGGATGAGGGTGAGAGTGATGTACATGGCGAGGTGTGGTTGAATTCTGTATTTATTGCAAAGGCGAGTCAATAGATTTTGCTGACAGCCTGGATCTAGGGTATTAGAGAAAGAGAAGTTAGAGACAATTCGAAGGTCTTTACCTCATGTCTGGAAGGATGGAATTGCCAATAACTTAGATGGGGATGAGTCAAGACAAAGAAGGTTTAAAGCTCAGTTGTGTGTATGTTAAATTTGAGTTGCCTACTGGACATTCAAACGGAGATGTCAAGTTGGCAGTTGAAATCTTGACTCTGAAGTTGAGAGTAGAGTTCTGGGTTGGAGATATTATATAAATTTAGAATCCCTAATGAATAGATGGTATTTAAAGCCATCAGCTTGGAAAGGATCACTGGGGAAACAAGCGGAGAAGAGAAGAAGCACAGGAAAGAGTCCTGGGTAACTTCAATGTTGAGAAGTTGGGAATAAGAGGAAAGACTAGCAAAGGGTACTGAGAAGAGGTACCCAATGGGTAGAGGGACAAACAGGTGAGCGTGGTGTCCTGCAAAGCAAATGGAGACGGTGGTTCAGGGAGGAGAATAATCAACTGCCCCAAACTGTTGACTGTTCTGGGATATGATCTATTGAGATTCTACTTTGAGCATTTAAAAATTCTCTAGTATTTGCCATTTTGTGTACTGAAAAGGGAGAAATTACTATAACAACTATAGCATTAACACTATTTAAAATCAAGTGTTTTTCCTTTAAGAAGGGAATAGGATATTCTTTTTTCTTATTTTTCTTTGGGAGAAATATTAGCTTGAACTTGTATTAGTCTATATCTTTTACATGATGAGATATACATATATATGGCTATATATATATACACACTCTATATGTATGTGTATATACATATACAATATCTCTGTAAGAAATACTGATTTTACTTGGATAAAATTCAATATTTAAACTTTAATGATCAGTTAGGAGTGATTTCTTTAAAATTTGACAAAAATAGAAATGATTTCTTTCCACTTATGTGTTAATATAGAAAATGCTTACCATTTCTACATATCCAATCATGCACCTCTGGTTCCCTGAGGTTATTTTTTGTAACTTGTAGTGCATTTGGAAAAAGAATTATTCATTTGCAAGTGTGTGAAATCCATAAGGCAAATGGGACATTGTACTAGATGATCTCTACAGCCTCACCCAGTTCAAAGGTTCTAAGAATAATGCTTATACCTCTGGCCTGCATTAAGCCAAGTTGGATGGGGCAGGGAGTTAGCAGCCCTTCAAATAAGCTGGATTAACCCCACTGCCATTTCTCTTAGGGAGAAGGCAGCTCAGCTTTTTAGAGCATATAGGTCATCGGCAAAAGTTAGATTATAAAAGTCTTCAAGTCACAATCATTTCATACAGTAATAGAATTGAATGTGATTTGGGCTTAAGAGTGAGGGAAATGAATTTTTAGTTAAGAGCCATGAAAATCAGCACTATTTCACATAGCTGTTTAATATAGGCATTCTTGGTTCAATATAGGCATTCATTCAGTTCAGTTTCCTTGAGTTCAGAGGCAATAAAAAGATACACATTTTTTCTACAAATTCAATCAATTTTGGAAGGGCCTATAATTTTTAAAGCTTTTTTTTTGTTTAAATTGCATAACTACTAATTTTTTACTGCCAATTTCAAAGAGAAATATGAGAACATAAATCTTCCCATACCTGTTTTAAGCCTCCACAGAGAAAGCATGAGATGACATGATGCTAGAGTGGTCTTTTTACTTTTCAATCCTTTTCTAATGTTTCAAAGAGATTTTTAAATTGGGCAGAATCTTCCAAGAGTATTCGATCAGAAGTTTCCTCTTCAACAGGGACTCCTTTATTAGTAGTATATTATAAACTGAATCTATCTGAGAATGCTCCAAAAGTTTGTCTCATTTAAAGAAATTTTCTTCCCAGTTGAAACTAGTAATGGATTAGGTTGATCAAAACTGTCTGAGAAAATGAAAGTTGATTCTATAAAGTAAATCTGAAATGTTCACTGTTGGAGTAGGATAGAAACTTCACAGGTAGATATTTGAGACACGAATTAGCAAAACCAGGTTACTTAGCACCTGACCTTCCAGAAGAGATTGAATCCACAAGCTTATTTCCACCTTAATTTGGGGAAGCAAGATGTTTGCTCTGCACATGAGTGGATGGCCACAAGGTGAAGTACCTCATTAAGAAGACCAAAAATTATTGGGATGTGTGAATTAGGAAGCAAGGATTGAATTAGAAAATGTTCCTTAAACACAAGCTTCTCTGAAGTGCCATAGCTATTTGGATGTTAAGACTATACAAGTTCTCTTTTCTCAGGTTTCATAATCTCCACTCTTTCAAGTTAGGCAGGAAATTATCTTCTGTTTGGATTTTGGTGTGTCCGTGTACCTGTTCTTGTTGGAAACTGTGTTGTTACATGTTCAGCTGCTTGTGTTTGGAGCCTGAGATTTCTTCTGGGAAGGTCATCCTGGTGAAAGGAGCCCCCGGCCTGAATGACTGCACTCCCTAGTTGGAGAGGCAGCAGATGTTTTGGTTGGAGTGCTAGAATCTAAAAGCCCCTTTCTTGAGGGGCTGCTGTGATTCATATGAACGGCCTCCCCATTTGCTGCTTCCCACTCCCTGCTCCCTACCTTGTCCTCTGCTCTGCTCCCAGAGGTTGGCGCCAGTGCCCACACTGTCTGGGGTGGGGTGTGGCTGTGGCTGTCCTCCTTCCAGGCTGGTTGCAGTGCAACACCTGCTAGTGACTCAGGTGGTGGGGTTCCTACCCCACCTGCCATCCAGGTGCCCAATGCTTTCCCATGTGTAGAGTCTGTCCCCTGGTTGGTGCCCATCTGCTGTAGGCTGGGATGGGTTTGTGGGAAGGGATATTGGTCCTGGGGCTGGTGGAAGGGAAACCATTAGTTGGTGGGACACACATGCACACACACACACACACACACACACACACATACATACATACAAGCACACAAGCACACACATGGAGTCAGAGGCTCTGGGCCTGAGAGGTTCCACACTCATCCAAAGAGTATCTCCCTGCAGGAGGGAGGGAGTGTGACATTACATAGCATATAGCAAACATCAGGACAAGACAAGAGAGACTATGTAGAAAGGAAAAAAATTGTTTATTTTACTATCTTTAGTGGCCCTTTTTGTCCTGGTTTTTGAAGAAGGAGCCCCACATTTTCATTTTGCACTTGGCCCTGCAGACTGTGCTGCCGGCCTTGGTGGCAATCATCATGCATAGGCAGTTACCAGCCTCAGCTGGTTTCTCCACACAGCTAGCCAGCCCCATGCATTTCTCTGGCCAGCTGTCCCCTCATTGTTCATAGTGGCTAAACATTTTCCACCCTTCCCCAAATTATGCTCCTTCTGCCTCTACCTTCATCTCAGCAAACAGTGTTATCTCTTACTTTAGAGAAAAAGAAATAGAAGTCACCAGATGAAAAACTCTTCATGGCTGTGGAAAAGGGGAATGCATACACTGTTGGTGGGAGTATAAATTAATTCAGCCTCTGTGGAAAGCAGTTTGGAGATTTCTCAAAGAACTAAAAGCAGAACCATCACTCAACCCAGCAATCCTATTACTGGGTATGTACCTGGAGAAAAATAAATCATTCTACAAAAAAACAAAAACACATGCATTCATATGCTCATTGCAGTGCTAGTCACAATAGCAAAGACATAGAGTCAACCCAGGCACCTATCAATGGTGGATTGGATAAAGAAAATGTGGTACATAGACATCATGGGGTACTATGCAGCCGTAACAAAGAATGAAGTCATGTCCTTTGCTGCAACATGAATGCAGCTGGAGGCCATTATCCTAAGCAAATTAATGCAGGAACAGAAAACCAAATACCACATGTTCTCATTTATAAGTGAGAGCTAAACATTGGATATTCATAGACATAAAGATGGAAATAATAGACATTAGGGACAACTGGGAGGGGAGAAAGGGAAGGAGACAAGGGCTGAAAAACTCCCTATTGGGTACTATGTTCAGTACTTGGGTGATGGAATCATTAATACCCCCAACCTCAGTGTCACACAATAGACCCATATAACAAAGCTGCACATTTACCCCCTGAATCTAAAATACAAGTTGAAAATTTTTTTTTTTTTTTTTTTTTTTCAGAAAAAAACTCCTGGTCCTAACCTGTGTCTCTTCCACCTTTTCTGTCCCTCTTATTACGCGGGAGGAGGCTTGCTTCTCTCTGTCTAATGTTTGTATCTGGCTGCACCCTACACTCCATCCCTTGCAGCCTTCCCAGGACTGAGCCTGGCTATCCCCCTCTCTTAAGATGTAGCACCAGGTTGTGGGAAGAGCAGGAGCTCTGGAGAAATTGTCTGGGGCTGGATCTCAGCTTTATCTCTCATTACTTGTGTGAACTTGGGCAACTCTTTTAACTTCCCCATGCTTCAGTCTCTCTATTTGACAATTGGAATAGCGACAGTACTTATTTCACTATGTTGTTATGAAGATTAAGTTAATATTGATAAAGTAATTGGAAAAGGGCTGGCATATAATATGTGCTATATAAATGCTTGTTTAATAAAATTAAAGAAAAAAGTCTTTTCGTTAGTCTTCAAACCTGGTTACCCAGGTTGCTCACAACCGTCTGTGTCCTTTTCCTGATAGCTTCAGCAGCTCCAGCAGCTGTCTGATACTTTCATGGCACTCTTGGGGTATAGAGGTTTTGGTCAGGTTCTCAGTGCATTCTGACTATAGACTCACAACCAATCATGCATTGCTGGGGGCTAGAATCTCTGAAGCAATATGGCCATGAAGATGGGCTGCATTCTCACTGCTCTCAGATCCACAGACTGCTATTCTGTTCCACTCCTAGCCAGGCAACAGCTCTTTCTATGATGGGTGAGAAGTCCTAGTCTTACTGATATTTATCTATATTCCAGAATCCTCTTCTCACGTTTAGCTCCTCTAAAAACCATCTCAGTTATTCTAAGACGTGTTGAAACTTAAAATGCCTACTGGGGTAAGGTAGTTAGTGTAAAAAGGTGAAACAGGTGAGTGTAGGAGACAACAGGGGGTGGTGGGGACTGGGTATATTTAAAGGTGCAGCCACTACACAGCTCCAGCTGATTGATGCCATGAAACTTGTGAACCTAAAGTTTGCAGAAGTTCCAGATTTTTCAAGAGAAGCTGGAAATTTAGTCTTACGTGAAATTGTTAAACTTTTTTGTGTTGGCAACTAATTCTACATGAATAAAAACAGCATTTAAGCCAAACAAATCATGTCTGTAGGGTGCATACACTTCAGGCACGTCTGGTATGTGATCTTGGCCCTAAGGGCTTAGAGTTTTGAATGAGAAAAGCCATAAAGCTTATAAGGTACTTCTGTTAACATGGAAGAGAATCAGAGGGAAATATCAGGTATCAAAAAGTCCCCAAGTATTAATATTTGAAAATATTATCCTGCCACACCTTTCCTGACTCTCTTTATCTCTGCCATTCCAAACAGAAGTGATTAACCTCCTTATCCAAGTCTACATAGTTCTCTGGACAGGGACCTATCGGATTGCCCAACAGCACCACTCTATCCCAGGAGTAGCTTTATGTTTTCATACTGTTTGCTTAAATATCTCTCTCACCCTGCTAAATCCCTTGAGGTGGGAGCTAATTATTAATTTTTGTTTTTCTAGTGCATAGTCCACAGATTGGCATGCAATATATGCTCTAAGAAGAGACTGGAAGGGAAAAGAACACTCTATGCAGGAAAAAAAGCACATGCAAGGGCAGAGAGTCGTAAACCACCAATGGGTTTAAAAAAATCTTATAATGCTTTAGTTTTTTACGAGAATGAATAATAGGGAATGAACAGAAGAAATGAAGGCAAAACCATGCAAATGCTTACATATTATTTTAGCAGCTTACATTAATCTTTGGGTAAAAGAGAATCCATAAAATTATTTTTAAAAATAGTAATAAAATAATTATATTTTATATTAGAAGATGGATTGAAGGGGTATATTTAGTGGTCTTTTGCTTCTGTGGCAGCCCAACATTGTTGAGTACTTTCTACATTTTATGAATATTCTACATTGTGAATTTTACCTTTCCAAACTATAATTCAGGAAACTCATATTCCTAGGCTCCCTTGAAGCTAGTGTACAGGTGTGTGATCTCAGTTACACCATTCAGAGGCACCTGTGCAAGACTTGGATTTGGAACTGAGCCACGATAGGAGTTGGCTAACTGGGAAAACAGCTCTTGTGGCAAGTACAGTGACAGACATATCTGGTTCTTTGGAAGCAGCTGTGGCAGAGTCTCTGGCATTGTCTTCATCCTCCCAGATGCCAGGAGGTGGTGGCGCTGGAGCTTTTACTGAGCAGCCCCTAGGGTATGGTTGGACATTGTTCCTGGACGCATAGCTCCAGAGCTCGATGCCTGGCCCTTCTGCAGATTCTGCAGCTAACCAGAACATGAAGATTCTCTTACTTGCAACTAAGAACACTTACCAATACAAGATGACATCAATAAACATATTGCCATATTTCCAATGAGGGCTGATTAGGGCTTGCATCAGGGAGGAATTATAGAGATGCATTCGGAGCACAAATTTGAAAAATGTTAGGAACATTTTACCAGATAGGTGTCACTGATCAGACAAAAAGGAATTTGAAAAAATGAGAACAAATCAGGACAAATGTTGAGGAGGAAAGAACCAAAGTTGAAGGGTTTAATGCTGTATGGCCCCAGTTTCCACAAAACTGAGTGAGTCGCAGTGAAGTGCTGTGAGCTGCTGGCATAGGAATGGGCTTGGGGCTAGAGGATCATCAGAAACATTGAGACAGCAACAATGCTTCATGACCTGGGAGTGGGAAATGAGGAAGTAAACAACTGGCTGGTCCTGGCTTTTAAGGGAGGCAAATAAATTTAAAAGGAGGTTGGTAGACTAGGTAGAATAAGAAAATGTCAAGTGGCCAGAGTAGCTTTCTCCTATTGTTCTAGTTCATGTCTGTATCCTCAGATGCTCAATAACTATTTGATGTAAGAAAGAATGAATCAGATGTTACTGGAGGTAAACAGATAGAAAGCCAGAGAGGAGAAATACAGAATTTAAGATCTTGCATCTAATGCTAGACCTTTGCTTTCTCTCATTTGCATACTAAATGTAGGGCTGCAGATGGCTTCATGTTATTACAGCTGCTGAATCAACTTACATTGGCTGCAGAATTCTGTTGCCCTTGCCACAGAAAATGACCTTGATGGATAGAAGAATTCTCTGGGCTCGTTTCAGAAGACAATAGCAAAAGAAGAATTAATTCAAATGATGGGTTAATATGTACCTTAGGCTCCATCAAATAATCTTGAGGGCAACTAGAAATCTTTTTAGAAGTCTGAGGTTAGAATTAAAAGCTCCTTAGATGCCTTGCGCTCACAATTCCATGTTGTTATTTTATTATTGAGATATCACCAGCTTCTTTTCTAGTTTTGATTAGGTTGCCTAACATTTTGTGGTTTTCCTTCTTTTCTCTTCTGCTTTCCACACTTCCATTTTTAATAAACAAAGATGAAAGCGAGAGTGTCTTTCCACCTATTTAAATAATTTTACCTTTGCATCGGCATGTTTCTCACTTTTCATAATTTGTGAAAATGTAACTATTATAACAGAAGTGCACAGCAGCATGTCTGGAAGTCTGTCTGAGATCATACAGCCCCTTGTCACATTTAGAAGATCCCAAAACGCCAATGAAAAGTATGCTGAATGATTCAAATAGGAGTTTGTGAAGAAAGGTTAAATGAATTGGGATTATTCATTCTGTATCATAAGGGAATTTGCTAAAAATAATATTAATTTGTCTCAGACAAAGTGATCTGTTTAAAAGAGAAACTGTGACATATTTAAAAAATTTCCTTCTCTGTGAATCTCAAAGAGACATACCTATGTTAGCTGAGCTAAGGCAAATCCCCTTGGAAGTGTCTGATTTTAGGGCTGTATCAGGGTCTAACCAGGAAATGGGCACCACACAGATATTTGCACAGGGAAAGTTTAATGTGAAGAATTATTAATTATAACAGGGAATTGGAGTTACATGGGATTAACTAGGAGGAAGTAAAGAGAATGGCAAAGAATACAGGAATGGCAGATACATGAAGCAACCCTATTCCTAGGGCTGGGGCAGGGTACCCAAGAAGGAAGCTCTCTCCTAGTTCCTCAGGTACAGATCAAGTCCTTGTTGTAGAAGGCATGGCTGTGGTCCATAGAATGGCAGGGAAGTTGCTGTGATCATGCTCTGGTGGAAGTTGCTGGAAGTATACCCTCTAGGGTACCAGGGAAGGCTGTTGATGGGGAGGTGTGTCAGTGGAGACACCCTGCTACAAAGCCTCCTGGTGAGGGGGTGCAAAGAGAAGCTGCTGGCTTTCAGGTGCTGCTGACTGCTATGCACTGCAGGAGCTAGCCATGGAGAAGCTGTGAGTACTGTATGAGCTGGGCCCTGAAGATGCCGTAGGCACTGCCAGAGCTGGGTGCTGGAAGAGCCAGCTGTACTTCAGCAGCCTTATGGGAAAGCACACCTGAACCAGGAAGAAAACTGCTCCTTCCTGTGATGTCTCTCCAGTGCCCTCTACTGACAAAGTTTAATATTGTGCCAACTGGCAAAGAAAAAGCATCTAGATCCATTTTTGCACAGCAGGCAAAGAAGGGTGATTTTGGAGATGAGGGAATAGATTGATAACTGGCACAAGGGTTATTTTTGAGATGGCAACAGGTAAGGTGTAAGGTGGGCTAAGAGAGAATGTTGGCTTTGGTTTTATGCTTTGTGGCCTCTCAGGATGCGGTGAGGAGGTTGATGTGATAATATAGATCCTGCATAATTCCAAACAATCTATCTCGGTCCTGCCAGTTGTTCTCTACAGAGCTTGCATTTCTTTTGAAAGAACCTATTAGCCCACTGGACTAGGTATTCTTTTACAGGTATTCCTTTTTTAGTTTTGAGGGGTATTGAGGATGTTTGTTTATTATTGTTATTGTTGCCAATCTGAAAAAAAATCCCTTTTATTTCAGGTTAATGTAGATTTTATGATTAAACCACTTCTGAATCTTTTCTTGTTACTGAATGTATAATTAAAGCAGCCTTGGACCTTCACTCTGTATAGTTGGGTTTTTGGTTGCTTGTGGGGACAAGTCCAACGTCTGGAACATGGGTATTTACTTTAAAAATATTGTTTACATAGTAGCTATAGCTGGGGAATGAAACATTTCTTTCTTTTCAAACTTATTTGTGCCTCCAAAAATTGTTTCATTGTTTTCATAAATGAAAGAATAATGGGCATGGTACAGACTTTTTGGCACATAGTAGTCTCTCCTTATCCACTGTTTCTCTTTTTACAGTTTCACTTACCTGTGGTCAGCTACAGTCTGAAAATATTATAGTACTTTGAGAGAAAGAGACCAGATTCACATAATTTTGATTATAGTATATTGTTATAATTTGTTCTATTTTCTTATTGGTTCTTGTTAATCTCTTACTGTGTTTAATTTGTATATTAACTTAACCATTGGTATATATGTATAGAAAAAACATAGTACACATAGGATTTGGTGTTATCCACTGCTTCAGGCATCTGCTGAGGTCCATGGAGAAGGAGGGACCACTGCGTGTTCCAGAAATTGGGAATGAGATGATTGTGTAAAGAATCCTGTTGCGTATCAGATGGCTTTTAATTGTTTGGTTTCAACAGAATTGCAGGAGACCCTCAGTGGCTTTTTAGTTGATGAATCATTGAACAAAAGAAAACTTCAAATGATATATCACTTTATGATACTTTCGAGAATAATTTAGAAGGTGTTTACAGACCAGTTGTGTTGCTATAACAAAACTCCTTCCATTCCCGTCTACTTATGTATGTGAACAAAGTTCCTCAGCACTTACATATTTGAAAGTGAAAAACAGAAATACAATCTTTAAAAATGTGTCTCATCCTGGCAATGAGTAATATTCACCCGCAGACACATGGGCTAATTAAAAAAAATGCCTCGTCTATCTCATTAAAAGCTATTTTTCTAATAACAGATTACTGTGGTTGGCAGAATTCTAAAGATGTCCCCCCAGGATTCCTGACCCCTGGTTATTCAGTCAAACACTGATCTTGGCACTGCTGTGAAAAAACTTTGCAGAATTAAATTTACCAATCAATCGATGGGTCAATTGACCTTAAAATAGAAAGATTATCTTGAATTATGGTGAACCCAGAGTAGTCACATGAGTCTGTAGAAGCAGAAGCATCCGTCTGAGGGATGCAGCAGTTGAAGAAGAGGCAGGAGAGATGTGGAGTGAGAGGGATATGTTGTACCCTTGCTGGTCCTGAGACCCACCTGCAAGGACCAGAGGGCAGGTGCTAGGAGCTAAGGGTGGTCTCCAGCCCACAGCCAGCAAGGAAATAGCACCTCATTCCTACAGCTGTGTAAAACTGAATTCTGCCAACAACTTGAATGAGCCTGGAAGTGGATTCTTTCCTCAAGCTTCCAGAAGGGAATTCAATCCTGCTAACCCTTGATTTTTTGTTTGCAAAACTGAGCAGACTGAGACTTCTGACCCACAGAACAGTGAGATAACAAATGAGTTGTTTTAAGCTGCTAAATTTGTGGTAATTTGTTACAGCAACAATAACAACAAATAGTTACTTGTTATGTTAAATGGTATTTAAGCAACATAGTTAATGTATTTTACATTGTTGTGATCATTTGTAATCAATAGTAATGTTTAAATTGACAACATTCTCAAAGAAAATATCTTTAACATATAATTGTATAGTTACAGAAATAAGTTTGATTTCAGTTTACATACATATTTTTCAATAGAAAACTATGATAGAATAATAAAAATATCATTAAACATCAATACATTACATTAAGACAGAATTATGACAGGACAGTAGAATGGAAATAAGTATATAAAGAGCAAAAAAGGAATAATGTAAGAATTTTTACTGTTAAAGAAGAGCTTGTTAGTGGATATTTTATTTTGATTTTTATTTTTGAGACAGAGTCTTTCTCTGTCGCCCAGGCTGGAGTGCAGTGGTGTGATCTTGGCTCACTGCAATCTCTGCCTCCCAGGTTCAAGCAATTGTCCTACCTTAGCCTCCCGAGTAACTGGGATCACAGGTGCGTGCCACCACACCCAGCTAATTTTTGTATTTTTAGTACAGACAGTGGGGTGAGGGATTTGCCATGTTGGCCAGGCTGGTCTCGAACTCCTGGGCCCAAGTGATTTACCTGCTTTGGCCTCCCAAAGTGCTGGGATTATAGGCATGAGCCACAGATCCCAGCTGTTAGTGGATACTTTAGAAGTGAATGAGGATTTGTCAAAATCATACAGTATTATACTCCACTGAGTATATTTGAAAGAGTAAGCTCATAGTTTTATCTTAAAAATTCATTATTGACACTATCCTATAAATTATACATTTTGCAACTATTTAAATTTGCTGAAAACATTTTGTTATCAACTTAAAAATATGCAAAGGACCTCTTGGTCGGTCCAAATTCCTTCAAGGAGTAAGCACACAAGAAAATTTGAAGACCATTGGTTAACAGGACTCCATTTTCTGAGTTTACACACAGTATTACCTTCCACTGGGGTAGGCATGAGAAAGCTTGTGAAGTTCAGAAGGTTTTCTCATTCATTAACTCAATTATCCATTGAAGACTGATCAAACCTGTATGGAGGACTCACATTACATGTTTAACTTATATGTAGCTATATTCACTCAGCAAATTAAAATGGGGAGCATTAGGGCAGAGAAATAACAACTTGAATTGACCAGACAGCTCTGCCTGGTTTCCACTCAGTGTATGCATGTGTTGGGTGGGAGTGAGACAGTGTCTCTTGTCTTGGCACCTATCTTCATGCTTAGTTTTATTTTATTTTATTTTATTTTATTTTATTTTCCTTTAAGTTAAAAATAGAGACAAGGCCTCACTATGTTGCCCCCGCTGGTCTTGAACTCCGGAGCTCAAGCGATCCTCCTGCCTTGGCCCCCCAAAGTGCTGGGATTACAGGCATGAGCCACCATGCTTGGCCCATGCTGAGTTTTATACTACCGGCCTGTTTAAATATTCTCCCATTTCTCACATCATGGTCCTAAACACAAGCCAACTAGCTCCTCTGCTGCTCAAGTGAAGAAACAGCACCAGTCTCAGACCTAGCTCTCAGACATAATTCTGGGGGAAAGACACCATGCCCAGGAACTACGTTATAAGATAAACAACCCAGGAATCCTGTCCCGGAGACCATTAAGTCAGGTTGTTTCAGTAAAAACACAAGAAGATATATGTCCACCCACTTTTTGATCTCTTGCCCTATAAGATTTAGCTGTCTGATGAGTTTTTACTCTAAGGGTTTTGAATTCATTGATACAATTTTTCATTTTCTGCCTCATCTTGAAGCTTGGTGTTCCTTCTGAATGTCTTTCTTAATGGTTGGATCATCTACTTAGTCACCTATCCTAAACACATAAGATCCTAGCCTCTTTGCTTTCTAGATCCCTTCAAGACACAGTCATATCCTGTCGTGTCTGTTTCCCAAAAGTTTAAATTGTGTGCCTTCTTGCTGTTTGCAAATCCAGCCTCAATTAAGGTGTTCACAGTTGATTGTGTCCTGGTCTTCATGACTGTCTCCTCTGATTCAACCCTAAGAGCTCAGCACATTTGGACTTAAATGCAAATCTACCCATATCTTTTTTCCACTTAAAACTCCTTTTCATAACAAACCCAGTCTTTTATACCTTTCTCTCTTCATCTGATGCCATGCCTCTCCTGGAGCCATATTGCTCAAACTTGCCATCCTGTTTCATGCCTTCATAGACTGTATCTTCTGTAAGAATGGGCTTTCATCTACCTTCTCCTTGTCCATCTGGACAACTCATCCTTCAAATATCATTGTGTACACGGTAGGGATGCTGCTACCAGTTACCAGCTACCACCACTACCACTACCATCAGCACTAGAATTTATCAAGATTGAACACATTATGAGCTGAGAAATATGTTAGTCACTTTCCATGTGTAGATGTTGTTTATATTATACAACAACTCAATGAGGAGTTGAGAAATGAACTCCTTATTTTCTCTAGATTAGGAAGCTAAATCAGAGATATTTAAGAGAGTGGACCAGGATTCAGAACGGGGGTATGTGCTTCCAGAACTCATTGATGGAACCACTGCAATTTGGAGCCCTGCTATACAACTGTGCTGAAGGAAGGAGGCAGTTACTCAACCCCTTCCCAATGCTTCTTTTGTAAAATGGGGATCTTAATACCTTATTAGCAGGGTTCTTGTGAAAATTAGCAAACACTATTGAAAGGAAACTGCCAAGTCTTTATGATAAGTAAGTCCAGCTTCTGGAGATATTTTCTTTAATAACCCATAATATGGTTAATTTAAAGCTGGGAAACTTTACTAAAGGCTAGAAAACAATAAAGAGTAACATCACAGGCAACACAAAACTAGATAATTTGACCCAAGAACTACAGATTGTTTGGAGGTAACATGTATGATCTAGGACTACCAGGACTGACTTAGTAGTGTGTGATTTTAGCTGGCTTCTGAGGATTGGACTGTTCATGTGTAGACTTAGCAATGATGTCTATTTGGTAGAACTATTGTGAGAGTTGAATTTATTCCTAAACATACATTTACTGAGCCCAAAGCTAGGCATTCATTGATAACTAATACACAGTTTTTGACTTAATCCTCCTAACAAAAGCGCTGGGGGTACTACTTTGATTCCCAATTTGCAGATGACAAGAGTAAGGCCCGAAGAGGTTACGAAACTTGTGTAGGTCACATAGTTGGTGATTTCCATACCCAGGACTGGAACCCAGGCAACCTGGTTCCAGAAGTGTGTGCTCAGCCCATCTGCTGCACTGCCTGATGGTGTGAGTGGAGACACTACCATCATGAAGCTTGCAGTTTAGGATGGTGCATATGTAAGAAAACAAAGAAATGCACAATTAAAAATAAAATAAGTGCTATGAAGGAAATAAACAGTGTGTGTGGCAAAGAAAAATGGGGAAGGGGTGTCTGAGATCCATTAGAGACAGTGGTTAGGAAAGTTTTCCTTGAGGAAAGTGATGTTTAAGATTGGATTAAATGAGAAGATGTGTTTAGTAAAGGGAAATCTGGGCACCCTGCTAATAATGTTCCCTTTCCTTTCCTTTCATATGTTGAAATAAAACATTTTTTTTTGACCCTGCATGAGCTCTCCCTGCTTGTGATTGCCCTGAGAGGTAGAACCCCAGGGAAGATCACACTTGTTCAGGTGGGAACTATGAAAAGTCACAGAGGACTCCCGGGCTTAAACAACTGGCACATAGATGCTTACACATTACTTTGTTTGCACATGCGATCTTTTATTAAATAATTGAGAAATCCTAGGTATTTACAGGTATTGTCATTTTGTGCCTTAACGATGTGTTAGATTTCAAAAGTATCAACTTAGTTTCGCTGTTCACAATGGCTTTGAAATGGTGTTAAGACTTCTGGAAATTCATTGAGGGTTAGCAGTGTCGTTGCCTATGCTTTTTACTTCTAAATAATAGCTTATTTCTTTGGCAAACCTATCATTTCTAATTTAATGGGTAGTACTTCAGCAATTGAGCTATCTTTTTGAAAGCTACAATGGCAGCTAAAGAAATCCTAACAGAGAACTAAAATAAGATAAATGGGAAAGGGACATATTACCTCTTTTTGCTCATCTGGTTGTTATTGTTAATAATAATAATAAAATACCAGAAATTGATATAACTGTCTTTTTTAGCATCATTTAAAATATCCTTGGGAATGTCATATAAAATAGCAGTTGTAGCAGTGTGATGTAAATTATAGTACAGTAAAAAAAAAAAAAATTGGCAATGGTGGGTTCTGCCTGACAATTGCTGCCTGATATTTTGAAAGCAAAATAGTCACAAATGTATTTAGGCCATTTCATTAAAAAAATGAAATTATGCTTTAGGTAAGCTTTACCCTTCATCCTCTTCCCCTGATTGTGATTCACTGATTCATGATGGATGAGCGTTATGGTGTGGCCGCCTGACTGTAAGATGGCCTGGTGAGCTCTGCCTTCTGGTACCTATGCCCTTATGTGATCTTTTCCTCCTGAGTGTGAGCTAGATTTAGTGACTCACTGTAACAAATAGGAAATGGCAGAAATAAGGGGCTGTCTCTTCCAAGATTAGGCTGTAAAATATTATGAGTTTCATCTTGGGTGCTTTCTCTTGTTCTTTCTTAGATCTCTCCCCTGTGAGAAACCAGCCACCATGTTGTAAGCAGCCCTGTGGCGAGACCCACATGAGGAAGACCAGGGCTTGCCAACATCCTCTGAATGCACGTGGAAACAGATCTCTGTCCCTCCCCTCAAGGCCCAGCTGTGCATCCAAATGAGATCACAGCCTTTGTTGACAGCTTGACAGTCTCCTCATGAGCCAGAGAAATCAGCTAGGTGACTCTCAGATTTCAGACGCACAGAAACTGTGAGATAATAAATGCTTATTGCTTTAAATGCTAAATTTTTGGGGTTATTGATTATGCAGCAATAGATAAGATAGATGAAGTGTGCAATGGGAATGATAAATTCTACAGTGGGCCCTAGGTCACTGTAAACAGGAGCCACAGTGATATAATCCCAAGTCTCCAGTGTGGCATGAGGCTGAGAGCATACTAGGGTTTATCTAACTTCTTGGTTTTGAGTTTCTTTCCATTTCCCTAGGCTGAGGCTAAATTGGGATTTGCTATGGTGAGAATGTGTCTTCTAAATTTCATGTATTGGAAACTTTCCCCAAATTTATATATTAATGATATTTGGAGGTAGGACTTTTGAGAGATAACTAGGATTAGATAAGGTCATAAAAGTGGGGTCTCCATGATGAGACTCAAGGCTTTATAAAAAGAGGAGGAAGGAACTGAGTTGACGTGCTCTTGCCCTCTCGCCATGTGGTACCTTCTGCCATGTTATGACACATTAAGAAGGCCTTCATCAGATGCGGCTCCTTGATTTTGGACTTCCTAGCCTCCAGACTGTAAGAAATAAACTTGTTTTCTTTATAAATTACCCAGTCTATTGTATTCTGTCATAGCAACACAAAACAGACTAAGATAGGGGTCTTCATTAAGAGCAACGAATATAGAATTTAGCCAACTAAAGTAAATTTATTGGAAAGATGTCTGGAATGGGGTAGATGGGGTGGAATGGGGGTATAAAATCAACAGGAGGCTGTGAGCAGGCTTGGGAACCTGTTGGAGGCCGCAGAGTTCCAGAAGCCAGGGAAAGGAAGCTTCACAACATTGTCTTAGCATCAGTGGTTCAACACAGCAGCACTGCAATACCTACCTTCTGATGCTATTTTCCATCCTTGCTTCATTCACTCAGTATTCAGAGCCCTGAAAAGAGCCTTCCATTGGCCATGCTTAGTTACCTGCCCACCCCTGGTTATATCGGTGTTGTGAAAGGAAGATGGGGGCTCTTTGGCCTTCCTAATGGAGGGCAGGCACCAGGGATGTAACCTTTGTGGCAGAGACTGTTACTGATAGAGTTGGAATGTTTGTCCCCTCCAAATCTCATGTTGAAATGTAATCCCCAGTGTTGGCGGTGGGGCCTGGTGGGAGGTGTTTGGGTCATGGGAGTGGATGCCTCATGAATGTCTTAGTGCTGTCCTCATGATAGTGAGTGAGTTCTCTTGTGATCTGGTTGTTTCAAAGTGTGTGATGCTTTCTCCTTTCTCTCTTGCTCCCACTGTCACCATGTGACATGCTGTTCCCACTTCACTTTCCACCATGAGTAAGAGCTCCCTGAGGCCTCACCAGAAGCCAAGAAGATGCCAATGCCCTGCTTCCTATACAGCCTGCTGAACCATGAGCCAATTAAACTTCTTTTCTTTATAAATTACCCAGCTTCAGGTACTCCTTTATAGGGAAGCAAAACAGCCTATTATAGTTACCACTTACCCATTGTCTGCTTTCCTCTTTTTTAGTAAGAAAATTTATTGGAGCCACACACCCCATTTTTCCAGGCTCCCTCACACAGAAGTATGTGTATCTTAATTCTAGTCAATGGGGCCATATGAGCAAAAATGGTTTATGCAACTTCTAGATTGTACCTTAGAAGGAAAGGTACTTATTCTATTTTCATTTTCTCATTTTTTTTATAGTGGAATGTAAAGATTGTGGATGGTCATCCTTGACCTCGTGGACAAAGGCCATACCTTAAGGATGACAAAGAAAAAAGCATGGAAGGAGCCTGTGTGCCCGACACTATTGGCCTGCCCCTCAGGACTGGGGACCACCTTGAATGTTGTAAGAGAAGCCTACCTTGTTTAAATGAGCTTTTGTCAAAATAGCCTAGTCTGCATTCTGAGGCTGCAACCACCAGGGGAAAGGGAAAGCCCTGAAGGGTACTCAGGGTGCTACCAGGAGGGGAAAATGCATGCTGGGCAGCCAACAGTGGCCATTACCATCACACTGTTTAGGAAGCACGTGCCATTTCCTGAGTGAAAGTTTTCTTTAATTTTTGGTGATGGTACTAATAGATGGGCAAATTAGAATTCCTACATTGGGCCTATGCCCTGGTAAGGCAGCTTTATGTTTATAAATTCCTCTGCCAACCAACATGCTCTGCACCCAAGTTCTTACATCCTTCAACCTTTACCCATCCATGGGAACCTTATGCAAAATAACTCCTAGGATCATGGAATTTTGGAGATGTAAGGGACATTAATGAGCAAATAGCTGGAACTCGGGCTCCCAACCCTGTTTGTTTAGCACAACCTCCAGGAAAGCTTGTTGAAAATATGGGCTCTTGTGTTATTTTTCATAAATAGTAATTGCCCTGGTCTGGAAGAGGATTCTATATCCTACCCCATTGTAGTTTAGCATGGTATGTGATTTGTTTTGGCCAATGAAACAGAGTGAAAATGATGTATGTCAATTTCAGGCAGAAACATCTAGAGCCAGCACTTGGTTTGCCATGTTCTCTGTGTTTCTTCTGCTCCTAGATGCAGCAGTACTCCAGATGGAGTTTGCATTATGAACCTGAATTCCAGGATGAAAATAACATGGAATAGAACTTAGCCAGCACAAAGTACACATGTGCTGTGAATAAGAAATACCCTTTTGTTATTGTAAATCACTGAGATTTTGAGGTTGTCTGTTACTTCACCATAATCTAGCCTAATATAAACACTAAACTAATATACTGCTCTACCATAGTCATTTATTTCCTGCTCTTTCTCCTCCTCCTTCCTCTATTTCAGTGTTTAGCAAACCTTTGCCTGCCTGTTTTTGTATGGCCTGAAAGCTAACCATAGTTTTACATTTTTACATGGTTGAAAAAATCAAAAGGAGAATAATAGTTCATGATGTAAAAATTATATAAAATTTAAATAAATATCAGCATTCCTTTTTTTTTTTTTTTTTTTTTGAGATGGAGCCTTCCTCTGTTGCTCAGGCTGGAGTGCAGTGGCGCGATGTTGGCTCACTGCAATCTCTGCCTCCCGGGTTCATGCCATTCTTCTGCCTCAGCCTCCCGAGTAGCTGGGACTACAGGCACCCGCCACCAAGCCCGGCTAATTTTTTTTTGTATTTTTTTAGTAGAGACGGGGTTTCACCGTGTTAACCAGGATGGTCTCGATCTCTGACCTCGTGATCTGCCGGCCTCGGCCTCCCAAAGTGCTGGGATTACAGACATGAGCCACCGCACTGGGCCAAATGTCAGCATTCTTAAATAAAGTTTTATTGGAACACACACACACACACACACACACACACACACACACAAAGAATATGAGCTCCTGCCCTCACCATCCACCACGCTGCCACCACCTCACTCAGTTGTGTCAGAAGTTCATTAGTTGTTCTCTGTGGGTTCTCTTCAGTTCTCCAGAAGATAAAAGAAGCCCTAAGTGCTCCTACATCCCTTGTAAAGAGGTCCCCAAGGAAATTCTGCCATTTTCCTTCACAGTTAATGGGGCTGCCCTCAGGCGTTGTCATTTGCTACGTCTTCATGGAGATCTACATGGCTTGTCATCCTGCTTGCACAGGCCACTATGAAGCCCTTCGTAGTGAGGATCTTCCACAGGGGCACCACTCCCAGGCATTGCCCAGGCTTGCAAGAACCGCAGGCATTACCCAGGCGTGTAAGAACCTGAGGCTTGTTATCAAGTCATGTCCTCATCCCCTAGGAGGTTTTGGTGTTTTGGCCGGGCCCACTCAGAGTGGCCAGGGTCTCATGCACCTGTGGAAGCTGTAACCACCCATTCCCCAGTGTTCTGCATCTAATTACTGTCCCATGGTAGGTTCCCATGCCTTCCTATTTTACAATTTGTGTACAAAAGTTTCCATGCCCTCCCCATCTGAGGTTTCATGTGGATTCCCTTCAGAGCCTAAACAACGAAAGCTGGTAACTTAACATCTCAGAAGGTGCAAATGGAAATACCCTCTGCGGGTAGTTACGCAGTAACACACAGATTAATGGAGAGTGGGAGTGTCTAGTGAACTGCAGAGCACACACTCAGTCTAAATAGGTAGGTGTTACTTGTATTCTGCCGATCTCGTTGGTAATAAATGCCCAGTGTTGCCTAATTCTAATGACTTTTCAAGAGTTGTTGAAAATTTGGATTTTATAAAAGAAAACATGTGAAACACCTTTAATTTCAAATATTGGTAAATTGACTAATTTATATTTTAAAAATGACACCGTAGATTTTACATTTAGAAACCAAATTTACATTGTGGGTCACAGTTATAACCTCTGGCTAGAATTTACCAGTACAGTCTGTCCCAGCTAACTCTCCTGGTGTGAAGAGGAAGAAATGGCTTTTGATTCAATTCCAAGGAATATAAAGCAAGAAAAGAAAACAAATGGGCGGATCACCTGAGGCGGGCGGATCACCTGAGGTCAGGAGTTCGAGACCAGCCTGGTCAGCATGGTGAAACCCAGTCTCTATTAAAAATACAAGAAATTAGCTGGATGTGGTGATGAGCACCTGTAATCCCAGCTACTTGGGAGGCTGAGGCAGGAGAATTGCTTGAACCCAGGAGGTGGAGGTTGCAGTGAGCCAAGATTGTGCCATTGCACTACAGCCTGGGCAACAGAGCAAGACTCTGTCTCAAAAATAAATAAATAAATACATAAAAATAGATAAATAAATAACATGACATCCATTACTTTCTCACTCTCTTACTTCAATAATCATGTTGCAGAAATTAAGTGATAAATTAATAATATTAATATACAAAATATAGCACAGTGTGCCCTCACTTAACACCATGGATAGGTTCTTGGAAGCTGTGACTTTAAGTGAAACAATGAACAACAAGTCCTCCAATAATGTTGTCTCCTTCAGTGTTGTTTCATTATAACACTGATGAGAAAAAAATACTGGTTTCATTATATGTCACTTTGCTTAAAGTCGCAGTTTCCAAGGATCTATTGAAGGCATTGAGGACTTACTATAGTTGGCACATGTTGAGTGATTAAACAATGCATAAGTTTTATCTGATATCCTTGGGTCTACTTCTAGACCAAGCTTTTGGTTGTGCTTTCGTATTTCTGCACTCTCGCCATACTCTATTATTGTGGGTTTATATTTGATAGGACACATCTTAGAAATTGCACAGTATATTGTTGAAGGACATTATTTTTACTCACTCATATACATTCAAATGTTTAGACAGATGAAATGATCATCCAGCTTTTTCATTGGAAGGAGTTTATCTTGCACTTTACAAATGGGGAAACAGTCCCAGAAACATTAAATGGCTTGCTTAAAGTTTTCCAGTTAGTTGGCGATTGTGTCTGATTAGAAATGATATGGTAGGACTTCCTGTCCAGGTCTTTCGTCTACACTGAGCCTCTGCAATTCCCCCGCATCCTATTGGTGCACCTGACATTTTCCCCCTTCAAGTCATTCGTCATGATTAAGGTGTTATTTACAAAAGTAGTCTGTATGCACATTGCTTTTCAAAGTATTGTGTTAGCATGGTACTCTATATTAGGTTCCCCAAGTTACACTGGGGTGTGGGGAGTGGGGGGAAAAAGAGAAAGGTCTGGGAGTGAGGCGTCTGGGTTGATGAGCAGTGCCAGGGTGGGCTGGGGAGGCAGAGAGCATGCAGCTCCCTGGTAAATGTACTACTGAGAGGACTGAAAGACAAACTTTACTATTTTCTTGACTTTTTCTCTGATCTGCTTTGTCACAGTAGTAAAATCAGGGAGACAAGGAGAAAAGAATGAGTGTTAGAAGCAATTTGCTGGATGCTTCGACAAAAGCAGCAACATGAACCCAATTAAAAAGAAAAAGTAAGCATAGAATTTATTTCTATTCTAATAGATCAAAGCTAACTCCAACTTGATTTTTTAAAATAAAAAATATGTTGGTAAAGGTGTGTAAAAATTGAAACCCTTGTTCATTGCTGGGGAGAACATAAAATGATGCAGTTGCTCTGGGAAACACTATGGTGTTTCCTCAAAAATTAAACATTGAATTATTATATGATCCAGCAATTCCACTCCTGGTTATACACCTCAAATAATTGAAAGCAGGAACTCAAACAGATATTTGTGCACCCATGTTCCTAGCATCTTTCTTTACAATTGCCAAGTGGTAGAAAGAACCCAAATGTCCATCAACAGATGAATGAATAAACAAAATGTGGTGAATACATACAATGAGGTATGAAAAAAAATGGAATTTGGATATATGCCACAACCTAAGTGAAACTTGAAGACATTATGCCAAGTGAAAAAGCCAGACATAAAATAACAAATATTCTATGACTCCATTTACTTGAGGTATCTAAGGTAGTCAAATTCACAGAGACTGAAAATGAATGGGGGGTGCCAGGGACTGAAGGGAATGAGGATGAAAGGTCATCCTTTAATGGGTATAGAGTTTCAATTTGGGATTCTGGAGAGATTGGTGGTTATGGTTGCACAACAATGTGAATGGACTTAATGTCATTAAATTCAACACCTAAAATGGTTAAAATGGCAAATTTTATGTTTTGTGTTAATATATTTTAGCATAAAAAAAATTATTTGTTTTCCCTCCCCCTAAGTAAAATTCTAAATCTTTGAGTATCATAGGCTTCTAGTTTGCATTTAATTTGCCTTTGTTTATTGGAGCATACTAGAAACTCAGGACTACATGTACTAATTTAACCTATTCCTCCTTTACAAGGAGGAATTGGGGCCTAGGTTTTGTAGTCCACTTTCAGTGGACACTTTTGGGGGAATATAATATAAAAAATATGTGTTACAGTAATAATCTCATTATAATAATGTAGCAGTTCACCAACCTAAGTAAGAAATAAATGTAAATTTATTTTTCTATAACTAAATTTTACTTTTGTATGCTAATATTCTGGGGTCTATAAAAACTTAATTTCAACTTCCTTGGTCTTCTATTTTTCTCTCTGATTCCATCATATTTCTGGGAGACTTAAACTATGCCAAAGACCTGGAAGGAGGGGCGACATTTGGTCTTAGCTGCCATCTGTCCATGATTGTATCCACTGAGGTGTCATTGAACCCACCTGGTCCTTGGCCAATGGTCTATAAAAGTCACTGCTGAGTCATCCTCTGCCCCTGCTCTCCAGGCCTCCTCAGGTTCAGGCTGCTGTTGCTGGTCTTTTGCTAGCCCTCGAGCAGGCACACAGTCATCCACTTCCAAGCCACTCCAGGACCCTGGCAACCTGTGAGGCTGGCCATTCCTGGGCACAAGGCTCTGTTTACCTAGACACACCTTTATAGGACTCAGGCTGGATGGTGAGATCAGGCCACCTCCACCTCACAATGTTACATGGGGTTCAAACACCTCTTAGTGTGACATACAGGAAAAGTGGTGTGGAGTCATGGGCATGATGTTTACTTCTCTCTGCCCTCTTTGATTTTGTTAAGCCCTTTATTTCTACCATGAAATATCTGCCTGGGAGACCTAAGAAGTGACACATGAGATAGGCAAGAATGTTACCCAGTACTGAAGCATATGAAATCCTTCTCAGACAGGCTGGGGCAAATAACACCTACACCCTGGGTTAGAAGTAACTTGTTTGTTGAGATAGAGAGGGATAAACGTGGCAAAATGATAGTTTTGAAATATTGTCCTCACTTATCCCAATCTTTAGCTAGAATATTCCAAGTTTGCTTTCTTAGAAACATCAGAAGAAAATCAGAAAGAATCTGAAAGAAAAATAAAAGAGAATTAATTCTTTTTTTTTTAAAAAAAAGAGTAAATTCTTAGTGTTTGAGTGTCAAGGGCTAGACCTGCACTGTCCAACATGGTAGCTACCAGCCTATAGCAAGTAACTATTTAAACTTAAATTAATTAATAGTAAATAAAATGAAAAAGCCAGTTTCTTATTTGCACTAGCCACATTTAAAGTGCTTGATAGATAAATGTGGCTAGGCTACTGTATTGTATGGCTCAGAATTACAGATCATTTTTACTATGGCTGAAATTGGGTAGTGCCAAGCTAGACCATGATACGTAATGAGTAAAAGCCAAGCTTTTCAGCCTTTGGGATTTGAAAGGATTTCCTTGGCTGGGAAAAGAAAAATGGATGGAGGGAATATAAGAAAGGAAAGAGGATGGTGGGCCATCTGGTAAGGGTGGAGTCCACATCTGGAGGGACCCAGTCTCTATTGGGGAATGCTACTCACTGAAGCCAGCTAGGAGCTATGGAGGAGCTGAGTATTGTCTGGAAGCCATCTAGTCTCCAGTCAAGTTTTCATCATACAGAGCCCACCTTGAGGAAAAGTGTTAGATGTTTTTCCCCATGTCATGAGTCATGGGACGGTTCGTTTGCTCATGTCTGGATTCAATGCACTGACAGGGTCTATTTGAAGTGTGATGTTGTGGGCGCAGGGGATAATGGTGTAAATTAAGAGGATGGTAGGCAAGTTGCTCAGTGCTGTTTCTTTAAAAGAGCCCAACAAAGTCATGGTCAACTCTAGAAGATTCAGCATGTCACTGTCCAGAATTATTTTCCAGAGGTTCCCAGAGGGTCCCAGTTAGTTGACTAGCCATTATTGCATCTGAGGATTGTGGGGATAAAAGGTAAAGATGCAAGTGGTTGGTGGATATACTGTTGGGAGAGTGTCTGTCCATCTTAAGCTCTGCCCTAGTCAATTCTCTTGAGTTGTAATTTTCCTGGATTTTAAAGTGGGGCTCAAAATGGATCTCAGATTGTCCCTAGAAGACTCCTGATTTCCTTGACCCACATTTATCTGGCCTCCTCTTTCCCTTTTCCAAGAGACCCACTACCTAGTTTTAACAAATGTTAGATTGTAATCTTCACAAAGCCAGAACTGCTCCCTGTCCCCTTTGTCCCATTGCCATCAGCTCAGTGCCATTCACCAGGTCCAGTGGATGCAAGGGCAGAAAGGATGCAGGTAGGCAAGAGTGAAATATCAACCTGGGCCAGCTGGTCAAGGACAAAACAAACAAGCCAGCAAAATATCCAAGAACTGATGTTATTGTCTATGAATTATTTACAGCTGAATGGAAAGGTTGCATATAACAGTTTTTGAATGTTTTCAGATAGGAATTATTGTGAACTTGGCTTCTCATTCATCTTTGTCAGAACTGACCCAAAATTGTTTTGTGAAGTGAATTTCATCTTTGGCAATGGTCTTTCTTTGCACTATTTTCAAGTTGTGTTTTTATATTTAGGAACTTGTCCTCATTAAGCTCATCAACTTCGACCCAAAGATATCACTGTATCGACAGTTAAAGAGCACAAGTCTGGACATTAACCAGAAACATGTAATGTCCATGCTCAAACTGGACGCAGCTATGGAGCCACCTAGTCCTCGTTAATGTATAAATGAGAAAAAAAGTCCATCCCAAATGTTGTAACTAGCCTGTTTCTTGTTCCAAGCAATAGAAAAATCACTCTGGCTCAAAATTTAAAGTGGAATTTATTTAAGTAATACTAGGGTAGCTCATGTAAGTGGAGAAACAGCTGAAAAAACAAGCTACAGGAAGGACAGGAACCAGAGAAGCTTGTGAGACTTCAGCATCAGAAACGATAGGAATTTCTCTCTAGGGTGCTGCTGTATGATGATTCAGCTCCCACACCCTGAAGACTCTGTATGTCTGTTCAAAATTGAAATTCAGGGAGGAGAGTTTTGTTGACTTGCTTGAGTCAGGCATCTCTATCCTTGGATTAGTGAACTGCAGCCAGTGGACATTGGGAGGTGTGTGTAGGTGGGCATGGCCAAAGAGGGACCCATGGGCCAACACCTAAATTATGTCTAATACTCTGATATGCTAGGTTATGCCCTCTGTTCCTCTTTGCTCCTGCAGATTCATTTCCATCCTTCTCTTCTCACTCTGTGTCACAGGAAGTCGACCACTACAGACTACATCACTTACTCATCTGTGCCAACTCTTCTGGCACCAACAGGAAAATCAGAGGGTAAAGAGAAGAGAGACATCAAGATATTTCTTTCCCACCTTCTCCTGGCTGTAGGGCTGCTTCACTGGGAGCAAGTGCCTTCCTCCACAGCCACAGCTCCACTGGCAAAGCCATGTCCCTTTGGCTGCAGGAGTTTTAACAACATCCTAATACCGCTAGATTTTGGGTGCCAAAACACCCTTCTTATTTTGCTCTTATCCCTTCCCACATCTTTATACATAGCTTTTTTCTTAAAGTCTATTTGTTTAAACCATCTGGGTGAATTCTGGTTTATTCCAGAGGCCTGACAAGTAGAACCCCACTACACCATAATAAAAGAGAGTTGTGTACCTGACCAACACTATATTGACCTTTGTAGAACTGTAGAGTTTTGTTGTAAGAACATGTACCCCACTTAGGGGAATGTATAAGATTCAATGTTATTAGATAAATACTTACCTGTTTTGCTATTATCATGTTGTTGGGATGTACAGGGAGCATGATTCTGCTTGGTCAGGATTCCTTTAAGGAACCACCCATCTCCGATTCCAAGTCCATGTGGTTTGGATGCCATGAATTCCACCCTACCACCAGGAGACACAGAACTTTTCCTGGACAGAAGCTGTGGTGGAAGCTGGGATTTTTTTTTTAAAAAAAGGGAATCTATTCTTCTTGGAGTTGCTAATCTGGTAGAATTTACACCCGGAACTGCTGGTGGTCACTGTCACTTCTGAGTGGGGAGTCTTTTTGCAAATGGGGCCACACAAAGGAAAGGTTGCACTGAGATCTGGGGAGAGATTCCTGACAACACTGTGTGAGCGCCTGGACCGGCAACACCTGAAATCATAGATTAAGAACTTAACTTTTTAATTTTCTTAGCTTACACATTTTTAGTTATATGAGTCAATAAGTTCCCTTTTATGCTTAAGCCAGTTATCATTTGCAACTGAAAGAGTACTGACCACTACAACATATTAAACTTTATGTCTTTTTTTAAAAGATGGCCCACTGTGAACGAGCTGGAAATGCCTGATCTCCCTTGGTTTAATGGAGAGGAAGGGATCCAAAGGCTTAGGGAGATTGAAATGGTGGAGTGAATTAGTCACTTTACACCTACTCATCCCAGCTGGGAGAGTACAGAAGATATACCCTCGATCAATGTTTTGCAAAATAGATTTGTGAGGGCAGCACCTGCATCTTTGAAGAGCCCTGTAATTGCTCTTCTCTGTATGTCACATCTAATCGTGGGAACCGCAACTACTCAACTACAAAATATAAATACAACAGGAATAATTGGATCGCAAGGTGACAGGGGCCAATTGGTGGCACTCAATCATCAAAGGCAAGGTGGGCGTAGCTACCGTAGTGGACAGCAGAAGCAAAGCAGCAATCAGAATAGTCTGACTCATATACAGCTATGGCATTGGCTAATTAATCACATTGTTCCTAGCAGTGAAATTGATAGGAAGCCTACTGCATCTTTCTTTCTTTCTTTCTTCCTTCCTTCCTTCCTTTCTTTCTTTCTTTCTTTCTTTCTTTCTTCCTTTTTTTTTTTGAGATGGAGTCTTGCTCTGTTGCCCAGGCTGGAGTGCAGTGGCATGATCTTGACTCACTGCAACCTCTGCCTCCCGGGATCAAGCGATTCTCCTGCCTCAGCCTCTTGAATAGCTGGGACTACAGGTGCCCACCATCACACCTGGCTAATTTTTGTATTTTTAGATAAGACAGGGTTTCACCATATTGGCCAGGCTGGTCTCGAACTCCTGATCTTGTGATCCACCTGCCTCGTCCTCCCAAAGTGCTGGGATTACAGGCGTGAGCCACTGTGCCCGGCCCATTCCTATAATTTATATAAGCAGAAAAATTCCAGGTCGAATGGACAAAAGACTAATTTGAATTATAAAAACAGAGAATCATGGCCCCTCAATCAGTTTCCAGACTTGAGCCAGTTTAAAACCCAGAACCCCTGGAATGAAGGGGAGGCCGGGTCCCCTTGAGGAATGAACCCACTATACTACTGATAATTTATGCGGTTAATTTTTCTCCCATCCTTCCCCAAGGAGACCTCCAGCCTCTTACCAGGGTAACTGTGCACTAGAGTAAGGGAAATGATCAGATATTTTAGGGACTACTGGACACTGGCTCTGAGCTGATGTTGCTGGGGCAAATAACACCTACACCCTGGGTTAGAAGTAACTTGTTTTTTGAGATAGAGAGGGATAAATGTGGCAAAATGATAGTTTTGAAACATTGATTCTAGGGGACCCAAAACGTCATTGTGGTCCTCCAGGTAAAGTAGGGGATTATGGAGGTCAGGTGATTAATGGAGTTTTAGCTCAGGTCCGACTTACAGTGGGTCCAGTGAGTCCCCGGACTCATCCTGTAGTCATTTCCCCAGGGCCAGAATGTATAATTGCCAGAGACATACTTAGCAGCTGGCAGAACCCCCACATTGGCTCCCTGACTGGTAGAGTGAGGGCTATTATGGTGGGAAAGGCCACATGGAAGCCATTAGAGCTGCTGCCTCTACCTAGGAAAATAGTAAGTCAAAAACAATATTGCATCCCTAGAGGGATTGCAGAGATTAGTGCCACCATCAAGGACTTGAAATACACAGGGATGGTGATTCCCACCACATCCCTGTTCAACTTTCCCATTTGGCCTGTGCAGAAGACAGATGGATCTTGGAGAATGACAGTAGATTATCATAAGCTTAACCAAGTGGTGACTCTAACTGCAGCTGCTGTACCAGATGTGGTTTCATTGCTTGAGCAAACTAACACATCTCCTGGCACCTGGTATGCAGCCATTGATTTGACAAATGCCTTTTTCTCCATTCCTGTCCATAAGGCCCACCAGAAGCAATTTGCCTTCAGCTGGTAAGGCCGGCAATTTACCTTTACTGTCCTTCCTCAGGCGTATATTGACTCTCCAGCTTTGTGTCTCAATCTTATTCAGAGAGACCTCAATCGCTTTTCACTTCCACAAGATATCACACTGGTCCATTACATTGATGACATTATGCTGATTGGATCCAGTGAGCAAGAAGTAGCAAACACACTGGACTTATTGGGGAGACATTTGCATGCCAGAGGATGGGAAATAAATCCAACTAAAATTCAGGGAACTTCTACCTAAATAAAATTTCTAGGGGTCCAGTGGTGTGGGGCTTGTCGAGATATTCCTTCTAAGGTGAAGGATAAGTTACTGCATTTGGCCTCTCCTATGACCAAGAAAGAGGCACAATGCCTAGTGGGCCTATTTGGATTTTGGAGGTAACACATTCCTCATTTGGGTGTGTTACTCTGACCCATTTATCAAATGACCTGAAAGGCTTCCAGTTTTGAGTGGGGTCTCGAACAGGAGAAGGCTCTGCAACTGGTCCAGGATGCTGTGCAAGCTGCTTTGCTACTTGGGCCATATGACCCAGCAGATCCAGTGGTGCTTGAGGTGTCAGTGGCAGATAGGGATGCTGTTTGGAGCCTTTGGCAGACCTCCATAGGTGAATCACAGCGGAGGCCTCTAGGATTTTGAAGCAAGGCCCTGTCATCTTCTGCAGATAACTACTCTCCTTTTGAGAGACAGCTCTCGGCCTGTTACTGGACTTTGGTGGAAACTGAACGTTTGACTATGGGTCATCAAGTCACCATGTGACCTGAACTGTCTATCATGAACTGGGTGCTTTCTGACCCATCTAGCCATAAAGTGGGTCATGCACAGCAGCATTCCATCATCAAATGGAAGTGATACATACATGATCAGTCTGGAGCAGGTCCTGAGGGCACAAGTCAGTTACATGAGGAACTGGCTCAAATGTCCATGGTCTCCATGCCTCCCACCCTGCCTTCTGTCGCCCAGCCTGCACTGATGGCCTCATGGGGAGTTTCCTATGATCAGTTGACAGAGGAAGAGAAGACTAAGGTGTGGTTCACAAATGGTTCTGCACGATATGCAGGCACCACCCGAAAGTGGACAGCTGCAGCACTACAGCCCCTTTATAAGACATCCTTGAAGGACAGCAGTGAAGGGAAATCTTCCCAGTGGGCAGAATTTTGAGCAGTGCACCTGGTTGTGCACTTTGCATGGAAGGAGAAATTGCCAGATGTGTGATTATATGCTGATTCATGGGCTGTAGTCAATGATTTGTCTGGATGGTCAGGGACTTGGAAGAAGCATGATTGGAAAATCAGTTACAAAAAAATTTGGGGAAGAGGTATGTAGATGGACCTCTCTGAGTGGTCAAAAACTGTGCAGATATTTGTATCCCATGTGAGTGCTCACCAACAGGTGACCTCAGCAGAGGAGGATTTTAATAATCAAGTGGATAAGATTGATACAGAGAGCTCCACCCCTGGGCCTGTGCCCACAGACCTAGGTGAGGACCGGCACTCCTGCCTTTGCACCTAAATGTTGCATTTCCCAAGGCCACCCTGGCCCACCATGCCCCCATCCTGTGTCTACAAAAACCCTCGAGACCCTAGCAGGCAGTCACACAAGTGGCTGCTTGTTGAGAGGAGCACATCAGCGGAGGAACACATGGGCAGCTGGATATCAAGAGGAAAACACTGGTGTAGGAGATGCTGGCATGCCAGCAGGCCATCAACTGGTGGAATGAGGTGGAGTTTGGCCAGGGGAGTTGGAGGAGAGCCCAGGCCACCAAGCAGCCCGACCCCAAGGGAAAACCATCTCCCTTCTGGCTCCCCCATCTGCTGAGAGCTACTTCCACTCAATAAAACCTTGCATTGATTCTCCAAGCCCATGTGTGATCCGATTCTTCTGGTACACCAAGGCAAGAACCCTGGGATACAGAAAGCCCTCTGTCCTTGTAATAAGGCAGAGGATCTAATTGAGCTAACACAAGCCACCCATGGACAACTAAATTAAAAGAGCACCCTGTAACACACGCCTACTGGGGCTTAAGAGGCTGTAGACATTCACTCCTAGACACTGCTGTGGGGTCGGAGCCCCACAGCCTGCCTGTCTGTATGCTCCCTAAGAGATTCGAGCAGTGGGGCACTGAAGAAGTGAGCCACACCCCCATCACATTCCCTGTGAGGGAGACAAGGGAACTTTTCCCATTTCAACTGGGGACCGCGCCTGGATCCTAGAAGGTGAGTATGAACGAATGTAAAACTGTGGGGTCTGCCTCTCTCTTCCAAAACCCTGCCATCTCTCTCTATTTCTTGTGGGTAAGAAGCTCTGTCTTCCTTCACAGAATTTTTTTTTTTTCCAGACGCAGTTTCACTCTTGTTACCCAGGCTGTAGTGCAATAGCACAATCTCGGCTCACCTCAACCTCCGCCTCTCGGGTTCAAGTGATTCTTCTGTCTCAGCCTCCCAAGCAGCTGGGATTACAGGCATGCACCACCACGCCCAGCTAATTTTGTATTTTTAGTAGAGATGGGTTTCTCCATGTTGGTCAGGCTGGTCTCGAACTCCCGATCTCAGGTGATCCGCTGGCCTCTGCCTCTGCCCTAACTGGGATGGTCAAAACCCCCCGAGTTTGTCTCTTTTCTCATGGTTTGAAGTGGCTCTTATCTCTTCCTTTATAATGTTAAGAGTTTTGCTACAGGCTGCGGCAAAGTTACTAAGTAAAACGAGCATCTGGCCCAGGCTCCAAAGGTACATATCAGACCAACTGTTCCTAGAGTTGCCATATATGCCTCCACCTCCACAGCCGCAAGCACGCACGGCTCAGGGCACCTCTCCTTATCCTTTCCCCTCCCAGCTCGTGTGCCTGGGCATGCCCACAGCAGACAAAGGCTGAGCCCAGCAGCCATGGAGGGATGGGAGACCAGGAGAAAGCCGCAGTGGTAGCCATGACCCCACAGGGCTAATGGACAAATGAATATTTCTCGCCTGCTGTGCCAATGGAACCTTTCCTCCCCTGGGTATTGATGTGGTATGTACCCATGAAGCAGGGAAAACCTGGAGAATAGGAATTAACCAGGGAGGTGGTTTTCCCTTGGGGTCGGGCTGCTTGGTGGCCTGGGCTCTCCTCCAACTCCCCTGGCCAAACTCCACCTCATTCCAAAGAATTCAACCCCGTCTGAACCGGGGGAAAGATGTAAGGATTAGAAAAGCCCAGTTACACTAAGCAAGGGTTTCTTCCCCAGAATCTGCCTGTTTTGCCACTTAAGCTGTTATTCTCTTTTTCCTTTTCAAAGTGAGAGGGCTCCCCACTTCCAACTCTGTTTCTGATAGGGAAGTTAACAGAGGAGTGACCCCTGCTGGCTGATAACTGCAAATTGGGCAGGGCACATTTGAGACACTCTAAACACATAAAAACAGCCTCTAAAATATCTTTTCAGTCCCAAACTCAATTCCAAGCTTCAGGCTCAGGCCCTAGAAAGGAAAACGAGGTCTGAAGGATCGAAAGACAGGCAACAGGCACAATGTAAATGAGCAGGACAAATTTCTGCCAACCGAATCCCACCCCACAGAAGGAGGCCATGCTTCATGGCATAAACAGGCCCAGGGCACTCAAAGTTTGCTGATACCAGGGAGAAATGAAGGCATAGGTGAGGGTGGTTAATTCCTATTCTCCAGGTTTTCCCTGCTTCATGGGTGCATACCACATCGATACCCATGGCTGGCACCTGCCAAGGTCACCAGGGCTGAGGGATAAGTGGTGGGGAGTGAAGGGAGGATGCTTGCTTTCTCTCTCCATCTCACCCGGAGTTTTCTCTGAGAGAAGGAAGGGAATGAGGGACGTCTCTATCCTCTGTCTTTCAGAATGGGCAACCAGGTCTCTTCACCACCCCCAGCTTATACTCCTCTGGAGTGTATCCTGAACCACTGGGATTGCTTTGACCCTCAGAATCTGGAGGAAAAGCACCTCATAGCCCTCTGCACAAAGGTTTGGCCAAATTATGATTTACAGGAAGGACTGGCTTGGCCTCAGGAAGGAACCATTCATTTGGATACAATTTGGCAATTGGAGCTTTTCAGTATATGTGAGGACAGATGGTCTGAGGCCCCATATGTGCAGGCTTTCTACACCTTGCAAGGCAATCCAGATCTTTGCCGACAATGTAGGATCGATCCAGCCTTCCTGTTTGCCCTCTCAGGGAAGGCTGCAAAGGGCAAACCCAGGGGATTAAAGACATGAGTCCCAGAGGCACCCCCAGCAGAGGAGCCAGCTTCCCCCCAGACCTGCTTCTCTGGGTCCACCCCATCCTTCCTATTTAGCTTCAGCCTGTCACTTACCCGCTCCTAGAAATCCTCACTCTAAACAAGCTCCAGTCTCATTCTTGCCCCTCCAACAGATGCCCAGTGAATTTGGGTCCAGTAAGTTCCAGATTCCTTTTTCCCTACAGGACTTAAAGCAAATTAAGGGGGATCTTGGAAAGTTTTCAGACAACCCTGATAGATATATAGAGGCTTTCCAGAATTTCAGTCAAATATTTGAACTCTCCTGGAGAGACATTATGTTACTTTTGAATCAGACCCTGATGGACACTGAGAAGGAGGCTGCTCTGCAAGCAGCAGAGAGATTTGGGGATGAGCTTTGCCTCACATATAGCATCAGAGAAGGGGGCAAATATTATCCAACTGGAAGAGAAGCAGTACCAGTGAATGACCCTAAATGGGATCCCAATGACGAGGTGGAAGACTGGAAAAAGAGACACTTTCAGGTGTGCATAATGGAGGGCTTATGTACAACTAGGACCAAGCCTCTCAATTATACTAAGTTGCCCAGGATTGACCAGGGATTTGATGAAAATCCGACTGCATTCCCGGAAAGGCTAACAGAGGCCTTGGTAAAGCACACCTTTCTATCTCCTGATTCAGTTGAGGGACAGCTAATCCTAAAGGATAAATTTATTACTCAGGCAGCTCCTGATATCAGGAGGAAGTTGCAGAAATGGACCCTGGGACCAGATAGTACTTTAGAGGACCTCCTGAAAGTAGCCACCTCAGTCTTCTACAATAGAGAAAGGAAACAAAGGAAAGAGACAAAAGCTTTAATGGCTGCCAGGCAAGCCCACAAACCCTAGAATTCCCAGGGTGCACCTGTTAACTGCTAAAGATACGGCAAGAACAGTTATCTCTCTTCTAAAAGTTTAACCGCTCTAAAGTTTAATTTCTTTCACCAGGGTGAAACAGCTTGGGGTACAATGTTGTTGTTAGTATATTTTACTTCTTGTTTCTGTAATCTTTGGCATGAAATTCTTTCCTTGTATAATACACATGTTTAACCTGTGCATACTTACCATTATAAAACTTGTTATTTTCCTCTCACTTACAAGCCATCAAACTCCAAACAGTCAGGCAACCAGAGCCTCGGATGGTGGTTTCCCTTTGCTAAGAACCCTTAGATAGAACTCTGGGAGGAATCTGACTGCTGTTTTCTGCAAAACAATGCCCCCTGTAAGCAGGAAGCACTAAGCTCTGTTATTGTCTATATTCTAAAGGCAGTTAGATGTGCCTCTTCAGAAGGGGGATGTGATATGGAAGGGGAGGAGAAGGGCAGGTCCCCAGTGAGAGTTCCATCCCCAGGCCTGTGCCCACATACCTAGGTGGGGACAGGTACTCATGCCTTTGTGCCCAAATGTTGCATTTTCCAAGACCACCTTGGCCCAGCACGCCCCCATCTTGTGCCTATAAAAACCCCTGAGACCCTAGCAGGCAGGTACACAGGTGGCTGGATGTCAAGAGGGGCACATCAGTGGAGGAGCACACGGCAGCTGGAGGTCAAGAGAAATGCACTGGTGTAGGAGATGCTGCCATGCTGGCAGGCCATCGACCAGTGGAACGAGGCAGAATTTGGCCGGGGTAGTCAGAGGAGAGCCTGTGCCACTGAGCAGCCCTGCTCCAGGCCCACTGGGGCTTCAGGAGCTGTAAACATTCACCCCTAGACACTGCCTTGGGGTTGGAGCCCCACAGCCTGCCTGTCTGTATGCTGCCTGAGAGTTTTGAGTAGCAGAGCACTGAAGAAGCGAGCCACACCCCCATTGCACAAACTGTGAGGGGGACACAGGAACTTTTATTGTTCCAGGATGACCCATTCTGTGGACAACACTCAGCTTCTTTCCCCAGCCACCCCTGTCATCATCCAATGGGCCCATGAACAAAGTGGCAATGGTGGCAGGGATGGAGTTACACATGGGCTTAGCAACATGGACTTCTGCTCACTAAGGCTGACCTGGCTACAGCCACTGCTGAGTGCCCAATTTGCCAGTGGCAGAGACGAACACTGAGCCCTCGATATGGCACAATTCCTTGGGGTGATCAGCAAGCTACCTAGTGGCAGGTTGATTATATTGGATCTCTTCCATCATGGAAAGAGTGGAGGTTTGTCCTCACTGGCATAGACAGTTACTCTGGATATGGGTTTACCTATCCTGCACACAATGCTTCTGCCAAGACTACCATCCATGGACTCACAGAATGTCTTATCCACCATCATGATATTCCACACAGCATTGCCTCTGACCAAGCCACTTACTTTATGGCTAAAGAAGTGCAGCAGTGGGCTCATGTTGATGGAATTCACTGGTCTTACCATGTTCCCCATCATCCTGAAGCAGCTGGATTTTAAGAACGATGGAATGGCCTTTTGAAGTCACAATTACAATGCCAACTAGGTGACAATACTTTGCAGGACTGGGGCAAAGTTCTCCAGAAGGCTGTGTATGCCCTGAATCGGCATCCAATATATGTTTCTCCTATAGCCAGGATTCATGGGTACAGGAATCAAGGGGTGAAAGTGGAAGTGGCACCACTCACCATCACCCCTAGTGATTCACTAGCAAAAGTTTTGCTTCCTGTTCCTGTGACATTATGTTCTGCTGGCCTAAGGGTCTTAATTCCAGAGGGAGGAACACCGCCACCAGGAGACACAACAATGATTCCATTAAACTGGAAGTTTAAAGATTGTCATCTGGACACTTTGGGCTCCTACCTTTCAGTCAACAGGCTAAGAAGAGAGTTACAGTGTTGGCTGGGGTGATTGACCCCACTATCAAGATGAAATTAGTCTACTACTCCACAATGGAGGTAAGGAAGAGTCTGCATGGAATACAGGAGATCCATTAGGGTGTCTCTTACTATTACCATGCCTTGTGATTAAAGTCAGTGGGAGACTACAACGGCCCAATCCAGGCAGAACTGCAAATGGCCAAGACTGTTGGGGAATGAAGGTTTGTGTCACTCCACCAGGAAAAAACCCATGACCTGCTGATGTGCTTCCTGAAGGCAAAGGGAATACATAATGGGTAGTAGAGGAAGGTAGTCCTTAATACCAGTACGACCACGTGACCAGTTGCAGAAACGAGGACTGTAATTTCCATGAGTATTTCTTCCTTCTTTTGTTAAAAACATGTTTGTGTGTGTATACACTTATACTAAGAAAATATCTTCATTTTATTTCCATTTTCCTTTATCATGTGACATAAGACTTATTGACTTCATATCAGCATTTAAATATTGTTAACTTTATGTAATAACATTTGGGTTGGGGATTGGAGCATTTCTGGTTGTACAAAAGATAGTTGTATTATGTTACGTGTAATTATGACCTTATTATTGTCTTAATATTATGTTTGATCTCAGGAGATGTGTATAAGTTCAAGTTGACAAGGGATGGACTTGTGACAGTTAATACTGAGTGTCAACTTGATTGGACTGAAGGATGTAAAGTACTGCTGCTGGATGTGTCTGTGAGGGTGTTGCCAAAAGAGATTAAGATTTGAGTCAGTGGGCTGGAAAAGGCAGACCCACCCTTAATCTGGGTGGCACCATCTGATCAGCTGCCAGCATTGCCAGAATATAAAGCAGACAGAAAAACAAGAAAAGACTAGGCTGGCTTAGCCTCCCAGCCTACATCTTTCTCTTGTGCTGGATACTTCCTGCCCTTGAACATCGGAGTCCAAGTTCTTCAGCTTTGGGACTTGAACTGGTTTCCTTGCTCCTCAGCCTACAGATGGCCTATTTTGGGACCTTGTGATCATGTGAGTTAATAGTCCTTAATAAACTCCCCTTTATCTATCTATCTATCCTATAAGTTTTGTCCCTCTAGAGAACCCTGACTAATACAAGCCCCACAAAGGAAAGGCAGCACTGATATCTGGGGAGAGATTCCTGACAACACTGTGAACATTTGGATCGGCAATACCTGAAATCATAGATTAAGAACTTAATTTTTAATTTTTTTAGCTTACACATTTTTAGTTACATGAGTCAGTAAATTCCCTTTTCTGCTTAAGCCAGTTTGAGTTGGGCTTTCTCTCATTTGCAACTGAAAGAGTACTGACCACTACAACATAGGAAATTTTACCTCTTTTTTTTGAGAGTCTTCAAGATCCTAGATCCAGGAATGACTTTTTTCCCTTCTGAGTAAATGGTTTATTTTATGGATACTGTATATCATATAAACAATTCTGCTTTGGGCAGAAAATTGAGGATCAAATTTTGGATTCACTTCTAATCAGTGAAGGGCTTTACCTTGTCGTCGTTGTTGTTGTTTTTAAAATACACCAACATTACTCATGGCTCTATCTTATTTTTCCTACTTTTATTATTCTTTTGCCCTGGTTCCATCACCTTTTAAATTTTATCTTGCTTTATTTTATCTCTGTAAGCTTGTCTAATTAATTTTTTTTTTAGCAAAGGCAGTATATAAATAAATAGGCTAAACGATGAGAACATTCTGTATGATTCTGTTTACGTTTCTGTTGTCAACCAAGAACATCTGTTTCTTTTGAGAAGACATGTCTTTAGTGTATTACAAACATCACTGCCTGCCTGTAGGAGATAATGTGTATAATCTTGCATTTCTTAATAGGCTTGTGGCTTTACTTAATTATCTTTGCCAAAAAATATTATTGTTTTGAGGGGAGAGCACAGGGTCTTATTTAGGTGGTTATATAATTTCCCCTCACAGTAAAAATGTAAACAGGACATGAATGCATAGATTTACTATAAGTGGGCCACCACGTAGGGCTGTCAGCCTAAATTACTGGGTTCAGCATTTATCCTGTAACATCTTAACATTTTGTATACGTGGTTCCATAACTGTGAGATTCTGTGGTCAGATGATGTCTTCTCCTTTCCCACGCTTTCTTCATACAAATTCTCTTGCATATCCTTTTGTTCCTTGGTTTCTATAAAGGTCCATCTCTTTCTTCTTAAAGAGATATTTCTTAAACACTTGGACAGGCATGCTATGGCCAGTTCATGTGCCTACTATGGTTCAGTAATTGCTTATGATTTCAGAACCACCTACCACAAGGCCCCTAGATTCTGTCTCCCACTTCCACTGTTCCCAGTACCAATTCTCATTCTCAGCCACACTTATCTCCTCTTTTTGTTCAGAGCACAATTGTGCTCATGCTTTCCTCCCACCATAAGTGTCATCTTCAAAAAGTCCTTCCCCTTTCTCTATTCATCCACATTCTACTATTTTTCAAGATTGAACTCCACAAAGTTCTTCCCAGGCATTACGCTCTGCACAGGTCTTTCTTGTCATCAAACCTTCCTGGAGTGCATGCTCAGAGGCTGGCATCACATTATGTGTGACACATTGCATGCATTTTCCTCTAAATAGCAATTAAATATGTGCATTTGTTTTATGTAAATATTTTGTTTCTCAAGAATAAATCTGGGCCAGGCACAGTGGCTCACGCCTGTAATCTCAGCACTTTGAGAGGCCAAGGTAGGAGGATCACCTGAGGTCAGGAATTTGAGACCAGCCTGGCCAAAATGTGAAACCCTGTCCTACTAAAAATACAAAAATTAGCTGGGCGTGATGGCACATGCCTGTAATCTCAGCTACTTGGAGGCTGAGGCAGGAGAATTGCTTGAACCTGGGCAGTGGAGGTTGCAGTGAGCTGAGATCACGTCACTGCACTTCACTGGGCGATAGAGAGAGATACTGTCTCCAAAAAAAAAAAAAAAAAAGAAAGAAAGAAAAGAAAACATCTAAAGCTTCTTGAGATGAATATTAGGTCTTTATTTATTTCTTATCCCTCAAGTATTTAACACAGTGCTAAATGCACAGTACATATTTAATGAAAATAAACTAAATGTACTGTGAATTAGGAGACCTGAAATTTAGTGGCAAGTTGTTTTTGGTTAGCTATCTGACTCTGGGCTACTCATCATTTTACCTTTTGAGTCTTCTAATTTCTCATGTAAAATAGGAAAAAATAAATGTCATGGACTTTGCTAAAAGAAAAAATTAATCACCTGGGGCAGCTAAGGGAATGCACATAAACAAATAAGGGCACACTTTTCTTCTTTGTCTTACTAATGATTGAGAGGGAGCCTGGGTTCGGTACAGAAGGAAATCCCCAAGACCGGTGTTCTACTCCTAAGCATGCACCCATGTGCAAACTTGCAGGGTCCCTGACAGTGAAGTGTGGCTGGGAAACTGAGTTCTGGCCAGTGGAATGTGAGGAGGTCATGTGTTCCCGTCTAGTTCTAGCTCACAAAAATTATCTCATGCTTACTTTTCTCTTTTCTTTTCTTTTTTTTTGTTTTGAGACAGAGTCTCGCTCTGTCGCCCAGGCTGGAGTTCGATGGCACGATCTCGGCTCGCTGCAACCTCCGCCTCTCGGGTTCAAGTGATTCTCCTGCCTCAGCCTCCCAAGTAGCTGGAATTACAGGCACTTGCCACCACGCCTGGCTAATTTTTAAGTAGAGATGGGGTTTCCCCATGTTGGCCAGGCTGGTCTTGAACTTCTGACCTCAGGTGATCCACCCACCTCAGCCTCCCAAAGTGCTGGGATTACAGGCGTGAGTCACTGTGCCCAGCCCTCTCATGCTTTCTTTGCTCTCTTTTCCTATCAGCTGGTGGAATATAGAGAGCTGGGAGGACCTGGTGTGGGTGTTCTCTTCATCTCCTGGGTACACGGCTGGATGATATTTCCTGGATTTTAGTGTAGTTAGGTGTGGCCAAGCTTTGGCCAGTGGAATTTGAACAGAAGTCACGTGTCCAAATCCCATGCCTGGTCTATAAAATCTTCCCATCCGTAATCTTCCTGCTTTCTTTACTCACTGAATAGATAAAAATTCCAGGGACCTGGAAGAGTGTAGGGCCACAAGCTGGAAGTAGCCTAGATCCCGAGGAACATCATGGAAAACAGTGCCCTCACCCCTTCCCGTGAGGTAAGTCAGGAGCTGGGATTTCAGGGTTTATTTATTTTTTTAATAACAGCCAACTTTATTTCCCCTAAGCAATTCGTGTTTTATAGGCTAACTAGAAAGACATGTGTGTTAGATGAGTATTACTCCAGCTAGCAAAGACTTCTTCTACCCACATGACTGCTTCTTTGAATTTTTGCCCAATAATTACAAGGCTTTGATCACCCAAAGTACGAACACCCTAGGCTGCAAGCTCTCTGAAGACACGGGATCATGTTTGTCTTGCTCCCACTATATCCTTAGCACTCATTTAGAGCATGGCACACAGTAGGTGTTCAGTAAATACTTTTAGGATGACAGAGTCTCCTGAAGTGATCGTGATGTGGGTGTGAATTTTCCTAGTCCTCTTTGTATCTGTGTCAAGTCATACATACCCAAGAACTGCAAATTTAGGTAAGTACTTTATTATGACAAACTGGGAACTCTCTCTTTGTTGACTCAAGTAAGAGACATTAATATAAATGGAAAATTATTTTTAAATGTTCAATAATTTTACAATATTAGGGGGTAAGAGCACTCATAGAACTGAAGTAAGAATCTGTGCTATTACCTGGTCTCCTTGGTAGAAAGTCATATGTAAAGGTGAGCGATTACATTCACACGCAAAAATACATAAACCACCAAAGCCTTTACTTCTTTTGCTGTTGGGAAGCCCTGGCCTCTGGGGTGGACAGTCATATGCAAATAGGCATCTATTACTCAGCAGGGAAGGGAGGCCTTGACCCACTCTCACACTAATTTAATTTTATAAAATCTTCACCTGGGTCTTGGTCAGTGTATAGGATATTGGTTTTTATGTAAATACTTCATCCTCGTTTTGTCCATCAGAGATTGAACTTGCCATGCAGTTAGCTGAGAAGCGTCATACCTGGTTCTTGGTTCGGTAAGCTATGCTACCAGTGGTTTCCATGGAAATGACAGTGGAAACGGCCCCATGTGCCTGAGTTGTTAGAGCTGCCAGCTGGACTCTGAGGAGAGGTGCTTTTCCCCTTGACATCCAGAGCCCATCGCCAGCACGGATGGGATGGCAGGCTGTCATGACCCCTGAGTAGGCCCTAAAGCTCCAGCCCTTCAAATGGCTGAGGACATCTGATATTTTTGGTTATAACTTGAAAAACTTTTTCAGAAACAAATTACTTATTGGATATTTTTGTTTTCAATGTCAAATATTAACATTTCCCTTCAATTTAGACTCATAGATCTAATGTAGTGGTTAATAAGTGACTTTTATAAATATGAACTTGTCCAGATTGTTAAAAATTCTCCGATCTTTTCGTTAGGGGAAAAACCCCTGAATATTGTTTATTTTATGAATATTCAATAAGAAATATGTTCTCAAATATTTCATGGTAAATTGGGAATATGTGTTAGTATCTTTGGTAAACTTTGTAACCATTTTTAGACCCTGCTGGTAACTTACCAGGGGAATTGGTTAAACTGTCCAATTTCTTGTTGCCTTTGTTTCCTAATTTATTAAATAAAGTTTCAGTGAAGTGGGAGTAGTGAAGACTGAAGTCTACTCTGACAGAAATGGTCATAAAGTTCCTGATAGAGGGTGGATGTTTACTAAAGTGTACCAACAAGTAGATGTAACTAAATCTTGACCATTTGTGAATGATCACACATTGGGCTGTTCTGAGAAAATTAATATTCTGCTTTATTTGTTGTTTAAAGATAATCCATATATAGCCCATCAATTTTCAAACAATGTAATACAATATGATATATTCTAAAGTTATACTGCACACAATTTAGTCTTTGATGATTCACTAATTGTGTAATATGGATAGTATACAATGAAAAGCAGTTTACAGAGCACAGTGTCAAACATTAAAAATGGGAAACAATGGATAAACATCCCTTCTTCCCCTTTAAAATTACTTTAATTTAATTTTAAAAATTCATATTTGACAACCTTACCTTTATCACAAAAATAGAGCTCAGGAAAATCATCCTGGTTATGTGATGTTTCTTCTGGCTTAGGCTATGAATAGAAGGGAGGCTAATAAACTATAAAAACAAATATGATAATATTAATAGGTACATTTCAGTGAGAAAAAGACTCAAGATTCACCAGTGTACTTGGAAGGAAAAAAACCTGTTTTGATCTAATGGCTAAAATACATGTATGTGAATTACAACGGGAAAGCATCTCCTCTGCACTTGAAAATATGTATGTTACCTGAAGCTGGGCAAGTCATCAGGGGCGGAATGTGATCGTCGTTAAAAACAGGAAACATGGTATTTTGAGTAGACTTCAGGTTTACTATAGAATATAGAAATTCCCACCAGAAACACAGTCATGTTCATTGATATTTCCCATGCCATTTGATTATCTTATCCTTCATATGATGCCAGTTTGCTTTTTGAAATTTTCATGTTAGCAATTATTTTTTATATTCAAGTCACAGTACTCAGGATATTACAGCTTTTGATACTTGAATTTAATATCCTTATAGGACAACTGCTGAATCCATTAGTTAGCCATCTGGTTTAGGGTAGCTTGCCTGCTATTTCTTTAGGCTTTCAAATTCTTGAAATGTTTTGTACTTATGATCATTTGCATTTTAAATGCATGCATGTGTGTTCATGTATATACTGACATCTTGCTTTAACAGTTCACTCTGAATGAAATGAAAGGGTGACTTCCAAGAAGATTTAGTAATTGAAATGCCAAAGTGATCTCATTACATGGTTTTGTTCCCAAGTGTATTAGTTTCTTATGGCTGCTGTAACAAATTGCCACAAACTACGTGGCTTAAAACGAGACACATTTATTCGCTTACAGTTCTGGAGATCAGAAGTCTGAAATCTGAACTGAAATTGAGGTATTGTTTGGGCCATCCTCCATCTGGGGCCTGCAGGGGGGGATGCTTTTTCTTGTCTTTTCTAGCTGCATTCTTTGCATCACTTGGCCTGTGGCTCCTTCCTCTCCAAAGCCAGCAGCTTCATATCTTGATTTAGTTTTCATGTTGCCGTCTGTCTGGTTCCGGACCAGGGTCATCAGCTTCTAATTCTGATGCATGATCTCTCCAAGATCACTGGATACAGGATCCCTCTGCCTCCCTCTTATAAAATACTCTTATGGTTACATTTAGAACCCACTCAAATAATCCCGGATAATCTCAATATTCTTAATTTAATCACATCCACAAAGTCCCTTTTGCCATATAAGGTAAGATTCACAGATCTCAAAAATTAGGATCTGGATATCTTTGGGGACTATTATTCAGTTGTTCAGGAAAGGGTTAACTCAGGAGGCCCATGTTGCTTAAATCCTGCACATTCTCAATGTCTTTAGGACTGGCCCTTGGCCTAGTCTCTAGGAGAAGACCTCTGAGTCTGTAGAGTATCCTACCTGGTAAGTTTCTTTGTAAGGTCTTCAGCCACACCAGATAGTTCATGTCAACAATATAATTTATGGCGAATGCCTATTTTTGTGTGCTTGAGGCCATGGGTCACGTTCTGTTTGACCTCTTGGGAGTGGGGGCCTGGAGACTGAGTAGCTAAGGTCAGTCATATGAATGTTACATGCCTATGTGACTGACCCCTTAATAAAATCTTTGGACACTAAGGCTGGGTGAGCTTACCTGGTTCACAACACTTAGCAATTAGCATGTGTTGTCACACCTTGTTAGTGAGAGAATTATGCACTGTCCATGTAACTCCACTGGGAAAGGATAACTGAAGCTTGTGTCAGGCTTCTCCTGGACTCTGTCCAGTATGCCTTTTCTCCTTGCAAATTTCAATATGTATCTTCTCACTGGAATAAATTGGAACTGTGTTTATAATAGCTTTTCTGAGTCCTGTGAGTCCTTCTATTCAATCATCTAGCCTGAGGGTTGTCTTCAGGATTCCCAATACATCAACTTACCATAACTAGTTAGTGCAATAACCTAGAATTGAGGTTGATATTAGGATAAGAGGTGTCTGTGTGTATACAATATGTTGTGCAAATACAGTATATACATAAAACAGAAAAGACCATCTTTGGTAAAATATTAATCTTAATTAAAAATGGAAACATTGTTAGTATATATTAACAAATTACTGAGAGCTATGGAAATTAGATACTGTATCACTATTGCATTGAAAACCATGGAAACAGGGTAAATATTTTAGTTTTGTGTACAAATGTATAAGCCCAAACCTTGGAAATATACACAGAAATACTATGCATGCTTCAAAAGCTTAAAAATAAAATATACTCCTACATGCCTTTGAGAAATAATGGAAAATAAATGCATTTAATTTATTGTGCTTTCATTGCCAATTCACCTAAATCTAGAGCAAAAGTAAGCAACAGAAGGGCATGAATTAGACTATTTTCTTTGTGAGAACAACCATCATCTAATGAGCTGAAAAAAATTACGTCGGAAAATTATTTTCTTTCATTTGGAAGAAGATAGTGTTTAGAAAATTGATTGAGCTAATAAGTTAGACCCTGATGGGATCTGAATTCTTGTGGAATGTTCTCGAATGCCAAAAAAAAAAAAAAAAAAGAAGAGTTACTGTTATTCTGCAGGGAAAATGAATCAAGCAAGATGGGCTTGTATCAAGCATTTTTCATTTTAATACTTCCTACTTCTGAAACTTCAGTGAAATTACTTTGGTAGTTTTTTTCTTATTTCACTTTTATGTGCATGTGCTTAGTGAAAATTGTTGAGTGGCTGAACCTTATATACCTAATTAAATTGGGGCAGAGCTAGGCAACCAAAGTATGTGTGAGAACGAGGAAGCAGAATGAGGCCTTAGAAAATAATTCCCCAATCATAGAATGGACTCCAAACTATCACAAAACTACAGAAACATGACTTGTTGAGTTTTCTGGATATTTTTTGTTTTGTTTTATTTTATTTTATTTATTTTATTTTTTTTGAGACGGAATCTCACTCTGTCACCCAGGCTGGAGTGTAGTGGTGTGATCTCGGCTCACTGCAAACTTCACCTCCAGAGTTCAAGCTATTCTCCTGCCTCAGCCTCCCAAGTAGCTGGGATTACAGGTGCCCACCACCACGCCTGGCTAATTTTTGTATTTGTAGTAGAGACGGGGTTTCACTATGTTGGCTAGGCTGGTCTCGAACTCCTGACCTCAAGTGATCCACCCGCCTCAGCCTCTCAAAGTGCTGGGATTACAGGCATGAGCCACCATGCCTGGCCAAGTTGTCTAGATTTTTTTTTAAGGAGGCTTTGGATGTTATATGGGCTTGCATGGAATTGTTGAACTAGATTAATCAGATAAACCCTAAATTGGTCCAGAAATGCACCCTCACTCTGAATGTCAAATCACTGGATTCAGGGTGCAAGAGAATTGGATCTGCTGTGCCAGGGTCATGGTGCTCCTGGAAGTCCGACTGCAGCTTTTGGGGGAAACTGTGAGGCTTGGAATGAGTTCTGTTCTATAGACTTTATAGGCTGTTCTGCTAGAACCATACATACTCAATGTTTTGCAATGTTATTTGTTGAAGCCCAAGAAAAAATTTTCCTAGGAAAATTTTCTTATGAAGAAACCAATGCAGAAGGATACCAAAAGCTCTGCTTGACTTATTTCAAATGACACTCAATTTCATTTGAAAAATAAAACAGTCTTAGGAGGGCTATGACAGACAAGCTTTGGCTGATTCCAGACCAGGGTCATGGGTTAGTAATTCTGATACTTTTATGTTGTACAAATCCAGAGGGTGGCTATGAAATTCTGTCAGTCACCTAAGAAACTTACTTAACTTTTCTGTGCCTTGGTTTCCTCACTTCAGAAATGCAGATGGCACCAATAAATTGAAACTTTGAAATTCTGGGATGATGCCCCTTCTTTGTCACCTAACCATCCCTTGGTACACAGAGCCTCTGCTAATGGACCAGTCCATTTTAATGTGGAATTCAGGAGAAGGGTGAGAAGTTAGTTGTGCTTCCTGCTCAGATGATTAATTCCTAATAGAGGAATTATGAGGTTTAAATGATACAATACTTGTAAAGTATAATTAGCTGTTCCTGGTATATAACAAGCTTTTATTATTAAATGCTTCAGGTGGTGAAACAGAATTTTCTGAAGACCAGACTCTTGTACATAATGGGAATTTTCTTCTAGAAGTTGGAGGTGTTTTAAGGACTTTATGTGCCTCAGAGAGGAGAAGGTAATTCTGAGTAGTTGTTAAAACATGCTATTGACATATATAGCATGATAGAGCATGGGAGGCCTTGGGGATGGAGAAGTATCAGTAATTAAAGAAAGTCTGTTGGGTCTGATATTAGGGATTATATGTGGCTTTGTTTCTGCCAGGGTCTGTTTCTATGGCAGAATACCTGACAATATTCAAACCAATATTTGGGAAGCTAGAAGTTTCAGGGACACTTTTTGGTCAATGCCTGACCACATCCTAGGGGGAAAAACATCATATGCACATACAATTGAGTGATTCTTGCAGCAAACTGTACCAGAGGATACTATGGAATGCCATTTGGAAAAATCAGGCTCTCCTAGAATATGCTGCTGGGGGTGTGAGAAGCTTACAGCAACATTCACTGGAGAAATTCAGGCTTATAGCAGTCCTCAAATCCTTGCTATTAGTGAAACTAATTCCAGAAAAGCAAAAAAAGAGTCAATGAGGCTCTCAGGGATAAAATATAACAGTAGGATTGTGACTAGAGATGGAGCAGAGGTGAGTCTCAGGGTGAGGTCTGAGCAGTGCTCCTCAGATCTTTTTGGATCTCCACATCCCATATGGGGCCCTGGATGGGACCAAATCCTTCAATTGCTGCCAGTGAGGGAAGCCTGGTCGCAAAAAAGAAGAGCTAGAATCACTTGCAAGCCCGTCACTGGTAGCCAGCAGGCCTCAGTAAATATAGAATAGGTTGAGGAGGAAAAAAATGGTGAAGGGAATGGCTTCCTCTCAAGGCAGTATTTGGTGAACCAGTGTACTATTGTTACTCAGACCGCATGATTATTTTGAGAGACTTTGGTGGAGACATTGAAAGTTTGAAATTTTGGGATGATGCTCCTTCGCTCTCCCCTAAACATCTCTTGGTACACACAGCCTCTGCTTATGGACCAGTAGATATTAATGTGGGATTCAGAAGAAGGGTGAGGGCTTGGTTGTGCTTCCTGACCAGATTGATGGAGACAGAAGCATAAGGAAGAATCCTGCAGGAATCATGGGAAGGACTCTCTATTCTATGTGTGTAGAAATTAAGATTTAGGTCTAGGATAACAAGATTCTCAAGGAATAGAAAACCCATAGCCAATACTTGGAATCCAACAATAATGGTAAACACAATAGCCTCTTACTTTAAAAAGATCATATTCAATTATTTGAAATTAACTTTCTTATGTTGTTTGATGTAATCCTCAAAACGAATGAGAAAATATTATTACTTCCATTTTTATTAATGCTAACCATGAGGTTCTAGACGATAGAATCTGATTTCACACTAAAGTGGGACTAATTTGATTTCTTTGTCTTTCCTTGTATGACAAACTATTCAAAAAGCATGATTTAAAACCAATGCTGATATACACTGAGAAGTTCACAGAATTTTCCATGGAATACAGGAGTTATGTTTTCCGAGGGAGCATTGTACTTATTGGGACCTTACTGTTGGCATTTAGTCATGGATTTTCCGCATGGCTTTTCTTGCATTACTGTCCTGAGATTTAGATCTGTAAGTCTTTCTCTTTAATAAAACAATACTCTTCCTAAGGGTAGGCAAATATTTCTGTAGGTTACACAGTGCCTAGCCCAATGACATCTACACAGTGTTACTAAATTACTATTTGGTGACTTTTTTCTGCAATAGTGTGAGATAAAACTGTCTTTGATGTTACCTTGTAAATTTTACATAGATGACAGACTTTAAAATTTTGTATTCTGTGTGATTTTTCTGTAATTTCTTTTTACTGGCATGTGGTAAGGAATTGCCTAATAATAAAAAAGCACATGTGAACAGATATGAAATCCTCGATGTTGAAATTTCCATCTCTCTCTTTGTGAAATATTGTTTTGAAAAATAAAGTAAGTAAAAATCAGCAGTAGCTGGTTAGTGTTAAGAAAATGTTATCTGAGTTAAGAAAAAATGTTGTCTGAGTGACCTTTAAATTTCTAGTTTGTTAGAAATTAACATCCTCAGGAGTACAAGTGAAAGATTCCTAAAGAAGATTTCAAAATTGCTTCCACTGTGTTTGAGACATTATGAGAAAACTATGTGCTAACAGGATTCAATGACACTGAATGGGGAATTTGTTGCAACGGGTTCATATGTCTGTTTCGCAGCAAGAGACCAATATACTGAGACAGCAGGGTTTGCAGCAGAGAAAGAGTTTAACGATTGCAGCATGCCCAAGTGAGGGGATGGGAGGAGACTCTCAAATTCATCTTCCTGAGGCGTTCTGGTTCGGATTTTTTTTTTTTTTTTTTTTTGAGACAGAGTCTTCCTCTGTCATCCAGGCTGGAGTGCAGTGCAGTGGCATGATCTTGGCTCACTGCAACCTCCGTCTCCTGGGTTCAAGCAATACTCCTGCCTCAGCCTCCCGAGTAGCTGGGATTACCAGCACCTGCTGCCATGCCCAGCTAATTTTTGCATTTTTAGTAGAGACGGGGTTTCACGATGTTGGCCAGGCTCGCCTCAAACTCCTGACCTCAAGTGATCCACCTGCCTCAGCCTCCAAAGTGCTGGGATTACAGGCATGAGCCACCGGGCCCAGCCCTGGTTTAGGGTTTTTAAGGGGATCATGGAGGGCAATGTGCTGGAAAACTGGGGTCATTGATTGGTCAAAGTAAGTAGGATGAAATCATCAGGATGTAGAAATTGCATTCTTTCATAAGTTGGCTTCTCATGGGGTCCTTTAGACCAGTTGAAATCAATAGTTTCACTGGTATGCAAGACATGAAAAAATGTCTCAAAGGGAAAACTTAACATTTCATAATGTTCAAGTTGCTGTCTATAGAGCAAGTAAGGGAGACTATAATCTTGTGACAGTGTTTATGTGATTCTGGTGTGATAGTCAGCAAACAGCTATGAGGAAGCAGGTCAGACAGCAGGCTGACCTAATGATAATGCTGAGTGTGCTGCAAGCTGTGTTTAATTTTCATGTGTCTCCTACCCTTCTTCCTGGATTAATTTTACAAAGTTTATCGAATGGGTTTAGATTTACAGTATAAATGGAAAGACTTTCAGATTTTAGCTACTTTCGTGGTCTTCTTTATTTCTCAGGAAATAATATTTATTTTCTTCCTTCTATTGGGAATGATATAGTTAACTCCTTCCATACTTAGTAAGTTAGGAGAATTTTCTTTCCCCCATCCCCTTTCTTTTATCAAGTCAGAGAAAGAGGATAGAATGAGAAATTTTAGATAAAACATGACTCTTTTTAAAGGAAAGTTGCTTACTTGAAAACATAAACAAGAGTAAATGATTTCCCCAATATCAAATATTGATCATTTCCACTATGACAAATAGATAACTAGACAAATTTTTCCTTTGAAAATATGTTTTTATGTATTTGACATGGAGGAAAATATTGATTTTGTTTAAACTTCCAGAAGAGTGTTTCACTTGAGTGCTAATTCACGGTTGTGGTAGAAAGGGAGATGCAGAATGCTGTGATATCATTTGTCTTCTTACCCATCATAGTCTTAACAATTTTATTTTTTTCATACAACTCTATGCATTCTCACTTTCTCTCAGATGGTCCCTCCAGACTTCTTAACACTTACAGAACACTTTCAAGACTAAAATTTTTAAATCTAAACCAGGCATTAAAATTTTTTTCACAGGTAAGAATAAAACCATTCTCATTAATTTTAATGAGTGTTTAATATAGAATTTCAGAATTTTTTTAACAAAGACTCTTAATAATTGCTAACTGTCAGCATTAGTATTTTCTCTGTTTCACCCAGTTTCTCAGAGCTGCTTCAGAAACTGAGAGAAGTGAAATATGTTCTTTTTTATACCTTCATTTTCTAAAAATAAAATGACCAACTGATTAAAAAAAAAACCAAAAGAAAAAAAAAAAAACTTGTGAGTAGTCAAGCTGAAAAGAAAGTCATCAAAAATAAATAACAGAAAACCTGAAAAAATCTTTTAACCAAACTTTGCATTAAAAAAGAAGAAGAAGAAAAAAGGAAAAAAGGAAAGGAATCTGAGTCAATAAAAAATTATTCACTGTGATAAAATAGCACCAGGTAGTTTTACTACCTGGTTTTCTCTTGCTCATGAGACTGTTTTTAAAGAAAGTTCAAGAGATGTCAGTTCAGTCTCAGCTGGGGTCATAAACTCATTCCAAAGAACCACTAGATGTGGTGGTGACCACAATCAAATGTTTTTTTAAAAAAAACCCGGCCAGGCACGGTGGCTCACGCCTGTAATCCCAGCACTTTGGGAGGCCGAGGCGGGCGGATCATGAGGTCAGGAGATCGAGACCATCCTGGCTAATATGGTGAAACCCTGTCTCTACTAAAAATACAAAAAAAATTAGCCGGGCATGGTGGTGGGCCCCTGTATTCCCAGCTACTCGGGAGGCTGAGGCAGGAGAATGGCGTGAACCCGGGAGGCGGAGTTTGCAGTGAGCCGAGATCGCGACACTGCACTCCAGCCTGGGCGACAGTGTGAGACTCTGTCTCAAAGAAAAAAAAACCCAAAACCCTTTTATTAAGATTTTAAAAATTGTTAATGTTCACTTAGAGATGTCTTTTCACAAAAAATCAACACCATTCTTAAAATATTTTTACAAAGAAAATTAGCAAAATACAGAGAAATTGAAACAGTAGAAGAGAGTGTAATGAATCCCTCATATGCATCATCTAGATTTAATAATTTACTAGTATTTATTAATATTTTTACTATATTTATTACATGTTTCAGATTTATGCAACTTTATTACCCTTAGGTTTGTTTTTATTTTTTATTGAGGTGTAATTTACATAAAATAAAATTCCTCAGTGTGAGGTAGATAATTTTATGAGATTTGACAAATGCATACAGTCAGGTAGCAAGCACCAGAATCATGATAGAGAACATTCCATCATCCTGAAATTTTCTAATGGTCATTTGTAATCAATTCCTTTCCTCCACTGAAGCCTCAGTAAAACACTGATTTACCTTCTTATTCTATAGTTTCGTCTTTTCCAGAATTTCATATAAATAGAATCATAAGGTGTGTAATATTTTGTGTCTGGCTTCTTTCGCTTCATATAATGCTTTTGAGATTCATACATGTTATTAAACATCAATAATTTTTCCTTTATATCTTATATTAATGCTCCATTGTATGGATATATTAAAGTTTTCCATTCTGTAGCTAATGGACCTTTTTTTTTTTTCCCCCAGTTTTTGGCTACTCTGAATAAAGCTGTTATGAACATCTGCATCCATGCCTTTGTGTGGACATTTATGTTTCATTTCTCTTGGGTAAATACCTAGAAGTGAGATTCTGGGTTATATTACAAGTGTGTAATTTTATTAAAAAAAACTGCCGATCTATTTTCCAAAGTGACCACTTTGCATTCTCACCAGCAGTGACTGAGAGTTCCGGTTTTCCACTAGTAATTGATTGTGTCTTTTTATTTCAGTCATTCTGGTGACTGTAGTGGTATCTCAAAGTGGTTTTAATTTGCATTGCTCTAATTACTAATTATATTGAACATCTTTCTATGTGCTTATTTGCCATTTGTATATCATCTTCTGTGAAGCTTCAGTTTAAATCTTTGCCCAATAAAAAAAAAAAGGTTGTCCTCTTATCATTTACTTTTAAGGTTTTTTATGTACTCTAGAGATATGTCCTTTACCAGATATGTGTTTTGCAAATATTTTCTTCCAGTTTGTGGCTTGTGTTTTTATTTTCTTAACAGTAAATTTTGAAGAGCATAAGTTTTTAATTTTGATGAATTCCAAATTACCAATTTGCTTTAATAGTTTTTGTTTTCTGATAGAATAGTAAAAACATTTTGTCTGAGTCCAGATTTCCAAGATTTGTTCTTTAATAAGTTTTATAGCTTTCTATTTCAAATTAAGTTATGAATATGATATTAAGTAAAGATCCAAGAATTTTTTCTACGTATGGTCATTCAATTGTTCTAAACACTTAGAAAAAACTATCAGTTCCCCATGAATTATTTTGTTACCTTTATAAAAAATTAATTTACTGCATATATGTGGAAATATTTCTGGGCTCTCTATTCTGTTCCATTTATCTACTAATCTTTTATGCCAGTACTACAACTGTCGTGTTTCTGTAGTTTTGTAGTGAGTTTTGAGATCATGTGGTTTAAGTCCTCAGCTTTGTTCTGCCTTTTCAAAATTATTTGGCTGCTGGAGTTTCTTTGCAGTTCCATATAGAGTTTTATAGTCAGTTTATCAATTTCTATAACTGGGGTTTTGATTGGTATTGTGTTGATCAGTTTGGATGGATCTGACATTTTAACAATATTGAGTCTTGTAATTAATGAACAGAGTATTGATATACATATATTTAGGGTTTCTTTATTTTTTTCAGCAATTATGTATCTTTCAGTGGATAAAGTATAACACATATTTTGCTAAAATTATTCTTAAATATTTCATAATTTTTGATGCATTGTAAATGATACTATTGTTTAAATTTCAACTTCTAATTTTTCATTGCCAGGAGACAGAAATACAGTTAATGCTTGTATAGTGTGTCCTGTGACGTTGCTAAACTCACTTGTTAGTTCTAGTCACAGATTACTTAGGATTTTTTCCATAGACAATCACATAATCTGTGAACAAAGAGAGTTTTTTTTTTTTCAATCTGTCTGTTTTTTGTTCCTCCCCCCTCTTTTTTTTGTTTTATTGCATTGGCTAGGACTTCCAGTATAATATTGCCTAGAAGTGATGAGTGTGGACATACTTACCTTTTTCCAATTTTAAGAGAAAATCAAAAAAGCCTTCTGTCTTTTACCATTATGTATGCTGTTAGTTACTGGGTTTTTTTTTGTTTGCTTGTTTAATAGATGTTCTATTTTTTAGACGTTGAGAATTTCCCTTCTAATCCCATTTTGCTGAGAATTTTTATCATATGTAGATGTTGGATTTTATTCAAATGTTTTATTCCTATATATTAAGATTATCATGTTTTTTCCTCATTATTCTGTTTATATGGTTGTTGTTTTGATTTTGTGGTAAAGCCTAGTAAATGATGATGTGTTATTCTTTTATATATTATTGGATTTGCTAAAAATTTTGTTGAGGATTTTTGTGTGTATGTTTTTGAGAAATATTGATCTATAGGTTTATTTTTCTTGTAATTTTGTAGTATGTTTTAGGTAGTCATGTAATACTTGCCTAATAAAGAATTGGGGCCAAGAGCCATGGCTCACGCCTGTAATCCCAGCACTTTGGGAAGCCTAGGCAGGCGGATCACTTAAGGTCAGGAGTTTGAGACCAGCCTGGCCAACATAGTGAAACCCTGTCTCTACTGAAAATACAAAAATTAGCCGGGCATGGTGGTGGGTACCTGTAATTCTGCTACGCTTGAGGCTGAGTCAGGAGAATCACTTGAACCCGGGAGGAGGAGGTTGCAGTGAGCCGAGATCATGCCACTGCACTCTAGCCCAGGCGACAGAGACTTAGTGTCACACATACACCCCCCACCACACACACACAAAATTGGGAAGTGTTTTTTTCCTGTATGATTTTTTGGAAGAGTTTTTTGGACTTTCTTAGAATTCACCAGTTAAGTTTATAAACTTAAAGTTTTCTTTGTGGAAAGTTTAAAAAAATCAAATTTAATTTTTAAAATAGATATACACTTTTCAAATTATCCACTTTTTCTTAAGTGAGACTTAATAAATTTGTGATTTTCAAGGAATGTATTCATTTAATCTATTTTTGTGAAATTTATTGGCATGATAATCCCTTATAACCCTGTTAATGTCTGTAGGGTCTGAAGTGATAGTTGGTAATTTGTTTCTTCTCTTTCTCTTTTTTTATTTGATCAGCTCAGCTAGAAATTTATCAGTTTTATTAATCTTTGAAAAAAACAGTTTTGGCTTCATTGATTTTTTTAAAATTGTTTTTTCAGTATTCTATTTCATTGATTTATTTTCTTATCTTTGTTGTTTTCTTCCTTCTACTTACTGTAAGTTTAATTTACTCTTCTTTTGCTAGGTTTTTTTTTATAAGATGAATGTTTAGATCACTGGTTTGAAACCTTTGCACTCTTTTGACATAAGCATTTAATGTTATATTTTTCCTCTAAATATTGATTTTGTTGCATATCACAGAAACTCTTTTTTTTTTTTTTTTTTTTTTTTTTTTTTTTTTTTTGAGATGGAGTCTCGCTCTATCGCCAGGCTGGAGTGCAATGGCATGATCTCAGCTCACTGCAACCTCCGCCTCCCGGGTTCCTGGGTTCAAGTGATTCTCCTGCCTCAGCCTCCTGGGTAGTTGGGACTACAGGCACCCGCTACCACGCCCAGCTAAGTTTTGTTATTTTTTTTTTTTAGTAGAGACGAGGTTTCACCATGTTGGCCAGGATGGTCTCGATCTCTTGACCTTGTGGTCTGCCCGCTTCAGCATCCCAAAGTGCTGGGATTACAGGCATGAGCCACTGCGCCCTGCCAGAAACTCTTACTTAGTTAAAATATTTTCTAATTTATTGTTTTTGTTTCTCACTCATGTTTAGAGTTATTTAAATTTCAGACATTTGAAGCTTTTCTAAATGTTTTTATTTTTGTTAACTTTTAATTTAATTCTGTTGTGGTCAGAAGGCATACTCTGTTAAGATTTAAATATTTTGAGATCTATTGAGACGTGTTAAGGCCTAGCATATGATCCATGTTGGTGAATGCTTTATATGCACTTCCAAAAAATGTGTATTCTTCGGTTTCTGAATACAGCGTTCTAAAAATGTCAATTAGGTAAAGATAGTTGTTAATGTCATTCAGGTGTTCTATATTCATACAATATTTTTATCTATTTTTTCTATAAATTACTGAAAAGAGTGTGTTAGAGTCTTAAAGATGATTTGGATTTGTCTGTTTTTCTTTAGTTCCGTAACTTCTTCATATATTTTCATCTCTCTTGTTAGGCACATAGATATTTATAATTGTTATATCTTCCTGATATATTGAAGCTTATATCATTGTCCATAGCAATATTCCCTGTTTTGATGTCTATTTTGTCTAATTTAATATGCCACTTCAACTTTCTTATGCTTTCTCAGTGTGTTTGTATTTTTGTATTTAAAATGCACCCCCGGTGGGCACGGTGGCTCACCCCTGTAATCCCAGCACTTTCGGAGGCCGAGGTGAGTGGATCACCTAAGGTCAGGAGTTTGAGACCAGCCTGGCCAACATGGTGAAACCCCGTCTCTACTAAAAATACCAAAAATTAGCTGGGCATAGTGCTGGACACCTGTAATCCCAGCTACTTAGCAGGCTGAGACAGGAGAATCGTTTGAACCCGGGAGGTGGAGGTTGCGGTAAACCAAGATCGCACCATTGCACTCCAGCCTGGGCAACAAGGGTGAAACTCTGTTTCAAAAAAATAAAGTGCACCCCCTTTGTAGATAACAAAGAATTGAGTTTTGCTTTTATATCTAGTCTGGCAATCTTTGCCTTTTGATTGGAGTATTTGGTCTATTTACATTTAATATAATTACTGATAAGATGGTTTTTAGTCTGACATTTTGCTATTTGTTTTATATTGATCTTACTTGATTTTGTTCTCTGTCCTTTTCTGTTTTTTTTGTTTGTTTTTGTTTTGTGTGTGTGTGTGTGTGTGTGTGTGGTAACCACTTATTTTTTGTTTCTATGTTTAGTGCCATAAAAAGTTACCCATATATTTTTGAAGTATCATATACAATGTGATTCAATTGATATAAAGCTTTATATGGAGAGATAAGTTACATGTATATGATACACATGTGTTACAGCCTAAATGTTTGTGTCCTTCAAAATGTTGAAGCTCTAACCCCAAATTTGACTGTGCCTGGAGACAGAGCCTTTATGGAAGTAATTAAGGTTAAATGGGGTCATAAGGGTAGAGTCCTGATCCAAAAGGATTTATATCTTTCTCTTCCTTTCTTTTCTTCTTCTTTTCTTTTCTTTTTCTTCCTTCCTTCCTTCCTTCCTTCCTTCCTTCCTTCCTTCCTTCCTTCCTTTCCTTTTCTTTCTTTCTCAAAAGCTTTGGTTACATGAGTGTATTCTATAGTGGTGAATTCTGATATCTTAGCGTATTTGTCACCCAAGTAGTGTACATTGTACCCAATATGTAGTTTTTTTTTCTTTTTTTGAGACGGAATCTGGCTCTGTCGCCCAGGCTGGAGTACAGTGGTGCATCTCCGCTCACTGCAAGCTCCACCTCCTGGGTTCACACCATTTTCCTGCCTCAGCCTCCCGAGTAGCTGGGACTACAGGCACCCACCACCACACCCAGCTAATTTTTTGTATTTTTTTTGGTAGAGATGGGGTTTCACGGTGTTAACCAGTATGGTCTTGATCTCCTGACCTCATGATCTGCCTGCCTGAGCCTCCCAAAGTGTTGGAATTACAGGCATGAGCCACCGCGCCTGGCCCCCAATATGTAGTTTTTTGTTCCTCATTCCTCTCCCACCTTTCCCCTTGCCTCTTCTGAGTCTCCAAAGTCTATTATACCACTCTGTAGGCCTTTGCATACTCATAGCTTATACGTGCAAATATATGGTGTTTGGTTTTCCATTCCTGAGTTACTTCACTTAGAATAGTGTTCTACATCTCTATCCAAGTTGCTTCAAGCCACTTTCATTCTTTTTTTTTTTTTTTTTTTTAGATGGAATCTTGCTCTGTCACCCAGGCTAGAGTTCAGTGGCATGATCTTGGCTCACTGCAGCCTCTGCCTCCGAGGTTCAAGCTATTCTCCTGCCTCAGCCTCCTGAGTAGCCAGGACTACAGGCATGCACCAAATGCCTGAGTAATTCTTGTATTTTTAGTAGCAATAGGGTTTCATCATGTTGGCCAGGATGATCTTGAACTCCTGACCTCAAGTGATCTACCTGCGTTGGCCTCCCAAAGTGCTGGGATTATAAGCATGAGCCATCATGCCTAACCTCATTCTTTTTAATGGCTGAAAAGTGTTCCATGGTGCCAGTACACATTTTCTGTATCCACTCATCGATTGATGGACACTTAGACTGGTTCCATATCTTACCAATTGTGGATTGTGCTGTGATAAGCATATGTGTGTAGATGTCTTCTTGATATAATGACTTCTTTTCTTTTGGGTAGATACCCAGTAGTGGGGTTACTGGATCAAATGGTAGACCTACTTTTAGTTCTTTAATAAATCTCCATGCTGTTTTTCATAGAAGTTGTACGAATTTACATTCCTCCAGTGTATAAGCATTCCCTTTTCACCACATCCATGCCAAGATCTCTTGTTTTTTAATAATGGCCATTCTGGCTGGGGTAAAGTAGTATCTCATTGTGATTTTAATTTGCATTTCCCTGATGATTAGTGATGTTGAGAATTTTTCATATGTTTGTTGTCCATTTGTAGCTCTTCTTTTGAGAAATGTCCTTTCATGTCATTTTCTCACTTTTTGATGGGATTATTTGGGTTTTTTCTTGCTGATTTGTTTGAATCCCTTATAATTTCTTGGTATTAGCCCTTTGTTGGATGCATACTTTGCAAATATTTTCTCTCATTCTGTGGGTTTTCTGTTTACTCTGATGATTATTTCTTCTGTTGTAGAGAAGGTTTTTAGTTAAATAGGTCTCATTTATTTATTTTTGTTTTTGTCCTGTTTGCTTTTAGGGTCTTAGTCATAATTTCTTTGCCTAGGCCAATGTCCAGAAGAATTTTTCCTAGGTTTTCTTCTAGAATTTTTATGGTTTCCCACCTTAGATTTAAGTCTTTGATTCATTTTGAGTTGACTTTTGTATATAGTGAGAGATAGGAATCCAGTTTCATCCTTCTACATGTGACTATCCAGTTTTCCCAGCACGATTTTTGAACAGGATGTCCTGTCCTCAATTTTTGTTTTTGTATGCTTTGTCAAAGATCAGTTGGTTGGAAGTATTTGGCTTTCTTTCTGGGTTCTCTATTCTGTTCCATTGGTCTATGTATCTACTTTTATAGCAGTATCATGCTGTTTTGGAAACTGTTGCCTGTAGTATAATTTAAATTCAGGTAATGTGATGCCTCCAGATTTGTTCTTTTTGCTTAGAATTACTTTGGCTATTTGGGCTCTTTTTTTCCCATATGAATTTTAGGATTGTTTTCTAATTCTGTGAAAATAATTTTGTTATTTTGATAGGAATTGTACTGAATCTGTAGATTGCTTTGGCCAGTACGGTCATTTTCATGACATTGATTATTACAATCCATGAGCATGGGATGTATCTCTATTTGTGTCACCTGTCATTTCTTTCAGTAGTGTTTTGTAGTTCTCCTTGCAGAGCTCTGTCACCTCCTTTGTTAAGTATATTCCTAGGTGGTTTTTTTAATTTATTTATTTTTGCAGCTATTGTAAAAGGGATTGGATTCTTGATTTGATTCTCATCTTGGTTGTTGTTGGTGTGTAGCAGTGCTACTCTATTGGGTACTTTGATTTTGTGACCGGAGACTTTACCTAATTCATTTATCAAATCTAGGAGTCTTTTGGAGGAGTCCTTAGGGTTTTTTAAGTATATGATCATGTCATCAGCAAACAGCTGTGAACTCAGAAAATATGAGACAGGTCTTAGATAATTTCGAAAGTTTATTTTGCCAAGGTTGAGGATGAACCTGCGACACAGCCTCAGGAAGTCCTGACGACATGTGCCCAAGGTGGTCAGGGCACAACTTGGTTTTATACAATTTAGGGAGACATGAGACATTAATCAACGTATATAAGAAGCACATTGGTTTGGTCCAAAAGGGTGGGACAACTTGAAGCAAAGGCAGGAAGCAGGGAGGGAGCTTCCAGATCACTTACAGGTGAGACAAAAAGGGTTGCATTCTTCTGAGTTTCTGATTAGCCTTTCCAAAGGAGGCAATCTAATCAGACCCGCAGCTTTCTCAGTAAGCAGAGGGATAACTTTGAATAGAATGGGAGGCAGGTTTGCCCTAAGCAGTTTCCAGCTCGTGTTTTCCTTAGTGATTTTGGGGGCCCAGGATATTTTCCTTTCATACAGTCGCAGTTTGACTTCCTCTTTTCCAGGTTGGATGCCTTTCATTTCTATCTCTTGCCTGATTGCTCCGGCTAGGACTTCCAATCAATTATTTTTTTTAGTATTTCATTTTAATTTCTTGGTGAGATTTTTGGCTGTGTCTCTCTGTATTATTAATTTAGTGGTTGCTGTAGGGAATATGCACCTTAAAATTAGCACCGTACAGTAAGGACCTTAAAATTAGCCTCAGTCAGGCCGGGCGCGGTGGCTCACGCCTGTAATACCAGCACTTTGGAAGGCCGAGGCGGGCGGATCACGAGGTCAGAGATCGAGACCATCCTGGCTAACACAGTGAAACTCCGTCTCTACTAAAAATACAAAAACTAGCTGGGCGTGGCGGCGTGTGCCTGTAGTCCCAGCTGCTGGGGAGGCTGAGGCAGGAGAATGGCGTGAACCCGGGAGGCGGAGCTTGTAGTGAGTGGAGATTGCACCACTGCACTCCAGCCTGGGTGACAGAGAGAGACTCCGTTTCAAACAAACAAACAAAAAAAATTAGCCTCAGTCAATTCAGAGTTAATATTTGAATTACTTTGGGGGAAAACATAGCAATGTTAAAACAGGCTATTTTTCTTTGCCAACTCCCAGTACTATATTATATATAGTTCGTGTGTGTATGTCGTAAACCCATTATACAGTGCTGTTATTTTTACTTCAAACATACATATTTCTTTCAGAGAAACTAAGAGAAAGAGCAAATGATGTATCTATTTACTAGTATTTCATATTTATCATACATTTACTTCTGGGACTCTTCATTTTGTTGATCTGTGTAGTTGCCACTTAGTAGGGTTCCACTTGACTCTTCTCCTAGGGATGTATCTACTCAATTTTTGTTTATTTAAAAGTGTCTATTTTTCTTTTAATTTAAATAATAGCTTTGCTGGATATAGAATTCTTGTTTGTTTTTTCCTTTAGCACTGAGCATTTCCTTTCAGTTTCTTCTGGCTCCCATAATTTCTGAAGAGGAGTTAATCATTAATTTTGCTGTGACTCTCCTGTGTATAATATATATTTTTCTGGCTGTTTTAAATATTTTCTTGTTATCTTTGACTTTCAGGAGTTTGACCATGTTGTGTATGAGGACAATTTGCTGTTTGTTTATTTGAATTAAGATTTATTAAAATTATTGGATCTATAAATTAATATTTTCCAACAAATTTGGAAAGTTTTAAGACATTATTTTGAAATTTTTTCTTCCCTTTTTTCTCTAGTCTGGGATTTCCATTATACCTATTTAGACCACTTCATATATCGTTCTCAGAGTTTTCTGAGGTTTTTAATTTTTTTATTCTATTTTTTTTTTCTTTCAGCTAGGACAGTTTCTACGGATGTATCTTCAATTACATGAATTACTTTTATTTGGTCTTCTGTCTGGTCTTCAGCCCATTTAGCCATTTTAAATTTCAGTTATTTACTTTTCAGCTCTATATCTTTTTGAAAAACATAATTTCTACTCTTTTGCTGAGATTTCTTATTATCACTAGCAAATTTTCTTTTAATTTCCTTTTAATCCAGCATATTTTCTGTTAATTCTTTGAACATATTTGTAATAGCTTCTTTGATGTCTTTACCTGCTAAATTCAACATCTGGCCCAAATTGGAGGTAGTTTCTATTGAGTGCCATTTTTCTTGAATATACGTCATAGTTTTCCATTTCATTGTACCTGTCTTTCTAGCTCTGACTGAACCCAACATTAAAAAGAAATCTGGCTGAAGCGAGTGGATTACCTGAGGTCAGGAGTTCGAGACCAGCCTCGCCAACATGGTGAAACCCCATCTAAAAATACAAAAATTAGCCGGGCATGGTAGCACGCACCTGTAGTCCCAGCTACTCAGGAGGGTGAGGCAGTAGAATTGCTTGAACCTGGGAGGCGGAGGTTCCAGAGAACCAAGATCACGCCACTGCACTCCAGCCTGGGAGACAGAACGAGACTCCATCTCAAAAAAAAAAAAAAAAAAAAAAAAAAGGGAAAAAAGAAGTCTGAATTGACAGAGTACCTCAGTCACTCACCTAAGGTATATATTAACACACTGCCAAGTATCTGCAGGTTTCCATACCACATATCTTCTCTAGCTATGCTTTGTAAGTCTCTGGCTTCTAAAAAAGTAGTCGTTGTCACACTGACCATTTACTGTTTATTTGCTTTGTTTGATTAATATAAATAGCTACAGTGAAAAAAATTAAGACCCTTAAAAATGCCTATTTAGGACTGGAGTTACTGATACTGATTCTGTTGACTTAGTCTTCATTATGTGTTGAATTCCTGAATCACAGGGAGCTTCTTTTTTTATATTATGCAGCTCAAGTATGTTCCTATATATTAGATTATATCAACTTGATTAAATTTGCTTTTATATGTTTCAACTGGCAGTCATTTCCATGGGCAAAATAAAAACCTTTGAATTATCTTCTTATTTGATTAGGACATGCTGTATTTTTTAAAACATTTTTTTCTCTTTTCTAAATCAAGATTTATTCATCTTAATTAGAAGTGGTAGGCCCTACAGCCAAATTTTAAATCAAGCCAACAGCCCCAGTTTTTGACATGGCAGTGGACATTGGTGTAAGGAAGTCTTCCTTTATTATCATTCTCTATGGAAGAAGGAAGCAGAGCAATTATTATTGCAGAGTAATTTAATACTGTTTTAATAAACATGGTCTTTCATCTTGGTAAGGAGTTCTGGGATTCATGAGGATGTCCATTTTCTGTGAAATACTATCCCGTTTAAGCAGATTAATTCATAATCTATAGTCATATTATAAAAACATAAAAGAATAAAGATGAACTAAATTCTGAGAAGAGAATAAAATGTAAGAATCAATTAACTTGCATCCTTTTAAAAAATTATGATACTATTACTTTAATAGTTAGATGTAGTTTTCCTCTTTCTTATCTGAGTTAATGTTCTTTCTTTATATCAGATACTTGACATGTTAGACTAGAGAAGAGGAATTAAAACTTGATTAATGGTCCCAAACAGTTTAGAGTTTAAATCATTCAGACACATTAAATTGTTATAAAGTGACGCTTGTTTTTAAATAGTGGGTGACTCTTTTAGTAGACATTATTTGGTGTTTAAATTACAGTTTACTTTCTCTACTCAGGAAGTGTTTTGGAGGAATAGCATTTTGGGCATTTTAGAGCACGTCTATGAAAGGAAATGTTTTTATGTAATGCTTTCTATGTAAAAGTGCTATGGAAACAAAGTTTTCCTCATACTTTTTTAATAGCAACTATTATTTTCTCTAAAGGGAAACAAAAAAACTAAATTGCAGGGAAATGAAAGGATTTTCTTCTGAAACTAGATGAAGTCTTTAATTCAATGGAATATTCATTTTATTTTTCATACGTGATTAGTCCTTTATTCTTCAGATTATTCCATGTTCTCCATATTTTTTGTATGTATTTTAATGTCTATGGGTCTATGTTTTAATATGTATGTAAAAATTTGCTCCATGGCACTTGAGGCACAAAAAAAACTACATCCATTTATTTTACTGATTTTTAAATAATATTTTATCCAGGCCCCGCTTAACCACAATGTTTTAAATCCTCAGAATCATATTATTTTCCCCAGCCTCTGAGTTAGCCACGTTAGAATGAGGTATACCTCAGTATAATATGAGAGCCCCACGTTAATACCTTCCTGGCTACCTCCAATGGATTATTCAGATGCATATTGGAGAGGTGGCTCTTATGACTATGGCCAATTCCACCTCAGCCTGCTATCCATTACCAGATGGGCTTTTAGGTTTTCTTTCTGTTCTCCTTCCTTGGAGTCCTGGCTATTATGGTAAGACTAGATATAGATATCAGGAAACGTATTTTTGCAAGCAAAGCAAAAAGGAGCACTTCTGCTTCCTTAGAGATTGGTTGATATTTTTGAAATATACCACTGCTGTACTTGGGCAAAGCAAATATCTTACTCATTTTTCTAGAGATTTACATCTGCATTGCCTGGTCAGGATGTCTACATTGATAGCAGACAAAGGAGCATACCCAAGTGGCCAGATACGGAGTTTAATCCCTCTACTCAGTAGCCATTTCTGAGTATTCTCTGAAGCTGTGAAATAGTCATGATAATTTTCTCAAAATCATATTATTGCACCAACTCTAGAAGCTGTAATACATGCTGGGGAATGTTATGCTTAGAAGGATTCTTAGCAATGTGGAGGGAGATTCCTATTGTCCAACAAAATGCATTTGCTCCAAACACACCACACCTTTTTTTTTTTTAAAAAAAAGCAAATATGGCTTGATGTTTACTCATCAGAGTTGTCATAAAATTCAACCTCAGTCATCTGGGACCCACTTTTCCCTATTTCTTCAGGGTGAAACAAGATCAGTAGAACTTGCTTAGACTAGAGCAGAATTTCTTAATCTTGACACTACTTACATTTTAGACCAGATAATTCTTTGTTTTGAGTGCTGTCCTGTACACTGGAGTGTGTTTAGCAGCATCCCAGCCTCTGCTCACAAGATATCAGAAGCATCATCTGGGTGCTCATGTGGGAAATGTAGAACCCTCCTCCTCTACATCTCTAGGCATCGCCAGATATCCCTTTGAATGGTAGTTGCTCCTGGTTGAGAACCACTGCTCTAGAACAATTGGGAAGGGGTCTAGTTTCAGTTTTAGTTTTTATGGCGGCTATTGGCATTTGTCTTTGACAATGTCTGCTTGTCATTGAAGCCTTGTGCTTCTATTTTCCCTTTGTGGAGTCATGAAATCTCTGTCAAGCCTCCCAGGCTGTAGTACTTACTGCCTAAACTCTTCAGGCACACTGGCAATGATTCTTCTTAGAGGTCTTATAAGCCCTGAAAGTGCTGCGTACAGAGGGCAGAGTCCTTCTTGGGAGATCCTGTCCCCAGCATTTGGGGACTCAGTTCTTTCTGAGCTCACATCTTTTATTTATTTATTTATATTTATTTTTTTATTGAGATGGAATGTTGCCCTTGTCACCCAGGCTGGAGTGCAATGGCACAATCTTGGCTCACTGCAACCTCAGCCTTCCAGGTTCAAGCTATTATCCTGCCTCAGCCCTCTCAAATAGCTGGGATTATAGGTGTCCGCCACCAGGCCCAGCTAATTTTTGTGTTTTTATAGAGACAGGGTTTCACCATGTTGGCTAGGTTGGTTTGAACTCCTGGCCTCTGGTGATCCGCCGGCCTCAGCCTCCCAAATTTTTGGGATTACAGGCTTGAGCCACTGGGCCCAGCCAAACTCAGATCTTTTCTATCTCCTTCAATTCTACAGCTTTCTTTATCTTAGAAAATCTCAAACAATGGTATTATGAAACTAACTTTGAGAACAATCCTTAATTATCTTAGAAAAGTAGAACCTCATGTCCAGGATACAAAACCCTGGTTTTCTTGCTAATACCTCATTGGAAACACTGTAATCTATGTATCCATTTACTCCTTTTTCTCTTTTTAATTGCTTTTCTCTAATTCTCCTCCCTTCCTGTATTATCTCTCTTTTTCTTCTCTCTCTTTTTTTTTTTGTTGAGACAGAGTCTCGCTTTGTCACCTAGGCTGGAGTGCAGTGGCACCATCTTGGCTCACTGCAAGCTCCGCCTCCTGGGGTCACGCCATTCTCCTGCCTCAGCCTCCCGAGTAGCTGGGACTACAGGCACCTGCCACCACGCCTGGCTAATTTTTTGTATTTTTAGTAGAGATGGGGTTTCACTGTGTTAGCCAGGATGGTCTAGATCTCCTGACCTCATGATCTGCCCACCTCAGCCTTCCAAAGTGCTGGGATTACAGGTGTGAGCGACCATGCCCGGCCCAATTTGTTTTCTTTATTCTGTCTTCCCTTCTATTTCTTCTTCAAAACAGCAGTTATTGACACAGAAAATTTAGGAAAATGAATAGAAATCTCAGCTGTGAGTGCTGGCTCATGTCTATAATCTTAGCACTTTGGGGGTCCAAGTTTCGAGGATTACTTGAGTCTAGGAGTTTGAGACCAGCCTGGGCAACCTAGTGAGAACCCAGCCCTACAAAAAATTTAAAAATTAGCTGGGAATGGTGGTACATGCCTGTAGTCCCAGCTACTAGGGAGGCTGAAACAAGAGGATTGCTTGAGTCTGGGAGGTTGAGGCTGTAGTGAGCCATGATTGCACCATTGCACTCCAATGTGCAATGGGTAATAGAATGAGACTCTGTTTCAAAAACAAATACAACAACAACAAAAATGGAAAACTCATCAATCCTACATCTCTGTTAATTCGAGGAATGTTAAGGCAGAGATTGGAAGTTACACTCATTTTCCCAGGAGGACAAAATGTGTTTATATGGGACCCCAAAACCATTTATTTCAAAGTACAAAATGTAATGTTTGAAAATTTTACAATGCCAATAAAATTGCCTGCTTCTTCTTTTCTTCCTTTCAAGTTCTTTTCATTTCTTTTCTTCAGCTGGCAGCAAGCATTGTCTGAACCTTGAAGTCAAGAGCTTTGGCTTATCTCCAAGGGCGAGGGAGCAGGCTAAGGAGAGCAATTCACAGCTTAGTGAAAGTATTTTGCCATAGGAGGGAGAGCTACTATCATTTCTTGGAACATTAAAAAAAATAACTTTTGAATCAACCTGAAGGTTGAGGCAGGATTAAGAATCATCCATAAATTTGAGGTGGAAAAGTTCTTGGCAGAGTTTTACAAGGCTGGAAAATCACTAGTTTCTCTCTTCTTTATCCACAAAAGGTCAGTAAGCTTATTTAGCCTTTGGATAATATACTCACCACTTTCTCAGCAGTATCCTATATCTGACCATGTTCCAGGCCACTCTTTCTGCACTAGCTTCCACCTGCCACCTCCCCAAAGACCTCTGGAGATCATTGATGAGGTTATGCGGACTGCCCTCTGGCTCTCTTCTCTCCCTCCAAACCAGACTGTGGGTACTCAGACATTCTTTCTAGTTACCGAGAGGGCCCCACGGCTGTGGGTGAATGTTTCAGGCCTAATGTTCCTTTCCCAAAGGTGATTCCTGGTAAAGAAGCCAATTCTCCATGTTGGGTGAAGAAGGTTATGGGCTCTGACCAGGCTCTACTCCATATTTCACAAATGCTCAGCCATTTGAAGTGCACTGCATCAGGGAAAATGCCTCGTAGCTTACCTTCCACAGTCTTCCTTTCATTCAGCTCGTTTGGATCCTTCTTTGGCAGTAATCTGGTATACCTCATGGAAAAACCATAGGTATTTCAACCTTGCTGTGACATCTACTTTGAACTGTGTTCCTCCAATTATGTGAATCTGGCTTTACTGGAGTCCCTAAACTTCTCACTACCCTGATCAGTGCTAGAAGGTAACCCTCAGAAGGACAGCTTGATGTATATCCCCATGGGCCATTCTTAAAGTTATTTATGCTGATCTTGATTGATGCTGAACAGCCTGCCCAAACTGCAACCCAATTTACACCCAAATTCACGAGCCAATAGTATTCCAGATGATGTTGCCGTATGTAATAGCATTTTAAGTTAACCCATACTATACTTAGATGTGTAAAAAATGTAGCTACTTAACAATTTTTGGTAAGATATTCCAGGTATATTGGAATAAACGTGTAAATGTTAACATAATAAATATCACCAAACTTAAGAAATGAAATAACTTTAATTCTTAAAAACAAAAACAAATACAACAACAACAAAAATGGGAAACTCATCAATCCTACATCTCTGTTGATTCAGAAGAGTGTTAGGCAGAGATTGGAAGTTACACCCATTTTCCCAAGAGGAAAAAATGTGTTTATATGGGACCCCAAAACCATCAGTTGCAAAGTACAAAATGTAATGTTTGAAAATTTTGCAATTTTCAAACCCGTTCTCTGTGGCCCATGCACTTGGTCCCATTTTATTGTTCTCTCTGTTCTCATAGGTTACCACTTATTCTGAATTTTGGCTTTATCATTCTACATATTTCTTTATTGTTTTACTTTGTTTTTATACAGTTTGAGAGGCAGTTGTGCATAGTAGTTGAAAGCATACACTCTGGAACCAGACAACCTAGGTCTATGTCCTGGGAATCCCATTTTCTAGCTGTGTGTCCTCTAGAAGTTATTTAATTTCTTTATATATACTTTGGTCTTTTAAAAAATCTGTAAAATGGGGATAATAATGGTACTGACCTCTTAAGGTTATGAAGAGTAACTACTTGAATACACATAAAATCTTAGAATAGTACCTAGAAGCTCCATATTAAATGTCTACAATCATTGTTATCTTAAATCCATACTTTTGCATGTTTTTAAATTTCATATAAATGATATCATAGGTATCCTTTTGCAACTTCCATTATTTGCTTAATATTATGTTTGTGACATTCATCCATGTTGATATACATAACTTTCTTTTATGGTAAGTCTTTCATAGTGTGATTTTACCTAAATTTATTTATCCGTTCTCCTGTTGAAGGACATCTGGATCATTCTGTTATTTTTGTAATAATAAAGAATCCTACTATGAGTGCATTTTATACTCAGGAACAAGATTTGTTCTAAGGCTTGTACATAAAAATAGAATTTGTGAGTCTTGTTTTGTTTGCTTATTAAATAATGAATACATTTATTCCCAGTCTAACCTCCCCAGCTCCATCCTTTCCTATAATAATCACTCTATATAGAGGAGAAACTTAGCTTGTTGAATCAATGTAACCTAGTCTCCTTTGATTGAAATGGTCTTTTGAATGACTGTTATCTTACGTAGATGGTAAGTTTTCACATTTCCCCTCTTTCCCCTGTGCCTTGCTAAGGTGGCATCTAGGGCCTAATGATCTTGTGACAGTGTGGGGAGGTGGGAAGGTCCAGAACCTTTCATCCTGCTATTGGGCCTTGTCGACTGCTGGGCCTTCTCTGAGGGCTGCATTCACTACTGGATATTGTGGTTTCAGTTGGTCATGAAGTCATTATGTGTTGAAGCTGTTTTAACCTAATTTCAAACCTCTCTTGCTTTCCCAGCACTTTAGGTAACTGTGCAGGTCCTATCCTGCAATTGAGACAGAGGGAGAATTTTGGGCTTTTGTAGGAACTGGCTAGGCTATGAAAGAGCCATGGGCACCACCTCCAGCTCCTATAACTATTCCTTCCCACTGCCGTAATATTGCTCCTGCACCAGATGGCTATGGCTAAACGTGGGGATTCTCCTGCCACTCCCTCCCCATAGGCACACAAGCTAGACTTGGAGGTGTGCCATGGACTCACCCGTTGCTCTCTGGCTTCTTCAAACTCTCTGGATGTTTTTATTATGCTTCTCCTTGGGGTTCCATCCCAAGAGAGGGACAATACTTGATTTTTCAACTTTGTCTTTTTCTGTTATACAGGACATTCACGTGGTCTTGATTCCTATCCTTTTCCTCTTTGGAAAGGAGTTCCCTTATGGCCTGTCTTCCTTCAACCTGAGATGCACGTGCCTAGTCTGGTTTCCTTCAGCCAAAGTAGCTGGCAGGATATGGGGAGCAAGAAATCAGTTTAAGGTTAAGAGCACAAACATGAGTTAGTCACAACATTGAACCTGCAGCGCAAATGCCAGAACATACTTTTTTTTTTTTTTTTTTAGACGGAGTCTTGCTCTGTCACCAGGCTGGAGTGCAGTGGTTCGATCTCAGCTCACTGCAACCTCTGCCTCCTGGGTTCAAGCCATTCTGCCTCAGCCTCCCAAGTAGCTGAAACTACAGGCACGCACTACCACGCCCAGCTAATTTTTGTATTTTTAGTAGAGATGGGGTTTCACCATGTTGGCCAGGATGGTTAGATCTTTTGACCTTGTGATATGCCCACCTCAGCCTCCCAAAGTGCTGGGATTGTAGGTGTGAGTCACCGTGCCCAGCCCAGAATATACCTTTTAACAAGTGTGAGGGTACTGCTGATGACGAGCAACTTAAACCTGGATTCTGATGGAAAATCAAAATATGTGGTTGGCGTCAATCTTATTTATTGTGGGACAGACAGAAACTATTTGAAAGAGAACTGCTGGGGCCAGAAATCTGAATTCATTGGGTAATTATTATGTACAACAAGGAGTGCATCTAGCAGGCAGACATGTTCCAACCACAGGTGCTTGTGCTGTGGAGCACAGCATAAGATCAGCAGAGATGATGGAATGGTGGGCATCATGCCATCCGAGGATGCTAGAGGCAGTCAAATGCATGGCGGAGCAAAGGCACAAGTTCTGTCCACATGACCAGCAGAGAGGGTGTGTCTTCATGATGCCCCCACAGGATCTGTCACCACTGAACGTGGATGGCAGTGCTGCTTCAGTCAGAACTCTGCTATGATCTCTCTACTGATGATTTATGTGCCTCTCAGGATAAGATATTTCATAGCTTTTGCCTCATAACAATAAGCTAAAAGAATTGAAGGATCAGGAGAAGTCAAGGTGATCATTTCAGATGGTCATTACCTTGCTCATAAAAATCTCTATAAATTGCCAATATTATGATAGGCTAGTTGGTTTAAGCAATGGTCTCATTTCAGGGGTGCCCAGGGTGAAGGGCTGTATAAACTCTCTCTTTCATACCCATATATGGCTGCTCTCACAGAATATTGATGAATTAATTCAGGTAGGGAATATGAGAAGGACATTCAAAGAATTCCATGGCAGAAGCAATTTCTCAAGAAGAGAAGCAGAAAGCTTATTTAGGAAGCTGTTTGGTTTTTGTGAAAATTCCCTTTTAAGATATTAGTTATGGGAAGAGGAGTTGGGATCTAATGTTCGGGAATAAAAGAGTCTAGCTGCTTGCAGAAAAGTTTCAGGTTAATTAAAGATTCAATATTTTCACCTCTGAGTGCAGGGTAATGTTAGCTAACCAAGTGGCAATTTCATAGACCTGGCTTAATGATTTGATGATGAGCCATCCTGGGGTTTTTTTAACCAGTTATGAGATGACAGAGAGGGGAAATAAAGTGAGCTGGAAGGGAAGAAAACAAAGATTGACTTTCTGAAAGACATTTTAACTCATTTTCACTCTCTAATAAGATTGTATGAATTTCTTGAAATGGGAAGATACTGGGAAAAGTCTTATAAAAAGTTTATGTGTATATATACATACAGATATATCTATGTAAATAGGCAAAATACAAAGGAATAAATCAAAGAATGAAATAAATTAAAACAGACTACTAAAACATGTTTGAATAAATTTAAAAGGGCAAGGAAGGATGAAAAGAGAAACAAAAATTATTGAAGACAGAAAGCAAAATAATAGAACGGTAGACCTAAATCCAAACACCACACACACACACACACACACACACACACACACACACACACACACAGTGTGGTTTTCTGCATTAATATGACAAGTAGTTTGGCCACGTTTCTTAACCTGTTAGTGTTCCATTTCCGTACTTATAAAGCCGAGTTTGTAGCCAGCTCTTTATCTTGCTGAAGGGTTAGGAGGATTAATGGAGTCTTACGTTGGTTCTGAGTATCACCCTCTGAAAGTGCAGCACCAAATTCCACTTTCCATACCACACCATAAAAATCTACTAAATGAAAATGAGTGGATAAGGAATGCTGCATTTCCGTTCTCTGGCATTCTCACACTTCACCCATGACATTTAGCTCCAATACTGCAGATCCTCTTCTTCGCCTTAACTCTCTTCTGATTTCTGAGAATTAAGTCGGACTTCAGAATTGGCAACTGAGATGTATTCTACTAGTTGGTGTTGACAGATTTTTATTATATTGAGACTAGAAATTTTTTTTAGCAGCATGCATGTGAAAGTGCAGGCAAGACAGGGAAGAAAAAGAATGTGCTGGCGTGTTAGACAGTAATGCATACCCTGGAACACCGAGTGTGCAGAAACGAGAGGACGCAGGAGTAAGATTGCACAGATCTTACTCCTGTGAGATACAGGTCTCCAGTGAGAAATCCTAATCCCTGTGATTACCATCAGTAGGAGTAAGACAAATGACCTTTAAAAAGGAGAGGTAGCTTGAAATTTCCCTTTGTTTTGCTATGAGTTCCCTGCTGGTCCTTTATCAGTTTTCTTTCCCTGGGTCTGGAAGGTTCAGGGCTGATTGTTTTCAGCAGACAGCTGAGTTCTCTCCAGCTCTACTCTCCACAATGGTACTAAAGGGCTACACTTATTAGCAGCAGGTCCTTTCTAGGGAAGAGCTACGTAATTTTTAAGGGGACCTAAAATAATTTAGTTCAGAAAAATACCATTATGATCGGCCAGCTCAAAAAAGTGCTGCTGAGCTGACTATAATTCATCTGCCTCCTTTAACAGCTACCATTTAAGTTGCATTTGAACACTGAAAACAAATAGGCTTTCATTGTATGTCTGAAATCTTTAATATAGCTTCAAAGTTCCAGAGGAAAATACTGCATTGCAGCTCTCCTGTTTTTGCAGCGAATCTCTGTTGGCATGTGGCTGCAGAGGAGGGGCCACCACAAAAGCCTCCTGTTTTCAGCTCAACTCAGCAGATCCCTCAGCTCCAGACTATAATGAAAGAAGTGTCCTCAGCTTGCCCGGGGCAAAGGAGGCTGGGGAGGGAAGGCTACATACACAGGTACTAATTGAACAGATTTGGTTATCTTTTTTATTTATTTTTTAAAAATTATTGAATATTTATCAGGCAATACACTTTTTTCAAGTAGCCAGACATTTTTCTTTTTGAATTCTAGAGAACTTATGAAGCAGATTCAAGATACCCAATATATTCTGGCCATTCTTACAGGTCTTGCTTAACTTTAACAACAGCAGATGTACATTCTGGGTCTTGGCTATCAGCAGTCTGGCCAGAGAAAGGCCCACTGCAAACTGAGCAAAATTTGGTGAAAGATTTAGAAGATTCATTCATTCATTCATTCACTCATGTATGCATGCATTCTCCATGCATTAATCGAATATTTCTACCATATTCTGGGCACTGGAAATGCAGAGATAAACAAGACCTAAATCGTCAACTTCAAAAGTTGCTTTTTAACCCATGCCAAATAGCAGTTTTCAAGAGTGTCTGGATGTCCCCTCAATCTCCTTTCTTTGTTTGCACACTAGGACCTGGGGCTGGCTCCACTGCAGTGTCCTTTAGTCCAATCAGAGCAGTTTCATGCCACTTTTCTTTAAGACTTTGCTGCTAAATTTCATTTGTTGAGGAGTGGAGCACACGTGGGACATACAAACATCAGTTATGCCAAGAATGACTCGTGCTTTAGGTAATATTATATCTCCTTTTACAGATGCAGACAGATGAGGTAAAGTGACTTGCCAAAGCTCATTCAGCTAGTGAGTGATAGAGCAGATTCCGACTCAGAGTCCTCACCTGCTGCACCTCCTGTCTCCAAGGTGATCTAATATGAGCTTGCTTTGGCATAGAGTGCAACCAAACCAGCAACTCCTGGGACTCTTAAATACAAATCTGAGGCCTATTAGAATGGCTTTGACCTCACTTAAAAAAATTTCTTCAGTCTTTCTGTAGCAGTAATTTAGGCTCACAGGATGCTTATTTCTACTAAAGTACTATTAATAGTTTGCCAAAAGTTTGCCTTTTCTATCTCTTTTCCTCCCTTCAGTGAATTAATTGTGTTATCAGCTGCCCTTATTACAGTGTTGTCTATTTAAAGCAGTTATGATGGTTTCCTCCTGAAATGCAACCATCAAAAATTCTGCTTTAGTAACCCAGAGCATTTTCCCTTTAAAGGTATAAAGAGAATTATAAAAAAATTTACTGTATGAGACTTGTGCTTTTTCATAACAACATGAAGCTTCTAAAAAAATCTTGCCTCAATTTTTAACAGAGAAGCCTTGTCTATTACTCCAAAAGCAGGTCTGTTTGAGAAAATGTTTTGCAGCTGAGAGCAGTTTGAAAGAGGCTCTTGGTGAGCTTTTGTTCTTGCCTGTTTAACAGCTTAAGGTTTAGAGAAGCCCATTTGAGTTCACCTTTTGCATTTGAGTCCAAAAACTGAATCCATTAAAGGGCTCTCTTGAGCCTGCAGTGAATTTCAGAGCTCCTAGGAGGACGCTCCAGGCTCACTTAACCGGTTTGAAATTGCATGGCCTCGGGCTCCACTGTCTATTTGGAGGAGGATAGGAGTCAGGGAATTAGTTCAAAAGCTGCAACCACTTTTTTCCTTTTGTCTCTAATGTCTGTTGTTCAGCATTGGTTCCGCACCATTTGCAATATTTTAAGAACCATTCCAGAGCACCTAAGTCATAGCAGTTAGAATTAATATTGTTCTATCACCTTTTCCATTACTTTTCATATTTGCACCTATGTCATCCATATGCGTTTGGTTTGGAAACTTGGAGGATGAAAAAAATAATGCAGACTTTCTCTCCAGTCCCAGATGGAATTTTCATTTGTTTTTGTTTGTGGTTTTTGGTATGTGTGTGTGCATGTGTGTGTGAGAGAGACAGAGCGAGAGAGAACATAGGGAACAGAGGGAGGACTTTGATCTCTGACAGCCAGATCATGCAGAGAATGAACATATTGAAACTGTCTTTGCAAAAATTATAACAGTGAGAAAATTATGACAGTGAAAGAGATCTGACCTAGCTTCTTGCTTCTAAACCTCAAGCTGTCCTTGTTCATTCCTGGGCACAGGTGAACTAACTTTGGGAAGAATTTAGTATATAGTTTAACTTTGAAACAAAGATGATAACAGCCCTATCCCAAAACAAACCCCCTTCTTTCCCAGGGACCAGTCGGCCTTTGTGGGGCTAGCAAATTAGCTACAAGATTAGAAATTATATCTGAGGAGTCATGCAGCCAGAAGGTGCAAGATTCTGAACCTTCCCAAATTGCTCCTGGGATTACTGTTGCAAAATCTAAGATCAGTGCTTGAGATGTTTTGCAGATTCTGTATTCCCATGCACCAGCTGATGCCACCCGGACCTGTAACTGGCTCAATAAATTCTGCAATCCTACCCAGGAACAGAAGACAGCAAGGAAAACCCGTTGAACCCCTGTGATTTATTCTTTGACCCAAACAATTGGCACTCCCTACTTCCCAACTCCCTATCTACCAAATTATCCTTAAAAACACCCGATTCCTGAATTATCAGGGATACTAATTTGAGTAGTAATCAAACTCCAGTCTTCGGTACAGCCAGCTCTGCATGAATTAAAGTCTGAAGCAGTGCCATTGTCTGGGGTAATACCCGAGATTCGTTGCCTCATGCCAAGGAAATTAAGGACACAGACACACGTGGAGTGAGGTTAACAGCAGAGGCTTAATAGGCGAAGGAAAGAGGAAAGGGAATAACTGCCTTGCAGAGAGAGAGGGGCACCGAAGTGGGTCTTCCGGCTGGTGGTGGAGTGCACAGGGTTTTATAGACAGGCTTGAGAAGGCAGTGTCTGATTTACATAGGGCCCAAATATTGGTTGGACCAGGTGTGACATTTACATAGCATGTGGGGAAGCTGGCCTGCCACACCCTAATCTTATCATGCAAATGGGGTCTTTGCCTGACAACACTATGTTGTCTGCTCCCTACTGCACACTGAGTGGCAAGAAAAAGGGAAGATGGAGCCTCCATGTTGGACATGCCTAGCCCCCAGATAGCCTTTTCTTATTAGTACAGCTGCCAGCATTCACCTGTGCAAGTTTCCAGCTTGCTTGTCTATGTCTGGAGCTTGATTTTCCAGGCTGCTCTTTGTTAGAAAAGGAAATGATTTTGAGGCTGCTTTTCTTTAAAAGAAAAACCTTACTGAGGACTTTGTTACCCTCACTATCTGCCTAAATAATTTCTTTTTAACTCCTATATCAACTCTTTCTCTGTTGCAATTCCCCTGTCTTGATAAATCAGCTCTGTCTAGGCAGCAGGTAAGGAGAACCTTTGGGCAGTTATAATATTCTTAGCAGAAAGACAGGGAGGTAGGAAATAGGATATGCCCATGGAGGATCATGCCTGTAGTTGCCTAACTGCTCAGAAGCTATTTTTCCCCAAATGAATTCACAGGCTACATATATATCATACCTGCCGCATTAAGCAGAGCTGGACCACCTGAGCTTAGGATCTAGTCTAAACAGATATGGAAGGGGGCTGCTCATACTAAAACTCTGTGATTACATTTTAAGTCTTGAAGTGAAATAATAACTACTCTATTCAGTCGATACGACAAGATCAGATGGGAAGAGGTGGCCTAGGAAGCAACTGATACCATGGTCCTGGGGCTGAAGTGTGGAACCCCGTAGAAGAAGACAAGAGGGCAGGTGGCTGAAGACACTGGTTGTCTTGACAGTGATTGCAGAACACTACTCCAGAAATGCTGCCTGGGCTCCCACTGTGTGCCATGGAAAACAGTATGACTTTGGTTAAATTACTCAACTCCTCAGCCTCAGAATCCTCATTTATGAGATAGTAATGTTTGAAATGCTTGTTCCCTGGTGCCACAAAGAAATAGCACTTGAATATAAATTTAATTTACTCAGCAAGGCGATTTTTACTTCCTGCAGAAAGGGTACACTTGCCAGCAGTTTTGCTGCAAGAGTACACCTAACAAAGGAGACAGAGTCATTTATAATCTGACAAGTCCACCTACTGCTGTGTCTTGTTTCCATTGGCTGGAATGGGACCTCACATTCTGTATTTGTCCCGACTGACTAGCAACTTAGAACTTTTTAAAAGAGGCAAAGGTAGAGGAGAACAAAGGAAGGAGGAAGTAACTTGTGGAATGCTGAGAAAGGTAAAAACACCTTTAAATAAGGAAGAGGAACAGGCTATGACCTAACGTTTGCTTGGACCAGTATAAGCATGCCAGGGCAAATATTGTGGGAGCTAAATTGTGGGAGCTAAGAACACAAAGTACATTGATTTCTTTATCACGGCTAGCAGATACTTAAGAATGTTAGCACAGGTCTTTGAATAAATTTTGCTTCTAAGAGAAGTTACTATTTATTCCTTATTAAGTGGGGAGGAAAGTCTTTGAAGAGGAATCTCTACTTTATTTTTTACAGTAATAATAATAATGAGGCCTAGTTTTTAAGTTTTTGTGAAAGAATTATTTAAGGAATAAGTTTCAGGTGCTTGGCACGGTGATTGGTAGAGAGTGTGTATTCAAAAATGTTGAATATTAATTAGATTATTGTTATTTTTCAGTGACTAAATATGGCAGAGGCTGGCTAGTTTTTTTTTCAATTCCATTTTTCTTTCCTCCTGAGCACATAGCTACTACACACACCCAGCCTTCATTGTAACAGGTGAGCCCATTGAAATGGGCTACAGGAAATGGAGTGTGGGCAGAAGTGAGGACACCACCTCCAGGACTGGCCTATGAAAGCCTCATGGGCAATCTTCATGATCTGTTTCTCTCTTCCTCCATGTACTGGATGCCATGATACAGTAGAGGACCCCAGTGTATCAAGGGATAGTGGAACAACAAGTTGGAGGGAGCCTGGGTCCCTGGATGACTATGTGGATGTGAGCACCTTTTGCTTTCTATCTCTGCCACCAACTGGACTTGAGCTATGTGAAGCTACTGAGATTTCTGAATTAATGTGTCAATAGTTAGGGACTTTTGCCTTATGACACAGGATATGGTAATAACCTGAATATCCATGTTTAAAAATGTTTTTATATTAATTAAATAAAATTGGCTATGAATTAATAAATAAATACATAGTGAAGTGGATGGGAAAGAAATGACGTGGTATCAGATGTAAATAATCAGCATCAGGACTAATGTAGGACTAGGACAGACACTAGCCACATTAGGAGCTTTTTAAAAAGCTGAATCCTTAGGTGAACCATGCTGGTACATGTTGGTGGCACAAGTATGTGCTCTGTAGGCAACACTGTAATGGGTCATTCTTTCTCCTGGAGTGTATAAGTCAGTCTTTTACTAGCACCAAGTGCAAAACTGAAAGGTATGGGCTCCTTTTAAAATGCCTTCTGTATGTTACTCCTCTTATAAACTAGATTCAACAAAAGAAAAAAATAAAACACTGAAGGAAATCTAAATATTTTACCCCAAAATATGGTTCCTTGGCATAATGAGTATTGTGAATTAAAAACCCTTAGAGATCAACAAGCCCTGGAAGAAACTTTCCTTCTGTGTACATAAAGATAGGACTGACCCACCAAGGAGAACAATTGTTCCTGTTCCCCTCCTTGTTATCTCATTATCCATTATAGGAAAGATTTCAGACCAAAAATGTAACCACAGCTGAACAGACCCTTTTTCAAGATAATGACCGTCTCCAAGGATCATTTAAATTCCAAAGAGAGCTATTTACAAGTTAATTTCTGTTCTGTGATCCAATCATTCTCCCTAGTAATCATTTATTGCCTCTCAGCTGAACTCCTCTTCTTCCCCTTCTCATACCTGTTTAAACAGGACCCAAACCCCCACTCCTTCTATAACCTGAAGATGGTATATAAGCTTTTGTACCTCACTGGGCGGTTGGGTCTTCATTCTGAAGACTCCTGTGTATGCATGCTATGTAAGTTTGTATGCCTTTTCTCCTATTAATCAATCTGCTTCACCTCAGTGATTTTTCAGTGAAATTTTAGCCCTCAAAATCCTTGGTCCCCATAACACCTTACCCCTTGCTCCCCATCAATGCTAAAGCTAATATTTTGCCTGCCTGGCCTAAGACTTAGCATAATATTCTTTAATCACACAAGTGGATTAATTATCAGAAGAAGAAATCAAGGACGAAATGAGTAGGAAGCTAAGTCAGCATGTGGAAAGTTTGGCCATTCAGAGCACTTGATTAGTATGCTGGTGTCCATGGTTAAAGGAATTATTCTGCCCTTCTCTCCTTGGCCTTCAGTGCTTGATGCATGTGGTTAAATGGAATTCAGGGCACCAAAACTTCCAAGCAAGAAATGAGACAGCTGAAAGACAAGGGTTTGAAAGTAGAAAGGGAAAAGAAATTTAATCCTTTAAACAGAGCTTGAATGTGTGAAGAGTAGAAAGGGTGCTGGGGAAAGGAGCAGCTTGTTATTCTCCAATCCTCATAGCACCTGAGCTCTAGTTAGGAATTTGAACAAGGCACTCTGAGGCTTCTCTTCCCAGCAACCTCAGGTCACTTACGTAACTCAAGAGTTTTCAGATTCAAAAGTGTCTGATTTCTATATTGTTACCAGCATGACTCAAGCTCTTCACTGTCTTTAATGGGCATTTTAAGCACCTTAATTTATTTCCAACCATCAAAATTGTTTTCAAACCTCTTGTTTAGTTCAGAGATTCCTCTCCCACTTAAAATCTGCTTCAGATTGAAGGACAGAGAAGTAACATTGGTTAGCTCGAGTCTTATGCTCTCGGGGAGTGAGTCTGAGCTGTGGTGATGGAGAATCTATGTTTGTGGCTGTGGTTGGGATTCCTTAGTTTATATACTCAGTGTTTGGAAAGGCAGTAAGGGCTCTATGTTAGTGGTCAGACTTACAATTATTTCTGAAACCAAGTGAATGGAGGCTTGAAATAGGAAATTAGATCCAACGCACGTAATCTAGCCTTAAAGAGACGGTTTTTCAACTGAGCTCTGTAAGTTAATTCTAATTTCTTAGGTTCCTCTCATATTTTCTTGGCTGAATTTTTTTATTGCTTTATCTTTTCATTCATGTATCCATCCATCCATCCATCCACCCACGCACCCATCTAGTTAATGACTTCACTGAGCATCTTCTATGTGTCAGGCACTGTCTAGATGCTGGGAATACTTGGTATCCTGTCATGAAGCTGGTGGAGCCTCCCAGCTGTCTCCAGGTCATGCCTCCCCATACTTTTCTTTTCTTTTCTTTTCTTTTTTAGATGGAGTCTCGTTCTGTCACCAGGCTGGAGTGCAGTGGCGCGAGCTCGGCTCACTGCAACCTCTGCCTCCCAGGTTCAAGCGATTCTCCTGCCTCAGCCTCCTGAGTAGCTGGGACTGCAGGCATACACCACCATGCCCAGCTAATTTTTGTATTTTTAGTGGAGATGGGGTTTCACCATGTTGGCCAGGATGGTCTTGATCTCTTGACTTCATGATCTACCTACCTCAGTCTCCCAAAGTGCTGGGATTACAGGCATGAGCCACCGTGCCCAGCCCCTCATACTTTTCATTCATACGCTTTCTTATCTAACTCCCATACTGTCCCTGCAAGACTAGTCTGCTGGTATCAGGTTAGCAATTCCTCTCAAATTCTCATCACCATCTTGTCATTTATAGTTGCTACATTCCATTCCACCAAACATCACATTAAAAAAAATTTTTTTTCACCTGTAATCCCAGCATTTTGGGTGGCCTTAATTAACCTCAGCAAAAAGAGGAATTTAATTATAAGAATGCCAAGTTGTCTACTACAAACTAAGAAGAGAAATGGAGTTAGGTCTTAGGAATGACCTGGAATCAGAGAGTCAAAAATATCAAGATTCTCTCTATGTTTCTCATTGGTGATTTAACCTGGCTTATGTTTCTCTCCGCTCCCCGACTCTCTGCCTCACTCCTCATTTCCTTTCTTCTTGAGTTCATGTGGCAGAAAGCATGGTCACCAATAGCCCCCAAGTTGTTTTTTTGAGACGGAGTCTTGCTGTGTCGCCTAGGCTGGAGTGCAGTGGTGCAATCTTGGCTCACTGCAAGCTCTGCCTCCCGGCTTCATGCCATTCTCCTGCCTCAGCCTCCCGAGTAGCTGGGACTACAGGCGCCCACCACCACGCCTGGCTAATTTTTTGTATTTTTAGTAGAGATGGGGTTTCACAGTGTTAGCCAGGACGGTCTCGATCTCCTGATGTCGTGATCTGCCTGCCTTGGCCTCCCAAAGTGCTGGGATTACAGGCGTGAGCCACCGCGCCCGGCCAGCCCCCAAGTTTTACATGTTTCAGATTCTGCCATCCAGAGGACTTCCACCCCCCTCCTCCCTTTATTCTTTGTCCCATAATTCCTGGAAAAGACAATGATTGCTCTGGTTGGAACACGTTCCACTGCTGAACAAATCTATTGTGCTTGTGGGCTCTGTCATGTGGGAACATGGACATTCCTGCTGCAACCATGTGGGAGAAGGGGACAAAGAAGAGCAATTTCTAGAAAAAGGGCATGCAGTAAGCAATTTTATATGTGTGTCTTACAAACACCATACAAATATTTGAATACAGAAATGACCCTCTCCTGAAGCATCTCACTAGGCTACACGCTTCCAATTTTCCCAACCTTTTTTCAGTGATTTTGTTTTCACAAGGACAACTCCATCTTGTTCTCTTACTCTTTCAAATTTTATCATGGAAGTGTGACTTCTAGAACTCATTTCAATAGTTAGAGCTGATCAATACAGAGTTAAGATCACCTCTGCAAAAACCAGAGGGTTCCTAGGAGATCACTTCTCTAAGAACTTACTGACTTCCCCCACCCTGGAAGCTTTCATTATTGGTAGGAGTTATGATTCCAGACAAATTTTTCTATATAGAGACTTCAAGATGAAAGACTAATAATAACATTGGCCAAGGATGATCTGAATCTAAAGCAAAATGAAATCCTATTAATAATCTAATGGGAAAATTTTGCCCTGTGAACACTGAGCTATTACTAATACCAAACTTTTAGACATATATTGTCTCCTTTAGTAGCTAAAATTCATAAGCTACAAATGGTACATGCATATAGCAAATATTTTTTCTTTATATACTACTATACATCTCATACACAGTGCTACTTAAATGGTACTTCAAAATTTCTTTATGTTTATGACTAGTTTAAGTTTCATTATTTCTTAAATAACAAAATCATTTTCCCCATTGCACTATTTTATTTAATTCAATAAATAATCGTTGAGAACATACCAAAGGCATATCTAAAAGGTGTTATTCTAGGTACTGAGGCTGTGAAGGTGATTATGGCTTTTGAATAGCTTATAATCTAATGACACACATACATATACACATACACAATAGCAATGAGAGGTATATCATAGGCTCATCTAGGCCTGCCTGCTACAAAATCAGAAAACAACGAATACAGACCTAGGGCCATGTGAAAGGGCATTGAGCTGTAGTGCTTTGGGATTAGATAGATTTGCTCTTCAATCCAGTTTCTGTCAGCTACTCTCTGTTACTTGAACAAGTTAAATATCCTTTCTGAGTCTTATTCTTTTCCTTTGCAGAATATAAACTGTATTTATTTGATGATGTTCTTCTGTGAGAATTCAATGTCATAAAAGTATACAATATGCTATTCATTTGTTCATTCCAAAAACATTTAGAAGCTTTCATTATGTTGGAAGATTTAGATAAAAGAGTAACCAGTCATTGTGTAACATAATACATGCTGTTGCAGAGGACTAGATTTAAGAGTTTAGACTTTATTTTGAAATTAGAGACCATTGATGAGTTTCAAGTAAGATAACAAATTTTCAAATTTCCATTTTAGAGAAATAACTCTAGTTGTAATGCAGCAAGTAGATTGGAGCAGGCCGAGTCTGGAGGGCATGAGGCTTGTTTGTAGCTATTGCAGAAACCCTAGGCAAGTGATGATTGCAGACATCATCCACAATGACAAAATAGGACTGAAGCAAATCACAAAAACAGAAAATTAAACTGAAGAGGAGGGTCCTGTCATAAAATTTGCCAAGCAGTGGCTTCCTGATGGACTAAACATAGAAAAGGAGAGGAAGAAAGGGAACAGCATGACTCTGAGACACAGGTGTCAAGAGATACAGGAAAAGAAGTAGGTTTTCAGTGAAGGATAATGAACTCTGTTCTGACTATGTTGAATTTGAGGTGCCCATGGGACATCTAGATGAAGATTTCTAAATACATATTTGGATTTTGAAGAGAAGAGTTAAAGAGAGAAATCTGACCCAGAGATGTGGCTTTAGGTTATGTGAATTAGCTACGTAGTCCCTCAATTGCCATGCATTGGAATCTACTCCCAGTAGCTGCAGTGAACAGTGTGCACACAGATTGAATCCTGGAAACTTGTGATCAGTATGGTGGGATGGCCCATCTTACCTTTTATGAGTTCACCAAGAATTTTTCCTATTTAAAAGAACACCATGAATCCAGCCATTCATTCACTGCAAATCTAGCACAAAAAGATTGGCAACAAATTGTATTCAGGTAATAGATATCTCAGAGACCAATTATTAGTCAAATGTGGTAACACTGGGACTGATCATATCAGGAATTGGAAAAGAATGTCTGCTCCAAAAACTGTCATAGAGATACTACTACATAAGCAAAATATTAAAAATTGTGGTTTTAAAATTTATCATTAAGAGATTCAGAAATTTTATCAAAAATTCCAGGAAATCAGAGACTTCTGGTAATGCATGAGTCACAAGGAAGGGATTTCTCATCTGCTGGCCAAAGGTTGACTGTCTAATGATGAAAAGTCATTTTTGCCTCCTCTCCACTGATCCCTTATATTCAGTCAGTTGCAAACATTAGCAATTTGACCTCATAGATTATTCTCATTGGCTTTTCTCTTACCTTCAATTCCTTGCTCTGGCACTAATTATCTCAACTTGAGTTTTCACACTAGATTCCTTCCTGCTCTCAAGCCATTCTGCACATTCTAACTATACCACATTATTCCTTCCTGCTGTCAAACCATTCCGCATTCTAACTATACCACATTAATTTTTCTAAATCTTCCTAAACTCAACAAAGTCCAGGCTCTCAGAGTTCTTGACAGTACACCTCTATACGGGCTTTTCTAAATCATTCATTCATTCATTCATTCATTCAACAAACATTACAAATACATTTGAGAAGCTGGAAATTTTCTAAAAACATCTTGCATTCTCTTCTATTTACAGTTTTGCTGTTTCTTCTAACATGTCCTTTCTCCATCTTTTTCCTTATCCATCCCCCTCCTCACTGAGCTCTTACCTACCTGTAACACCCACCTTTGTCTTAGGATGCACATCCTTATCACACTAGGTGGAAATCCACCCAGCCCCCTTTTTTTAGTAGAGCCCGGTTTTGCAATTTTGCCCAGGCTGGTCTTGAACTCCTGAGCTCAAGCAATCCTCCTGCCTTGGCCTCCAAACGTGCTGAGATTACAGGCGTGAGCCACCGCGCCCGTCCCTCTCCTCTCCTCTCCTCTCCCCTCCCCTCCCCTCCCCTCCCCTGTCCTCTGCTCTCCTCTCTTTTATTTTCTTTTTTCGAGATGGAGTCTTGCTCTGTCGCCCAGGCTGCAGTGCAGTAGTGCGATCTCTGCTCACTGCAAGCTCCACCTCCTGGGTTCACGCCATTCTCCTGCCTCAGCCTGCCGAGTAGCTGGGACCATAGGCGCCCGCCACCATGCCCGGCTAATTTTTTTGTATTTTACTAGAGACGGGGTTTCACCGTGTTAGCCAGGATGGTCTGGATCTCCTCACCTCGTGACCGCCCGCCTCGGCCTCCTAAAGTGCTGGGATTACAGGCGTGAGCCACCACGCCCAGCCTTTTTTTTTTTTTTTTTTAAAGAAACTTTATTATACAGAATTTGTCATATCTTACGTTGAGGGACTTATGTAAAAATGTTATTTTCTCTACTCAAATATAAGCTCTCAGGGCAGGGAAATGTTATTTTCTTTTAGTTTTGCATCTTCTACAGTGTCTTCCACACAGAAGGTACTTATTAATTGACTGTTCAATGCATAATTGAGGCCACAAATTACGAACCTTTCTTACTTAAAATTTATGAATTTTAGCATTCTTCAGAGCTGTCCCTCCTTCCCCAGGAACAGTCAGTTTGGCTGGGGGATTATTCTGACAAATGTTCTGCTACAAATGAGTCTTATCTTTAATTTAAGTAATTGAAATTCAATTATTCAAATAAAACTTATTGAGAACTTCTTAAACCTCAGACACCATGCCAGGCTCTGAGGTTACAGATCTGAGCAAGAGACAATTGTGGCAGTAGAGAACTCTATAGTTAAAAGTCCTATAATAGGCCAGGCACAGTGGTTCATGCCTGTAATCCCAGCAAGTTGGGAGGCCGAGGTGGGCGGATCACCAAAGGTCAGGAGTTCGAGACCAGCTTGGCTAACATAGTGAAACTCCATCTCTACTAAAAATGCAAAAATTAGCCGGGCGTCATTGTGGGCACCTGTAGTCCCAGCTGTTCGGGAGGCTGAGGTAGGAGAATTGTTTGAAGGAGGTTCCAGTGAGCCGAGATCATGCCACTGCATTCCAACCTGGGCAATAGAGCGAGACTCTGTCTCAAAAAAAAAAAAAAAAAAAAAAAAAAAAAAGAAAAGAAAAGAAAAGAAAAAGTCCTATAATAAAAACATGAACTTAATGTAATGGTGAGGGATTTTTGAGAAGGGAGCTCTAACCTTACTTGGAGAAGGTGGAAAATGATCGACACATCACTTTGTATAACACTTCACTTACTTGCCAATGCAGGTGTTTTTTTAACTTTCACTCAGTAGAATTTATTGAGTACCCAACGCTGTGTTTGTGCACTCTGCCAGCAGCTGAAATATGTTTATTTTTATATAATTAATAAACATATTTACATAAGATTCAAGAATTTAACTTATTGTATCAGACATTATTTTAAACACTTCATAGACAATATCCCATTTAATTTTTATGACAATTTGATGGAGTATTACTAAATATATCCCTTTTATAAGTTAAAAAACTCCCAGGCACAAGGACCCTAAGTTGATTTCCTACAATCACGTTAATTGTCAGGACTGGGATCTAAACACAAGTTGTTCTGCTTTCATAGCCCATTTAAAATCTTATCATATTACACTTTCAAAATCATCTCGAAAGACCATAAATTTGAAAAAAAAATTTGGAAAAATTACCCCAATAATTTGACATTTGAACTTTTTAAAATTGATTAAAGTAAGCCTAGAAAGACAGTCACTCTTTCTTTAGGATAAAAAGTAGGTTCAATGTAGTAAAGCATTTCAGGTACTACTTAAAGTATGAAACAATCAGTAAACCAAACCCTCCTCACAAAAGATATGTATAAACATTGTAAGATATGTGTAAACATGAGATTCTTACAAATATCAGAAGAGAGAACTACCTTATGTTTTCATTCTGAAAATGATCATATAATTTCACTTTATTGTTATATTTCTTTTATTGTCAAGATTTAACTTCTATTCAGAAGTATTAAAGAATAGGATTTCTATTGTTGCAAACCTTGAAAATTATCGTAATTTATTGCCTTTTCCCTTAGCTGTAGTTTTGGTGGGAAGGATGTCTTTAATTATAAACCTTAAGTCAAGACTTTCTCCTTCGAGGCTGGGCTTGGTGGCTCACCCTTGTAATCCCAGCACTTTGGGAGGCCGAGGCGGGCGGATCATGAGGTCAGGAGATCGAGACCATCCTGGCTAACACGGTGAAACCCCATCTCTACTGAAAATACAAAAGATTAGCCGGGTGTGTTGGCGGGCGCCTATAGTCCCAGCTACTTGGGAGGCTGAGGCAGGAGAATGGCGTGAACCCAGGAGGCGGAGCTTACAGTGAGCTGAGATTGTGCCACCCTACTCCAGCCTGGTGGACAGAGTGAGACTCTGTCTCAAAAAAAAAAAAAAAAAAAAAAAGACTTTGTCCTTTGAGTTCCCATAGCTCAGAATCCTCCCTTTGTTCCTGTGACAGTCAATTTCCAATAAAAGGACTTGGTTCTCTACACACGGTGGATTTAGATAATTGATTTTTTTCCATTTTCTTAGTTGTAAAATACTTATAACTTAAAATATACCATCTTAAAAATTTTTAAGTGTATCATTCAGTAGTATAAAATATATTCATAATGCCTGCAAGCGTCCATTTCGAGAACATTCCAGAACACCACCATTCATTTCCAGAACAATTTTTATCTTGTAAAACTGACACTCTACAGCCATTAAACAATAACTCCCCCTACCCCACTCCTCTCTATCCCTTAGCAACCACCATTCTACCTTCTTTCTCTATGATGTTCTCTACTCTACGTACCTCATTTAAGTGGAATCATATAATACTTGTCTTTTTGTGATTGACATTTCGCATAGCATAATTTTCTCAAGGTTCATCTATGTTGTAGTAGATGTCAGAATTTCCTTCCTTTTAAGGCTGAATACTTTTTCATTACACACAGACTTTCTGCTTATCCATTCATTTGTCAATGGACACTTGGGTTGCATCCACGTTTTACCTATTGTGAATAATGCTATGAACATGGGTGTACAAATATCTGTTCGAGTCTCTGCTTTCAGTTCTTTTAGATTGTTGGATTATACAATAACTCTATTTTTTTCTTTTTTTTTTTTTGGAGACAGAGCCTTGCTCTGTCACGCAGGGTGGAGTGCAGTGGCATGATCTTGGCTCACTGCAACCTCTGCCTCCTGAGTTCAAGCAATTCTCCTGCCTCAGCCTCCCAAGTAGCTGGGACTACAGGCGCATACTGCCACACCCAGCTAATTTTTTGTATTTTAGTAGAGAAAGAGTTTCACTGTGTTGCCCAGGCTGTTCTCGAACTCTTGAACTCAGGCAATCTGCCTGCCTTGGCCTCCCAAAGTGCTAGTATTACAGGCATGAGCCACTGTGCCTGGCTATGATAACTCTATTTTTAATTTTTTGACAAGCAGCCATTCTCTTTTCCATAGGGACTGTAATATTATACATTCACCAACAGTGCACAAGCATTCCAGTTACTCCACATCCTTACCAACACTTCATATTTTTTGTTCTTTTGATAGTAGCCATCCTGATGGGTGTGAGGTGCCATTTCATTGGTGTTTTGTTTTGCATTTCCCTAAGGATTAGTAATGTCAAGCATATTTTCAAAAGCGTATTAGTCATTTGTGTATCTTTCATGGAGAAATGTCTATTTATGTCATTTTCCTATTTTTGAAATGAGTTTTTGTTGTAATTGCTGTTGAGTTTTAGGAATTCTTTATGTATCCCAGATATTAATTACCTATTAGATGTATGATTTGCAGATAGTTTATCCCATTTTCTGGGTTGTGTTTTTACTCTGTTGATAATGTCTTTTGATGTAGAAAACTTCTAAATTTTCATGAAGTTAAATTTGTCTATTTTTTATTTTGTTGCCTGAGCCTTTGTCTTTATATCTAAGAAATCATTGTCATACTTAATGTCAGAAGCTTTTACCTTATGTCTTCTTCTTCTAAGAGTTGTTATAATTTTAGAGCTTATATTTAGGTATGATCAATTTTGAGTTAATTTTTGTATATGATGTTAGATAATGGCCCAATTCTATTCTCTTTTGTATGTGGCTATCCAGTTGTTTCAGCACTATTTGTTGAAAAGAATGTCCTTTCCCCATTAAATGATCTTGGCAATCTTGCCAAAAAATTATTGACCACACATATGTCAGTTTATTTCTGGCCTTTCTATTCTATTCCATTGATCTACATATCTGTTTCCATGGCAGTACCACATTGTTTTGATTACTGTAGCTTTTGTAGTAAGTTTTGGAATCAGGAAGTCTGTGTCCTTCAGCTTTGTTGGTTTTTTTTTTTTTTTTTTTTTTTTTGATTGTTCTGTCTCTTCAAGTTTCCTTGAAACTCCTTATGAATTTTAGGGTGGGTTTTTCAGGGTTTTTTTTTTGTTTGTTTTGTTTTTTTCAAAAAAAGTTACTGAAATTTTAATAGGGCTTAGATGGAATCTGTAGGTCTTTTGGGGGTATTATTGACATTTTAACAATATTAAGTCTTCCATTTCATGAACATGGGATATGTTTGCATTTATTTATATCTTTAATTTTTTCAGTAATAATTTGTAGTTTCCATTGTACAAGTATTTCACCTCCTTGGTTAAGTTAATTCCTAAGTATTTTTTTCTGTTTGATGCTATTGTAAATGAAGTACATTTTATTATCAGAAAATTATCAGCAAATTTTCTCTTGCTGCTTTCAAGACTCTTCATCTTTTGAAAGTGACTATAATGTGTCTGGTGTGTGTCTCTTTGATTTCTTCTTACTTGGAGTTTATTGAGCTTCTTGGATGTATGTATACTCATGTCTTTCATCAAATTTTGGAAGTTTTCAGCTATTATCTATTCACATATCCTCTCTTCCCTTTTCTCTTTGTCTTCTCCTTCTTTGACTGCCATAATAGTCATGTTGGTTGGCTGTTTACTTTTCTTTAATCTTTTTTCTTCCAGTTTTTCAGGCTTGATAATTTCCATTGTCCTATCTTTAAATTTGCAGATTATTTTTTCTGCTTGCTTAGATGTATTTTTGAACCCCTCTAGTAAATTTTTAAATTCAGGTATTTTACTTTTTAGCTCCAGATTTTATTTTTTGTTTCTTTTTTGGTTTCCTAGCTCTTTATTGATATTTCCCTTTTTTTCTCACATGATTTGCTTTGCTTTCTCTACATCTTCCTTTAGTTCTTTGAGCATATTTAAGAGAGTTGATTTAAAGTCTTTGTCTCGTATATCTACATCAGGTCTTTTTCAGGAACAGTTTTGATTTATTTATTTATTTTTCCTTTGAATGAGCAATCCGTTTCTTTTTTTTTGGTGTGCCTTATGATTTTTTGTTGAAAATTTAACCTTTGAGTTGAATAATGGGGTAACCCTGAAAATCAGATTCTCCCCTTATCCAGGGTTTGCTGTTATTTTGTTATTTTTAAAAATATTGTTGCAGTCTATCTCTGTGCCTGGAATCATGCTGAGGTGTTAACTTAAGGTCTTCCCAGGTCTTTTCTGAGTCTGTGTCTTTTTCTGGGCAGGCACAGTTATTTAATAATTTTCCCCATATATGCAGTTGCTTTTTGATATGGTTTGTCTATGTGTCCCCACCCAAATCTCATGTTGAATTGTAATTCTCAATGTTGGGGAGGGAACAGGTGGGAGGTGATTGGATAATGGGGATGAATTTCCCCATGCTGTTCTCACGATAGTGAGTAAATTCTCACAAGATCTGATGGTTTAAAAGTGTGTGGCACTTCCCTGCTTACTCTCTCTCTCTCTCCTGCCACCACATGAACAAGGTGCTTGCTTCCCTTTCACCTCCCACCATGACTGTAAGTTTCCTGAGGCCTCCTAGTCATGCTTTCTATTAAGCCTGTGGAACTGTGAGCCAATTAAACCACTTTTCATTATAAATAACTCAGTCTCAGGTAGTTCTTTATAGCAGTGTGAAAACAGACTGATACAGAAAATTGGTACCAGGAGTGGGGCATTGCTATAAAGATACCTGAAAATGTGAAAATGACTTTGTAACTGGGTAATGGGCAAAGTTTGAAATAGTTTGGAGGGATCAGAAGTCAGGAAGATGTGGGAAAGATTGGAACTTCATAGAGACTTGTTGAATGATTGTGACCAAATAGCTGATAGTGATATTAAAAATGAAGTCCAGGCTGAGGTAGTCTCAGATGAAGATGAGGAACTTATTGGGAACTGGAGAAAAGGTCACTCTTGCTATGCTTTAGCAAAGAGACTGGTGGCACTGTGCCCCTGCTCTAGGGACCTGTGGAACTTTGAACTTGAGAGAGATAATTTAAGGCATCTAGCATAAGAAATTTCTAAGCAGCAAAACATTCAAGACGTGGCCTGGCTGCTCCTAAAATCCTATGCTCATTTGAATAAGCAAATAAAACTTATATTTAAAAGGAAAGTAGAGTGTACAAGTTTGGAAAATTTGCAGCCTGACCATGCAGTAGAAAAGAAAAGCCCATTTTCAGGAAAGAAATTCAAGCTGACAGCAAAAATTGATATAACTAAAGAGGAGCCAAATGTTAATAGCCAAGACAATGGGAAAAATGTCTTCGGGTCATTTCAGAGATCTTCAAGGCAGTTCCTCCCATCACAGACCCAGAGGCCTAGAAGGGAAAAATGGTTTCTTTGGCTAGGCTTAGGGCCCCACTGCTCTGTGGGGCCTCAGGACATGGTGCCCTGGTGTCCCAGCCACTCCAGCTGCAGCAATGGCTAAAAGGTGCCAAGGGACAGCTCAGGCTGTGGCTTCAGAGGGTGCAAGACCCAAGCCTTGGCAGCTTCCATATGGTGTTGGGCCTGTGGGTGCAAACACGAGAATGTGCAGGAAGAAGTCTGCTGCAGAGTTGGAGCTTACATTGAGAACCTCTGCTAGGTCAGGGTGGAGGGGAAGTGTGGAGTTGGAGCCCCCACACAGAGTCCCCACTGGGGCACTGCATCAGGAAGCTGTGTGAAGAGGGTCACTGTCCTCCAGACCCCAAAATGGTAGATATATTGACAGTTTTTACCATGTTCCTGGAAAAGCCACAAGCACTCAATGCCAGCCAGTGAAAGCAGCCAAAGGGGCTGTTCTCTGCATGCTGTGGGAGGGACCTGGTGGGTGGTGATTGGATTATGGGGCCAGGTTTTCCTAATTGTTCTCATGCTAGTGAATTAGTTCTCAAGACGTCCGATGGTTTAAAAGAGTGCGGCACTTCCACCCTTGCTCTGTCATTCCTGCCACCATGTGAAGAAGGTGCTTGTTCCCCCTTTGCCTTCCACCATGATTGTAAGTTCCCTAAGGCCTCCCAGTCATGTGTCCCTTTAAGCTTGCTGAACTGTGATCCAATTAAACTTCTTTTCTTTATAAATTTCCCACTCTCGGGTAATTCTTGATAGCAGGTGAAAATGGACTAATACATTTTTGAATTATTATTATTATTAGTCTTTACTCTCTGGCTCCCCAAATAAGACAAGGAGAAAAATGAAGGGTGCAGGAGGGTGCCAGCCCTTTAAATCTTCTGAAAGTCACTTCAGCCAGAAGGGGAGGGGCTTGAAATAATGAGAGGAGATGCAACAACAATGGCTGCCTTATTATGAGCAGAAACAAAAATTAGTAATCAGAGATCAGATCTCTAATATTTGGAAGACTGGGTGCCTTTTGCCCACAGTGACTCCTTCTAGCTACATGCAAGCTGCTCTTAGAATACGCATAAGGCTGCCTGCCAGAGATGGGGGTTGATTATGAATGGCTGTTACTGTGCTAATTGGTGAAATTGACTAAAACTAACTGTAATTATCATCTGCTATGACCTGAATGTCTGTGTTCCCCAAAATTCATATGTTGAAACCTATGCAATAGTATTAAGAGGTGGGACCTTTATAGGGTGATTAAATCATGAGGGCTCCTAGTTCTCTTATTTATTAGTGCCCTTTAATAAAAGAGGCCTGAGAGAACTTTTTTGTCCCTTCTACCATATGAGAATACAGGAAAAAGTGTGGTTTATGAGGAAGCAGACCTCACTAGATACCACCGGTGCCTTGATCTTGAACTTACCAGCCTCTAGAACAATAAGGTATAAATTTCTATTCTTGATAAGTCTAAAGTATTTTGTTATAGCAGCCTGAGCAGACTAAAACATCATCCAAGATGTTCCTTGAAAATTGCAATCCTTCAATAAACTACAGAGTTCCAAAATAGTTACATCAGACAGGTTCTGCCAATGCAATTGTTGTGTAGGTGGAAGACAGATTCCTGATGTTTTCTACTTTGCCATCTTCACAGAATCCTCTCAGAAAATTTGATTTTATTATTTTTTTTAGATGGGAGAGCAATTGGAACTTGCCACTTGTTACTTTATTGATCCTTAAGGCTTTCTAAAAAATTATTTCCCTGTGAGGAGATCAAACTCTAGATTTTGAATTTACTTTATCTTTTAAATAACAATGTAAATGTATTTATTTATACCAAGAGAGATGCTAAGTGGCTCAAAATATCCATATTGCTTATTTATTGTTTCAGTTTCATAAGAAGTAAGCTTTCTTCCTAAAAAAATCAGCAGGTTATTTGGAAGATTATGGAACAGTATATATATTATGAAGAACTATATATTAATAATGTATTCATAAATACACTTAGAAAGTCTACCAGTGTATCGCAAATTGTTAACAGTGTTTACATTTAGAGGTTGAAATTATAAGGGGACTTCCACTCTCTCTACACTTAATTTCATTTTTTAAAAAAGATTCTATATTATCAAGAAAAAAACCCCTTTAATACAGATATTTACATTTTGAAAAGAAACCCCTACTGAGTTCAATCAGAATAAAGGTAGATGGATTATCTTGAAGGAGACTGCCAGCCCAAACTGGTGGGTTTGGTCTTCCCTTTTCAAATGAACCAGGTTAATTGTAGTATGCTGCAAGAATATTCTTTCCTTTGGTCATATTTGCTGTATCCTTGACATAAGGATACATTCAAACTTTCTTTTATGAATACCCTTTATCAGTTACCAAAAGTTTCATTCTAAAGAGCATTCACAACCCACCTAGCACATGGTAGGTGTTCAATAAATATACTGGATGAATGACTGCATGATGACATTGACACACTTTCATAAGTCACTTTCAGGTGAACACCAGTTGTCACATCCTTCTCATCAGTTATACAGTGAAAGTTTGGGTTATCCTGGGAGGCTTAATAGAGCTACTGTTTATTGATTCTTATACCTACTTTTTACATTTGGTGATACAGATTTATTTTAGGGTCTCCAATACTATATCCACTTAACACAGGTGATGTCCACATTTGGATGGGAAAATTTTCATACCATGACCTTAAGTAGTGTGAGGGAGCTGTAGCTGGCAAACCTTCTGCCTTAGGAAACATTGCGCCAAGCTGACATGGAAGATGAAAATGAGTAGCTGAGTTGGTAGGCATCAAACTTTCAAGTGCTGACAGCTATGGGCTTCATGGTACTTGGATGCTAACAGAAAGTGAGCCACTTCCATTATAAAAACATCATTATAAGTGTATTGAAAATATTGTAACCAGAGATGAGGTGTGAATTAGAGGAGGAGAGAGAGGTAGAGGTAGAGGTAAAAGGAAAAACAGAAAAGAAAGATAAGGTAGGAGGAGGGAGAAATAACAACCTAAATCTCAATAGCTAGAGAGAACTGCAGTTAACATTTTGATTTAAGCACAGACACACAAATACACACACAGTCACTTCAGCACTTTCTGTAAAATTGGCAAGTGAACAAAACTTGGACAAGATCCCCTCAGTTGTAAGCATGTCAAGTTTATCATAGTCGTGAGGCATTTAGGAAGATGTGTTTAAGATACAGTAAAGTTTATGCCCAAGTACGAAAGAAGGGGAAAGGAGCAGTTGAGTGAGTGGTATTTCTAGGAGTTGTCAATCTCCTAGGTGTCTGAATATAGACATCATAGAAGAGAAGAAACTGACTGAGTAGATCTGGGGCCATCAGCACAGAGTGAGGCAAAAATAAAAATGGCCTTGTAAATGAGAAAATTGAAAAAAAGTACTCCGATGGGACGAAGTAGATTAAAACTTGGAGCCTAAGATTTTAAAATACAGAGTTACCTATTAGGGAGAATATATAAAATACATACTATTTTTACAATTGACAGTTATGATATGGAGACTGCTTTGGGAGGGGATCAAGGGGTCACTTTAGTCATAGGCATTATTGTCTGCCACTTTATTTTTTGGTGCTGCTCCACATTATACAACATGAATACTGTGTAGTTATGGATCTTTGGCTTCTAAGGTAAGGCCTATTATGGGCTGACATACAGGTATGTGATATGGGGCTGGTACCTTAAAGAATATGTTTGTGTGGAGAGGATGCAGACAGAGAAGCCATGAGTGGTTTCTGTGGGTGCTCTAAGAGGGAGAGGATCACTCTGTAGCACATTCTTGAATTTTCTTATTTTTCTGTCTTCACTCCATTTCTGATCATCACACGTGATGCAGTCATAAGGAGAAAAGAAAAGTCCAATGTGTCCATGATAGGATAGTGATATTTTTGTTCAATAGTTTTATAGCATGCATATAGCATGACAATATGCTAGACTGATTGCCACTGCTAATTGTATCGATCATTTTGCTATGTTACAACTTTAGAATTTTAGTAGTCTATAATATTCACATTTCCTTCTTTCCCGCATTACATAAAGGCTGAGAGTTGACTGCAGGTCTGCTGTGGGCCATCTTCAAGTTCAGTCCATGTGTCCTCTCATTTCTGGACCTAGGCTGATGGAGTGGCCCTTTTCTGGGACATATGTTCTTGTGGCAGGAGGCAAGAGCACAAGAGGTTGTGCCGACATCTGTAAAACATCCATTGACATAACTGGTCTTAACAGTGAGGTAGAAGATATATTCTGCCTAGAAGGAGGCTTCATAAGGGTGGAGGTTTTTAATCTGCTTACAGAGGAGGACAAGAATAATTGTGAATAATACTAAGATGTACCAAATTAATCAGCTAGAGCTTAATTTTATGATAGTGGTCTTTGGGGGTACTTGGGGATACTACCATGGGAAGGAAAAAAGTCTTTGATTGCAGTTAAAGCAAAAGAAAAGATTCTCAAAGTGTCTCATGTCCATCCATTCCTAATTATATCACATAATTTTACCACAAAAATTAAAAATGAATTCAATATTTAAAATTCAAATATAATTAGAATTGCAAAGAATACAACAATATTAAAAATGCAAAGGAATGCAAATATAAATCATGTAATTTATCTTTTTGACATACCTTGTCTGTAGAGACTTGTGCCGACGTAATTTCATCTTGTTTAGTTTGCAGATAAAAAGATAATCCCTGATACTATGTAAATTACATTGTGAAAAGCTCTTCTAGACCATTATATAGAAAAAAAAACAGCTGGGCTTCTTACACTATCTACCAGTAGTAAAGGAAATGAAAAAAAAAAATACAGTTTGACCTACCTACATGTTTCATCTTGATTGAGTTAGCAATTTACCCCTCAACATATTTTTCTTTGGATTGCTTACTTAACCATTTTAAGACGACATGCAGCAGTTGTACTTCAGAAGTATGCTATCAGCAGTCTCCTTCTTTATAGTAACTGTTCTCTGTAACCAACTTCCCACTGCCTGTGATTGAAAAGTCTAAGATATTAAGGTCTGAAAATTGAGGTTTTGAATTGAAAGGAAAACACCCCAATTTTGACTATAGTGCAGGACTTTGGTTTTTTAACATTATTTTATAGGAATCTTTGTAAAGAATATTTTCAAATTTGATGTTACTTTTACCTTAGTTCTTTCAGGGAATGAAATAGAAGTATTAAGCTTAAAATGTTAAGGTTCATGTGAATATGAATGCATATTTTGTTAGTGTAGTTATTTTCCATTGGAAACTTTTACAACCAATAGGAAATTAATAGTACCATCATCATAGGCCTTTGTTGATTGCTTTGGGAATTAAGTACTAAATGGTATTTTACCATCCTTTATGGAAGACCAGAGTCAAATTCCACCCTCATTTAAGAGGCTTTCTTCAATTACAGTGGTCCTCATCCTCAATAAACTCTCTAAACTGTGAGACTGTTTTTTTTTTCTCTTCTCACAAAATCTATCATGTATTCTAAATTGTACAATTCATGGATCAGAGCCAGCCTGAATGTGTTTAACCTTGTCCCAGCTCCCTGCATGGGCTTGGCAGGTAGTGGCTCTAAATCTGTTTGTTGAAGGAATGAATGTGTTTCAAGTTCAAATTGAAATGAGTTATTTCAAGTTCAATTTTTTTTTAAAATGATACAGCTATGAATTCTTTGAACAAAGGAGTGTATGGTATTCCTATATATGTATGGAGGGCCCCACCTGGTATCTTGCACACAGCAGATAAGTTGTTGAATTGAACTAAACTATTAATTTTAACCACAACTTAGTACCACCCAGCTGTGTTAACAAAATCTCTAGATACTTAAAACTGAAATGAGCAGGCTGGGCACGGTGGCTCATGCCTGTAATCCCAGCACTTTGGGAGGCCGAGGCAGGCGGATCACCTGAGGTTGGGAGTTTGAGAGCAGTCTGGCCAACATGGTGAAACCCCATCTCTACTCAAAATACAAAATTAACTGGGCGTGGTGGCGCATGCCTGTAATCCCAGCTACTAGGGAGGCTGAGGCGGGAGAATTGCTTGAACCTGGGAGGCGGAGGTTGCAGTGAACCGAGATCACGCCATTGCACTCCAGCCTGGGCAACAAGATTGAAACTCTGTCTCAAAAAAAAGAAATGAAATATTAGACAGTAAATGGGACAAAGAAAAAAATGGGATGAGTGATTATTTTTTGTGAATAAAAATAGCAATCGATATTTAAAGAATATCATATTTGAATCATGGACTCTTTAAAGTTGGAAGAAGGCTTTGAGGCCTTTCCAAAACATCTAGGACATTATGTATTCCAATGTCACATGGCCTTGGTTCCAGTCTTGAATCCTTCATAGGTGTGGCCTTGGTCCATTTATCTAAACCCTCTTTGTCTCACCTCTAAAGTGATCATCTTGAATCACCTCTAAAAATGATCATAACAGCATCTACTTCATAAGATTGCTGTGAGGATTACATGAGGCAATGCAAGAAAAATATTCAGCTTAGTATGAGGCAGAGTAAGTGCCTAACAAAAGTAAGTTATCATATTGTTGTTTCTGTTTTTATTATGTGTAGGACACCTCTGGCATGCAAAGAACCATGGGAGGATGCAGAAATAGGAAATGGCCTCAGAAGTTCATTACTACTGCTAATTGTTTTTTAAAATGAACCTTTTCTGAGAACTTATTATTTAGTTGACATTATGTAAAATACTGAATCCATTATCCTCATGCTCAACACAACTGTTTAATGAATGTGGAAACTGAGACTTAGGAAGGCCAAATATCTCACTGAAGGTCACCCAAAAAGTACGTGGAAGAGATGGGATTCAAATCCAGTTCTCCCGGCTAAAGCCTGCAGTTTGTGCTCTCTCATAGGAAACACGTCCAAAAGTTATGTAAGGAGGGAGCAACGACAGTTCTATTGCAAAGTAGGTATCATTAGGAAGGGGAGATCATTTTGCATTGGGAGTGATTGTGGAAAACAGGGAAAGTGACATTGGATAAGCAGAATTTTCATAATGAAAGGTAAAGGGAGAGTTTTAGTTTGAACCATATGAACTCATTTTTGTAGGTCAAAAAGTCAAATATTCATAATTTTATATGATTCCACCTAAGAAATATTTGTGGTAAGAGTGATGACATGGAAAATACTTAAAAAATGGGGCATTTTAATCCTTTACCAGGCTCACCATTTTCAAATGAGGGCTCCTGAACGTTATAGAGAAAGGGGAAAATCAGAAATGTGAACAGCTTAGAGTACAGGGATTCTGGGAAGAGGAGAATGAATCTTTTTTTTTTTTTTTTTGAGACAGTGTCACTCTGTCGCCCAGTCTGGAGTGCAGTGGTGTGATCTCGGCTCACTGCAAGCTCTGCCTCCCGGGTTCACATCATTCTCCTGCCTCAGCCTCCCGAGTAGCTGGGACTACCATACTCGGCTAATTTTTTTTTTTTTTTTTTTTAATTTTTAGTAGAGACGGGGTTTCACCATGTTAGCCAGGATGGTCTCAATCTCCTGACCTCGTGATCCGCCCTCCTCGGCCTCCCAAAGTGCTGGGATTACAGGCATGAGCCACTGTGCCTGGCTGAGAATGAATCTTCAATCAGATGAAATTCAAGAATAAATTGCTAATGCCATGATTGTTAATCTATAGGTATTTTAAGCCAGTTTTAATATGTCTTTTTATTTTTAGGCAACTTATATAAGATATAAACAAATGATTTACTTAAAATTGTAATAAACAGTAGGGGCAATGAAGATGTTTCTAGGTTTCCATCAAGCATTTTAGGATTAATCTGAACACACAACATTCATCATTTCAAGAAGAGACATGTATCAGACATAAATAACATTGCAAAAATCTCTTCTGCATCAAATTCACCAAGAAGATTTCTTTGACGCAAAGTACACAGATTTTACTCCATATAGGAAAAGAAAGATTTTATACTTTTCTGATTGGAAAAATAGAGACAAAACTGGGCATTTAAGGGCTATCTGTATTTCCATTTTTGGAATGGACTCATCTGCTTTGCTGCCGGAGAGTGATCACTTATCTGGAGAGTTAACATTTCTGCCCGGCACTTTGTTCTGAATGAGCACAGCCTGCAATGCAGAAACAGTTTTTCAGAAGGAAGCGAGAGTGACATTATTTGCCAGGAATCTCAAGGACAGGGCTCTTTCCACCCCCCCTAAGGTCACGCTCCAAGGCTCTTTTAAACTATCTCAAAGAAATTATGTTTTATTTCTGGAGACCTCTGGAGATGAGAAAAGGACACTGATGTATACCAACATTGTTATATACTAGGCAATGTTCTTTGATCCTTTAGATACTTTATTTCATTTAACTTCTCCACAGCATTATTATTACTACTACTATTGTTATACCATTATTATTTTAACATGTAAAACGAGGCTTAGAAAAAAAAAAGAGGCCTACAGCCACATCCTTTGATTCAAACCCTTGTCTTACTAACTCCAAAGTCCATTCTGTCTGTTTTACCTCACAGTGAGTGCCTCACAGCCAGAACTCTTCCACCTCAGCTTGGTCTACTCATTGCAATGTTTAACAATTCTACTACCAACACTGTCCTCCTAAATCAACAGCTCATAATTGAGAGTAATTTTGTCATCAGAGGACATTTGGCAATTCTGGGAGACATTTTTGGTTGTCACAATTTGGGGCAGTGAAAACTGGCAGGTAGCTGGTTGAGTCCAGGAATGCTGCTGAACACCCTGCAGTGCACAGGACAGCCCCCACGACAAAGAATTATCCCACTCCATTGTCATCAGTGCCAAGGTTGTGAAGCTGTGGCCCAAGTCTTACATGCTTCTTAATCCCCTCACCCATCCCTATATTTCCTTGTTCTGGAAATTTTTGCCTACCTTCTGACAATCCATTTTTATTTCTAGACAATTAGAAAAACTGAATAATGAATGTAATCTTCTCGTTATGAAACTTTCATTAATATATTTTGTAGAGGTGATTGGCTAGACACTGCACAGTGGAAATGGATCTGTTTCTTTCTATTAGGAGCTTATAACCTTAGGTAGGCTTCTTTACTAAAGCCTAGAAGAGAAGCCAGCAGGAATACAGCTATGCTAAACTCACACACATCTTAGGGAAGGCTTTGAATTCTCAGAGGTTAATGAGAAAGGGAAAATGTTTTCAGGTGAAGAATGGAGGGTTATGGGGAGGGCAGTAACACATCCCTTGGGGGAGCCAAGGAAGTCATCACCTTCTCCCTGCTAGGTGTAGGATAGTCACGTGGAGGATGCCAAATTTCAGAACCTACCAACGGTAGGAAGAAATTTGTTCTGGGGGCAGTGCCGGATGTACACTGAACATACACGATGCCAATACATACATGTATGCACCCATTTTTTCTTTTACAACTTGTTTTTGGTTTTACTAATGAATAATCCTGCAAATGATCTAACTCTCTCTTGTCCTTTGCTTTGCCTGTGTAAACACAGCAACAAGCAAACAGTAATTCAGTTATACCCTGTACTTGCAGCCCTCTTAATTGTTTTAAATTCTTTAAACAAAAAGCTAATATTTATTTGCCATTTTTTACACAACAGCTTTATTTGGGACATGCACTCACAATCCTCCAAGAACAAATAGCTGTATAGATTTCCACAAGGCCCAAAGCAAACATAATATATAGAAAGACAAGCTTCCCAAATCCTGTATTCTTAGATTTCTAATTCCGTTAAGTGTGGCTTTAATATGCAGTCTAAGGCCTTTCCTGGTTGCATTATCTCTGAGCAGCCACAAGAGGGAGTGTGAAGAACGCAATGCTCTGTGGAACCGCGATTACAGAAACCGTTTCCTTTAGTCCACAGCAGAAGCATCCGCAGCTTCCTGTATTCTGAGCAGAAGTAAGAGACACTTAGAACAGTCACTTGCATGTCCTCTTAACGTTCAGTTTACTCGGAAGAGGGAGAAAGGGAGGTTCTGAAGGTTCCTTGAGATTTCCTGTCCTTGGTTTGTAAACGATGCCTGAGGGAGATTTGGCAATATCAGCCCACACAGGCGTTGGGCTCCATTTGATTTAGCTGAATTTTTACCATGCCAAAAACGGCCAAGGCTACTGGGGTGACTTGGGGTTTGAGTGGAATTAATCACTTTAAGTTTGATTTTTCCACAGTGATTCATTTCCTTCAAAAAGGATCTTGATGATTTAGTTTGCCTTTGGCATTTTCAAAGGAAGAGAAATCAACATTCTCTCTTTTCTTTCAAAATAGAACAGGGAATGGAAATCAGAGCCCCAGGTCTCCTCCCCTCGCACCTTCACTCTGTTTATGCGCTATTGCCACAGGTGGGTGTCCTACAGAAAGCTCAAGTGCTTCCAAGAATACTCAGACAATTGCTATCAAGTAGGGCACTCAGGAAAGAGGACACTGATGGAATATTGGGGTCTCGTAGGGCGGTAGTTCTCAAACTTGGGCATAGATCAAAATCACTCAGAATACTTCCTTGTTCAAACACAGAGCTCAGTTTCGATTCAGTAGGTCTGAGATAGGGGCTGAGAATCAGCATTTTTAACAAGTTCTCAGGTGATGCTGAGGTTGCAGTTTGGAGAACACACATTGAGAATCACTGCTCTGAGGAGTATTCTACGGAGAAATCCCTAAGATTTCTCCATTAATCCTGAGAATGGGGCCTGAGAATCTGCAGCACACTGGTCACAGTAACGATGTGCTCCCACGTGGGATTGGTGCCTGAGATTCTGATCCCGGCTTCTAAGGCAACGACGACTATTTCCCACTCGTACCTCCTTGCAGACTCTAATGCTCCATGAAAGCTAGACTTCTGAATTAAACAAAATCTTCAGACTGCTTCCCCAGAATACTTTAAACCACTGAGCTTCCCTGCCACAACGTCTCACAACCCTGCTGATAGCTGTGGCCTCTGTTTTGAAATCTGAATGCATGGGAGGATGTATAGGCAGATGCATTCTCTACTAAGTGGATGCAATTTGCCAGAGTTTTCTACATTGACTCAATTTCTGGGTGACCTTGACAAGTTACTTTATCTCTGGGTATGTTCTATAAAATGGGAACAACAGCTGCACTTAAGGGTGGCACGTGGGTTGAATGAGCTAATACTTAAACAGTGATTAGGACAGTGGCTCTCACATTGTTCTCAATAAATATTAGCTATTACTGTTACCCTTCACCTTCACTTCTAGTATCGATTTCCTTATCTGGAAACTTGAACTAAAAAGCCTCTCAATTTCTGAGAGTGTATTCTTGTGCTGTGTTATTGGAATATTGGAAGTATGATGGAATTACCTTTAAACCTTTCACCTGGCTGAATGATATGGCCTGACCGCCACGCAGAGGTCAGTGATCAGGTGTAAAGGTCAATTATAATTTCTAAACCACATAGCTTGTTCCAGGTTTATTAATTTTGAACAGTCTGTGGTGCTGACTGTATGACCTTTGTAGCAGGTTAGAACTTACTTGAAACCGTTATTCTTTCTGCGTTACAAAATAACAGGAGGAAAAATAGGAAATGTGGTCCTGGTCAGATCAATGTGCTTCTAGCACACTGCTGTGTGATTTGGGGCAATGTATTTCATGTGCCTGTATCTGTTCCCTGAGTGCTGAAATGGGTTAACAATTAAAAGCTGCTTCAGGATTACCAATCTGGTTTTCCACGTATATGACTAAGTATTATTGAATTACAAATGCTCCTCAACTTATGGTGATGCTACATTCTGATAAACCCTTCCTAAATTGAAAATATGGGAAGTAAAAAATACATTTTTTACCACAATAAACCCGTGATGAAGTAGAAAACTTGTAAGTCAAACCATCCTAAGTCAAGGGACCATCTGTGCTTGTAAACTTTAAACAAATATCTTTTATATGAATTTTCATTTTTACCTTTTAATTTCTTAAACATTTATTTACTGTATAGGCGATATTGTCAAGATGTAAAATCCAACATGTTGAAAGGGTAAACAAGGAAAAACAAGTCTCCCTCCATACTTATCACCTGCCTACACAGTGTCTATCCACTGAGTCTTTTTTTTCAATTAATAGACATTATCTATTTGGGCAGTTTTAGGTTTACAGTTTTAGGTTTACAGAACCTACAGTTTTAGGTTTTTAGGTGGAAAGCACACAGAGTTAACATATGCTGATGCCCCCTGCCCTATACGCACAGCCACCCCCTCTAGTTTCAACATCCCACACCAGAGTGGGACATTTGTTACAATCAATGAACCAGCATTGACACATCATTATCGGCTGAAGTCCACAGATTACATTAGGGTTCACTCTTGGTGTTGCAAGTTCTGCAGGTTTTGACAAATTTATCAAGACATGTATCCACTATTAGAGTATCACACAGAATAGTTTCACTGCCTTAAAACTCCCCTGTGCTTCACCTACTCATCCCTCCTTCCTGTTAAAGCCCTAGAAACTTCTGATCTTTGTACTGTCTTCATAGTTTTGCCTTTTCTAGAATGTCATATAGTTGAAATACTACAGTATCTATCCATTTCAGATTGGCCCCTTCCACTTAGCAATATGCATTTAAGGTCCCTCCATGTCTTAACTCACTCATCTTCAAATTCGTCTTCACCTATTTCTATTCACCTATTCAAGGACATCTTGGTTGATTTCAGGCTTTGGCAAGTATGCATAAAGCGGCTGTAAACATTCATGTGCAGGTTTTTGTGTGGATGTAAGTTTTCAGATTGAGACTTTTAAAACCATAACTCTGAGATGTAAGGAAATCGTAACCACTTGGGACATAGGACTGCCTTTTATCTCTCACATGCATCTTGTATTGAAGTCAGTTTCAAGCAGCTAGTATGATCACTGCCATAGTGTTTTCAACAGAAACATTTCCTGAAACATGTGTCTTTTAAACATTTTCTTCTCTAGGCTGACTCAGTAAAATATTGGTTAGGATGCTCTTCCCACCAAGAAGCTGAGGTGAAATTGAAATGTTACCTGTTTGTTCATCCTCTCATGCCTCAGAATCCAGATAAGGCTCTCTGCTGATGACATAACCATCATCCCAGTGTTCCCAAGTACATCATCCTCTGGCTGGCTGGCCCATCCTCAGCCATACTCACCATGTCCACCTCCCACCTCATTCCCATATCCATGGCTATGTCACTCGATATCCTTATTGCCATTTCCCTTACTTAATAAAAGCTGCTATCTTCCTCAACTACCTTCAGAATATTACACAATAATTTGCCTGTAAGAGGTGTTTAGTAAACATTTATTGCTACCACAAAACGTTGTTGACACTGTTGCAGATAAGAACTATTTGACTAATCAGATTCTGTATCCCCTAGCATGAAAGATGCAGATTCATAAGAGGCACTTCTGGAAGAGTAACAATAGCTAACATGTTTTAATATTCACTACATATTAGGCATAATGCTAAGCATTTTCACGTGTTACCTCACTTATCCTCATCAAAATCCGTATTTGTTATTATTACTCTCATTTTACATATGAGGAAACTGAACCTTTGCAAAAATAAATAACTTGCCTGAGGACCTACGCAAACCGCCCATGTACTGCAAGAATTCCAAGATGTATATCAGGGCCTATGGCATGCAAAACCAAAACAGATTTTAATTGATCTCACATGTCACATTGAAGTGAATTATTTAAGTCCTTGTCAATATAAATTTGAGCTTGTGGTTATTTGGTTAGTATTTGTCTTCCCCCAAAGACTGTATGTAAGCTTTGTGAAGTTAGGGACTGTTTTGCTACATATACAGATGGTCCCCAACTTATGATGGTTCCACTTGCAATTTACTGACTTTACCATGTATGAAAGTGACATGCATTCAGTAGAAACTGTACTTTGATTACGCCTATAACGATTCCGTTTTTCACTTTCAGTGCAGTATCCAGTAAATTACATGATATATTAAACACTGTATTATAAACTAAGCTTTGTATTAGATGATTTTGCCCAACTGTAAGCTAATGTGTGTTCTGAGCACATTCAAGATGGGCTAGGCTAAGCTGTGATGTTTAGTAGGTTGGGTGCATTGAGAGCATTTTCAACTTTCAATATTTTCAACTTAAGATGGGTTTATTGGGTTATAACACCATAGTAAATCAAGGAGCTCTTAGCAAACTGGCCCATCTTAAGTATTTTTAATCTATAAATGACTTCAGCCTTCCTGTGGGTCAACAAATTCATCTCTTGACATGTCAACCCTGCTGAAAAAATAAGGCATTTTGGAACCTGATATGAACAGTCATCACAAGGAATGTATTATTATCATCTCCTAGAACTGTGGTGCCATTCCTGTGTTTCATTCTTCAGGTTAATTTCTGGTATAGATCTTTGATGGAGAAAAACTGGGTCTGGTGAAGCACATTTTTTAAATGATTTGTGTAATATCAAGTACCTTCACATCTACTCTTAAAATTCTAACCATTCTTATGCGTGTTGGTTGCTGGGATTACATTATTGTGCCTACCCATAAATGATCAATTTTAACTCAAGAAGGAAGAATTTATGTTCTCACAGTTAATGGCTCAATGTATATCTGAACCAAAAATGGCTATTAGAGATTTGTGTGCTATCACAAAAGACAGTGGAAGCAAAACCAGAGTGTATTATTGTACTCTTTTCAAAAGCATTGTGCTTTCGCTATTGACTTCCTGTTGCTTAGAATTTCAAGTTTTAACTTCTCAGCCTGGCATTCAAGAAACTCCATCTGATGACCCTAGCTTACATGCTCACCTTTATATAATAGTCCTTAACAGGGCCTCTGGGCTGCTGAAATGGATTCCGCTGTCCCTGTCTTATGTCAGGGTCATTTTAATCCACACCTTGCTCAGATAGCATGATTTGTTCACTTCTCTATCCATGCTTTCTCAAATTCCTCAAAACCAAGAATAAATGCAGTTTTCTGCTTTCTCTGGATGACTTCAATATATAGTAGGAACTTGATCACAACTTAGGTGTGAATAAGGGCTCAGATTCTGATTTGGGTTAAAACAAGTCTTCATTATTTGCTCTCTAGGTCATCTTGAGGGAGTTGCTAATTTCTCTAAATATAGTGTCCTTATTTGCAAAATGTAAATAGATAAAATTACCTTATAGAATTATTAAGAGTCAATGAAACTTTACATGTAAAATGCTTAACAGTGAACACACAGAAATCAAAAGCTTGTTTTGATTTCCTTTAAATTATTTCAAATGATAGCTGTCAATTAGATTGTAATTTCTTGTGTGAGAACTGAGATTATAAATTAAATTTTGAATAATCACAACTGTAAGTGCTTAATACATTCTTTTAGACCCAAGTAATCGGAGAACAACATGAAGTTAAAGGAAGATGTAAAAACTTTGGCATGTGGTCCTCCAGTCAAGTCTGCATTATACTTTAACCTATTATAGTCAGGAACACAAGAGGAGGACTGCTCTATTAGTGGTGGTGATGGAGTAAGGATTTTGTGTTTAATTTTAGTAATGTGAGGTTCAGGAAAGTATAGAACCTTCAATAAGAAGCCAATGGGGAGTAGGATTCACAGGTCTGGCAGTGAGAGGAGAGATGAGAGCTGGAGATACCAACTTCTGAGTGGTAATTGAGTCCATAGGCATTCAGGGTACCCTGGGAGGGGAGTGTAGTGTGCAAAACAGAGAGGATTTAGGAGCAAGGATTGTAGACTTGCTTATAGGCTGCACAGATGATGAATAGTTTGCAAAGAAAGTGAAAGAGTGAGTAGAAAGATAAAAGTAAGTCAGTGGTAACACTGTCCCCAGTAGAAGAGAATATTTCAAGAAGATGGGCATGCTTGATGTTGCCAAGTGCTTCTGAGGGGCCAAAGAAGTGAAGGTCTATAATAAGCATTGTGTTTTTCAGCAGGAGGCCACTGTTGACCTTTGTGGGAGCTGTCAGAAAGTTATTTGAAGTAGATCAAGAAGAGAATGGGAAATAAAAAATAGAGAAATCAGGTAAAGAAAACAATTTAAAAAATTACTGTTAAAGAGTGAATAGAGACCGACACAAGGGATCTAGAAAGAAATGTGAGCTTTATTAACCTTTTTCAGGGGAGAGTTTTGAGCATTAGTAAAAGCCAATAGGGAGGTTACAGATCTGTTATAGGTTGAATTAGTCCCCCTATACTCATACATTAAAGTCCTAACCTCCAGTACCTCAGAATGTGACCTTATTTGGAAATAGGGTCATTGTAAGTGTAATTAATTAAGATGAGGTCATACTGGTTTTGGTTGGATTCTAATCCAGTATGACTGGTATTCTTCTATAAAGCTGAAATTTGGATACAGAGATGTTTCCATGGAGAATGCCACGTGAAGATGAAGGCAGAGATTGGGGTGATGTTTTTACAATCCAAGGAATACCAGAGATTGCCAGGATTCCACAAGCAGCTAGGTGAGAGGCATGGAATATATTCATTTTCACAACCCTAAGAAACAGCTAATCTTGCCCACAACCTTGATTTCAGACTTGAGCCTCCAGAACTGTGAGACAATGACTTTCAGTTGTTTAAGCCACCCAGTCTGTGGTACTTTGTTCTGGCAGCCCTAGAAAACTGATACAAGATCATAGGAAAAAGATGAACATACGAAGGATAGTTGTTGGTGTACGTTCCTCAGAAGGTAAGAATGGGATTCAAGTTGGTAAGAAAGCTGATAGAATGTATGCAATGTGGGTAGGCTTATATGTTCATTATTGAAAAGGTAAAGGAGTTCTCATCTGATGGCTTCTATTTTCTCTGTAAACTAGAGGGAGAGGTGTCTAATGAAAGTGAAGAAATACAAGGGGGAATTTTGAGGACCTAAGTGAGTTGGCCACAGGATTCAAGTCATTCATAATCTGCTGTCTTGTGTAACTCTCTTCAGCAACAGGTGAAGTCACAGAGAAGTGAATAGCTGAGTCACTCAGTGCTGGAGTCTAGCAAGACAAGACAACTAAAATATAGAGCATTGAGAAATGTCATTTAAACAATATCTTGTGGAATCTAAGCCTACAGGAGTAGAAAGCTGGGTTTGAAGGATACGGTTGATGGTTTGAAGATGGTAAAGGAGTCTTAATAAGTCTGCAGAATGGTGGGAGAAGTTGAACAGGCAAGAGAGGAGAGAGATGTGGGCATGGGACATCTGATGTTGGGTCATGACAAGTCCCAAGACATGGCTATTGGAGCAGCCAGACCAAGCCAGGGAAGGGGAGGAGGACAAAAAAACTGTGAGGCATGGGCCGTGATGTGGGGTAGAGTTTTTTACTTACTCAACAAATAATCACTGAATGTTTATTATGTGCCAAACACTACTCAAAGTGCTAGGAATAAAATTGTAAACTAAACAGGCATAAATATCTACCTTGCAGAGCTTCCAGTGGAAAGTGTCAAATAATAAAAATATTATTGAATATGTCAGATATGTAAGATAATAGTGCATTGGAAAAATTAAAATGGTGGTACTAGATCTGTGTGTGTGTGTGTGTGTGTGTGTGTGTGTGTGTGTGTGTTACCATGTTAAGAAGGGTGGTCAGGTCATACTTCCTGATAAAGTGATATTCTATTCAAAACAGGTGAGAAAGGAAGCTATTTTCTTGTCTGGAAGAACATTTCAGAAAAGGAGAAAGGCAAGTAAAAGGCCCTGGATCCATATACACAATCCCATTCTAGCTCATTTAAAATAAATTGGTGTCCTTCAATGTGTTTGCCAATATTTCTGTGAGTTTCCTCACAGAGGGTGGCCTCAGGAAGATTCTCACAGGGGAGGCCTCACAGGTGTGCTCACAGAGGCAGCCTCACAGGTGTCCTCACAGGGAAACCACACAGTGTCCTCACAGCTGTCCTCGCAGAGAGAGGCCTCACAGCACAGGTGTCCTCACAGGGGGTGCCTCACAGGGCTTCCCTAACACACCTGCTGGTAGCTTCTGCTCTGGCTTTCCCATTCTGTTGCCACACTGCTTCCTCTACTGCTAAGACCCTGGTGGGCCTGTGTTCTGTTGAGCACAGCGGGCATCCCTGTGATGCTATTGGATACCCTGCTAGTCTGCCATGGAATGCTTCCTGTCTTAGGTGCAAAGAGTCAGTGTCCTGGCTGTTGCCATGCCTCTGGGAAGCTATAGGACTTGACTGCTATTCTAGGTGGTGGCCTCCCCACCAACCCCATTTCTTTGCACGACTGCCACTGCCACTTCCAACTCTGGTCAACAGTACAGACTCCTCATATCCTTCCGGAGGTTGGGGCTACATTGTGCCTCTCACTGGAAATAAGATGTCCTTCCAGAAAGAGGAAGGAGGTCCTGGTCAAAGTCTTGTCTCATACCCAGCTCTGAGAACAACTACCTGGCATATTAATTGGCACCACATTTTTTTTTCTGGAGAGAGCCCTATCACAACAGGGCACTGTCTTGCCATCACTTCAAAGAAAAAATCAAAATACTCTGATAATGGTACATTTCTCAAGGCCTAGGTTATTTGGCCATATTTACAGTTACCTTTTTACCATGGGAAAAAATTAAAATGTGTTTAAACATTTTTAAAGGGCAAAAATCAATTGCATAGGTAATGAAAGTTTTATTATACAAACACATACATCGTAAGAGGACTTGTACTATGTTGAAGTGGATGTAGTTGAGAGAGAGCAGTGGCATGTTACATAAATCAGTGCTTATAAATTAGTAATTTTATAAAAATTTATCTTAGAAGCTCAGCATTTATGGGGAGTTTATAATGGGGAATTTTGTAAAGTTAGATTAAGAGATTAGATATCTCTATTTTCTAGATTAGTCTATTCAGATTTCAGGCTATAATAAACGACATCTCCATGTATATTTAGATGTAAGTGATCACTCGTGTGGGTCCATTTGACTGAGTTTAGTGGAAAATTTGCCAATAGAATAAATTGCAGTTAATACAAATCATATGAAATAAAGGAATAAATTGAAAAAACTTTTAATCTCAAGAAGAAAACAACACGGGCCTACTCACTACCTAGAAGATGAAAATTTTGGAAGATTTTATGTTTTTAAGAGGTTAATTATTTCAAAAATATTCTACTATAATTTTTAGACCTAACCTGACAGTTTTTGAATGACCAGAAAAATAGACTAACTCATCATGACCAAAATCCTATAATGGCCACGCTGCGCAACTCAAGCTAAAATTTCCTCATGGAGAGGTAGCTAGTGAGGCGTGGGGTTTAGGAGGCGCTGTGACTTGCAGCAGTGTAAACAGAGTTGCATTCTTCTTCCACTGAGGATATTGATATTTCTGGTCTAGGTCATTCTCTGTTCTCAGGACCCCAGTGTTCACTTTCACAAGAAATATATTTTTTTAATATCTTCTGTTCATCTTGTGATCCATCTTAATCTCTCCTTGCTCTAGTGGCTTGCTTGTTTCAGGATTTGGGGACCACAAAGCCCACAAAGTCCTTTCTCTTCATAACCTGCCATCCAAAGACATTTTTTGATGCTCAAACAATTCCCTGCTGTTTACAACTTCAGAGGTGTCCTCCGAATAATTTTCTCCTCTTAACTTCAATAGTACTGTTTCTATTTTTCATCTGACTTAGTAGCTCATAAATCAAGAGACAGGAGAGAGAGAAAGAAAACCACCTTTACCATAGATTCTTTTATTTTTCTCTTTTTCAGGGGTTATTTACTAAAGGATAGTTTTCAATTTGTTCTTACTTTTATATTTTCACATTTTTTTTTTACAACTGAAACTTGTGGATTTCCTCCACTTACTTCTCTTTAAAAACTATTCTACAATTCCATAGAAAACATTATTGAAAAGTATTGTAACAATTGACATATTTCTTGTTAGTAAACTTATTCTAAATATCTTGATTCATATTTATAAATTCTTGAAAGAATATACATATTTCTCCCAAAATGGGTATCTATAATATTTAAAAATAGAGTAGAACCCTCAAGACCATTTTGTTTTTCGTGGATTTGAGTGTACAGTAATTTTATCATTTCCTTAAGTCATGGGACTTACCTTTGTCAGTAAGGATATATTTAGTTTCAGCAAGAGAAAACCCATACTCAAACTGGCTTATCAATAAGACAGTTTATTATCTCGTGTGATAGGAAGTTGAGGAACGGGGCAGCCTCCAGGAGAAGGAGAGAGGCTCCTGTTCTATCGCGTGCCTTCTCTTGATTCTGTCTACCTCTGTGTATTGGCTTCCTTCTAAGGTTGTGAGCAAGGTGGCTACAGCAGTTTCAGATATAACAAAGTCCAGGGGACAAAGAAAGAACTGTTTCTCCTTGTGTTTCTGTGTTAGAACACAGAAACACATTCCTAAATGCCCTCAAACAGATTTTCCTTCACTTTGAATTGACGACTAGGATTGAATCATGTGCATATCCCCGAATCAGTCATTTGCAAGGGGAATTTGAAATACCATGAGTGACCTCGGCTATTCATCTGGGGAGTATTTGACTCTCGGCTTCCCCTTTCACTTTATGTCAGTCGCATTAATAATGAGGGGGCCACATAAACTACTAAAATACACCACAATTTCAGTGTAATATGGTATTCTAAGATGGTTGCCCATTTCATGTTCTATGGCCAGATTCATTAAGGATTCATCTGCATTCCTGTGCGGTCTGTGCTCATTCCAAGCAAAGCTGGAAGTGGGAGGAGAAGAGGCGAAACTTCTTTGGGATATTATTAACTCCCAGGGTTACTCTCCCAAGTACATTTATTACTAGATGCCTGTTGTCCAGAGAGGAAAGTGATCTAGGGATGACTGCAACTCTCCCCTGCGTTTAATTCAGTGTGTATCAAGGAAGCTCATAAAACAGTCTTCCAGATTACTGATATGTAACTCTATTAGAATTTAATTTACTGTAAGATAATTATAGCAAGGTCTCTCCGTGTAAGACTAATAAAAAGTGAACAGATTTTCCCTCAGGAGAAAAGTTCCTCCCCAGATGTTCACCTCTATTCACTCAACATGAGCATCATCCTTGATTCTTCCCTTTTCGTCATCCTACAGCTCGAATTCAGCAGGAAAACCTTACATTCCGCTTGCAAATAGATCAGAATTCCTCCGCTTCTCTCCGAGGTAGGCCACTTCCTAGTGACCTGTAGAGGGCGCTATAGGATGGACTGCCTCGTGGTCTATCCTCTTCCCCCAACTCTACATTAGTGCTCTGCCTTCCAACCCATTCCCAACACAAGAGTCCAGGAGAAACTTAAAAAAAAATGTAGACTGCACATCACTTCTTAAAATCCTTTAATAATCTTCCATTGTATTAAGAAAAACACACATACATACTCTTGGCTGTGGCTTGTAATGTACATGTTACTGCTTCTACTCTCCTCTGTGTTCTCACCTGGTATGTCCTACCTTTGTTTCATCCACACTGGGCTACTTTCTGCTATTGGACACAGTTAAGTATTTCCCCATCACAGGACCTTCACTCATCCTCTTCCCTTTGCTTTGATCATTTTTTCCCCTGTTCTTTGGATGACCTTTTCCCCCGCTTCTGAACTGGTCTCAGCCCAGTCATTGCTTTCCCACTGTGGCTTTCCCTGCTCATGAAATAGAGTAGGGACCCTTTTTAGGGGCCTGCTGGGCCTCCCAAGCATAAAAATAAATTAAAAAAAAAAACTTGAGTATTTTGAGGAGAATTGAAGGCGCCTGAATAGCTTTGAGAAGTAAATAACCAACGTGATAAGCAAGAGGATAATAATAGCTTAAACAATAGCCACCCAAGTAAGTTAAAATCACAAGATGTTTAGTTCTCTATACAAACTAAAGATAACATCTTGACATGTGTAACTCAATTATTTTTTAGAAACCCAGACCCCCACCACTTGGAAAATGCCAACTACTGTCATGTAGACCTCAGATAAGGGGAAACTGAGGACTAAACTCTGAGCTCTGTTCTTTGCTCTAAATTTCTTCCTGAGAGGCCTGGAGGAAGTGACATCCACAGGCCAAACTGTAACCTTCCCTTCTGTTGACCCCAAGTTTTTAGACAAAGCTTTGCTTCCTTAACCAATTGCAAATCAAAGAATCTCTGAATCCACCAATGACCTGTAAGCCCCCACTTCAAGATATCCTGCTTTTTTGGGCCAAACCAATGTGTGACCTTCATACATTAATTTGCAATTTTGCCTGTATAACTTCTGCTTCCCTGAAATGTACCCCTGTCTTTAAAAGCCCTCGCCTGTAAGCCATCAAGGAGGTTGGGTCTTAAGTGTGAGCTGCCTTTCTTGCTTGTTTGGCACCATGAGAATAAATGTCCTTTTTTTTCTTGCTGCAAACCTCAGTGTCAGTGTTTGGCTTTACTGTGCTGGGTGAGCCAGACCCATGTTCAGTTTCGTAATGCTCACACTATCTATACAGACTTTCTCCCTTGGATGGGGAGTGGTAGCATAATTTTAACCTGTTCTTTACCTTCACAAGCCTCTTCCCAGTTTGTGCTTGTGTGCTTCTTTGTTTCCCTATTATTCCCTGTCTCCCTCACTAGACCTGATGCTCCAAGAGGGCCAGGTTGGTTTCATTCTCTGTGGATAAGGTTCAGTTAATAACCCCCCTGTATCATGGTGATTCCCTTGAGTATGGGTACTGTCTCTACATTGCTAGCACCTAACAGAATGTTCCCCACATACTATGTCTCTAGTATGCATTTATTGTTGAATGAGTGGGTACCCATTGTTAGAAGACTAAAAATTAGCATTTGACTACAGGATCAAGAAATGCAGGAATGGATTTCTCATTATTTTCAGAACTTCAACTGCATCCCTGGCAAACATTCCACAGGGTTTGTGATGTTTTCAGTAAGTTTAGTGCCATGATAGACCATCATTTTTTTTTTTTTAATGAGAAAAGATAATACTTGAAAAGTCAGAAAGCCAGAAGAAAATAATTGCAAAAAAGGTGAGTAGGAGAATCACCTCATCCAAATCTAACTTGATCATGTGAAGCAACCTAAGAGACTCGTGGAAGGTTGCAAACAACTATAGATAAATCTCTTTGGTGACATATAATAAAAATTTGGCCTTGTCAATTTTAGCATCCCATTTCACATTACCCCATGGCTAGTTGAACCGTTTTAGATATATATTGTTAGCACTATATAGTACTTAACTATGTGCTGAACCTAGTTTAGTGCATTCACTCATTTAAGGCTTCCACAACCTCATCAGATAGATTTTATTATTACAACGATTTTACTGAAGCTTAGAGAGGTTAAGTGACTTGACAAAGATCACCCAGCTAACAAGTGGCAGAACTAGGTTGCAAACATAGGCCTATAATTTTCAAAGAGTAAAAGACTCCCTTGGAATGACCACACTGAGGAAACTAAAGATGAACGTGAATTAGAGTTATAAATGTTAATGATTGTTTTCTTTCATAATTGTCGTAGTTCTCTGCATCTCACATACAGTAGCTGTGTCAGCAGTTTTTATTTTCGTTTTTAAATAATTTTAGGCAGGCACAATGTAATATGTAAACATACAAATGCAAAAAATATAAAATTAAGTGATTTCTATTATAAATAATTTTTGCTTAGTTCCTTGAAGTAGCATCCTAGTACTACTATTTGATAGCTGAACATTAATTGATTAGTAAATTGGGGAAGGATGACGGGAGAAGAGTAATGAACTAGACTGAGGACACCTGGGGGTGCTCTGTCCTGCTTAGCTCTGCAGCTCTTACTTTCTCTGGGTCTCAGTTCCTCGGCAAACTTAGGGCACTGGGTTAAGTGCTGTGTAGCTCAAACCAACTCTAGCTTTGTATAATTTTGTACAAAGGTACTGATATGTTAATAGAAAAATAAAGTCCGGGTGCGGTGGCTCACACCTGTAATCCCAGCACTTTGGGAGGCTGAGGTGGGCAGATCATGAGGTCAGGAGATGGAGACCATCCTGACTAACACAGTGAAACCCCGTCTCTACTAAAAAAAAAAAAAAATTAGCCAGGTGTGGTGGCGGGCGCCTGTAGTCTCAGCTACTCAGGAGGCTGAGGCAGGAGAATGGTGTGAACCCAGGAGGCGGAGCTTGCAGTGAGCAGAGATCGCGCCACTGCACTCCAGCCTGGGCGACAGAGCAAGACTCTGTCTCAAACAAAAAAAAAAAAAAAAAAAAAAAAAAATTAAAAGAAAAAGTGCATAACTATCCTCTTATTTTAGACATGAGTTTTCAGGAAGCCATCCTAATCCTATCAGTTCTACCTTCATAAACATTCTACTTCCAACTAGAAAATTGCCTCTAGTCTTAAATCCCGTCTAACCAGTTTTTTACACTGTCATTGGACTTTTTTTTTTTTTGAGATAAAATTCTTGGCTTGCTTTATCATTCCCCTGCTTAGGGTCCTTCAATAACTGCCCTTTCACTGATATATGTCCATGACCAAACTCGTTCCTATTTTACCTTGAATCTTGTGCTCCTCTCTACCAAACCATGTGCAGCTCTTTGAACTTTACAAGCTATCTCACATCTCTATGCTTTTTCTCTTGTTGTTTCCTCTGCCTGAAATGCTACCTCTCTCTGTCCCTTGTTTGTTTGGTGGACACTTTCAAGACTTAGGAAGATGTCAGCTCTTCTGTGAACCTTTCCTGCCTGAACATTCCTCCACGCAGCAGGTTTCCCACAGCCCCGCCCAAGATAGAACTGACTGTTCCTTTTTTGGTGTTTCCACTGTCCCCAAGGCAGATTCTCTACCTGAAACATGTTAACACTTATCGTCTATGTACTTCTCCTAATGCTCTCGACAGTAAAGAACATGTTACCTTCATCTTTGCATCTCCAGCATTTAGCACAGTGCTCCATATATGGTAGTAACTCAGTAGATATGAACAGATGAATAAAAATGTGAATGCAATTTGAATGAATGAAAAGGCATCAACTGTCTAAAAAGTTATTTTAATTTCTCAAGTTTTGGCCTAATGCTTTCAGAGATGGCAATGGAAGATAAAAACGTGTGAAGAGTAAAAGAATGTTGTAGGGAGAAGGTCTTTCATTTCATTGTCTGTATTGTTTCAAGCTGCTTCCGATACTATGATCTCTTCTGGATCTTGTTAATGAAATTTTCAAGTATTTGATATGATATTAATGCTCCAATATGTCTTTTGAAAACAGTCCTAATTTTATTTGGACAGAAAACTAAAAAGGCTGGACGAGAGTACACATGCTGCAATAGGAATTAATTTGAGAGCATAGTGGTTCAGAATACAGTAATTATTTTGAGCTGTCTTTTCAAATTCAAGGAACTCAGATACTTATATGGTTTTGAAATATTGCAGTAAATGGACCAAAGCCAACTCCAATGTGTGAAAGATAGATTTTATACACATGCTTACATTTTTGATTAATTTATTCATTATTCAACCTACATTCATTGAGCACCTTCTTCTGCTGAGCTATATACCCTAGATGCTTTGGATTCAAAAAGATGGATTGGCGGATGGCTCTTTGATTATTCTAGACAAAGTCCCTGATGCTTGGAGAACGTTTTACATTCATTTGTTGTCATCACAACAATTGCCCCACACAGACTGTCCAGGCACCCCAGCTCCTGTTGAATGTTCTGTCCTCTTCACCGCCTTTCCAGCAGTCCTCTGCTAATTCCTCTAGTGTATAGCATGTGCTCCTACCTTTGAGCCTTACAACGGGTCTTTTCCCTATTTAAAACCCTCTTATCAGAGAACTCAACTCATCTTTCATACTTGCTTGTGTCAGTTCATCAAGGGAAGCTTTCCCTGATCCCATGACCAGACCAGCTCCGGGCTGTAGTTGTGCTTCGCAGGCCTTATTGCTATCACAATTAATTAATAATGAATTTAGCTGCTTAATATCTGGTCTTCCTGCTGAAATATAATGTATACAAGAGGATGATCTGTGTACCTGTTTTTCCCGTCTACTTCCAGAGTTCAGCCATGTGGTGGTATGGAGAGATTTTTAATAAAGATTTGCTGAATGATTAAATGAACTAATAGTGGCAGAATTGCTAGGATGGACTAATTCCTCTTTGCCCTCTCCCAGCTCATGTCCTGCCTTTCCTCTTTTATAATAAAAAATGCTTAATGGCTTAATGATACTCAGAGAGCAATTCCCTTTCCTAAATTGAATTGTACATGTTTGAACTCCCATAGTACATAAGGCCCTGTGGCTGTCAGTGACACTTGGGTATCCTTCTTACTGCTTCTCAAGTGGAAAGAAAGAAGAGGACAAGGAAGGTGATCCCTTTCTCCGCCAACCCAATCTTAGAGAAATAGGAAAGATCAATTGTGGATATAACAACAGCAATCTCTTTCCCCGCATGAAAGAATCATGTTGCTCATTCATGGTTAAAGTAGGATTTTAAAATAGCCAATCTAGCAAAGGCAGTGAGAATCAGGAGCAGAGACCAAAACATGTAACAATTCATTTTAGAAAAATGTCCTATAAACCAATCTCACAGTTGGAACTTAAAAGTCCCCAGATACAATCATGTTCTGTAGAGCCCCTGAAATTGCCTCTGGCGCTAAAGAGATCCTAAGCAATATTACGCAGGCAGGAAGAGGAATAGGGCATCCATCACATTGTCATGCTCTGCCCTGTTCTCAAATTACAAAGTCAGACTCAGTCCAGAGTTGAGGGATAGTGTTCTTATTCTGCTTTTGTCTACCCCATGTTGGTTATGACAGCTGGCTGGGGAGTGTGCTCCTCCAGCTTGTTTTTAGAGAGTCCATCTCTCTTGATTATCTCGACATCCCTTACTGCTGGCCTGTGAGATCTCTTCCTGTATGCTGTCTCATTTTTCCATATTAAGGTGGCTCTAAATATCAGTCTGCCTTAAAACCCGTGATGTTTTCTTTCCAGAAGGGGTTTGGAAGTCTCAGCAAGCTCACTAGCAGAACAGAGCATCTCTTTACTCTATGGAAATGGACTAACTCAATATGACGTCATTTCTGCTGAAGTCTTGTCTGCTTCCATGACTTTTGGAAACCATATTCTAATGAATATCTAGTGACACTGTTTCTTTGGTTCTGATAAAAATCAGAATTGTACCCACTCTTATAACCTGTTCTCTTGCATTTCCCTAAGACTCCAAAGGTTAATATGTTTTAGGGTTTTATCATGCCTTTTCAGACTGTCTTTTTGCTTCATCTATATCAATGGCATCAGTTTCACTTGGAGCAACAAAATTCTTGGCCCCATTCCAGACCTACTGAATCATTAACTCTGGAAGAGATGCCCTGCAATCTGTGTTTTAACAGTTTATGTAGGTAAGCTTGGCTGAAGTTTACCTTTGCATTGACTGATAACAGGAAAAGGGCTTCTTCATTAAATTAATAGTTCAGGAGAAATTGAAACTACTGGGGAGAGGGAGGGCCTATTGAGAACCATCCCAGCAACCCGACCACAGCTGGTCTTCCCTGGACACCATGAACCACACTTTCCAAACCTTCTTCACTCCTGCCAACAGCGGCCACCCCCGCAATTATGAGATGCTCAAGGAGGAGCATAAGGTGGCTGTGGTGGGGGCGCCCCAAAACCCTGCTCCCCCGATGTCCACCATGATCCACTTCCACAGTGAGACCTCCATGCCTGACCATGTCGTCTGGTCGCTGTTCAACACCCTCTTCATGAACTCTGGCTGCCTGTGCTTCACAGCATTTGTGTACTCTATGAAGTCTAGGGAGAGGAAGAAGGTTGGTGACTTGACCAGGGCCCAGGCCTATACCTCCACTGCCAAGTGCCTGAACATCTGGGCCCTGATCGTGGACATTGTCATGACCATTCTGCTCATCATCATCCCAGTGTTGATCTTCCAAGTCTATTGATAGATCAGGAGGCATCATCCAGGCCAGGAGCTCTGCCCATGACCTGTATCCCACGCACTTCATCTTTCATTCCTTGCGCTGCCCCCAGAGCCAAGTCCTGTATCAGCCCTTTATCCTCACACACTTTTCTACAATGGCATTCAATAAAGTGCACGTGCTCCTGGTTAAAAAAAAAAAAAAAGTTCAGGGCTGGGTGTGGTGGCTTACGCCTATAATCCCAGCACTTTGAGAGGCTGAGGAGGGTGGATCACGAGGTCAAGAGATCGAGACCATCCTGGCCAACATGGTGAAACCCCGTCTCTACTAAAAGTACAAAAATTAGCTGGCATGGTGGCGGGTGCCTGTAATCCCAGTTACTCTGGAGGCTGAGGCAGGAGAATTGCTTGAACCCGGGAGGCGGAGGTTGCAGTGAGCCGAGATCGCACCACTGCACTCCAGCCTGGGTGACAGAGCAAGACTCCATCTCAAAAAAAAAGAGTCAGTATGTGTAAAATACTTAGAATAGTACTATAGTGCTTGGCACATAATATATGATATACAAATATTAGCAGGTATTAACATTATTATTACTTGGTCCCACAGGATATTCATTAACTAAGTATAGCCCCCCCACCCCATTTTCTCCCAGAGAAGATTTAAAGGGACTTACCAAGACACAAACTAAACAACAGTTAGTAAATTTGAGAGACAGTAAAAAAGAATCACATTAAACAAAAAGAAAATGAAATTTTAGTGCATGCCCTAGAAATACCCATAACTAATTCTTCAAATTTTAATTATTGCATCAACTTTGTATTACTCTGTATACCTAAAGTAAATGAAACTGGCTAGTTGTTCACCCAGTCTTTTCTGTCTTCTTTCAGGGCACTTCTTCACCTGACCCAGCAAACCCTTCCCTTCTGTCCTCCACTCTTTCTTTCTAGGGCCCCAGGCTGCAGGTTGGCAACTACAATGATCTTGCATGATGTTAGAGCCCATGACCACCTGGGTCCTTAAAGGCATGGAGCTAATCTTCCTACCGGTCCCCTACACGCTGTATTTATCCTGATTTTAGCAGAATAATACATAGACTTCTTCTGTAGTAATTTGAGCTCCCTGAAATAAACTATGGTGTAATTGAATCTTGCACTTATTTAATTCTTCTGTAGTATGAGTGTTAACATGAAGTTTAGTATGCCAGTGATCTGCTTTAAAGTTTCACCCACACGCAGTTCTATAGCAAGAGTCAAAGTGAACTATATCAAGACAGGTATATATAAAAAATGCCATTCTTTTTCAGGGCACCATGCATATCCAAATGGTATCCTTCTATAAGGTATGAACACAGCTAGTTCCTTTCTGTCAGAATAAAAAACTACAGAATTGTTGTGGAAGTTAAATGAATGGGTTCTCTCTTCAAACTTTAGAAATGCATTCAAATCTTACCATTTACCAGCTGTATTACCTTGGGGCAGCCACTGAACATTTCCAAGGATCAGGTTTCTTCTTTAGGAAATGGGGATAGAGCTGTGAAGATTAAATGAAATGAATGCATTGGAAAGTGCTCCTCACGATGCCTAGCACCTAGTCAACGCTATTTTTGTTATTTTTTTATAGATCAGGAATGAAGAGGAGAAGAATAGATTAGTACCTTGTGTCAAAGACCCTTCCTAAGTTGGAGAGACTGCACCTCATGCCAGAATCATACGGCAAGATGGAAGTTAGTTATATGCTAGGCATGAAGGGAATGCCTTTGTAGGAGAAATGAGAAAAAAGAGGAAGGAAAACTTTGTCTTTCTATATGCAGACACTTGCATAACATTTCCTCCTTGAGTTCTTGAATCCCAATGAGAGAAATGAGCGTATGTTTGGGAAGAAGGCTCATGAATTAATATTTTTCCCAATGGAGAAGCTCACAGAAACTTTGAAGTGTTTATTAAAGAGTTGATAATGAGGAGAAAACTTTTTGAAAATCATATTAAAAAGTACCTCCCAAACTGCTTCAATAATTTAACCTTGGAATCACAAGACTCTACTGGAATAGAAAGAACACATTTTTCTCTTCCCCCAGCTGTCCCGGGTGTATCGCATGCATGCTGATAACTCTGATGGCCTCTTGCTAGGAGTTGGCAGTGGAATGATACCCTTTTGTGACCAATCGAATAATTACTGAAGTTGAAATTTGTAATCCTGATATCAAATATTTCATAATGACATCAATTTAAACTTAATACTGCTCTTATCTTTTGACAAAAATAAGGTTTAATATGTTTTTCTCCTACAGGGGGTGAAATAAGGAAAGACTTTATTATACAAGATAATTAAAATTCTTCCTGAGGTTAAAAGTGATTTAAAAAGAATCACAACATGAGATAATTAGGCCTTATTAGACACTTTATCTGCTTCACTGAAGTCACTTTTTCCAGGATGATAAAATGTGCCTTTGTCTTTTTTTAGAAAGCTGGATACCAAATTTGGGGAAAAAAATGATCTTTCCTCCTCCTCTTAGACTCAGCACATGACTGTGTGAATGGATTTGTGGAAATAATTTAATGACAGGGTTACAATTTCCAAAAGCTAGACCTTTATAGAATGTGATGGTTTTCAAGTACTTATTCATTTTTCTAGTGGAATTACATTTTACCCTCTATTTTTAGTTGGTTAACAGAAAATGATATGAATTTGTGTTTTCTGATTTTTTTTTTCTCCTGACAGGCAGAATAATAACAGATTAGTTTTGGGATAGTTATCAAAATCCTTTTGTTACTTGACAGACTCGTTTATACTTTCTTATGCCATAATAGGTAAGGCAAAGAATGTCAGTGTTTGTGTTTTTAATGTCTAATGAACATACAATAACCGTGCAGTAGTGGATGGTATTTTTTAGATGAAAAGTGGTTCAGGCATTTAAAGCACATGATGTTTTTGTAAGAGGAAATAGGTACCCTAGGAGCATGGGAGTTTTGCCAGAGTTCTAAACTGTATCCCTACATGAGGTCTGATATTGCTTTTCTATTCTGCTTTTAGGCTCAGTGATGATGATGCTATGACTGCTGCCCTCTGCTAATGGCTCTTTGGGCTTCCAGTGGGTATTTTCTTTTTCTTAACAATGTTCAAAGCAACTAACAATAAATGAATGAAGTACTGGCTTGTGCCCTTAAGTTGGTATCCAACTTATTTTTATCTATTGACCAGTGGATAAAAGGAAATTGTTATACTTTGCCTTTAAGAAAACATTTCGGTTTTATTGACAATGACTTGTTTTATAGGTTTTTATCAGATCTTTCTGAGTGACCCTTTCCTTCAAGAAAAGGCTACGGATAGATCAGTGCAGCAGGGTGAGGTAAAATATACAGGTCTCTTTGAATGAAAGCTAGAAATATAGAATTGTTAAGTAAATGTCTTTTTCAAGGTGACATCTCTAGAAGAAAAATAGTATGCTTCGATAGAAAAATAGCTTCTGTCATACTATTGTGGGGTCTATTGTAAATGATATAAAGAAAATTGTTGCTTTAAAGAGAAACTTAAACAGTAAAACAAGAATGGAATGGAGCCAAAATTGTGAGCATAAATGGATTTACATCAAAAGTATCCGTTAAGTGAGGTTTTCAGCATTCACATGTAAGAGTACTGCTGCTTTTCAGAGTAGCAGTGCTGTATACACTTGCCTCTCCGTCAAGCTGGTAGGTCCTGTCAGGAAGAGTATGACACCTTCAGGGTCCTGGCGATGCATAGGAGTTAATAAAAAATGCACAGCACAAATACGGCTTAAGCAACGATTACAAAGCCAGTATGCATATAGCCACTACCTAAGTAAAGAAATAGAACATTGTCAGCGCAGTTCATTGCTGTATATTGATTTTTGAATCAGGTAAACTTGCTACATCTTCATTAATTCTAATGATTAATGGAATCTTTTAGATTTTTCTATACACGCCTACCTGATCTGTGAGTTATGACAGTTTGGTTTCTTTCTTTCCAATCCTTTTATCTTCCATTCTGTTTTTGTCTTACTGTAGTGTCTGGGGCCTTCAGTACAACGTTGAATAGAAGTAATGATGTCATCCTTGTCCATTCCAAGTCTCAGAAGGAAATGTTTAATGTTTCACCATTAAATATAATGCTTGATTTTCTAGGTTGTTTGCTAATATTTATCTCAACAGGATCTGAATTTTGTCAGTTGTCTTTTCTGACTCTGCCCAGGTCATCATAATATTCAGTAAATGTGCTGAATCACATCAGTTGATTTTCTAATGTTAAAACAACTTCGAATTCCTGGAGCAAATCAAAGTTGGTCACATTGTATTAATTCTATGTATAGCTGGATTTAATTTACTAATATTTTATTTAGAATATTTGAATCTCTGTTCCTAGGTGAGATTGGCCTGCTATGATTTTTTGTGTCAAGTTTTGTACCAAGGTTATCTTGAAATGTATCCTCTTTTTCTGATCTCTGGAAGATTTCTTGTAAGACTGGTGTTCTTTCTTTCTTAAATATGTAGAACAACTCACTAGTAAAGCTATCTAGGCCTGCAGTTTCTTTGTGGGAATGTTTTAAAGTCTACTTATTTTTATGTCAGCTTTCTGAGTTATGTTTTTCTAATAATTTGTCACTTTCTTCTATGTTTCCATTTGTTTGCATAATGTCATTTGTGTTTTCCTCATCTTTAATATCTGCAGCAACTGCAGCATGGTCTCCTTTTTTTTTCTTGGCATTGATTACTTGTTCTTTTCCTTTTTTCTCCTTGATCAGTCTCTCAAAGCACTTATAAATTAAGCTTTTTTTGGTTCTCATTTGTATACTTTTTTGTTACATTTATAGTCATGCCTTTATTATTTCCTTATTTTTCATTACTGGATTTAATTCACTCTTTTTTTCTAACTTATTGATCTGGAATCTTAGCTCATTAAATTTCAAGTCTTTCATCTTTTCTAATATATGCATTTAAGTATATATTTTTTCTTCTAAATCCTGTGTATTCTCAGTTCCGTAATAGATACTAATTTTGTTATTCATCATTTCAAAAACTATCTTTCTGATTTCTCCTTTGATCCATTGGTTAGTTAGATGTATTATTTCTCAGATTAAACCATATTGGGAAAATTTAAGGGTTATCTTGTGCTTATCAATTTCTGGCATAAGTACATTGTAATTGGAAAATATACTCTGAGATTTCAGTTCTTTTAAATTTGTTGAGATATTCATTTTGGTCTATATATTGTTATTGCTAAAAGAGTTTCATGCATTTTTGAAAATAAAGTGTATTCTGCAGTTATTGAGTTTGATTGTTCTACATGCCCACTGATTTCAGGTTTATTAATTATGTTCTTCAAATCTGCTCTATCCTTAATAATTTTTTTTTTTTTTGAGATGGAGTCTTGCTCTGTCACCCAGGCTGGAGTGCGGTGGTGCGATCTCGGCTCACTGCAACCTCTGCCTCCTGCGTTCAAGTGATTCACCTGCCCCAGCCTCCCAAGTAGCTGGAATTACCGGTGTGCCACCATGCCTGGCGAATTTTTTGTATTTTTAGTAGAGACAGGGTTTCACCATGTTGGCAAGGCTGGTCTTGAACTTCTAACCTCAAGTAATCTGCCAACCTTGGCCTCCTAAAGTGCTGGGATTACACACGTGATCCTCTGCGCCCAGCTTCCTTACTGATTTTGTCTGGTGCTTCTTTCAAATACTAAGGAAGGTGTGTCACAATTCCCTATTGTAACTATGGATTAATTTCTCTGTGCATTTCTGTCATGTTTTATTTTGTTTTGGAACCATATTATTAGGTGAGTGTGATTTAGAATTATATCTTCCTTGTGAATTGAACATTTTATCCTTATGAAGGAGCTTCTTTTTCTTTCCTAGTGCCTTTTTTCTTAAGTTTTATTTTGTGTAGTATTTATATGCTACGTCAGTTTTTTGGTGGTTTATGTTTGCATGACATACCTCGTTACATTCTTTTGCTTTAAATCTTTTTGTCCTTCGTTTTAAATATCTCTTCTAAATGCATATATTTTATTTTTTAAAAAAGGCTAACAAACTTTGTCTTTTAATGGAAACTTTATAATCTAATTGCATTTAATGAACTCATTTATATATTTAGCTTAATTCTACCATTTGCCTCTGTTTTATTTGATCTGCTCTTTCTGATTTTTTTTCTTATTTCACTTGAATTGGGTATTTTTAATCATTCAATTTTCTTTACCTTATTAATTTAGAAGTCTATATTATTTTTTCTGTTCTTTTAGTGATTATTCCTAGAAATTAGCAAGTCTCCTTGACTTATCAAGGTCCAATGTTAGTCAAAATTTATACTCTTCTCCCAGATAACACAGGAATCTTAGATCACTTGTGTAACTTTCATCATTTTTCACGTGTGTAACTTTTGTCATTTATTTGGTAAATTTCATTCCCTCTCAAAATGTATTTTAAATCCCACTAACATTATTGTTTTATACAATCAATATTAATTAACAATATTAGTATTATATATGTATACTATATTTATGCAGAGAAAGAGAGAGAGAGAAATTTATTTCCAGGAATTTGCTCATGCAATTGTGGGAACTGGCAAGTCTGAAAACTTTAAGGCAGGGCAGCAGGCTGGAAATTCTGAGGTAGGAGTTGATGCTACAATCTTGAGGCAGAATTTTTTCTTCCTTAGGGAAACCTCAGTTTTGCTTTTAGGGCCTTTCAACTGTTTAGATGAGATCCCCCACATTATTGACAATAACCTCCTTTACTCAAAGGCAACTGATTGTAGATGTTACCCACAACTACAAAATACCTTCCCAACAACATGTAGATTAGTGTTTGTTTGAGTAACTGGGTACTATAGCCTAGCCAGGTTGACACATACAACTAACCATCACAGACTTCATTTAAACATTTATTATAAAGCTTTTAATATATTCAATATGTCTTACCATCTTTTCTCTAGTTTTTATTCTTTTGTCTCTATATTAAATTGTGGATTTTTTTTCTCATGTACCTTCAAAGGTACTAATTCTCTTTTCACCTGTATCTAGTCTACTGTTACATTCATCTACTGTTAAAAATACTCTGTCACTAAAGCTTGTCTTTTACTTTTTTTTTAACCACAGAAAACCTAGTTATTTTATAGTATATAACTGTTATTTCTAATATCTCAAGTTCTTGTTGGTCTTTCTGTTTTCCCTTGTTTCTGTGGGTATGTTTTAGTTTATCTTCCATCTTTGTATTTGTGTTGTCTGTATGGTTGCCTTTCTGAGCTGGATATTGTGTTTAAAGAACTATTTGTAGAGCTAATTTGAGGACAAGAATGAGGGTATCTTCCTCCTTAGGTGATTTGTATTTGCCTCCCAGGTGCGTGGATGTGCTGGCCTTTCAAGATAACTTTAATCCATGTTTAAGGATTGAAATATCCTGGGCTATCCAGATGAAAGAAGACATTCTAAAACTCTTTCAATGCTAGTTTTAATCTGTTAACATTTACTACTGGGATGGATACAGCTTTTAGGAGCCTTGGCTCAAAGTAGGTTGGGAGGTTATTTACCAAGGTTACTATCCTGGCAGATCAAGACCTTGACTTTTCACCTTTAGTCCTAGAAGTTTACCAAAAATCCATCAGAATCCCTTAGGCTCCCCTTTTTAATCAGCAAAAGTGGCCTTGAGTGCATTTCTCACCTTGCTGTGTTCTTAGCATGCTGGGTCACCACCTGGCAGTTCCTTAATATGTTGTTAGTTCTTGGATTCAGTTTTTTTCAGCGTCCTCAGAAGGAAGGATGGTCTGAGTTTCCCAGGTCGTTATTATAGAAAGTAGATGCCCCCTTATTTTTTCATTTTTGATGTAAATGATATCTTATTTGGCTTCTTAACTGGAACGTTAAACAAGTAGTAATTTGCTTACCAAAAGACTAATTACCTATGAATAAGTACTTTCTGATTTTACCAAACAGTTTTCCTATGTATATTAATTAAATAATATGGAAAAGATGAGTTGGAGTAAAGATAATAGACTTACATGAGAAACTGATAAGTCTTTTCTAGTTGTAGAGAGTTTGGTCACTGGCTTGATCTTTTCACCCTAATTCATTGTTTTCTTTTCACCCAACTTGTTCCCTTTCTGTCCTCTTTTATCATCTTCATGCTCTTGTTGCAAGGGCCTTACAGACTCAGATGACTCATCTAATCCCTTTCTCATTCATCTTCACTTTACAGGCTCATTCATACTGACAAGGCTGAGGGAACTTTCATGTCACCTATATGTGGACCCTGTAAGCAGTCACTTTTCAGGTCATCTTCTTTGTAGTGTGCCTCAGAGGCTCTAGGCATGTATACTTTCTTTAGTGTTTTATAATGCTAATGTATATTGCTCATCTCTCAATTCTTGACTCATACTCTACTTCTCCATTGGAACCATTTTCCTGTTTTGAGGCCTGGTCTCGTGACTAGTCCTCTTGGTATCTGGATAGAGCATTTCCCTTCAATTACACTTGCTGCTTGGTGTCATGCAAGGAGTGAACTGAGTTCTTAGACACATGGCCTCACTTCTGCTTGCAACATTCTATTGCTTTGTCCTACCTCAGAGACTGAATTTCTATGGCCATTGGAGTTCTTCTATACCAAGCCAATGTGTACCATACCTCTTTGGATCTTCTAGTTTGGACTGCTGTGTTCCTGCCCCTCTCTCATTGGAACTACCTGTCTTCACTTAGTCTATTTCCTACCATCCTGAGCCATTAAGGGCCCAGGAAGCCCACCTTTGTGTTATTTTTTCCATCTTAGGCTTGAAATACCAGTGGCAACTATGGCTTTATTGACACAGGTATTTTTGCACTCTATTTAATTTTTTCCTTTTTGCCATTTACCTCTTGCAACTTTTCTATTTCCTATGGTTACATTCCTTATCTTGCACCACACTGTTGATTTTGATGTTTTCCCTGCTATTCATTAATTGCAATTTAAGTTATATTTACGTTATGTCTGTTCTCTGCATATTCCTATTTTCTGTTGTTCTTTCCTGCTGTGCTTTGGCCATATATTCCTTGAGAACAGATGACTTGCACGGCTAAGGTGTTATGCACTGGCCACCTTAGGCTTGGTTTATTTGAGCTTCTAACTTCCCTGTCATGTAGTTGTTACCAGGAATTTTCTTAGGAAAAAATTGGCCACCAGGGGGACTCTCCTTTCTGGAAACAGTTCTGTATCTGGATATCAGCAACATTCTCATTTTAGAACGGCCACCCCTATTGCTGTATCATAGGATTGAAAGAAATATTTGTAATGGGACTCAATACTAACAGAAGAGATCTTTTTTTGTTTAACATTGTTTAAAACAAGCATATAAATAACCAAAACAAAACTCTACTAATCACCCTGTGTTCTGGAAGCCGTCATTAAACTAGACGTTTTGGAGTGGAGGGGTATCTTTTGCAGTAATATGAGGAAGCTAAGCATAGAGATTACACTAAAAAAATATTATTTTGGATCATTGACATCTGTGAGAAGCTTGTACAGTGCTGTTACTCATCTCATAAAGCATGTCTCAAAATGAAAAAAAAGGGGGAGAAGAACTAAAAACAATGAAAACATTTTTATTTAAAAATTCTGCCTCACCCACATAATGCAGTTTGTCCTGTCAGAATTAGTTGCTTAGAGCCACAAAGAGCAATGGGAGAATTTTCTCTTTCATTTAAATTTGCATCCTCACTGCCAAACAAGTTGAACAATGATTCACATGAGAATGATTTTTCTTAGTATTTATAACTCAGTCCATAATGACTCATTGGGCAATTTGCAGACAAGAACATATTTAACAAGAGTCTCACTGACCTGTTAGAAAAGGTCTCTGAAAGGTAAAAATTGAGGGTAAAGAAGAAAAATTTCCACAGAGAACTTGATACAGTTTTGATATCATCAAGAATTACTGTTGTGAGATTGCTTTCCCTTTTAGATGAGAAAGAACTTAATTACTTTCAGGGTGTGAAACAGACAGGAAGGTCACGATTACCACCTACGATTACAGGCACCTACACACTATTTCATGGAGTAATGAAATAAATGAAGAATTTACCACAAATGGATACACATGTGCTAATAAAAATCACCAATACCATAAAAGGCAATGAAAGTGACATTAAACATGGACAAAAGAAATAACACCTAATAGAAATAATTGGAAAGTATTGCTGTCTCTAAGAAGTTTCTTCCAGAAAAAGTTAATGAACTGATTTTGGAAACACAGTTAAGAACATCTGGTTGAGGGTAAATTGAGAAGGAAACAGATGTGATGTCACTACTGTGGATGACTGGACAGTGAGAGGAGGGAAGGATGCATTCCTCATACAGATTATAAAACAGGTGCAGGAATATGATCTGGTTGTGATAGGAAACTTGAACTATCCAGACATCTGCTGGAAGCCTTATTTTGCTAAAAGCAGGGCTTTGATAAATGCTTCAATTGCCTTGATGAGACTTTGTTCTCCAAGAAGAGAGAAGTTGTAATATGTAGAACATTGAAGCTAATTCTTACTAGTAAGGAAGAACTCACTGGTGATGCAGAAGTAATGGAAGACATCTCAGATTTCATAATAAGAAAGATATAAGATAATTCCCAGAATAATCAGACATATAGATTTTTGTTGAAAAAACCCAAATCAAAACAAAATCGAAGAAAAGTATAGCTGATTGGCAGGTGTTTATGGGGGAGAATGTGGCTTAAGATAGGTAGAAGGCTCCAAACATAGAAATTCAGAAAACAAAATATAGCCCCAATGTACTTGAAAATGTAGAGATATAAAAAGACATCAATGTAGCTGCATGAAATGCTGTCTGCTGAGGTCTAGTTTTGTAAGAAATCCACTAATATTGCTTTAATATTAGACTTCAATATCAAAAAGGCATAAAAGATGATAGGAAAACTAAAATCTAGAATTTTCACAGGCATAAGATGACTGCTTGAGAAACAGAAAGGAACTAAAGCTGGGCTGAAGCAGTTCAAGGAGGGTGGGAAAGTTGGCTCGCAAGCTGACCCTGTTTAGCATCATTTCCTAAATATTATAGGCGGAAGAACATCTCCTTCAAGGAGCACCATTCACTAGACTTACAGGCTTCATCTCTTTTATTTGGGTTTATAAATATGCTGGAATTTTGTGGTGGTAATTTGGACAGGGACAAGAAAATATCAAGTTATGGATAAGTATTACTTTGTATAGTCACTGGATAAGGTGCTATAACCACCGGATCTGTCTTATCTGGTCATATTCTGTTGATAACAGAATGCCCAGTTATTTTGCAAGCACAGAGCTAAAAAGTTGTAAATTTAACAGTAAGAGTATGGACAGGAAACTTTGACCTCTTTTAAAAGCAAGGGCTCTGTTTTGTAGGAATGTCTGGTGAGTAGAACCCTCCCCATACCTTACCATAAATAGTCTTTGAAGTTCTTGTAATCAAAACCTGCTCTGCCAGTGCATCTGTATAGCAACCTGTACAGGTTAACCCATAAAACTTCCCTAACCCATACAACTTGCCCCAAACCCTAGATAAGAGAGATGTATTTGAGCATCACCTCCTGTTTCCTTGCTGGTCAATCTCACAATAAGGCCTTTATTTTCTCAGAAACCGGTACCATAGTATTGGTTTCTATGTGCATCAGGCAGTGAACCCTTTTGCTTGGTAATAGTGCTGGCTGCTGACCAAGGGATGCCCTTCATTGGCCACAGGTGCTTAGGAGAGCTGGCATAGGATAAGGCTGGGTTGTGCTCACCTTTGAGAAGGTCAGATAGTTTGTGGACCACGGCTCATGATCCTGGTTCATTTAACTCCTGGTTCCTCAAGCAATGTGTCATAGTAACAAGAACCTTTGCTGAAGCATTTCTGTCCCAGTTGTCTCATGCCCTCTAAGGACTCTTCAATCTCTCTCTCTCTCTCTCTTTTTTTCTCAACTTCTCTCACCCCACTCTATCCCAATGAGGGAAAATTGTTCTTAGACTTGGGGGATATTCCTTTCTCTTCAAACCCTATTGTCTACACAAGCTACCCACAAACCTTGCCTGAATCAAGGAAGTAAACTGAGAAATGGTAAGGAGAAAACACATGGGAGAAAACACACTTTTTTCCCTAAAAATTATTTTGCCTCAATATTAAAAAAATTAAACTTATTTTGAGATAATTTTAGATTCACATGCAGTTGTAAGAAATAATAGAGATCCAGTATACCCTTTACTGAAATTCCTCTAATGATAGGTAACATCTTGAAAGCTATATTATAATATCACAACCAGGAAAAAAACATTGATATAACCCAACAATCTTCATTTTGATTTTTCCAATTTTTCTTGTATTAATGTGCGTGTGTTTAGTTATATACAATTTTATCACATATGAAGGTTCCTGGGGTCACCACCGCAGTCAAGGTGCCCAACAGTTCTATCACCAAGGAATTCCTCCATTTTGCCCTCTCACCACCATTACCACTTCCCTTCAGTGCCCTCTTAAGAGGCCCGGGAAGCCATTCATCTCTTCTCCATTGCCAAAATTTTGTATTTTCCTGTCTTTTCAAAAATGTCACACAAATGAAATCATTTAGTGTGTAATCTTTTGGGATTGGCTTTTCTGTTTCCTCAGCAATTCAGCATGTTTTAAGAATTAAGAGAAAGGAGATAACCTCTATATTAGAGAGAGATGATCACAGAAAGACAGACATGCACATTCTCATTGGCTTGCTTGCTTTATTGAAAGTAATATTCAAAGTGGAAAGGCTAGAATAGACCACATGTTGCCAAATGTATATGACGAGTTCCAACCTGTATTCTAAGCTCCAGATACAGATTTTCACTTCCTTCTGGAAAGTTCCACATGAATCACTTGAAGAAAACTAAAATGCAATGTGTTCAAAATCAAATGTGTCATACATAATCCTTTCCCCACAAAAACATCCATCCTCTGCTCCACTTGTACTTCCTGCCTTAACTAAAGCTGCTCAAATCTCTAAATTCACCAATCTTATCTTACTCCTGCCACCCACTCCACCTCACTTCATAGTCTCATTTTCATCAGCACCTTAATTTTTCCCGACCATAAATACCTCAGCATTGTGCTTCTCTCCATTTACATTGTCTTTTTTTTTTTTAGGTAAGACCCTCACCTTCTCTCATCTAAATGATTGCAAGGCATCTTAACTGCTCTTTCATCCCTTTCCCTTCAACATCTCATTACCCCCACTGTTGTGATTATCCTTCTAAAAAAACGACCAGATCATATAATTCCTCTAATATTGATTATATTTAGTGCAATCTGTAAAGAAAGCAGACTGTTTCCTAATGTCATATTTCCCACAGAGGCCAATCCTAGAGTTTGCAACTCCATGGCTCCTTTCAGCAGTCATATTTCTAAGCCTACATAAGAAACACATTTGAAGTCCTGCCCTATCTACATCATGCTTTGAAACTGCAGCAACCAGTAAGGATAGAAAAAAGAGAAATAAGTAATTTCTTGTAATAGGTGAGGGAAAGTATTACTCTAGTGGTAAAGAGCTCACTATGAGCTCGGTCCCTGATGTATCTTCCATGGGGGCAAATTTCAAAAGGCCTGCCTTGTCCTCAGCCTTCCTCCTACTCTCCATCATCTGCTGAAGGCTCTTTTCCCAGGTGGTCTTTGGGCATTTCTGGCTATTTCCTGTACCCACAGTGTCCAGTTCCCTCTATCCCCTTAATCCTACCCAAATTTTATTGAACCGGAACTTCCCCAAGGGCAGGCAATCACCCTCAGGAATTTGATCTAGAGGAGAGGGAATCAGTAGTACGAGTACACGTGGAAAGATATACCCAGGAAGAATAAAAGACAGAGAGAGAGCTGAGCCATGCCAACTGATGAACATCAGTGCAGTGAACATAACAAAGTACAGCTGGAAAGCACTGAGATAAGCTGGCTTTTGGAGTTGTTGGATCAAAATCATCCATTTTGTCCCTAAATTGGATTCCCTCCCCAAGAGGCCTGTCTGCATGTCTGTTTCTAGATACTGAGAGATCCCTGTTTCCATTGCTAGTTAGCATAAATACCAGGTTAACTATGCATGAGGTAACTTGAATGAACCTCTCTGTTCCTTGTGGCAAGCAGGAAATTTTTTTAAAAAATTGTCTTTGGATAATTAATATTACTCTCTAAAAATAACTGGGTGAGGTTGCCCAATTAAAAAATAGGGACATGTTGGCTTTTCTGATGCAAAAAAGTACCGTAGTCCTCCCTTATTTGTGGGGGCTATGTTCCAAGACCCCGAGTAAATGCCTGCAGCTGTGCTTGGTACTGAACCCTATATATACTATGTTTGCTCAATCTGATAACAGAGATGAACTATAAATGACTAATGGGCAGATAGGGTCTACAATATGGAGATGTTGTACAAAGAGCTGATTCATGTCCCAGGCAGGATAAAATGAGATGGCATGAGATTTCATCATGGTGCTCATATAGTACACAATTTAAAACTTATGAATTGTTTATTTCTAGAATTTTCTATTTAATATTTTTGGATGGCATTTGACCATAGGTAACTGAAACCAAGGAAAGTCGAACAACAAATAAGGGGAGATACCATACGGGGAATTGGCCGAGTAGGGATTCTAGAGCAGACGGAAGTTAATGTTTTCTGCTTCTTGCTGGCAAGATGGCCAAATAAGAACAACTCTGGTGTGCAGCTCCCAGCGAGATTGACGCAGAAGGTGGGTGATTTCTGCATTTCCAACTGAGGTACCAAGTTCATCTCACTGGGACTGGTTGGAAGGTGGGTACAGCCCACGGAGGGTGAGCTGAAGCAGGGTGGGGCGTCACCTCACCTGGGAAGCACAGAGGGTCGGAGATTTCCTGTTCCTAGCCAAGGGAAGCTGTGAGAGACTGTACCAGGAGGAACAGTACACTTTGGCCCAGATACTGTGCTTTTCCCATGGTCTTCATAACCAGCAGACCAGAAGATTCCCGCCGGTGACTGGCTTGGAGGTCCTACCCCCATGGTGCCCAGCAAGCTGAGATCCACTGGCTTGAAGTTCTCACTGCTAGCACAGCAGTCTGAGGTTGACCTGGGGCACTCAAGCTTGGTGGGGGGAGGGGTGTCTGCTATTGCTGAGGCTTGAGTAGGCAGTCTTACCCTTCCAGTGTAAACAAAGCCGGGGAGAAGTTCGAACTGGGTAGAACCCACGACAGCTCAGCAAGGCCACTGCGGCCAGACTGCCTCTCTAGGCAGGGCATCTCTGAAAAAAAGATAGCAGCCCCAGTCAGGGACTTATAGATAAAACCCCCATCTCCCTGGGACAGAGCACCTGAGGGAAGAGTGCAGCTGTGGGCGCAGCTTCAGCAGACTTAAATGTCCCTGCCGGACAGCTCTTAAGAGAGCAGTGGGTCTCCCAGCACAGTGTTCAAGCTCTGATAAGGGACAGGCTGCCTCCTCAGTTGGGTCCCTGACCCCCGTGTGTCCTGACTGGAAGACACCTCCCAGTAGGGGCTGACAGACACCTCATACAGCGTATTTAATTAGGAAAAGAGGAAGTCAAATTTTCTCTGTTTGCAGATGACATGATTGTATATTTCGAAAACCCCATCATTTCAGCCCAAAATCTCCTTAAACTGATAAGCAACTTCAGCAAAGTCTCAGGATACAAAATCAGCACGCAAAAATCACAAGCATTCCTATACACCAATAACAGACAAACAGAGAGCCAAATCATGAGTGAACTCCCATTCGCTATTGCTACAAAGAGAATAAAACACCTAGGAATCCAACTTACAAGGGATGTGAAGGAACTCTTCAAGGAGAACTACAAACCACAGCTCAACGAAATAAGAGAGGACACAAAGAAATGGAAAAATATTCCATGCTTATGGATAGGAAGAGTCAATATTGTGAAAATGGCCATACTGCTTAAAGTAATTTATAGATTCAATGCTATTTCCATCAAGCAACCAATGACTTTCTTCACAGAATTGGAAAAAACTACTTTAAAGTTCATATGGAACCAAAAAAGAGCCCACATAGCCAAGACAATCCTAAGCAAAAAGAACAAAGCTGGAGGCATCATGCTACCTGACTTCAAACTATACTACAAGGCTATAGTAACCAAAACAGCATGGTACTGGTACCAAAACAGATATATAGACCAATGGAGCAGAATAGAGGTCTCAGAAATAACACCACACATCTACAACCATCTGATCTTTGACAAACCTGACAAAAACAAGCAATGGGGAAAGCACTTCCTATTTAATAAATTGTGTTGGGAAAACTGGCTAGCCATATGCAGAAAGCTGAAACTGGATCCCTTCCTTATACCTTATACAAAAATTAACTCAAGATGGATTAAAGACTTAAACATAAGACGTAAAATCATAAAATCCCTAGACAAAGACCTAGGCAATACCATTCAGGACATAGGCATGAGCAAAGACTTCCTGACTAAAACACCAAAAGCAGTGACAACAAAAGCCAAAATTGACAAATGGGATCTAATTAAACTAAAGAGCTTCTGCACAGCAAAAGAAACTATCATCAGAGTGAACAGGCAACCTACAGAATGGGAGAAAATTTATTCAAATTAAACAAATTTGGTAGAAAAAAACAAACAACCCCATCAAAAAGTGGACAAAGGATATAAACAGACACTTCTCAAAAGAAGACATTTATGCAGCCAAAAAACATATGAAAAAATGCTCATCATCACTGGTCATTAAAGAAATGCAAATCAAAATCTCAATGACCTTCCATCTCACGCTGGTTAGAATGGCAATCATTAAAAAGTCAGGAAACAACAGATGCTGGAGAGGATGTGGAGAAATAGGAATGCTTCTACACTGTTGGTGGGAGTGTAAATTAGTTCAACCATTGTGGAAGACAGTGTGGCAATTCCTCAAGGATCTAGAACCAGAAATACAATTTGACCCAGCTGTCCCATTATTGGGTATATACCCACAGGATTATAAATCATTCTACTATAAAGACACATGCACATGTATGCTTACTGCAGCACTGTTCACAATTGCAGAGACTTGTTTCCAACCCAAATGCCCATCAATGATAGACTGGATAAAGAAAATGTGGCACATATGCACTAAGGAATACTATGCAGCCATAAAAAAGGATGAGTTCATGTCCTTTGCAGGGACATGGATGAAGCTGGAAACCATCATTCTCAGCAAACTACCACAAGAACAGAAAACCAAACACTGCATGTTCTCACTCATAAGTGAGAGGTGAACAACAAGAACACATGGACACAGGGAGGGGAACATCACACCTGGGGCCTGTCAGGGTTTGGGAGTCTAGGGGAGGGATAGCATTAGGAGAAATACCTAATGTAGATGACGGGTTGATGGGTGCAGCAAACCACCATGGCACATGTATGCCTATGTAACAAATCTCCACATTCTGCACATGTACCCCAGAGCTTAAAGTATAATAATAGTAAAAAAAGAAGTTAATGTTTTCTTCACTTACTAGCTGTGTGACTTTGAAAACTTACTCCATATCTCCAAATTGGGTTGCCCTTATCTATAAAGTGGAAATAATATCAGTCACTGTCTCAGAGGGCAGTGGGGAAGCGTAAAGGAGGCTATGAGGGCAAAGCACTTGGTATAGGGTTTGGGGCATGGAAATCACTCATTGACTATTGGGGGTTGGGAGAGGAAGGCCTAGAAGATAGCTTGCAGGTTTATGTCTGGGTACCAATCACCAAAAAGGAGATTAGAAGAGTATTTGGGATTACTCTTTGGAGTTGCCACAAGATGGGTGTGGCTGCGTCTTTATAGATTCCATGTCAATGAGTTATGGAATTCAGGCTACCCTGGGAAGCCCTTGGGCCTGT